>NC_000016.10:10010000-11213783 GCF_000001405.40 Homo sapiens
CAGACCAAAGCACAGTCCCCTCTACTCTACGAGTGAGGAGCAAGGCCCAAAGAAACAAGCACGACTGTGAATTCTGTTTGAATTCCTGCTTTCTACTCCCTAGTACTGTGCCCTCAGGCACATAGATGAACATCTCAGTTCCTTTCTCCTTTCTGATAAGGGTAGAGAACAGCAAGGCCTACCTGGTTCTTTCCTTATTTTATTATTATCAAGCTGTTCATTTCAGCACATATATCTAGCTTTTACTTTGTACACTAATACAAGAAGAATCCTCACCTAGGTGAGTTTCCACAGCCTTATTTTTCTTAGTCCTCCAGAGTTTTCAAGAGAACCTTATTCCACAGACAGGAAAAATAACTAATGGGTACTAGGCTTAATACCTGGGCGCTGAAATAATCTTTACTACAAACCCTTGGGATATCAGTTTACCTGTATAACAAACTTGCACATGAACCCTCGAACTTAATATAAAAGTTTTAAAAGGATAACATTTGGAACCTGGAGAGCATTAGCAATAGTACCTACCTGTAAAAATGTTGTAAAATTAAATAAGATCATGTATAGGAACTGTTTAATATACTTCATAGTACTTTATAGGTACTTCATAGGTTCATAAATGCTTCCCACCGTTATTATTGCACTGTGAATACTATGGATTTGCAGCATTAACAAGTGATGACTAGGACTCAGCTCAGAGAGGAGGAGAGGAGAGGCTACTGAAGGTTCATGCCTCCACCCCCAGGTACGTGCTGAAAAAGGAATATCTCCCCTTGCTCCTCCAGAATTCTTACCTTGTCTCTCCAGGGAGGCCATGTATTTATACTGCACTGGTCTCTTCACCAGGACTGCTATGCTGCACAACTCCAGGGGGCAGCAATCATATTATATCCTGTGAGCATAGTCCTCCACCCCACCCTTCACCTGAAGTTGTGGAACATGGTGTCCCCATGTGCTAAACGTTCAGGCTTGCTGGGTTATTCCTGTAACATTTGTTCTATATCCCAGTCCAACTTTTCATGGTGACATCCAAAGTTCCCAGCCACCAATGCCAGACTCTTCTTTAGCATCAGTAACCCCACAAACAACTGGGAAGAATACTTATCTACCTTCCCCACTCTTTCTTATTTATGAATCAGTTTGAAATTACACGGTAATAGTTGTGCCTGCATTTTGAAGATGGCTCTTATCAGTAATTACAGATGTATGTTAAACTAAGTTTTTAATGCTAAGATTATCTTCCCAGGTGTTTACATTAGAAAGAATTCTAGATTTGGAGATAAGTGGAGACAAGTTCACCCCTGAATATTTAGTAAGGTGCTAAGGTACCTGTGGGATTGCCTGAGTTGTGACTCTTAAGACATTGCAAGTAAAAAGTTACAACTGACATCAGCATCCAACCATTCTTCTGTAAGTAGCAATATTCTATTTCCTTTTGCCTTGGTGGGTCCATCAGTCTACGTGTCTACTCTCCCAGGGCCAAGGCGGGACCCAAATCAACCACTCATTCTCCAAACATTTCCAACACAGGAGGAAAAACACAAGGTCAGGGCCGATTCACTGACTGCTGTGTGCTGAAGTAACTGCCTGTCAGATCCTCCTTCATGGATCCCTAGAGAGGCTCTCCTTATTCATTGCAGATGCACGCTTTTTGCAGAGCACCCTTGAAACATGCTAATTAATTATTTTTTTTTAATCTAAGTTACCCAGTGTTGGTTTCATCTACCTGCTGCCCTACTGCAGAATCAGAAAGTGGGAATCTGCTTTGTGGCGGGATGACGTTCACCAAGCATCGTTCAGGGCTGGTTCACCATGATGCCTGTCCAAACCCCTGAGCACCTAGTGTCTGTACCACACATGTAAGTACTTAATCACATGCTACACCAAGCTGCTCATAGTTTCACCCTATAACTCTTGTCTCTGCAGACAGACAAAAGCTTTTCTGGAGGCTGGAGACCATAGCATAGATAAGAGGTCCTCAAAACTAATGGATCATGAGCAGCTGTGAGGTGTGATGCACTAATTAGTTAGGATCCCAGTCCAATCAGTGATACTTGGAAATGATTTTGGCTTTTTTTGTAAGCTACAGCACATTCAAGGTCATTTCTATAATAACATCATTCTTACTCATTTACAATCTGAAATGTTTTCTTGAGTGGGAGCGAAATGGAAAAAGTTTTTAATGTGTTATGCTTTGTCTTACATATTCTTTAATCCTGTACAGAACAGAGCACAGATTCAATGTTGAATTGAACTGATTATGTGACATCCTGCAAACAATAAAAGCATCACTTTTAAAGAACTTAAAGTTCCTTCTCACACCTTTTATACCTGATCTCCAGCCCCTCAAAGGGTTGTATTAATGCATTTAACCCTCATATGCTAAATTTCATTTCTAATTATAGGATAACCACAGGAAAAATGGTTATCCAGACCAGCCCTTTAACTCAAGAATCACAAATGCAACATCTAGCATGGAGAAGCAGGTAAAGAAAATAATGTAAACCTTGTTCAATCGATTCTAAAAGGGTGGCCATGTGGGACAGGCAGAACAATGGCCCCCAAAGGTGTCCATGTCCTAATCCCTGGAACCTGTGAATATGTTACCTTACATGGCAAAAGGGACTTTGCAGATGTGATTAAGGTAAAGATCTTGAGATGGGGAGAAAGGACATTTGAAAGTAGAGTCTGAGAAAGATATTTGAAGATGCCCTGGTGCTGCCTTGGAAGATGAGGAAGGGGCCTTGAGCCAAGGAAATCAGGCAAGGAAAAAGCAGCTTCTTCCCCTAGAGCCTCCAGAAAGAGTTCAGCCCTACTAACACCTTGATTTTAGCTCCATGAGACCCATTTCAGCTTTCTGACCTGCAGAACTGTAGGATAATAAATTTGTATTATTTTAAGCCAGTAAGTTTGCGGTAATTTATTTCAGCAATAGGCAACTAATACACCATGTATCAACTGCAAACAATTGTTGCAGTTCTAGAAAGCTGGCCCAATTTACCAGTTCTTGGGTGGGAGGCGGTAGAGGAGCAGAAAAGATAACTTTTGAGTACTGAGATTAATACCTGGGAGAGGAAATAATCTGTACAACAAACCCCAGTGACACGTGTTTACCTATGTAACAAACCTTCGCATGTACCCCCAAACCTAAAATAAAAGTTTCAAAAATCTGGATTTTAAAAAGAGATCCATCCCTAGATATTTTCGTGAATACTCATTGGATTTTTACAGCCTCTGAGGTCCAGGGTGTATCTATGGGCTGGATTCAGCCCATAGGCTGCCCTTTTTCCTCTGTTCCTCTCCCACGAAAGCCTTCCCCTTGCTTTATCCTGAAGAATGGCCATCCAGCCTTAAGCATCCACATGATGGCAGCTGACTGCCTTCCTAATCATCATCCCAATAAGTGAGAGCTTTAATATTTCAAAGGGTCTGCTCTCAAGCACAGCTAATTTCTCTCTCCCTTATAGCTTTTGCCCACAGGTCCTACTCTTCCCTGCGGGACAGTAACTAGTGGCTCTTGTTTCTCCTCCACAGGACAGCCCTTCGTATGTTTGAAGACTGCTCTCTCATGCCCTCTGCCTTTCTTCCTGAGACCTTCCTGGAATCATAGCTCTTCTCTCTGTGCTCATTCTGTCTGACCCTTCTAAAACGCAAAGATTGGTACCAACCAGCATCCTCCTGGGTCAGGAGCAAGGACAGCGAAACCATGACCACTGAAGTGTTTCTTTTTAACTACAAATCATCTAAACTCTCCTTAAAATTATTCAATCTTTTTCCAGGCAAAGAGATTTTCTTTGGTGAAGAGAAAAATTGCTTAAAGTGGTTTGACCCACACCTCTCTCTCTGGCCTCCTTCCTCTTCCTAGAAATCCAGCTATTGATTCAGCTTCTACTCATGCCTGTAATCTCTTGCTCAAGCGTCACTTCCTCAACGAAGCCGTCTCAGACCAGCTACCAGTCTGGGTCAAGCTCCTCTGTTGAATGATATTTTCCTTTAGAACATTCAGCTCTGTCTGTAATTACACACAGTTACTGTGACTTCGTTATTTGATGCCTGTGTCCCCGTCTAGATTGATAAGCTCTGTGAGAGCAGAGTGCAAGCCTGTATAGCCTAGCCCAGCTAATAAATGGGTAGGTGGTGAGTTGTGAGTGAATGTGTAGGGGAGTCTGACTTGTCAATATTCTGCTTTATTATCAGAACAAATGAAAACTCCAGTTTTTGGTCATTTTCATATGGCTGGATACCTTCCCCTTCTCAACCTGGCACTTGTAGAATAAATTTTATAACCTAAATGCAAGACCAGTATGTATGTCTCTTAAAGGATACCTTGACAACTTTACCCTGCATTCTAGTTTAGTAAACCATATTTGAAGCTTGATTTCATTGGCCACTATATGTTCTTTTCTCCTGGCCTTATAAATGTACACATTTCTTAGAAAACTCGGGTCTTCATTCATTCTACAAACATGTCTTGAGTGGCTACTATGAGCCAGGCTCAGAGGGTAGCTGAAGATAAATAGGTAAACAAAGCATGAGCCCCACCCTTAGATTACTCAGTCTAGCAGGACAGACAGAGGCATAAATGGACCACTCTGAAACCAAGTGTTGAATGCCATTATAAAGAAAGTTGGGTTCTGTGGTGTAAGTAGGAGTTAACGAGATGAGGATGGCACAGGAGTCCCAGACAAAGGGAAACTCATTACCAAGAAATGAGGGTGTCTCAAGAAGTGACAACCGTTTTAAGTCATTTAAACATAGGTCAGAGTGGAGAGAGACAAGCCTAGAAGGCCATGAACAAAGAGACTTATGCAGTGAGTTAAGCAATATGGACTTTATCAACAAGTAATGGGTTATTAATAGGAACATGACATTTATATTTCAGAAAAAAAAATTTAGCATCTACAGGAGGATGAGTGAATAGAAAAGCAGGAGGACATTAGAAGGTTGTTATAATCATTTAAATAAGAAATAACTGGACAGGTGTGGTGGCTCATGCCTGTAATCCCAGCACTTTGGGAGGCCAAGGTGGGCAGATTACCTGAGATCAGGAGTTCGGGACCAGCCTGGCCAACATAGTGAAATCTCATCTCTACTAAAAGTACAAAAATTAGCTGGGCATGGTGGCACATGCCTATAATCCCAGCTACTCGGGAGGCTGAGGCAGAAGAATCACTTGAACCGGGAGGCGGAGGTCGCAGTGAGCTGAGATCGCACCACCGCACTCCAGCCTGGGCAACAGAGCAAGACTTCATCTCAAAAAAAAAAAAAAAAAAAGAAAAAAAAAAAGAAAAAGAAAGGAAAGGAAAAGAAAAAAAAGAAATAACTAGAATCTTACTAAGGGTAGGAGGAAAGAATAGAGAGGAAGAAAAAGACTTGAAAGATCCACAATGTCTATAAAACAGATCTAAGTACAGAGACCTGTGGCCTACCTTTGGAGACCTACTTCCAGGTGACTTATTTTAACTCAGTGACACAACAACTAGTTCACTCAGGCAAAATAATAACAAAAATATTTTTTTCAAAAAAAGACTCCCTGATTCCGAATGCGCTTTAAATTTCTGAACATACTTACATTTGGAAAATCATTTTGCAAGATAGGCAGTTTGCACTAGATTCATTTGCATGTATATAACATTGCAGTGTAAGCTTTCTTCTAAGCATTTTCACCTGCTTCATCACCCATTGGCTGCATTCCCCCAGCAAACATTTATTGGGAACATACTATTTACGAGGTGATGGCAACTGCAGGGGACAGGGAGGTGCAACAACTCAGCCCCTGCAATGAGGCAATTCACCATCAGTGTGGGAAATGGACAGCCACACAGAACCTCATTAAACCATGTGGTAGGGTAGCTGGGCATAGTGGCTCACACTGTAATCCCAGCTCTTTGGGAGGTCGAGGTGGGAGGATCACCTGAGGTCAGCCTGGCCAACATGATAAAACCCCGTCTCTACTAAAAATACAAAAATTGGTTGGGTGTGATGGCAAGTGCCTGTAATCTCAGCTACTCAGGAGGCTGAGACAGGAGAATTGCTTGAACCCAGGAGGTGGAGGTTGCAGTGAGCCAAGATCATGCCATTGCACTCCAGCCTGGGTGACAAGAGTGAAACTCCATCTCAAAAAAAAAAAAAAAAAAAAAAAAAGTGGTAGGCATGGCCTGAGCACGGGAAACCCAGGGTAATGTAAGAGGCGCAGAGAAGAGGCCCCCTAATTCAGCCTGCAATGGTGCAGTGGAGTGGGGGACAGTCAGGAAAGACACTTTGGATACCTGAGCGTTGTTTGGTTTCCCATGTAGCCTGTGGACTTCTCATGGTACATGTTTCATCTGTCACCCCATCCAACAATCAGCACACAGCTCAAACAAGATGGGGTCAGATCTCCACTTCATACACACTGGATTTCCACACATGCATGGGAAAGAAAAGAAGGACTATTGCCCCACAGATTCACTGCATCTAGTATTGCTAAGGGGCTGCAGCCTCTTGCCAACCACAGACCCATCTCAGTGGACAATGCAAAGGGTAGCATTAAATCATGAGCTTTGTGAGGGCAGGGAGCCCTGTGCCTCCTATCTGGCATAGCATCCCACACCTGGTGGGTGCCTAGTAATTGTCCATAGGATAAATGGATAACAACGGAGAGACGAAGAATTTATTGTAGTTGTGTTTTTGCAATAGTTTCTCTCCCCCACTGGGTGATTATTCATGCACTGCTTCTCCACATTAGGGCAAAGTGAGCTCACATCTCTCTTACCTGCTCTCTGGGCCTCCCGGCCTGGACTCGCACAAGGGCACCATCCCACTACCCCTCATACTTCCAATCAGTGCAGACCAGAGCCACCCCAACCCCACTATCATCACTCACATGAGCAGCAGGATGGAGCTGGCACAGAAGACAAGCCTCCTACACCTCCTCTGCCAAATCTTCAAATATCATCAGTCACACTGGAAAATGGCCCCAGGCCACTGCTGCTTAATGGGCCATGATGGATGAACACAGATCTAGAGAAATGATTGTTTACCAACTAAGGGATCAGAGCCTATGGGCCTCTTTCTGTCCTCTGAAGAGCATGCTGCTACTGGGGCAAATGAGTTTGAGTCCAGAGCCGACAATGAGCAGGTGATCAAGCCCCAAGTGAAATGGCCTACAAGCCCCTCATCTTCTGACCACAAAAACACCATAGGAACATAGAGACACTGCCATTTTTTTAAAAGGAACCTTATGAGGAATACAGACAAAGAAACAGATAATCATTACACATTAAGATAATCATTACACGATTAATAGATAATCATTACACGTTGTTAAGTGCTACAATGGCAGCATGATAGGGCACTTGATGAGTCTTGGTGGGGCGGCAGTCAGAGAAGACTACCTGGGGGCTGGGGATCATGAAAGAAGGCAGGAGGGGAAATCATTTCTGCACAGGTTACAGTAGACTGAGTGCATGTTCTAGAGCCAAACAGCCTTGGTTGCATCTTGGTTTGTTCGGCTTATTTCGAGCTATGTTAATTGCAAGTCACTACTCTCTGAGGGTCTCTAAGTGCTCTGAGAAATATGAACAGTAACAGTTCCCAGCTATTGTGAGTTGTTGTGGGGGTTGTACAAAAGAACAAGCATAACATAAGAAAAGCATAAGAATGAGCCTGAGACACTGTGAGTACTCAGTATACATTGGTCATCATAACCAGGACTGCAAGTACAGCAAGGCCAATGAAGCACTTCCTTTGGGTGCAACATTTAAGAGGGTGATAAATGACTCATCAGTCAAGATAAGTAATATTTTAATATGATATTTTTACAAATAAAAACCAATGCAAAAAAAATGATGCAAAACAAATCAAAATTTAAATAAAGACAAGATCCGACTGTACTTGCCCAACCTTAGTCTCAGCCCTGCTGGATCCTCTATTATTATGTTAATCATGGAATTCTTGGCATTAATTTCTATTCTCTAAAATATTGCACTGAAATGGTATTTACCTTGATAACTTAATTGTTTGGCACCCTTTTAAATTTTGCATCCAAGGAGGGATTCTTAATCTCTTCTTCCTTGTCCTGGCCCTGATACGTGGCTTTCCAATTTTCTACGATGAGAGTAGTTACTTTTACATTTAGAAGAATCAAATGATATGACTTTTTTAAAGAGATGAGTTATTAAAAGGAGACGTGATCAGAAGACATTTAGCTTCGTTTAGGAGGCAAAGCAGATGCACGTGGGCCATTTCAAATAGAAAACCATAAGACTGTATGTGAAAAAGGACCCTAAGATGAAACAGTGGTGGGTGTTATAAGAATTCTGATCTCAGTAAGGTAAGAGGAGGCTGGTGTTTTCCAGAAACATAAGAGAAGAAGGTGGGGTTTCTGTGCTAGCACCAGAAGACACAAACTGGAGGCAGCAATACCACTGCAGTTGATGTGACAGAAGCCCCTGGAGAAGAGTTCACCAAAACGTGAAAGGGGAGTCCAGCAGCTGCGTGCTAAGGGGGTGTGGCTCTCAGCTCAATTCTAGCCTGACCTTCTTATAGATGGCTGAGAGAACCCTAGAGGCTATTTCACGCTGTCAACACTAATGATACTTCTGCTGAGAGAGGGGTGAACCTCTGGTCCACCTATTGCTGATGCTGCACGAGGGAAACTCTATCCAGGGAGGTGATTGTCCTGGTGCCACGGCACTCACAGCTGGGCATGCCTGCACTGCCAGTCACTCCCCACACACCGTGCACCCCAGCTCCGCTTTCACCATGAAGATGAGCAGGAAAGAAAACTCATCTCCCAACCCGAGGTTGCTCTGATTCTCTAGGTCCCAGAATCTCTGAGTTGCAGACACCTTGGAAATCCTCATTGTCATAAGCAAGAATGCCCCAGAGTTACAGCTCCACCTTCCCAATCTGAGCACTGGCTGTGGCCTGCCTTCAGTGACTTTGGACCATGCCAGCAGCTCAGACCCCACTTTTTCTCCCAAGTTCCCCCAAACCTCAAGAAAAAATATTTTTTTTGGAAAACGTGTTTTTAACAATGATCATCCATTTCCCAATAAGTCCAAGGAAGTGTTGATCTCCAAAAAAAAAAAAAACTGAATCCCAACGTAAGTTTGTGACCTTGAGCAAATTGCAGGATCTGTGCCTCAGTTGCCCCATTAATAAAAAGAGGGAAGTCACCTCACTGCTAACACTTCATTAGTAAAATAAGGACACTAACAGTACCTTCATGTGTGGCGAGTATAAGGATAAAATAAGATATAAACATTTGACACAGTGTCTGGCATGTGACAAGCATTTGATACATGAAAGCTACTGTTTATCATTGTTTTATAATTATCACTATTATTAAGTTGTAAAAATTAGAATTAGATTATGCATGGAAAGCATCTATCACAGTCTGGCATACAGCAGAGGCACAATAAATGGAAGATATTGTCACAAGGATAGCAAGGAGGAAATGTTTAATCTGTAAGCATTTCAAAGAGGGAAGCTAAAATTGTATTTCTAAGCAGAAATTTGTGGACCCATTTTAATGACAAGATAAAACACATTTCTAGTTAGCAGCATTCCTTGTACATAAACAATTTATCTACCCAAGGCTAGAAAACGGTATGCCCTCAAGTAGATTAAATCAACCCTGCCGGGTACCCCCAATGCCTCTTTACTACTCATTTGTTTGGCAAATGCTTTCTTCTAAGATTGCAGCCAGGTCTGTGTCAGCTCAGCGAGGGTTCAGGACTACCGGAGTCAGAAGGAGTGATCCTGGATTCATCTTACACTGACTTCCTGGCTGACTTAGAAATGGCCATAATGTAGATATGTTGACCAAAGGGTACCAACTCTCCATTATAAGGTGAATGAATAAGTTCTGAGGATGGTGACTACAGTTAGTAATATCATATTATACACTTGAAATTTGTGAAGCGATTAGATCTTAATTATACTCACACCACATACACAGACACCCAAAATGGTAACCAACAGTCGTGAAAGATGTGTTAATTAATTCGATGGTGGTGATCATTTCACAGTCTACACACTCATCAAAACATCACATTGTACACCTTGAATACAAACCACTTTATTTGTCAGTTAAACCTCAATAAAGCTGGAAGGAAAAAAACAGTATACCAAAGAAATGAAAAGATGGGCCAGGTGCAGTGGCTCACGCCTGTAATCCCAGCACTTTGGGAGGCTGAGATGGGTGGATGACGAGGTCAGGAGTTCAAGACCAGCCTGGCCAACCTGGTAAAACCCCATCTCTACTAAAAATACAAAATTAGCAGGGCATGGGGCGTGGGGCAGGTGCCTGTAGTCCCAGCTACTTGAGAGGCTCATTGAAACTCTTTGGGCTCAGTTTCTTCATCTGGAGAATGGGAATTCTCATACCTAACCTACATTATTTTTCCATTATTTTTCCAAGATGTTCAGAAGTCAATTGCATAAAAAACCACCTTTCACAATGTAGATGATCAATAAATATAAAAGGGAGTTCTGCACGTTATTATTTCAATACGAGGTGGGAGTTTAGTGCAGCAGGCTGCAGCTGTGTGTGCAATAAATATAGAATTAGAATTTTCCACATTGAGTTTCTGAAAAACTAAGGAGAACATGAACTCTGGATTCAAGAGAGTCATACTAGCTATACGATACAAGGTTAATTGTTCTGATTCTCAGCTGCAAAATGAGGATAAATAATCATGGTGCCACCTATGATGTTGTAAGGACAAGATAAAAGTAAGTACATATAAAGCACCAAGCATAGTGCTTGGCCCATGTTAAGAGCTCAATAAAAAGCATTATTTTACTATAATTATGATCATCATTATTATCATTGCTACTCCCCTGCCAGGTTTAGCAGGGGTCCTACCTGTACCAGCTCCAACATAAAGAGCCACAGGACAGTCTGGACAGACAACTGAGATGCTGTACGTCTTGGTCAGGCCCTTGCACTTCTCCAGCCTGTGCATGATGTCACCACTTCCCCAAACTTCTCCCTCTCACCTCCAAGTTTGTGCTAAACCGCTTACCAAGCAGCTTCAGACTCATTAACATCTAATCAGCCCTAATTGGCTGCAATTCAGCAGAAGTCCTTTCAGGGGGCAGGTGACTGGCAGAATCCCCAGAAGCAAGCCCACAGCCTTTGGAGAGCAGTCACTGGGTGGGTGGGAGAGGGAAGACCACAGCTGGGTCCCCTAAGCAGCCTGTACCTTCCCAGCTCTAAGGCAGCCATGAGACCTAGGTAGTGAATGAATGGACTGGTCAATGACGGCTCTATTCAACACATATTTATTGAACATCTATGTTGTGTCAGACTCTGCCCTCCTGGAATCCCTCCTGGATGGCCCTGTGAGGGGAATCTACTATTGTTCCCATTTTATAGCAGAGGAAAATGACGCCCAGAAAGGTGAAGGGCTTGCCCAATATCCCAGCAGCTGGTAAGTGTTGGAGCCAGAATTCTCACCTCAGCAGTCTACCGCAGACTCCAAGCTCTTCGCCACTCAGTGAACTGTGATACATTCCCCCAGTTACCAATGGTAGACTTTGAAAAAGGAAATAAAAAAGGAAGCTGAAATCCACATTGACAGCAAAGATAGGCAGGAGGGGATTGACAGGAGCGGAAGCAAGCCCTTTCTCAGGAGATGATGCATAATGATGAGAAATAGCCAGCCAAGGGAGGGAATGAGGGGAAGAGCATTCCAGGTGGAAAGAAAAGCATATGCAAATGCCCCAAAGCAGGGGAGACCTTGGGGTTGTCTCCCCTGTCAGGGGAGACAGGGTCAGTGGGGCTGGAGCAAATGAGGAGGCTGCCAAAGTCAATGTCCATCAAGCCCGTTCAGGACACTCTGAGTGACCTTAGGCTGCATTCTGCCCCATCTGCCTAACTTCTCTTCTCAGTGGACTCTCTGCCCCCAGTGATGGGGATCATCATGCTGTGTTACCTTGGGCAAGTCGCTTCACCTCTCTGAGCCTCAGTTTTCTCATTAGTAAAATGAGAGTAATGGTCATAATACCTATCTCATAATACCTCATACAGAACACCTTGCTGTTCCTCCATGTCCCACCTTGACACCTCTAGAAATCTCTTCCCTCTGTCTAGAATGTCTTTCCCTATCCCCTTCACCTGTGGAGGTTTTACTGTGATTATGAGGCACACATCAAAATACCACAGCATCCAACATATAGCAGGTGCTTGATAAATATGTGTTGAATAAGTGAATACAAACTCCCTAGCAGAATAGAATGCAAGCCTTGATTTCCAGCTCAGCCTTACACACACATACACATGCATGCACAGAGTCACACACATGCATATGTGCATGCACATATTCACACACACACGCACACACGCAAGCACGCACATACGTGTACCATCCCAGCCACACAGAACATCTTGCTGTTCCTCCATGTCCCACCTTGACATGTCTACAAATCTCTTCCTTCTGTCTAGAATGTCTTCCCCATCTCCTTCACCTGTGGAGGTTTAGCCTCGCTTTAAAGTCCAGCACTGATGCTAGTTTCATTTTCCTCTACATCCCTACAACATTTCATAAACAAAAATAAAACATACATCAGTGCTGCACCATAGTCTATTTCCCACCCTCTCTTCCCTCACCTCAGACTGAGTGCTTCCCCATAGCAGGTCTTATTCTTCTCTCCAGTCTGAACACTTAGCACACAGTTGACATTTTGAGGATGATAAATAAGTATTTAGTGACTGAATGAGTGAATGAATACCTTGGAACTGTTTTTCCATAAATATATATTCCCACAGTTCTCTTCCTATCAGTCAATGAACAACCACTTAATAAGACCCCGTTTCTTTTGAGTATTATGCCAGCTCTTTGGGAGAAAAATGCCAACAATGACACTGTTCTCAAGAACTGAAAATGTGGTCTAAGAACGGCACCACTAGAAAGTACTACACATGCATAATCAGTATGACTACCACACCTGGTATTCCAATGTCTACCAGGGATAAACTGCTCAGTTTGTAGATTAACACAGGAATCTAAAGGAGAAAATCCTACTAATCAGGGGGATATAGCTTAACTTTCTTGCTTAAACAACCCGAGATGATCAGCCAGACTTCCCAAGCCTGTAAAAAGAGGGCTCTACCAATGAGAAATTAACCACCTGGTATTGAGATGGTAGATTCCGACTGAGTCCACTCAGGCTGATCTTAGACCGAGTTGGCAACAAACAAAAAGAGGGCCACAGCTGCCCCCAATGTTCAGCTGCATTCCCAAGCTAGAGAACGAGACACTTCCAAATCTGAAATAACTCATCCAACTGAGGCAGGGCTCTATAAACAACAGACAAGTAAAATACATTGAATAAATATTACATAATCTATTTTCTTTAGTGGTTGTGTCTGTATATATGTGGGTACATTCAGGTGTGGTTTTTACAATGACCCTTCGAAGTGGGTATTATAATTACAACTTTATATGTGAGAAAACTAAGGTTTAAGATTTGATTAGTAACCTGGCACAAATCTTAAAACCAGTAAGAGAACACATCAGGATTCGAACACCAATATGAGCCCATTTTCTACTCTTACTGCTGATGTGAGTACTAAGTCCTCATTAACTGGTGATGAAAGAAATAGATGTGAAGGAATTAAAACACCAAAAAGAGCCTTGGTATTTCCTCTCATCTTGGTTCAATAACCTCTTGTGAGAAAAAAGTTTTCAGTGCGTGTCGCTATAAATGAGCATGATTGGCTTGCCAGTTGAACCTACAAACAGAAATAATGTGAGAGGTCACAAGTCCACTCATTTGCACTGGACTTCCAAAGAGTTTTGTCATGCAGTGTCTCAGTTAATCCCCCAATAGCCCAGGGAGGTGGACATGGGCACCATTTTACATACAGAGAAAACATCCCAAAACATTGCAGTGATGACACATATTTATTAAGCATAAACCTTAGGCCAGGTACATCACACATTATGCCATTTAATCCACCCCATAAACTGTCATTGTGCCTCTTGTTCAGAAGAACAGGTTGGGGCTTAGAGAGGTTAAATGACTCATCCGAGGTCATATAGCTTGTCCTCAGAGCCAGAATTCGAATCCAAAGACATGTTCTTAAGAACCATGGCATTCACCTCTCCCTAGGACACACAAGGGCTCAAATCGAGCCCATGAGGCTTCTATCAGCTATCTACCAGTTCATTTGGATTTTTGGCTCATTGCAGACTAATGATGCACAAGTGGTCTCATTAATGGTATGCATGTTTGTTTGTTTGTTTGTTTGAGACGGAGCCTCGCTCTGTCACCCAGGCTGGAGTGCAGTGGCACCATCTTGGCTCACTGCAGCCTCCACCTCCTGGGTCAAGCAATTCTTCTGCCTCAGCCTCCTGAGTAGCTGGGATTACAGGTGTGTGCCACCACACCCAGCTAATTTTATTTTTAGTAGAGATGGGGTTTCACCATGTTAGCCAAGCTGGTCTCAAACTCCCAACCTCATGATCCACCCGTCTTGGCCTCCCAAAGTGCTGGAATTACAGGCGTGAGCCAACGTGCCCAGCCAATGTCACGCACAGTTTTAAGCAAAACTATGTTTCAGTCTCAGCTAAACTATGTCATTACCACGTCTTCTCTGTCTCCCATTGCCGCTTAGAGATCACAAGATATGCCAAGATGGGTCTGGCTTTTAGAGACTCTCATTTTGCAGACCCATTCAAGCCATGGATTTAGTGTAGTGTCAAGATGAGAAGCCTAAACAACATAGAGAAAGCCCACGTTCAGCCATAACTTCCCACTCACTCCTCACTGAAGAGGTAGGCACAATAGCTTTCTCACTGCTTAGCAATTATATCAAGTAAGAGCTGTTGGATGGCATGAGAGACCACAAGTAGACACAGAATGGCTATTTGGTTGGCTGGCTGCTCATTTTTTGAGCAAATAAAATAAGCACTAAATTCAAAACAGAGCCTCCCACAAAATAATCCAAAATTTAAATGAATTTTTTAAAAAAAGCATAGTTGAAATGGAGATAAGTCATGGAAGAGTCAGAGAGGAGAGAAAAGAAGAGGGAAGGGAGGAAGAGGGAAGAGAGGATGATGGAGAGAGGAATCGAGAGATGAGAGGAGATGGAGAGGAAAAGAGAGGAGGAAAGAAGAGAGGAATGAGTAAAGAAGAAAATTGAAAGAGGTGGCAGAGAGATGGGAGGGGCTAAGAAGACTGGAGATTACTAATGGTGCAGCTGAATCATAAAACTATCATGCTTATAGGAAACTCGTGGCTCTGGGGTTTAACGAAAGGTTTTATATTTTTAATTTGCCAGATCAGGGACGCAGCAGGGTCTTTTTTTTTTTTTTTTTTTTTTTTTTGAGATGGGGTCTTGTTTTGTCATCCAGGCTGGAGTGCAGTGGTGTAATTACAACTCACAGCAGCCTCGACCTCCTGGGCTCAGGCATCCTCCTGCCTCAGCCTTCCAAGTAGCTGGGACTATAGGCCTATGCCACCACATCTGACTATTTTTTCTTTTTTTTGGAGGGACAGGGTCTCCCTGTGTTCCCCAGGCTGGTCTTGAACTCCTAGGCTTAAGTGATCCTCCTGCCTCGGCCTCCCTAAGTGCTGGAATTATAGGCGTGAATCACCATGCCTGACACAGCAGAACCTTTGAGATATATTTAAGCAAGGAGGCTGGAATACCACCTCATTTGACTCCAGGGAAAATATAACTTTTTCCCAGAGATGAAAATAAAGACACCAGAGCGGGGTCCACTCAAGGATACTGATGTGAGCCATCCCCTGCCTCCCTATATCGGCTGGCAGAGACAGGCAGGCTAGGGGATGCAAAATCTCATGGGTAGAGATGCAGCCTTGCTTCAGAGAAATCTTACTGCAAACCCTGGAGGCCAGACTTTAGACAGGATTGCAATGACCTTATGTATCCGAGGCAGTGGAAGTTTCCTCTAAAGAAAAAATGGGAGGCAAGTGGCTTGAGGAAGTCAGGCACAGCGAGCTTCGTAGCCAGGGTCCTGGAGCCAACCTCAAGGCAGCCTCTTTGACTCACACAATACTGTCTGGCTACATCATCACTGTTCTCAGCCCAACCTTCCTCCTGGCCATAGAATCTCTGTATGCTCACTACAGAAAAAAATAAAAAAATATCTAGAGCATGAGGACACAGAAAGGACTTCCAGAATCCCCCACCCAGTGGCAACCACTTTGACACATGACTGCTTGGAGATTGAGAGCCAAATTCAAATCCCAACTTAGGTTCTCACTAATTGGATGAGTTGGGGCAAGTCACGTCACCTTCCTAAGCCTCAGTTTGCTCCTCTGTATAACAAGAGTAATAAAAAGTAGCTTCCTCATGGTATTATTGTGAAAAATAAAATAAAATGCTTGGTGCACTGTCCAGCATGTACAGGGAATCTATTGCTATTATTTATTATTGTTACTAACAGCATTAGATGCATTTCCTTTCTCTGCATCTTGAAGGTAGTCTATGCAAAGTACCCAGCATAGCCTGTAGGATATCTCCAGGCCATTAGAGAGAGAAAAAAGAAAGTCCTTCCTAAATTTAAACTTCATATCACTTCGCCCTCTGATTTAAGCAGGGCATTAGGTTCATCTCTAACTCTCCCTTTCTGTCAACTGAAGAACATGGATCTGCTCCATTCACTGCACAGTCAAGCTGGGGGGCACTGCAGAGAACAAGGAAAGAAGACCACCACCAGCAGACATGGGCCATGGCAGCTCTTAACAATGGCCCCAGGAAAGCCTAGTAGCTCCACTCAGTGAGAAACACGCCAAACAAGAACCAGGTCTGCTTTTCTCTCACTTCCTCCCACCCCAAAACAATGCAGAACTTGAAATCAGGTGCTTTCAGATTCAGGTGAACGAACCTCAGGAAGAACTGCACTTCCAGTCCCCTCTCTTTCTCAATCACAGAAACGATCAAGTTCTCTCCTATTCCACCTGCCTGTTCTCAAGTGGACCCTCCCGTGAAGATGGCTCTATTTCAAATCAAAACCCCATCGCACCACCACCCAAGGGCTTCCTTTTGCCTTTCCCTAATCCACTTTTTGCCTAGTGCTTATTATCAGCTGACACATTAAATATTTGTTATGTTTCTGTTGGCCTCTCCTCACACAAAGAAGACAGGTTTGTTGACTGCTGTATCTCCAGCATGCACAGCCCATTGAAGGCTCAAGTAGCATTTGTTACATGAGAAAATAAGTTGTTTATAGCCCTCCCCAACACCTAGCATCCACATAAAGTGTAAGGGATCTTATAAAGGAGTTGCCCATATTACAGATGAGGAAACTGAGGCTCAGAGAGAACAGACTTTTCCAAGCTCTCACAGCAAAGTTTAGCATCTCAGCTATCAAGACAACCCAAGTATTAACGTTAGAATATAGTGAATGTCCCCCCCTGCCAGTGCTCCAAGGAACGTTCATCCTGCCTTGTTTCAGAAGCAACATCCACAGCCACAGCGTCATAGGAGCCTGGCTGCCCATCCTGGGTCTGCATTTACTAGCTGAGTGAGGTTGGTGTGTCTCTCAGTGATTCCATCTAGCCATATGCAAAATAAGATGACAAATCCTGCTCTTACTACCTTCCAGTGCTGCTCTGGACATCGATGGAATATTTTGGAAACATCCTTGGCTTCTGATGATGGAAGGGGAACCCAGTGAGACATGAGGAGTCCTCGCTGGTGAGTGCTGGAGTTGGTGAGCTTTCAGCATGGGCTGGCCTGGTGCCTCTGCGACTTCCCATCCACAAGCTGTCCCTACCCTTACTCGTCACAAGCAAGGCAATGTTGATGCAGTAAAGGACTAAACCAGAGATGATGCTGCACCCACCAACCAAGTGCTTCCTCTGCCCTGCGTGCTCCTCCTCTCTCCTCCCTCGTCCAAGGCATTCCGAAAAGCACCCTTGTCTTTTGGGCAGAGTTCCCTTTCCACCCTCGAGCTGTCCCCACTGCCTTAGCCTGGACTAATCTCTCCAGGGAACCTCTCCTACATCCACCTGGCTTCTCACAGAACAGTGCGGGAGGTTGGGGACTTATTACAAAGTGCTCTGAAGGATGTTGCCGAGTGCCTCTGGTTTTTGTCTAGTCACTGAAAATGCCGACATCATCCTTGATCAGTGACACATGTTCTACATATGCCCCACGCCAGGTCTGTGTTGAGCAGTAAATAATATGTCACTTACTGCTTGCAGCAACTCTATGAGGCAGGAACTGTGATTGTGCCCATTTCAAAGACGAGCAACCTGGGACACACAGAGTGTTTTGTTAAATTCCCCCAAGTTTCACAGTCAGTAAGTGGCACAGCCATGATTCAAATGCAGGTATCTGGCATAGTAGGGAAAGAGCATGGTGGTGATGGCTACAGGTCCAAAATGAATGTGTGCTCCCATTTACACAGTGTGGCACTGTCGCTGGGAGGCAGCTGCCCAGCCATGGACACTTCCCAGCACCTCTGCATCTGGGTGTAGCCATGTGACTCGTTCATCCAACAGGATGTGGGCCAGAGTTTTGGAGAGATAGGACACCCTTTCTTCTCTCCTTCCTGCTTCCTGGATTTTCTGGCTGCTTGCAGAAAATCCTAAGTTATTAGAAGATGGCAGAGCCACAAGATAGTGGAGACTGACTTCTTAAATCCCCACATGAAGAGAAGCTGCCTGCTGACCCCAGGAATACCCACCATTGGACCATCAGGTTAGCAAAAAGTAAGCTTTATTGTTAAGCCAGAGGTCAGCAAACTTTTCTGTAAAGAGCTAGAGAGTAAATATTTTGAGCTTTGCAGGCCATGCAGTCTCTCTCACAATGGCTCAACTCTGTTATCATAGCATAAAAGCTTCCTTAGATGATCTGTAAACAAATGGGTGTGGCTGTGTTCCAATAAAACTTTATTCACAAAAACAAACAAGGGCCCAAATTGGGCTGGAGAACCACAGCTTGTCAAATCTTGTGCTAAGGCATTAAAATTTTGCAGGAATTATTTGTTATTATAGCTAATGTTAATCAAGTAATATAGGAAAGGGGGAGTCCTCTTTGGTTTCCTTCTTAGTCTCCTAATAATCCACAACCAAATGCAGAGGGATCTCACTTTCCCAACTCTCTCATTTCTCCCCAGAGCTGGAGTGGCCCTCTTTCTGTCCCCACTGAATCCATTTATCTATGGAAAATTGGGAGAGAGAGTCTACAAGAAGAGCACTATACCTCCCCACCCCAATTGCACACACTTTTTTTTTTTTCTTTTCAGACAGAGTTTCGCTCTTGTTGCCCAGGCTGGAGTGCAATGGCACAATCTTGGCTCACCGCAACCTCCGCCTTCCAGGTTCAAGGGATTCTCCTGCCTCAGCCTCCCAAGTAGCTGGAATTACAGGCATGCACCACCCACACGTGGCAAATTTTTGTATTTTTAGCAGAGAGGGTTTCTCCATGTTGGTCAGGCTGGCCTCAAACCCCTTAGGTCAGGTGATCCTCCCGCCTCGGCCTCCCGAAGTGCTGGGATTAGAGGCGTAAAGGCTGCAGTCACGTAGACTCAAAAGAAAAACAGTATTTTAAAAAAAAGAACAAGAATGCTGTATAAAACAGTAAACAGTAAAACATAATGCAGCAATTAAAAGTTAATGCCCCAACATTTATTTTGGGGATACGGCATATGTCTCACCTAGTCTGGGACTAAAAAGTTTCCTGCCTTATTCATGCAGGGGCTTCTTCATGGTTTGCGTAAGGCAGCCAATTAAAGTAGAAACTCAGACCTGGCACAATGCTCACGCCTGTAATCCCAGCACTTTGGGAGGCCGAAGGGGGTGTAGATCACCTGAGGTCTGGAGTTCGAGACCAGCCTGGCCAACATGGTAAAACCCCGTCTCTACTAAAAATACAAAAATTAGCCAGGTGTGGTGCTGCATGCCTGTAATCCCAGCTACTCAGGAGGCTGAGACAGGAGAATTGCTTGAACCCGGGAGGCAGAGGTTGCAGTGAGCTGAGATTGCACTACTGCACTCTAGCCTGGGCCACAGAGTGAGACTCTGTCTCCAAAAAAATAAATAAATAAATAAAAGTATATATATACAAAAAGAAACTCAATGGAGGCTGCAGCATCTTCAAAGTTTATCACTGATTGTGTAAAGCAAGCACGGGCTATGTGCAAGCTGGGCTGCCTATGGACAGGAAGGGATCATTTTCAGAGGCGTTTCAAATCATCTTCACGTTCTTGGGTGATTTTTTAAAAAAAAATCATTAAATGTTATACAACTCTCATTTCTCTCGTCCTTCAATATTACTGCATTTCTCTCATCATTCAATATTACTGTCAGTTCTGGCAGAAAATATAATATACCCCTGCTGAGTTTCCTATGCCCTTCTCTGCTCCAGATCATGTTGTGTTTGTATGAATAGCATGTGCACAGGTGAGACACTGCCTCCTTGGAAGACACCAAAGGCGTGTGGCTGCTGTGTCCAGTCACGTGCTCAGACTTCACCCCTGCTATGGGGATGAGGGCAAGGGTATTGGTTTTGGTCTCCTGCCTGCACTTACTGTTGCCCTGGGGGTGAAGATGCTACCTGAAAACCCACATATCCTGGAAAGGTCTCACACAAGGATCAGGCGTTTTCAGACAGAAAGGTTTTCTTGTTGATGTTTTCTACTGCATTCTCTCTTAAGCTCAAGACTTTTTATTTTGTGTTTTTTACATTGATGAGTTATAAAGGGGTCTCTCTCATCTTTCCCTTCTTTTTACCTTCTTCTTTGCTGAATCTCTGCTCTCTGGCCAGGAGTCATTACATAGAAACTTAAGTGCAGGGTGATCATCTATTAACTCAGCAAATAGTTATCGACAGCTACAATCTCAGATACTATTTAAGGCTTCAGAGATACAGCAGTGAGCAAAATTGCTGTCAAAGTGCCCACATTCTAGTGGAAAAAGCAATAAATAGATGTATTATTTGTTGCCCTAAAAAAGTGAAAAGTGAAGCTTCTTTGGTATGTCTCATGCACCATCTAGGGGGTAGGCTCTGCCATACTGGCTGCTGACTTGTTAAAAATACTACTATCATGAGGCCAGGGAGAAATCTGAACTCGGGAAAGTGGTGTGGGGGCCAGAATTTGAGAAGAGAAGAAGCCTACGCTGGAATCGCACTTAGTTCACGTCACTTCCCAGATCTGGCTTCCAATGGCCTCTTCTCACCCTCTAAATAAAATACGTAAATCCTCAATGTGGCCTTTACAATCTGCCTCTTTTAATCCTTCTCTGCAGCCACAATGACTTCTATGATGGTCTTCCAATACCCTGAGCCTGTTCCCACCTCAGGGTCTTTGCCATTGCTGTGCTGCCCCCTGGAAAGCCCTTCCCCCAGATACTCACATGGGTGTCCCTTCACTTCAAATGTCAGCACAAGAGGTTTTTCCTGCCTAAATGGCAGCCAATATGCTCTAGTCTCTCGCCCTGCTTTTAAGTATTTCTTCCCAGCCACACTGCTTCCTGCCACATTCATTCACTTGCTTGTCCATTTGCCGTCTCTGTCCTTATACAGAAACGTCATCTCTCTAAGGCAGGGGCTTTGTCGTGGTCAGTGCTGCGTTCCTGGCACCCAGCAGAGAGCCCGTAGACAGTGGTGCACAATAATTACCCATGGAATGGTGAATGTTTCTTAGCAACTGTAACTTACTGCCTGCACTCCTCTCCCCTGCAGCCAGTTCTCCACGTGGCCACCAGAGGATGCTTCTGGAAGGTAAATCTCATGTTCACCACCATCCACCCTGGCTTTAAAATCTTTAGTGGTTTCTTTCTGCTCTTATAGCAAAGATGCAACACCCAAATGTGGCCTGAGGGTCTCAGCACGGTTCTGCTCTGACCTCCTTCACTCTTACCCTCCAAGCACCAGGGTCTTCTCAGGCAATTTTTTTCAGACCAGACATTTGCTATGATCCCTCCGGCCACAGGGCCTATGCCCAGTCTCTTTCCACTTCCTGCAATGCTTTTCCCTTCCCTCTGTCACCCACCCTAGTCTTCACATCTCAGTTTCAGCCCATGTCCTCAGGGAACCTTCTCTGACCTTCCTGGGTGGGTCACACAGTACTTATTACAGCGCATCGTATTTACTTGCATGATACTTTTTTGAAATATGTCCCTCCTTCTCTAGACTGTCAGATTCACATGAGCAGAAACAGCACCTGGTTTTGGACCCCATTTTATGCTGAGCCTAGCATATAGTAGGCTTTCAAGAAATCCATGAACAAATAACTAAAGAGCTGTGACCTTCAAACAAGCTACTTCAAGCTTGTTGAGCCTTGGGTAACGATGGCTATGCCAGAGAGACATGGGAGACTTCAATGACATAAAATGGATGATATTTTATAAACAACAATTGGCGCACACTGTACAAATTAAGTGATTTTTTTTAAATGTGGGTCTACCCACCTCTAAGCCTTTCATCTAATTTGATACCTTCCACAGAGATACCTTGATCTAAATGCCACCTCTGCTGAGTTTCTTTTAGCGCCTTTTGCATTATGAAAAGTCAGTATCTCATTGAATCTTCTCATCAAAACAGCCAGACATTTACCATGTGTTCCAAGTGCTTTATATAAATTAACTTTCAGCCCTTGCAACCCACCTTCAAAGGTAAATACTATCATTATCCCCATTTCACAGACGAGGAACTGAGGCACCAAGGAAAATGAAAACTTTCCAGTAGGCACACCCCTAGAAAGTGGTGGATTCAGGGTTGAACGAACACAGTTTAATGCCGGTCTCCACTCTGAGCCATTAAACAACAGTGGTGGAACACACACCAAACAACAAATGGGGAAACTGAGGCCCAGAGAGCTTTCATCATAGCTTCTGCCTGACTCCCAGCTGCAACTCCTAACATAAGTCTCTGCTCATGTGAAAGAGTTCAGTGTCCTCACCCAATGGAGAGTTTCCTTATCATTGTCCTTAACCAATGGAGAGTTTCTTGTGTCCATATATCCAGTGTCCTTACCCAGTGGAGAGTTTCTCGAACCCATGACTACACCATGCTTTTAAGCACACCAGGCTCCTAGGATACCACAGGTGCCCCAGCTGGTTTGCACCTGTGGGCAAAGTTTGCCCTGCATTCCTGGGCACGTGATTATACCTATATTGGGGTGAATTTCTGTGACTTTCCCAGATGCATGTATCTGACACCCCCACCTACCAACCGTGAACTGTTATAATTCCATCAACATTTGCCAAGCAAGATTGTACCACATGGAACTCTGCAGTGAGCAGAGGTTACAGAGTGAGGCTTTGGCCAAATAGGTCTGGGTTCAAATCATTCATTCATTCATTTTGTTAACAAACACTGTAGAGCTTTGGCTGTATGATGGGCCTGTGTTACCAACTCAGGATACCAAGGTAAACCCAGGAAACACAGGTGCCGCTATCAGAAACCCAGAGCCTGGAGGGGTAGACAGACACTAAACACAACAACAAGCAAGAAAATTGGCAATTGTGATACAAGCTACGATGAAAATAAACAGGATGATGTGATGAAACAAAACTGAGAGTGAGGGGTTAGAACAGGGCCATGATCTTCTCCCCATCAAGCTAAATGTGTTTGGGCAAGTCTCGTAATCCCTCCAAACCTGTTTCCAAATCTGTTCATGGTGATGGTTAATCTCAAGGCACATATAAAATGCTCAGAAATGAAAGCTATGCCTTTCTGGAACCCAGGCACCAGGCATTCAGGTGTGAACAAAGCTATCCATGCAGTCCGGGAGGGGAGCCAGAGAGAAGCAAGCATGTGCGACCAGCATTAAAGGGGCAGCTGCAGTCAGTCCTCTCTGGAGCCCTGTCCTTGTTCTTCCCAACACAGCCTTGTGCGTATGCTGATGCTGCATGAAATCCCTGCTTCTTCATCGTTCGTCACAAGAGGTAAGTTCCCCAGCTCCATCCCAGCCCAGCAGCCAACCATAGGAAAGGCAGCTGAGAAGTGCCTTCCTTCTCCTGCCTTCTTGGGTCATTGAGCAAAGAGGAGACAGAGGCACACGGGCCCACTCTCTCTTCTTTTTTTCCTATCAACCGGGCCAAACAACCAGCAAGGAACACCTGCTGAAAGGTGAAGAGGACAGAGCCTTGGCAGAGATTAATGCCTTCCTGATGCCAGGCGGCCGTGAGAACTGAGATTGGCAGTGTGAAGGTCCACCTTCTCTGCAACCAAATCATAAGTGTCCCATAGACAAAGGCTTTGTGTTTATCTGCCTTCAGACTGGTCAGTGATCAGGGAAGCTTAGCAACTTGGGGCAAAACTGGCTCAGGGCCGGGCATGGTGGCTCATGCCTGTAATCCTAGCACTTCGGGAGGCTGAGGAAGGCTGATCACTTGAGACCAGAAGTGCGAGACCATCTTGGCCAATATGGTGAAACCCTATCTCTACTAAAAATCCAAAAAATTAGCCGGAATGTTAGCACATGCCTATAGTCCCTGCTACTCGGGAGGCTGAGGCAGGAGAAGTGCTTGAACCCAGGAGGCGGAGGTTGCAGTGAGCCAAGATCGTGTCACTGCACCCCAGGCTGGACGATAAGAGTGAGACCCCACGTCAAAAAAAAGCAAAAAAAAAAAAAAAAAAAAAAAAAAAAACTGGCTCAGAACTGATGGAGCCACACTTTGAGAAGGATGTTGACTTGCTGGCTAATGAATGATTAAGGTCAAGAGGTAAAGGTGTCACTCATCTTTAATAGTCCCAGGTGGAAGAAAACTGGTCTATCTATTCAGGAGACTTACTGGTCCTTGGCTTTCTTAAAGATTCCCCAAATCTAGAGTTCTCCTGACATTGGTGTGACCCCTCCACTCATCTCAAGAACCACTAGGACTTTGCATTTTCAGAAAGCATGGTTGACTGTCTGCATTCAGTGATTTGTTGGCTGAGACAGTCCTAATAGGTCAGCTAATTTGAATATCACACATATACCCAAATTACACATTGATACTTTAGCCTACAGTAATCTTTCTAAAACTCTTCAGCGGCCCCCATTAAATATAAACTCATCCTGGCTCACAAATCCTTTACAACATGACAACATCTTTGACTTCATCTTCACTTTCTTTTAACGTGTTTAGAGACAGGGTCTCGTTCTGTCACCCAGGCTGGAGTGCAGTGGCACCATCACAACTCACTACAGCCTTGAACTCTTGGGCTCCAGTGAACCTCCTGCCTCAACCTCTTGAGTAGCTGGGACTACAGGCACACGTCACCACACCTGGCTAATTTTTGTATTTTTTGTAGAGACAGGGTCTTGCTATATTGCTCACTCTGGTCTTAAATGTCAAGACTCAAGTGATCCTCCTGCCTTGGCCTCTCAAAATGCTGAGATTACAGATGTGAGCCACCACTCCCCACCCATCCTCACTGCCCACCATGTGTCTGTACTTCCTTTCTCTCACCCTCCTCTCCATATACCCTCCAAACTGTACTGCTCCTCTGAAGAAGTCTCACACATCTATATCTCCCTGCCTCTGCTCCATTTCAAATGTCCTTCCCTGGCTCCTTTCAAAGCCCTTACCTATCCCTCAAGGCACATCTCATGTGTCACCTCCCCTGTGAAGCTCTGCCTGACTTCTCCAGGGTCTCACAGACCCTAGGCCAGGGGCTTTCAAACTTGAGTGTGCATGGGCATCACCCACTGGAGTCACCGACCAGGAGATCTCAGGGGAAGCCCAAGAATCTGCATTCCCAAGTGATGCTGATGCTGCTGGTCCAGGGACCACACTTTGAGAACCACTGCACTGGATGATCGATTTTTTTTTTTTTTTTTTTGAGATAGGGTCTCACTCTGTCACCCAGGCTGGAGTGCAGTGGTATGATCTTGGCTCACTGCAAACTCTGCCTCCTGGGTTCAAGCAATTCTCATACCTCAGCCTTCCCAGTAGCTAGGACTACAGGTGCTTGCCACCATGCCTGGCTAATTTTTGTATTTTTAGCAGAGACGGGGTTTCACCATGTTGGCCAGGCTGGTCTCGAACTCCTGACCTCAAGTGATCCGCCTGCCTGGGCCTCCCAAAGTGGTGGGATTACAGGCGTAAGCCACCATGCCCAGCACGATTAATGGATTTCTATGGAATTTAATTTCCTTTCTGCCTACTGCTTTCAGGTAAAAACGATGAATGATTCAGATTCCCCTGATGATCTCACTTGCATAACTGAGATCAGGGGTTTTTCTGAAATTCACCAGGACTTCTCCCCTTTTCAATCACTTTGTGTGATTGGTATTAGCATTAGTTCTCTAGAACTGCTGTGGCAAAGTACTGCAAACTTGGTGGCTTGAACAATATAATTTTTTTCTCTCATAGTTCTGGAGGCTGAAAGTGTAAGATCAAGGTGTCGGTGGTTCCCTCTGGAGTCTCTGAAGGACAATCTATTTCATGCCTTTCTTCCAGCTTCTGGTAGCCTCAGGCATTCCTTGGCTCATAGATGGTGTTCTATTTATGCCATAATAAAAATATTAGTACTTACTTTTTTTTTTTCTTTTTTTTTTTTTTTTTTTTTTTTTTTGAGATGGATTCTCACTCTGTCACCCAGGCTGGAGTGCAGTGGCGCAATCTCGGCTCATTGCAAACGCCATTCTCCTGCCTCATCCTCTGGAGTAGCTGGGACTACAGGCACCCGCCACAACGCCCGGCTAATTTTTTTTTTTTGTATTTTTAGTAGAGATGGCGTTTCACTGTGTTAGCCAGGATGGTCTCCATCTCCTGACCTCGTGATCCGCCCACCTCGGCCTCCCAAAATGCTGGGACTACAGGCGTGAGCCACCGTGCCTGGCCAGTATTATTTTTTTTAAGATTGTATGCATCTTCATACCATCTCTCCTCTCTGCATGTCTGTTTCTGTGTCCAATTTTCCCCTTTTTATAAGGACACCAGTCTTATCAGATTAGGGCTCACACTAATGACCTCCTTTTAACTTGATTACCTCTGTAAAGACCCTCTCTCCAAATAAGGTCACATCCTGAGGTACTGAGGGTTAGGACTTCAACATATATTTTGTTTTGGTGGGGGATACAGCCCATGATGCCTTGTCAGATGACACCTCTGATCCCAGGAGGATCCATGCCGTGGAGACAAACAACTCATTATTTGCCTTGATGACCTGTCATCTCATAGACACCTCCCTGGATGGATGGAGCACTGGAATTTGGGCTACCAGAGAGTTCCGCCTCGGTTAGCAGAAGTAATTTGCCCGTGTCCTTATGCAACATGCTGACCTGGTCGGTCATTTAAATGAAAGGGCACGGCAGCCATGCAAAACTCTATCTCCCTAATGCTTTTCTTCCCATTGCTTTCTTCTTCTTGAAATATAAAAACGACCCTGTTGTATAACTGCATTCCATTGCACTGCATTAACTAAACCAATTCTAAGTTCTTTTGTGGAAACATGGTGATCACTTCTCCGCTTGCATGCACTAACAGCCCGCATTTGAAGCCTCTCCCCGCCGTGTGCAGCCCTGCCACCCTCCACCGCACCCGACATGCATTATCCAGAGTGATCATTCTAAAAAGTATATTGGACTAAGTTACTTAAAACCTGCTTAAAACACTTTAATGTTTCCCCTTCCCTAAGATAAAGTCTAAACCCCTTAGCATGATATTCAAGGGTCTTCATTCATCTCCATCTGACAGCTTCTCTACTCCTATTTCTTTTATTATTGGTTTTTATTTTTTAGAGACAGGGTCTTGCACTGTCACCCAGGCTGGTGTGCAGCGGAGTGATCAGAGTTCACTGCAGCCTCTACCTCCTGGACTCAGGTGATCCTCCCACCTCAGCCTCCTGAGTATCTGAGACAGGCGCATGCCACCACACCCAGCTAATTTTTGTATTACAGTGACAGGGTCTTGCTATGTTGCCCAGGCTACTCTCCAACTCCTGGATTCAAGCAATCCTCTTGTCTCAGCCTCCCAAATTGTTGAGATTACAGGCATGAATCATTGTGCCTGGCTCTACTCCCATTTCTAAGCCCTCTCCCACACCCAGCAGTCCTTCCAGACAAACCCAGCTGTCTGCAGCTCCTCCCAGTCTACATCATAATCCCCTGGAATGCTTTTCTGCCTTAGTCTGTTCAGGCTGCTGTAACAAAACACATAAACTGCGCGTAAAAACAACAGACTTTATTTCTCTCAGTTCCAGAGGTTGGGAAGTCCAAGATCAAGGTGCCAGCATATTCGGTGTCTGGTGACGGTCAGCTTCCTGGATTACAGGCACTGCCTTCTCACTGTGTCCTCACAGTGGAAGGGTCTAGAGATTTTTGCCTTGCCTGGCTTGCCCTAATCCCATTCATGACTTAATCACCTCCCAAAGGCTCCACCCCACCTCAGCCTATCACTTTGGAGATCAAGATTTCAACATATGAATTCTAGGGGGACGCTAACATTCAAACCACAGCACTTTTCCTCCTCTTGTCTAGACCTGTGTTTCTTAACCCCAGCACTGCGAACATTTGGGGCTGGATAACTCTGCATTGGAGGGGGCTGTCCTGCACACACTGTAGGTTATTTACAAGCATCCCTGTCCTCCACCTACTAGATGCCAGTAGCAACTCCACCTTATCCCCAGTTTGGACAACAGAAAAACCTAGATATTGCCGGCCAGGCGCGGTGGCTCACGCCTGTAATCCCAGCACTTTGGGAGGCCGAGGCGGGCAGATCACGAGGTCAGGAGATAGAGATCATCCTGGCTAACATGGTGAAACCCTGTCTCTACTATAAAAAACACAAAAAAAATTACCCGGGCATGGCAGCAGGCGCCTGTAGTCTCAGCTACTAGGGTGGCTGAGGCAGGACAATCACGTGAACCCAGGAGGCGGAGCTTGCAGTGAGCCGAGATCGCGCCACTGCACTCCAGCCTGGGCGACAGAATGAGACTCCTTCTCAAAAAAAAAACAAAAAACAAAACAAAACAAAAAAAACAAAAACCCACCCTAGATATTGCCAAATGTCCCCTGGCCTAGATAATTGCAACTAGTCCTTCAAAAATCAGGGCAGTGTCACCTCCTCCAGGAAGCCCCCTGGCCCCCTCATCCCCCAAACAGCAGCAAATTCACTGCGTGTTTACTTTAGCTCTTTCCCACATCAGACTGAAACCAGGTCTGCTTCTATTTTGTGCCCCTGACGCTAGCACAGTGCCCGCCCGGCAGGGAGCAGACATCCCCTCCCACCCCCCAATGTCCCCACTGATGTCTGTTGATCAACTAGATGATAGACAGTGAGTGGAAAAGAAAGGCAGAGGGGGGACCCACTCTTGTTCCTTGGTGCCAGGGTTTAAAGAGGTTTGGCTGCATCTAGCGTGTTTTCTCAGATGCTCTCTTGCTCACGACTCAAAGGCGAATGCGAATGTGCATTCGTAGCGGGGGCAGGGATGAACTGCACTCCAAACCTGCACCAAAAACCTGCTCTCTATCCCCAGGGTCTCAGGTAAATGTGGCTTTGTTTAAAAGCGCATTCTCTGGATCTTCTGTTTTCATTTTTAAACTGTAAAAGATAGAGTTGTTTGTTTGAAAATCGAGACGCTAAACTCTAAGTCTTTTGCTGAAGCTCCTCTCCCTAGGGGCAGGATGGGAGCAAGGCTTACCAAGGCTGCCACCTACAGAACAGAGGGCAGCGAGGACTGCGCAGCAGCGGGAGGGACCGGTGGCGTTGGGCGCGGGGAGGGTCTGCGCGGGGAGGGTCCGCACCCGGGAGCGGGGGCGGCTGCTCGCTCTACTCCTGGGAGGGGCCTTTCGAAGGACCAGGTGCTGGGCAGAAGCCCCCTCCCTCCCTCAGCAATGAGGAGCCTGAGCAAATGTGCAAGGGAGGGAGAGGGAGGGGGAGGGGGAGGGGGAGGGGGAGGGGGGGGAGAAAGAGAGAGAGAGAGAGAGAGAGGAGTCCTGGTCCACACCGCTCAGAGGAGGGGTGCGGCAGCCACACACTCACCAGGTACACACTCGCAATCCAGCACACTCACAGCGCACATGCAAACACACACAACCCACAAACAGCACAACCCACAAAAACACACAATACACCTCCACACTGCACAAATACACAACACACACATCCACACACCACACACAAATATACTACACACATCCACACACCACCATAAATACACTACACACATCCACACACCACACACACAAATACACTACACACATCCACACCGCACACACTACACACATTCACACCACACATACACACTCGCAACTTCACTCAGTGCACATGCATACGCCCACAAATACACCGAACACACACATCCACATCATGCAAATACACTACACACACATTCACACCACACACACATCCACACCACACACACAGATACATAAACACATCCACGTCATGCACATCCAAATACACAACACACATCCACACCACACAAACATGCACTCACAACCCTGGACTCACAATGTACAAACACACAACACATACATCCACACCACAAATACACCCACAAACACACCACCACACACACTCACAAATACATGAACACAGTCACAAATATAAATCCACGCCACACACAAATACATGAACACACATTCACACCACACATCCACACCACAAACACACATCCACACCACATAATGCTGCACACTCACAGCAGACATACAAACCCACATATTCACACACACACACACACAAAACACACATCCACACCACATTCACAACTACGCACACATAAATACACATAGCATACACACACAAATACACACACACTCACATGTGCACACACAAACCTACACATTCACACCACACATACACACACCATAGGCACACTGCACACACTCCCATGGAGACACACCCACGCAACCCTCACGCAGCTGCGCTCCGACACTGCATCTGCCTCTGTTCCTGAATAAGCCGCTCTGGAGGCTGGAGGCAGCTGTGGGGGAGGCTGGCAGGTCAGAGCTGTGCCGATGAGCCGTCGTATCTATGCTCTGCGAAAGCGGCCCCAGCCAGGAACACTCCCCTCTGCCGCAGGCTGGAAGAGGTGGCTTTCTCTGTGCTTATCCTAAGCCCTTCCTTCTCTGCCTCCACCTGACATCAAAGCCCCCTGGCAAAGTAACCCAGGTTAAGGCACCCCCTCACCTCCAATACACAGGTGGTGGTCTGAGTGGGTAGAGTGCCAGATGTTAATCAGCAGCAATTAATGTCTTTTTACTTTAATGAATCTTATCACCTTTATCATAAAAAAGTGAAGGGAATGTGTAAGACTTCACTTCTTCCATGAGACCTTCCCATTTTCGTAAGCTCATTTTTACCAGCTAATTCTTCCAACAACCCAGCCTACAAAAGGTATAACGCAGAGTAGGAATTCCAGGGGGAAAGATGTGCAAAGTAAATCTTAATAAATTTTGAATCATATTTTCAATGTATTGGGTGGGGTGTGGGCTTGATAATTAAGGAGAATCTTCTGTAAAGGTTCAATAAAATGACAAATTCTTTTGTAAAGAGATTACTCATTCTGCTGTACCTACTCCCTGAAGCTAAATTGTTATATAAAAGCCTTACTTTGAACAAGCTAGGGAAGTTCCTTAAGGCAAGGTGGTGTCCCCTCAGTTCTTTAAAACACAAGTATCTCTTAGGTAAGGGCTCTGAGTGGGGCCTCTTCCTAGCTACATGGTCTCACGGGGTCATTTAATGTCTCCGGGCTTGTTTCTTCATCTGTAAAATGGGAGTAATATTGCCTGTCTCCCAGGGATGCAATAAGAGTTAAAGATAATATATGTTCAGTGTCTGGTACAGACTAGGTGCTCAATAATTGCTAGCTGATAACTTTGGTATGACCATGCTTTTGACCAACCCAGATACCCATCCTTGAGTGTATAAATCCAACCTACTCCGCTGAGCTCAGTTCAAAGCCCACCTTCTCAGTGAAGTCTTTCCATGAATATGCTAATTGGAAGTAAACCACCTCCTTCTGCAATCTGCAGTCACCCCCTGGTACTTTATTTGTTCCTTTCCACATTCAGCTTTGTATATCGCAATATAGTCCCGGTGCATCTTACACTCCCTTTACACCATAATTAGCAAGACTCATGTCTGAGTCCTCCTTGTGCAATGATTGCACACAGTAGGGGCTCCATAAATGTTCCTTAGGTGATTAATAGCAATAGTGTGGTAGACCTTGTAGGTGGCTCCAAAAAAAGCACTCCACCCCCTGACCACCAGATAACAATGGAATTTCTGTTGTACCACACATAAGGTAGTTTTAAAATATGTCTGCAAATTTTTCAATACTCCCCTCCTTCAAAAGGTAAAGCTTAATCCTCCCTGTGTGCTTGGCAACTCTCTTCTCATGAATGGAGTGGGGGACAAAAGACAGTGTGATTTCTGAGATGACATCAACAAAGGCAATGTGGTTGCCTTCTCTCTTTTGGATCACTCACTCTGAGGAAGTTGGCTGCCATGACATGAGGGACTTCAAGCAGCCCCACGGAGAGGTTCTCAAAATCAATAAATGAGGCCCCCTGCCAGCAGCCTCGGAAACAAGCCATCCATGCCAGCCAGTCCTCCAGCCTCAGTCCAGCCTTTAGATCACTGCACCTCTGGCCAATGTACTGACCACAGCCTCACAAGAGACCCTAGGCAAGAATCCCCCAACTAAGTTGCTCCCGAATATGATCCACATAATCAGTAAGATAATAAATGCTTGTTGCTTCAAACTTCTAAGTTTTGGGATGATTTGTTATGCACCAATAGCTAACTAATACACAACACAGCCATCAGTACATAGTTCTGATGCTGACCCAATCCCGGACAATGATATATTAAGAGGAATCTGCTGGGGTTGGGATGGAGGCGGCATGGGGAAACATTTACTAACTCACACCTAAGGGGGCCATAGGAAGATAAAATCTCTCTTCTGCCACATTTGTGTCTGTATGCAATGCCTCAAACTTCAGGAACCCTTTTGGAACCAGCCTATGAGTAGACTCAACACTAAGGATGGTAGAACAGACGGAAGGGAAGAAGGTGGATTCTTGTTGATACCACTGGGCCACTGAATCCATCAGTCCCCAACTTTGATCTACGTCAGAGTTTCTGGTCATGTGAAATAATAAGTTTATACATCGTATAATCTACTTTGAGTCAAGGTTCTCATAATTACTTGCAGCTAAACATACCCCAACTCATTCAAGGAGCTACTTGTAATGGGCTCTCTGCATTTTACATTTGGTAGTATCTTAGACACTTTTTACAGATTCTTTCTAATCTCTCTAGTATCCTACAATTTAGATATTATCACCCCTACTTTACAGATGAGGAAACTGAGGCTTGATGCCGTTAAGTAACTTTTCCTAGGTCACATAGCTAGTGAGAGGCACCGCTAGGATTCAGTACAGGCCTTTGAACTCAAAGTTGACATTCGTTCCAACCCACCAGGCTGATGATCAAAGTGGCACGCTAAGAAAGCACCCCAGGATTTGCTCAGAAAGGCAGCCGGGATCACATCAGCAGCAAGCCCAAACTTTAAATGCTCACTCGCTACCTCCTTATCTTTTTGTGGAGCTAAACATTATCCTCTGCCATGATGCCTTCCAAAGCAGGACAGGTCTTGATGTGATTTTCCACTTCTCACTATATATGGTATTGTTTCTCAGTATCCTACAAAGATGCCACCAACTTTCAATTATCTCAGCTAGGGAAGCTTCTGCAACCATTCTAGCCCACAGTCAAGGCTCCCTGCTCTGAACCCCCACTGTACTGATAACCAGAACCACACAGCTTAGTGCTGAAGGGTTTTCAAATTGTTTCAAGCATCTTAACCTGCCCCCATCAGCCAAGCTACCTCCTTCTTAAGGTCAAACTCCTGTGCCAAATACTCCTTTTGTTCAGCCCCTGAGCCTAGATATTACAGCATTTGATGCTTAATATACACTTGCCCACTGCTTGATCAATGGAAGGGGGCTGCAATATACATATACATACACACACATATATATATACACACATATATATACACGTATAAATATGTGTGTATATATACACACATATATATGTATATATATACACACACACATATATATATACACATACGTGTGTGTGTGTGTGTGTATATATATATATATAGAGAGAGAGAGAGAGAGAGAGAGACAGAGACAGAGACAGAGACAGAGACAGAGAGTGCCTCACTCTGTAGCCCAGGCAGGAATACGGTGGCGCAATCTCGGCTCACTGCAACCTCTGCCTCCCAGGTCCCGGTTCAAGCAATTCTCCCGCCTCCGTCTCGCCACCATGCCCAGCTAATTTTTGTATTTTTAGTAAATATGGGGTTTCACAATGTTGGCCAGGCTGGTCTTGAAGTCCTGACCTCGTGATCCACCCACCTCGGCCTCCCAAAGTGCTGGGATTACGGGTGTGAGCCACCACACCTGGCCTGCAATATTTTTTCACACCCGGCCTACAATATCATTTTTAAAATCATGTGTACATGGCTTTTTGCTGCACAGAAAAGTTTGACTTGCCTGCCCTCCTTTATGCTTTTTCTTTCCTCTGTTGATGTCTTTGCTGAGTCCTTATGAAGTCTTTCCTAATGCCACTCCCTAACTCCCAAATTAAGTCATTCTTCATCTAGGCTGTCATTGTGTTCTATACATATCTTTAATATACATCCTATTGCTTTATGATTATTTGCTTTTGAAAAGTTTTTAGACAATCAGATGTGTTAAAAATTCCCTAAGCACCAATGTCTGGTTCATACTAGATGCTCAATAAATGTTATGAAAGGGATGCACACGTTTATCATTCAAAGGATAGCCTACGTCTGCTGTGTTCCTACAACAGTTATGACAGCTCTCATCCCACGACATTCCAATCATGTGTTCGAATCTGATTCCTCTTTTAGACTGTAAGTTACCAAGGGCAAGAAATTGATTTTTTCACCATTCTTATCTCTAACATAAATCACAGGGTACAAGGCGAGCATTCAAATATTTGTAGATAAATGTGTGACAACTGTGATCTATTTAGTCAAGGGTTAAATGTGTTACTATTCCCTAATCAATGACCAGGGAATTATTGAGCAATTCAAAGACACTGCTTTTGAATAAAACATTTACCGTACATTATCACCTGGCAAAGAAAAAAAACCTGTGCCTGTTCAAAATATTCTTTTGAAAATGTTTGATGGGGAGGATCTTTAGTTGATGTCATAGGCTTCTTCAAGTTGGTGACAGTTCCTTGCCAATTGGCCGAAGTCTTCCTTGGTGCCTTCCATCACCAGGGTGCAGACATGATTCAAGGATTTCTGGTAAGATCTGGCCAGGAAAATGTATCCCACGAGCTCAAAACTGCCAAGCACTATTGTTAATAACACAGATGGCCTCCTTCAGGAAAGTATTATTTTCTTTCCCTAAATAGAAGCAAGGTAAATATGTTCTTCCTTCTTATGTTTACCAAGGGTCTCTGGCTGGTTTACATCCTTTTGTACAGCAGGCTCTCTCTCAGGCCTCTTGCAAATTTTTTTTTTTTGCACTGGCTCCCGAATGTTCTGCTCCTAAGACTCCGAATCTGCACTGCTCTGGCTACGTGAGAGAGAGGTTCAAAGTGGGACACAGCTTCACCATCAGTTAATCCTGACTGATCTTCTGCCAGAGGTGACAACCTATCCTCGGGGTTTGGCAGTGAGCCTGATGAAGATAAGAAATGCCAGACTGGGTCAGACCAATGGCCCATTCTGGCCATGGCACTGTCTGACAGAGGCATCCAGAAACGTTTTGCAGAAAAGAGCTGTATTTGTCTCCTATGACATCAGTCATCAAAAATGTGCAAAGTCCTCCTGAAGCAGATCATCTTGGGGTGCCCCACCCAACTTCCATGCCACCCTTTTCCAAGCTGATGGAGTCCTCATTTTGTTCAAGTGCTTACTTGCCTACAGGAGGCTCAGGATTAAATCTCTTTTGCCCTATGCCAGGGTTTCTCAACCTCTGCACTACTGACCAGATCGTGTTTCTTTGCTGGGTGGGCTGTCCTGTACATTGTAAGATATTTTACAGCATCCCTGGTCCCTACATGCTGATATTAGTAGCATCTCCCGACAAACACCTACCTGTGAACACCAAAAATATCGCCAGACTATTACCCTTCGGGGAGGGAAAGACAAAATTGTCCCCAGTTGAAAACCACTGCTCTAAGCCAATATGATAGCCCCATTGCCTTAGCCAGTGATGGTTTTAGGGGTGAGCACGTGATCCAGTTCTGACCAATGTGGCATGAGAGGAAGTCATATTGAGGCCTTTTGAGAAATGTTCTCTCACTCTTAAGAAGCTACAAAACTGAAAGTGTCTCTTTCTGGTTGCTGGCATATCTAGATCACATCTTATCACCACCCTGAGGATGCAGCCAATAAAAAAGGATGAAATACATTTTTAAATTGTTTTTTTTTTTTTCTTAAAGCCATGGCTCCTCAGTTAACCTAAGCAACTTTAGGGTCACCATACCTTAAGACTCTTCACTACATAATAAATGAAATTCATTTCATTACTGACGGCATAAATTTGAGTTGGGGTTTTGTTACTTGCAGCCAAAAGCATCCCAATATAAACACCTTCCCATCTTTTCCATAACAAACCTACTTTGCTTCTCTCGCTTATTAGTAGTCAAAACATCACCTTTCAATGCATCCCAATGCCGTATAGGATGGTTTAAAGAGCCCTGGAGTCTGAGGCAAACAGCTAAGTTTGAGCAGCAGCTACACACACACACACAGCTCTTAATTTCCTTCATTTCTTCCATGTTGATAACACCATAAATTCTGCACCCTTTTGAGATTGTGTAATGGTCAAATGAGATAGTGTGTATGAAAATGCATAATAAACTCCAAGTGCTTTGTGGGTATCATTACATTTTCAGTCCCTACCACCCCCTTCAGAGGGTGGCACGTCTACATATTCACCACCCAACACTCAGACTTCAGCTAACGTTTATTAAGCCTAACTATATGTTAAGTGCTGTGTATATCAGTTGCTCTACCTTAGTGCTGTTGACAGTTGGAGCTGGTTAATTCTGTGTGGAAGGAAGCTGTTCTGTGCACTGTAGGATGTGTAGAAGCACCCCTGGACTCTACCCTCCAGATGCCAGTAGTACTCACCTTCACTCATGACAACCAAAGCTGTCTCCACACATTGCCAAACAGAGAACATTTGTCCCTGAAGGATAAAATTACTTCACATTGAAAACCATTGGTGTACACCCTGGTGACATACAGATAAAAAGATTTGTTTCCTGCCCTCAAGTAATTTATATCCTTCTATAAATGATCATTTATTTTATAACATAAAACAACCACAACCATTATTTGGTAGCAGATAGATCTAGGTCCCACTCTCCGCTAGCTTGTGGATGTTACTGTCTCGATCTCAGTTTCTTCATCCAGAAAATCGGGGTGATAAAGTCTACCTCTCTAGATCATTTTCAGAATTCAGTAAAATAAGGACTGCAAAACACCTAACAAAGTGCCTGGCAAACAATTAGTACCCAATAAATGTTAGCTTTGCATACTATTGTGTTCTTGGTTTAAAGATTATTGTCTGCTTTTAGGAATTAGGACCTCAGTTCCTGTTAATCTTCTTTACTTTGTTCTATGAACTTACAGACTTGAGTCCCATACCTGATATAGATGTTGGTGCTCCACCTGAACTGCCTCAGATCTTCTTACCATTTCTGCAAAGCCACCCTGAATCCCAATAGCCAGCACCTTCATCTTTGTAGGAGAGAAACCCCTCTGAATATTGGACCCCACATTGCCAGCATGCATGGTGGGTCAGAAGTGTCTGAGAGTTAATATATCCTTTTCTGCCCTGGAATAGCCTTTGAAAGATGACTAATGGGCACAGGAGTATAAATACCTCAGCTCCTCCACTCCTTGGCAGGAATAATTCTCAGGTGTGCATTTTACATTGATCTCAGAGCTTACCTGCAGGGTTAACTTTCAGTTCACCACCTTGGTATCTGGCTTACTAACATATGTCTCACTGGTGGGCTCCCTCTCCTTTTATCACCTCCTGTCTCCCCTGCCTGTGACCCCCCTACATGTCCCAGATAAACTAGGTACATTCAATATTTAATCACAATCTGTTTCTGAGGGACCCAACTAAAACACTATCCCTTTACTTTAATGATTAAGAGTTCAGACTCAATAGTTATATTTCCTGATTAGAATCCCTTTTCAAACATGTATTAATTTTGTAGCCATGGGCAAGTTATTTCACCTATGACTCAGTTTTCTTTATGTAAAATGCAGATAATAATACTCACTTCACAAGGTTATTATAAGGGCTAAATGAGTTAATATTTGTCTAATACTTAAAATCGTGATTGGCACTTAGTAAGCCCTATGTAAGCAATTATTCCTTTTAATTCCTTCGTAATCAATCCTAGTCTCCTTGGCAGCCAGAGTCAAGTTTCTAGGACTTGGGAGAACTGCCTACTACCTCAAGCCAACATATCAGGAATTATTTAAGAATCTAATTTTCAAAAACAGTCAACAGCAAAAAGAAAACTTCTATTTGCCCAAAGGATAATTCCAGACTTTGTTAGTGAAGACATATGTGGGGACATGTTGCCTGCAAACTGCTTGGATTCCTCCACTTGAATTAACATTCAGGAAATATGCCTGAATAAGTCTGCATTTGCTCAATAATCTCTCCTGGCCTGGGAAGAAGACTAGAGATATTAGTGTCTCCAAACACTAACATAGCCCAGGTCTGTGCCCTCCAGAAATGAGCATTCCTCGGGCTGTTGAATGGCTAAGCAGTATTCCATTCTGAAAGACAGTAATACCCCACACTTGGCCTCCCTTGGGCTGGTGCCACAGGGGCTCAAAATGTCTCAACCCATAAAAGACTTCTCTCCCCATTTCCTCTCTCCATCTCAACCTTGGAGGGTTTCTGTTCCTAATGCTATTCTACATGGCAGCTGGGATCAGTGCAAGCTCCAGGGCCAAGTTCTACAAGCCTCCTTCCTGCTGACGTGGAGGAAGGAGCCGAGGGAGAGATCTCTCTGGCCCCAGCCCCTGCCCATTCATGCATCAGAAACTTGCTGTCTCTATTCTAAGCTATTTACCTCCCAGTCGTTGCTATTCCAAAAGAGAGCCAGAGGGGAGGAAAATCTATAACAGTATTTTAATTTCCTGATATGACACACTCCATACTGAAATTACCCTTCCAAAGATCAGAGTTCCGCTTGGCAAAAGCCCAGTGAATTTCAATGAATGATACCACCCAGAAAGAACAGAGTTTTGTTTTATGGATGGTGAGATGACAATGAAGAGATGGATTGCCTATTTATTTAAATTTATTTTTAATTTACATTTAAATGCTCTGTGTTTACTCTATCTCAGGCACTGTGCTAAGCATTTTAGACTCATTATCTCAAATGCTACCTTCTCAAGTTGTCACAGCATTACCACCTTATTTATTGATTTTTTACTATTTTTTTTTTTCGAGACAGAGTCTTGCTCTGTTGACCAGGTTGGAGTGCAGTGGTGCGATCTCGGCTCACTGTAACCTCCGCCTCCCAGGTTCAAGCGATTCTCCTGCCTCAGCCTCCTGAGTAGCTGGGGTTACAAGCACCCACAACTACGCCCACCTAATTTTTTGTATTTTTAGTAGAGACAGGGTTTCACCATGTTGCCCAGGCTGGTCTCGAACTCCTGACATCAGGTGATCCACCCGCCTTGGCCTCCCAAAGTGCTGGGATTACAGGCATGAGTCACCGCGACCAGCCCACAACTTGCCTGGGACTCCGCAGTCCTCTTCCCTCCTGATTTTTTTCCATTATACTTAGCACCCTCCAATACATTATATAATGAATTGTTTGTCTGTCTCTCCTGATTAAGATGGAAGCTCTATAATGGCAGAACATTTTGTGCAATTTTTTTGTGAGCAGTGCCCAGCTCATAGGAAGCTTTCAATTAATATTTGCTGACTGAAAGGATGAATAAATGAATCTCCTGGAATCTTTCTGATAACCCAGTGGAAAAGCCACTGTTATCATCACTCCCATATTTATACTCATACCCATACCATCCTACCTGATAGGAAGAATAAAGGTCTCCCAATAGATGTCTATGTCCCGATACCAAGAACCTGTGAATATGTTAACTTACATGGCCGAGAAGACTTCACAGAAGTGATTGAGGATCTTGATATGGGGAGATTATCCTGAAGTCCCTGGTTTGGCCCAATGTAATCAGAAGTATTCTTCTAAGAGGGAGGTAGAAAGGGCAGAGGGAGACAAGGACTTGAAGATGCTACACTTCTAGCCTTGAAGATGAAGGAAGAAGCCAGGAGCCAAGGAACAAATACAGGTGACCTCTGGAGTAGGGATCCCCAAACCCCAAGCCACGGACCAGTACCAGTCCATGACCTATTAGGAACTGGGCCACACAGCAGGAGGTGAGCGGCAGGTGAGCAAGTGAAGCTTTATCTGTATTTATAGCTGCTCCCCATTGCTTGCATTACCACCTGAGCTCCACCTCCTGTCAGATAAGTGGCAGCATTAGAATCTCATAGGAGCACCAACCCTATTGTGAACTGCACATACGAGGGATCTAGATGGCATGCTCCTTATGAGAATCTAATGCCTGTTGATCTATCACTACCTCCCATCAACCCCAGATGGGACCATCTAGTTGCAGGAAAACAAGTTCAGGGCTCCCACTGATTCTACATTATGATGAGTTGTATCATTATTTCATTATATATTATAATGTAATAATAGAAATAAAGTACACAATAAATGGAATGCACTTGAATCATTCCAAAACCATCAGCCCAACCCCGGTCTGTGGAAAAACTGTCTTCCACGAAACTGGTCCCTGGTGCCAAAAAGATTGAGGACCACTGCTGTAGAGACAGTGAATCATAATCTGAGAGTTTACAGAGGAGCACAGCCCTGCTTTCACAAACCTTGATTTTAACCCAGTGAAACCCATTTTGGACTTCAGTCCTCCAAAACATATAATTTATATAATAAATATGTGCCACTTTAAGCTAAGAAGTTCATGGTAATTTGTTATGGCAGCAATAGGAAAGTAAGAGACCCATTATTCAGATGATGAAGCTAAGACTCGAGAGCATGTCCCAGGCCCCCCATGTAGTTAGGTGGTAGGATGATGTAGATGTAAGTGCAGTCAGCTTAACTCCACACTCTTCCTCTTGTCCTCTGTACAAAGTCAAGGGAGTTGATCAAACAATAAGAAACACTGTGTGCAACACTCAGTTCCTGGGATTTTGGTGCTATAAGGTCATGACTATTCCACCCTGCAATCTCTTCAGCACCCACTCTGTACTTTGGGACTGTTTTTCCTCTCCATGGAATTCTAAGCTCAAATAACTGCAGTCAGTTGTAAAAGTGCACAGACAGGAACAAGACACCTCCTGCATGGGTCTCAGAGTCTGATGGAAAGGGCAGTCGTAAGTGAGTAGTAATAAAACATTGGGAAGAAAAACTCCATGGGTGCAGGGCATTGCCTTTTCACAGGAGTATCCCCAGAGCCAAGATCAATGGCTGACTCATAGTAGGCACTTAATAAATATTTGTTGAGTGAATGAATGAGTAGTAACTCAAAGTAGTTTTTAAAGTGCTCCAAGTATACAAAGCTGGAAGGAATTAATTCTGCCTTGCATGTGTGTGTCTGAGGGGGTGTATCAGGGACTGGACCATTCGAATTGAATATTGCCGAATTCACACAACTTGGCAAAGAGAAAGGGTATTCCAGGGAGAGAGAACTGCATGTACAAGAGCAAGGAGGTAGAAAATACCAGGAACGGTCACCAGAGCATGCCAGGGTGAGTGCAATACTGTGCAGGTGGTACAGAAGATGGGGCAGAGAGACTGGCCAGACCCTGCCTTCTCTGCCAGGCTGGCCTGCTCCTGTCAGCCACAGGAGCCAGCTCAGACATTTAAGCAGAAGGGTAATGGGATTAGGTAGGTATTTTGTAAAGACTACACTTGCACTGTTACGTGGGCACCATAACAATGCATTTTCATTTGTCAGATCACTGTCACATACTAAAAAGTCTTGTTTGTGCTGAGAGATCTCAAACTACCTCTTTTACTGAAGACTTCAAGGGGGAAACTACAGAATTATAATGGCCTGGAAGGAAATGTCTCTGAAAGACAAGGATAGTGGCCAGTAGACAATGGCACACATGCCCAAAACATTGTCATCAGGAAATTCAAGAGGTCATTAAATTCTACTGTAGGAGGAAATTAACACAAAGATGATCCCAATGACAGATGTATTCTCATGATAATTCAAGCTCTTCTCCATCTGGAATAAGAGAAAAACAAATGACTTTCCAAAGAGCTGATCACATTTAATCTTCCTTTAAAGACCTGTGGGTTGGATGTGCTATCATCACTTCACAGTTAAGGAGACTGAGCCCCGTGGGCCAGTTTTGCAGAGCTGGTGTTTGAACTTGGGCAGCTACAAAGCCTGTGCTCCTTCCCATGCTCACCCTAAGTCCTTTTACATATCATGCACTGAACTTCCAACAGGAACGGTCAAGTCCCCAAGACCTAGGCCCTGTCCTTAAGGAATCGCCATCTGCCCCAGGGGACATGAATGATGCTTCTAGCCAGGGAGAGGGGTGGGCTAAGATATTCCGCCTTCAGGTTGCTGGGAGGGTAAGTGTGACCAGGGCTGGCTGGCGGTAAAGACCTCCCGGAAAATGTAGGTCCTGTGCTGGATATAAAGAAAAGATCTGTTGAGGCAGGAAGCTTCAATCACTAGAGCAAATTCCACCCAAACTGGGAGCTTCTCCTAAATGGAGATCCTGAGCCCTATCCTTAGAATACAGAGAGTGAGGCCAGGCATGGTGGCTTACACCTGTAATCCCAGCACTTTGGAAGGCCAAGGTGGGCAGATCACCTGAGATCAAGAGTTCGAGTCCAGCCTGGCCAACATGGTGAAACCTCATCTCTACTAAAAATACAACAATTACCCAGGCACAGTGGCACACTCCTGTAGTCCCAGGTACTCTGGAGGCTGAGGCAGGAGAATGGCTTGATCCTGGGAGACAGAGGTTGCAGTGAGCAGAGATCACGCCATTGCACTCCAGCCTGGGCAACAGAGCAAGACTCCATCTCAAAAAAAAAAAAAAAATACAGACAGTGAGTCTGAGTAAAACTTGGGAATCTGAACTTTGAACAAGCCCCACTAGTAATTCTGCCACTGTTCAGGGCCACAACAGTGAATGGAGAAGAGTAGGATGGAGACAGAAAGCTTTTAACTGAAACTTTCCAAATTCAGCAAGAAAATCAAATGACTGAGACAGAAGATTTCTGTAGTTGACTAGCAGAGGATCCTATGGAAAAGGTGGTTTGATCTACAGGACCTTAAATGTCAGGCTAAAAGGAAGATAATATATTTTGTTGAACATCTACCACAGATCAGAATCTAATCTTGTCTATTCTTCACAACAACCCTCTATGAATATTCCCACTTTAAATTACCCAAAGTCAGCCAGCTAGCAAGAGAAGAGCTGGAGCTTAAACCTGAAATGTGTGCCTCTCTGAAGCCCATAATTATTCCACTACACACCGTCTCTCTTAAGGACTGTGAGTGACGAATGAAGCAGAGTCACTGGTATCTTTTGAGCAGGTGGTGACAAGTTCATAGGAGTTTTAGGAGGGCAAATGTTGCACTAAGGTGGATTGCCCTGGGGAGAAAATGGAGCCAGGATTAGACCACTTTGCCTAGTCTACATCCTGCCACCTGCTGTTACAACGTCCTTCTGTTGTCAGGGTCACTCATGAAATGCAGTAAAAGAGCTGTATTAGTTGGTGCAAAAGTAATCGTGGTTTGTAATGGCAAGAACCGCAAATACTTTTGCACCAATCTAATACATCCATAAATGGATATATTTGAATATGGAATGACAATAAGAAGTTAAAATTTAATTTTAAAAAACTGAACAGAATAAAGAAACAAAGCCAAAGAAAGGAAAAGATCCTACGTGGATAAAGCAGAAACCTCCACACAAGAGCTGTATTATTAGTTGGTGCAAAAGTAATCGTGGTTTGTAATGGCAAGGACCACAAATACTTTTGCACCAATCTAATACATCCATAAATGGATATATTTGAATATGGAGTGACAATAAGAAGTTAAAATTTAATTTTAAAAAACCGAACAGAATAAAGAAACAAAGCTAAAAAAAGGAAAATATCCTACGTGGATAAAGCAGAAACCAAAAGTAAACCAAGCGAAAAAAAAGAAGCCAAATAAAACTATAAGCTGATCTTCAGAGGAAAAACATTAAATGAATCTTCTGACATGACTGTTCAAGAAAAACAAACCAAAGAAAAGAAAACCCAAATGGCCAATAAATGTGAAAATATGTTCAACTTCTTAATAAGATAAATGCAAATTGAAGACCATGGTTAGATTCCGTTTTACATCTATCATATAAGCAAAAATGAACAGGACTAATACAAAGATTTAAAGAGATATAAGAAGGTTGCAACTTTTCATTCCTTGCTGTGGGAACATAAACAGGCTCAATCCTTTTGCAGAACAAATTGGCAATCTCTGGTGATGTTGAAGATGCCCACATCCTATGACCCAGAAATTTTACTTACAGGCATATATCATTAAGAAAATTTCTCATCTGTGCAAAGATGTTCTGTGTTTCGTTGATTTAATGACAAAGTGCCCATCATTCAGTTCATGGATAAGTAAAATTTTTATACATCCATAGGGTGGATATTTAAAATATAAATAGTTAAAATAAATCCACTAAAGCTACATTTATAAACACAGATAAATCTCAATAACATAATACTGAGTAAAAAAGAGTAATTTGGGCCAGGCGCAGTGGCTTACGCCTGTAAGCCTACCATTTTGGGAGGCCGAGGTGGGCGGATCATGAGGTCAGGAGATCAAGACCATCCTGGCTAATATGGTAAAACCCCATCTCTACTAAGAACACAAAAAATTAGCCGGACATGGTGGCACGCGTCTGTAGTCCCAACTACTCAGGAAGCTGGAGGCAGGAGAATCGCTTGAACCCAGGAGGCGGAGGTTGCAGTGAGCTGAGATCACGCCATTGCACTCCAGCCCAGGCAACAGAGCGAGACTCTATCTCAAAAAAAAAAAAAAAAAAAAAAAAAAAAAAAAAAAAAAGAAAAAAGAAAGAAAGAAAGAAAAAAGAAAAAAAAAACAGTAGTTGGAAAAATATAGTACTGTTTATAAAAAGCATAAAACATACTAATACCATTATACCCTAGGTTTGCATGTACATATAGAAAAACACATTTATCAGCTTTAGGTTAGTGGTTTCCTCTGAGGAAGGAGATAAGGGAATGAAATGAGGGTGGCAGGCTTCAGCAGCATCTTTATATTTTTAAAATCTGAAATAAATGTGACAAAAATATTAACATTTGTTAAATCTGAATTGTCAGTACATGGTTGTTTGTTATTTTATTCTCTGTACTTATCAGCATGTCTGAAATATTCCACCATTGATAAATCCTGGTTTTGAAAGAGAAAAAGAAAAGATTTAAACACAATAATAGGATGACTTCTCTGAGACTCCTTAGTTCACTGCAGATATCCAGATCAATGTAAAAAGGATACTCTGAGCAGACAAAACATCTGGGAAGACCTTTGTCACATCTGATGAAGTGAATCCATCTGGCACCAAGCTGCAAACTCCCTATTAACAGTGCACTGGCAAACTCAGTCACTTCAATAGACAACATCAGAATAGGTGCTTTTAAATTCAACTAAGCCCTTCCTTAGGCAAATAAGATAAAAGCTTCAACAGAAACCAATGTAGCCCAAATTTAGGATCACCCACGCTACATTTACCCATCCAATCTGAAACAATAAAAGCAATTGTGCCTGTCTGAGGCATATTTTTCTGCCATCAGGTTTAAAATGTTAAATAAATAATAATTGAAATATGAAATAGTGGTGTCTATACATGTACATTTTTGTCACTCCCTAAACAGCAGGAATTATACCCAACATTTAAGTTCTTTCTCAGGGTTTCACTAAGCATACTCCAGGCTAGAGACAGCTCCAGGCTGGATATTGCACCAAATGAATTCACACATACACTCCCTCACCCACTAGAAGTTCATATCCCTGGACAGCTGGTAGCAGTCATTCCAGTTAACAGCATTTCTGAATGCAGAGAAAACCAGGCAACAAATACTTAATGAGCATTTCCTAAATGCAGTGTCATACTAATAACAGAGAAGATAAATACATGTACCAGAATTTCTACTCTGAAGAAATTAATAATATAATTGATTCACCCATACATATATCCAAGCAACCAACCATTCATCCCTCCACCCATTTACCCTTTCACTCATCCACCTTTCCACCCTTGATCCATTCAACCCTACATCTTTCCACTCATCCATTCAAATAATCATTCACCCTTCTCTTTATACAACAACTCCTTTACCAATCCATCCTCTTCCCCTTCCAGCCAGGCTGGTCCTCCCTTCCCATTCTACACCTACCCATTAAGCCACCTTCCATTGCTTCATACATCCATCTCTTCAACCCTCTAACCACCTGTATTGGGTTGAGCAGCATCCTTCAAAAATTCATGCTCACTCAGAACCTAATAATATGACCATATTTGAAAAGAAGGCCTTTGTAGATGTTATCAACTAAATTAATATGAGGTCATACTGAATTTGGACCCCAGTCCAATGACTGGTGTCCTGAAGAGGAGAAAACACAGGAACACACACAAGGAGAAGGCCACATAAATATGGAAACAGAGACTAGAATGATGTACCTACAAGCCAAAGAACGCCAAGGGTTGATGGCAACCACCAGAAGTTAGAAGATGCAGGGGAGGGTCTTCCCTTAGCATCCTTGGAAAGAGAACAGTAATGCCAGAACCTTGATTTTGAACATCTAGCCTCTAGAACTGTGATATAATAAATTCCTGTGGTTTTGAGCCACGAAGTTTGCAGGACTTTGTTGAGCAGCCCTAGGAAACTAATACACCACCTCCCCTACCAACTACTCCATCTCTCCAACCCCCAGCCAGTAATCTTCTCAACTATACAACCCTCCACCCCTCCAGCCTTCTACCCATCCATCCCTCCACCCATCCATCCAGCCATCCACCCAATTCCCCATTCATTCCATCCAACCATGCATCCATCTATCCACCCATCCATCCATCATTCATCCATTCACACATACTTTATTTAGGGTCTATGTGCCAAGTGTTGTTCTGTGTGCTAAGTGTACAATGGCGACAACAGTAGTAGCACGATATTATGGGTTCTTCCTCTGACATATGCTAATAACCCCACTAATATCACCAGACCTCAAGAATAAATACAATCTAAGTAAATACAATGGGCTTGCTATGCAAACTGAACTTCAAGGTAAGTTCCCTAGGTATTCCTGCCACTTGTAACTATGTTGGTGGCACTTAGGCCCTTCCAATATAAATGTTCTGGGGCCTCCACTAGATGAGGAGCAAAATATCCAAGGCCTCTTCCCAAATGGATATATAGACAATAAATAAATCATACAAGTAAATATATATTTATCAATTTTGTTGAATTCTATGAAGGAAAAAAATACAGCTCTACAAAGAAAATAACAAGGGTGCAGGGGACAGGGCACTAATTATGATTAGGGAGTAACAGAAAGCCTCTGTAAGGTGGAAAAACAAAACAAACTCATAAGTAGTTAAAAAAAAAAAATCACTTCCCAAAGAGGCTTACACGATCAGGGAAGTATTGGGCTTTGGGTAAGTGCTACACACTCTCAGAGGACAGGGAGTCCACTGAAGACTGCAAAGCTTTCTTGAAGAAAAGTCTGCCTGGATACTGAAGGATAAATGACAGTTAAGTAATGGGAGGGATACCTATTTTTAGCGTGGTCCTCAATAAACAAAAGCGCAGACATCACTCGTTCATTTTAAGAGATCTTGACTTTTATGTGCCAACGACCACTTTGGCAGGCTGGTGAAGCCTTCAAATTCCTTCTCAGAACAGAGCTGTCAAATAAGTAAAATAAAATACGTGGCCGGGTGTGGTGGCTCATGCCTGTAATCCCAACACTCTGGGAAGCCAAGGAGGGTGGATCACTCGAGGTCAGGAGTTTGAGACAAGCCTGACCAACGTGTTGAAACCCTGTCTCTACTAAAAATACAAAAATCAGCTGGGCGTGGTGGTGCAGACCTGTAATTCTAGTTACTTGGGAGGCTGAGGCGGGAGAATTGCTTGAACCCGGGAGGCAGAGGTTGCAGTGAGCCATGATCAAGCCTTGCACTCCAGCCTGGTGAAAAGAGCTAGACACTGTCTCAAAAAAAACCAAAAAACAAAAAAACCAAAAAACAAAAAAACAAAAAACAAAAAACAAAGAAACAAAAAAACCGCTAGATTACAAAGAAAACAAATTATATCAAAATACAGTCATAATGATGTTTTAAAACAAACTTGTGTTATGTTTATGTCGGTATTAACATGCTAAATCACAAGATCTGTGCTGTGTCTACTAACTACAATGATTTCAAAATAATTTGGCAAAAGTAAATAATTCTGAAATATCTACAACAATGATAATGTGATAAGAAATATGTAATTTCTCTTGGTGAAAAAAAATCAGACAGCTGCTATTACTGTGATTTCTTGCTACAATTCAAAATGAAAAGAATGAAAACTTTTGTTAGAGGTAAGTAAAAATAAGCAATTTTTCCCCATCCAAGTTTACAGACCACTGAGTTCCATCCACAGACCCCTTAGGGGCCCGTTTATGTGATTTATATGTTTAGGTATTTATGTATTTGTCCATTCATTTACTCGCTCATTCATCCCCCAAATTCTGAATGTTTCTGACATTCCTGACAATATGGTTAGTGCTAGCAATATACAAGGCCAAAAAGACAGATGTGGTGTCTTCCCTAATGAGCTTATATTCTAGTGGGCAGAGACAGTCAATAAGCAGATAAACAAGATAGTTATAGGCTGTGATAACAATAGATTGTGAAAAAGAATCAACAGAGTGATATGGGGAAAGGGGAGGTTCACCTGGTGTTGGTACCCATGATGAACACATTATGCAGCAGGATGGGGAATCATAATACATGGAAGAGGGATTCAGACAAAGGCCCTGTAACAGGAGAAGAACTTGGGCATCAGAAGAACAGGAGGACAGTCCATGTTGCTGGAGTGAACATAGCAATAGGAGACAGAGGAAATGGCGACAAAGATGGAGCAGCTGCAGATGTGCTGGGCCCCACAGACTATGGGAATAGGTTTTAGTTGTGCCTTAAGTGCAGTGGGTAGCCATGGAAGCAGTGTATGCAGGGGAATAACAGATCTACATTATATTGTTTTAAAAGATTTCTTTGGACACTGAATAGAGAATGGATTGTAAAGAAAAAGATAATTGATAGAAGAGACCAGTTTAGAGGCCATTGCATTCATCCAAGTAAGAGAGTGGTGACTTGATCCAGGGCTGGGGCTACTGAGGCATCTACGGGTACAGAATTCAAGGAAGAACTCATTCTCAGGGCCATGCAAGTGCAGGATTCAGCTACCCCTGGCTTTGACTGGTGGTAGAAATGGGTAGGTTGATGATATATTTTGGAGGTAAAATCAAATTTGTTCTAAAAATTTCTGAAGTTCAGAAGCAAATAATAACTTTAGAAAGGAGCCCATGCCTCAGACAACAGAGCGTCTTAAACAACAGAGGAAGGACTTTTGACTTTCTCCTGTAGCTAATGAAGGGCCATGGAACTAAAGAAATAAAATCACACCATCGTGACCGAAAAAAAAAAAAAAAAACAAACAAGATTTTTAGAGGGTGGTGAGAGGTAAGAGGTAAGTGAAGAGAATGTTTGGGCATTATGTGTTTATACAATTTTAGATTCGTGAATGAGTTAAGACCCAGTCAGGGAAACGGAAACCACTCCAGGTGTTTCCAACAGAGATAATACAGGAAATTGGTTACATAGGAGCCACTGGGACACAGAGAGAAAAGGAAAAGAGGAAGCCATTAATATCCTAGGGATGGAGGAAAAGGGGGATGCAGGAGACATTACCAAAGTTCAGAAGCTGGGTCGCTTGGCAGTAGCAAATCCCACAGCAGGGACCACCTGATAGGAATTGGGACCCTGGAGGCTGCCCATCAAGAGCTAGATGGGGACATTCCCAAGGAAGAGGAAGTGAGGGAGAAATCACCTATAGCCTGGATAAAATATGTCCTTGCATATAGAACAGAGAAGGGAAAGGTCAGAGAAAGGATTGAGAACAATCAGGCTACCGGAGCAGACCCGGGAACAAAGTCCTCACAGCCCAATCCTCTATACTAGAAAGAGAAGGAAAATCAATAGGTACTAGGCACGAACCACATGCCGGGGTCTGTGCTTCACGTTTTCTGATGTTGCCTCAGTTCTGTCCCACACATTATCTGTTTAGCCCCTACTGTGACCTATCTTATAGATAAGAAAATTAAGGCTCAGCAAGATTCAGAAACCTACTTAGGGTTCCTCCGCTAGCCAGTGGCTAAGCTGGCACCTAAACCTATGTCTGGAGGAACCCAAAATTTATAGTCTTTCCTCTGATATCCATTGTTCTTCAAAGAGGATTATCTGCTGTTCATTAAATGCTAACTGCATGCTAAAAACTGTTCCTAGTGCTTGATCTTCAATGTATCATTTGTTCCTGCAAGAAAGTCATGATTACTTTTAGCACCATCTTCATTATCATCATCTTTGCTACTATTATTATTTTCAACTTACAGATGAGGAAATTGAGACTCAGAAAAGTTAAATATCTTGCCCCAAGTCACAAAGCTAGTAAATGGCAGATTCAAAGCCAGGGATATCTAATGAAAGCTGCGTTTCCTCTTTACGAGTGCAAGCTATATGGCCTTCCATTCATAACACACCCACAACAGTGCAAGCCAAAAACCATCCCCAAATCTAACTTCCTACCATATTGATCAAAGTATTCATTCTGAAAGACATCAGAGCAGAAACTGCTGGTTTCCCACCCAATGTCGGTTCTCCTTTTCCTTTTTAGAACTCCAGTTTAATTCAGAAACAATGTTTCTAGGTAAAATATTCTATTCCCCAGCCTTCCTCCCTATCAGAGATGACCAACAATAGACTGAAATGCTGGGGTAGGATTTCTGAGCTCTTGAAGAAGGGGCATACAGCTAGAGTGTGCCCTTTTTGCTCTTCTCCTCCTTATTCTTGTTTCCTGCTTTGAGTGTGAATGTGATGCCTGGAGCTCCAGCAGCCATCTTGGATCATGAAGCAACTTTAATGATGCAAACCATGTGCTTAAGAGTACAACAGAAATACAGGAAGAGGCTTAATCTATGAGGACACCATGAAGCCACCTTGGCAACCCTCAACCACCTACCTCCAGGCTGCTTTAATCTGAGAAGGAAATAAACTTCTCTTTTGTTTTAGCATTTCCAGGCTTATTTATTGGCAAACACAATTCCTAACCAATATATGCACCTGCCCGAATACTAAAATCCAATGAATAGAGATTCCTGAGATTCCTTTACATACTCATTTCCACTCATTCACTCTGATTTAAATACAGTCAACTGTGTGTCTCACTTTGATTGATGGGGTGCCATCAAAAGCAAAATTTTCTCCCTTGTTGCTTCTGAAAAAGACTCCCAAACCCACAGTGAAGTCAGTCTGGGGCAGAGAGAGGTGGTGTGATATTATATATGTCATTATAAACTCTAAGTGCCTCTTTTCCGAACTCTTAGAAGGTTAGTAGTGGCAAAGGCAACAAAAAAGTCACAGTGATGAATAGAACATGTTGGAAAGTGGCTCAGAGAGTAGGAATTAAAGAATGCCAGCTCCAGTAAATGTCACATATCAATCAAAAGTGAAGAAAGGGAGTTCCCTCCAAAAGTGGCAGAGGGGACACCTTCATAAACAGAACATAAAGGCCAATCGAACTCAGCAGCAAAATGGGACGTATTCAGCCAGAGCCTGTCACTTTGTACAATGGCAACAAACCATTCCGTCAGCTTCTCTGCTGAAATCAGAGAAGTACTAAAAGGGATTTTTGAAACCATTTGCTCAGTGCCTCCATTACATAGGGGAGGCAACTGAGGATCAGATAGGGTAATGGCCGGACCAAAGTCACATAAAAAATGAATGGCTGAACTGGGATGAGATGGAAACCCAGGTCCGGTACTTGCTGACTTCTCCACTGATGTACATACCTTCTTTATGGATTGCGAGTATCCACTTCTACCTAAGGCAGGAGTTGATAAGCTTTCTCTGTAAAAGGTCAAATAGGAAACACTTCAGATTACAACTACTCACCCCTGCTGTTGTAGTAAAAAGCAGCCCTAGACAGTAGAAAACAAAAAAAGTATGGCTGCATTCCAATAAAAATTTATGTACAAAAATAGCTAGCTGGATTTGACCTGTAGGCTGTAGATGGCCATGCCCTGACCTATGTCACTGGGTTCAACTGGTCACCAGACCAACAGCATCCAGACCTTTCTAGAAATGCAAATTGTCAGTCTCTTTGCCTCCAGACCTAATGAAACAAACTCCAGAAATAACATTCGGAAATCTGTTTTCACAAGCTTTCCAGGTGACTGACACACACTAAAGTTTGAAAAACATTGGGTTAACACGCCGGGCACAGTGGCTCACACCTGTAATCCCCTGTAAACCCAACATTTTGGGAGGCCGAGGTGGGTGTATCACCTGAGGTCAGGAGTTTGAGATCAACCTGGCCAACATGGCAAAACTCCATCTCTACTAAAAACACAAAAATTAGTTGCGTGTGATGGCATATGTCTATAATCCCGGCTACTCGGGAGGCAGTGGTAGAAGAATTGCTTGAACCTGGGAGGCAGAGGTTGCTGTGAGCAGAGATTGTGCCACTGCACTCCAGCCTGGGTGACAGAGCAAGACTCTGTTTCAAAAAAAAAAAAAGAAGAAGAAAAGAAAAACATTGGGTTAGCAAAAAGACACATGCACTCATATGTTCGCTGCAGCACTATTCACAATAACGAAGACATGGAATCAACCTAGGTGCCCATCAGTGGTGGATTGGATAAAGAAAATTTGGCACATATATACCATGGAATATACACAGCCATAAAAAAGAACAAAATCATGTTATTTGCCGCAACATGGATGGAGCTGGAGGACATTATCCTAAGCAAATTAACACAGGAACAGAAAAACAAATACTTCATGTTCTCACTTATAAGTGAGAGCTAAACACTGGGTATACATGGATATAAAAATGGGAATAGACACTGGGGATGATGATAAGTGTGAGGAGAGCAAGGCTGAAAAACTACCTGTTGTGAACTATGCTCACTACTTGGATGATGGGACCATTCATATCCTCAGCATCACAGAATATACCCATGAAACAACCCAGCACATGTATCCACTGGATCTAAAATAAAAGTTGAAATTATAATTTAAAAATGGGTTAGAATCATAGCAAATCACTGTGCATGAGCCCCGCCTAGCCATTTCTAGTACATAACCTGGTATTTGGCTTCTAGTAGATGCTTATGACAGCAACCATAAGCCTCCCACCCAAAAATCTATTCTCTCCTTCTTTAACATGAGAAGGAAATAAAATTCTTACTTAAGCCATTGATAATCTGGATTTTCTGTCATAAACCACCAAACTGAATCCAATTGATTTAGTATCCCGTGAATATTTGTTGAATGAATAAATAATTCTCAAGCAAATCAGAGGATCTAAATTACATGTTACAGGTAGGTTTGATTAGTACAGAACCACTGCTTCAATATACTTTTATCAGTAGATAAAATCCTCCTAAAAACAGTGTCCATAGGAGTCAAAATAATAAAAAAGAACACTAGGTGGTGAAAATATTGGAAACTTCTAGACGTACAGTAGCCTTCATTTCTTGCACCGCCAAAAGCCGGGCTGATAATGGAGCAAATACCCTCTTCCCAGGCTCCCCTGAGGAAGCTGCCACTTTATTCATGACCCCACAGTCACCGTCTCCTGGAAGCCTTTCCTAATTAGAGCCCTTCTAGAATTCTGGGATTTTATGTCTCAGCAGTATGGTGAGAACAATAGGATTGTTCTGTTCTGCTTTATTCGAATCATACTGATGTGTCATTTTTCAATGATCCTTAAGTTACTCTCAAACAGAGAGCTTTTCTTACCCATGGTAGGTTCTCAATCGATGTCTATAGAATTGAACTGACTTTGTTGGTGAGTGTTTTGTTTCTTCCACGAGAACAGATATTCCTTCAGAATCAGGGGCTGACTCTTCTATTTTTCAAACAACCCCCAAAACTAGCCACAGCAACATGCAGGGGCCCTGCATCAACAGGTACTTGAATGCTGGTAAATGCGTCCCAGGCACCTCACTTCGTTCGCCCATTTTGGTGCATCAGAACAACGTTGTCACTGGTCTAACCTCATCTTCACTCCCTGGGGACTGAGGTCTTGCCTGATTCCCAAAGCCCTGCACCAGAGATCCTCAAACATTTTCAACTAGGACTTTATCAACGGGAAAAAGATGGACAGCTTCACTCCATGTTAACCCAGCGACTCCATCAAACCTATGCTTGTTTCTACTGTTCATGCCTCTACATTGATGTTTCTCAAGCTTTTATGATCCAGGTCTCCTTGATAAACATTTTTAACCTCACATTTTCCTCTAATGCTATTTGAAATGGCAAGAGAAATTAATATGGTGACTAAAACATATCAAGAGATGTCATAGTTCAATAGACCCTGCTACTAACAACCCCAGGTGCAAATCTTTGCTTCACATGCTATTCTCTGACTCTTACTTGCATAGTCTGTTTTGACTTCTCCATGTGCTTCAGTGAAATGCAAATTACTGTTTGATCCCATGGACTAGACTATGGGGAAATCTCCATTGTTTCAGGGCAAGATTGATATTCAGCTGGTTGTTTATGGCTGGCAAGCATTCACACGGTCAGTGCATTCATCCAAACGGACGAATCCCCATGCCTCATCAATTGTTACACTTTTTCAATGTCACCTACCTAAGAAAATCAGAATACACCGTAACGTGGAGAATCCATATGCAGATAAATGAAAGAGGAGAGTCAGGACCATGCAAAAAATTACAGGGAAATTTAGCAAAGTCTGGTGATAACATAGACTCTCCACACAGCATTCAACACAAACAGAAAATTAATCTCTGATGCAATTGGGCATTCATACATGCCAGTAAGTTCTGTACTTTATTTTAAGGTACCTCGCCTGCCTGGCATCAGTTGGGAGAATTATTAACCATCATTAAATGATTAACTGTCACTAAAATGGTAGCCTGCTGCCACCCAGCCAAGAGCATGCTGTGTGGAGTTACTCACGTGAGAAAAAACTTGTTAGCAAAAGAATGCACCTGCAACCCAGAGCATCTACTCTTGTGACATTCTATTTCGGCCTCCTTGTTACAACCACGATTTTCTTTCTCTATCTAGCACAATACATATGCCACAGGAGTCTCTCAACTTCAGGTTAATTACACCCATCTCTCTAAGGTCAGATCTTCAGAATTCATCCTTTCATAAAGTTGTTTTAATGCATGTTTAAATCTCTGTCATTTGCTCACTGTGTGACTTCAGGCAAGTTATTGAACCTCAATTTTCTTATCTCTAAAATAGGGCTAATCATAGCTCCTACCTCATAAGGTTTTTAAAAGAATTCAGTGACAGCATGGATGAAGGGCATCTAGCATAGTTCTTGACTTGTAGCGTGTGCTCAGTAGTGTTAATAATTATGGAAGAGCTCATTGGCCACCAAGTGAATGCTAAGCTGGAAGAGGATTGGATACATTATTTACTCCAACCCCATCTCAAGCCAAGACTATAACCCTCTCAATTTCATGGGAGGTTGACCCTCTGTCATGACATTGGACAAACATTGGGAGGGGGGGCGCTTAACATGGTTTGGTCATTCCTCCCACGGTCTCAGGGTGATAGATACTGGGTGGAAACATGGGTCTCTTACGAATAGAGAGCTGAAAGTCACCTACCCATACCTTAAAGAGTGTTCCTTGAGAGAGGGCTTTCGGAAATGGATTTAGACATCATGAATCCAACAACTAAGAGATCATTTATCTGTCCTCCTGACACTTCCATAGTCCATCTCACCCCCAGCACATCTTAGGAACTGACTAGAAATATTCTTCAGACTTTAGAAAGCAGACGATGCTCTTCATCACGGCAGAATTTCATATCCCCCGGTGTTGGAGTGGGAGGCTGCCAGCCTTTGAAGTTTGGGATGCGTCTTCCTCTCTGTGCCTCTCAGGGGCCTTTACTTCTGCTACACTGCACATCTGGGGAGGGTTGCCTGAACACTAGCTCACGAAGTGGCCGCTGGGCTCCTTCCTGGAGTCTAATCCTGTCTGTCTCATCGTGTCCTTCTGGAAACATCACCAACTTATTTATCTCTGTCATAAAAGGAGAGGAGGAAGGAGCAGCAGAGAGTTTCAAGGTTAACCAATGTTTGCAGAGTAAAAATGGTACCTGAAGACAGATGTATGCTGCAAAATAGCAGTTCCATACAAATGCAAGAGGGCGTCAAAGTCAACAGGGACAAAACTATGGGCTATTTCATGTTCCTCACTGAGTAAGACCTCACTCACAATCACTTATTCTGATTATAAAAATGATGACCTACAAAGAGACCCATGTTTCCACCCAGGATCTATCACTCTGAGACCTTAGGATGAGTGACTGAAGCATCTTAAGCTGCCCCTCCCAGTGTTTGCTAAATGTCATGGCAGAGGGTTAACCTCCCAGGAGATTGAGAAGGTTAAATGAGATACCACGTGTGCAGAGGCCAGCATGGTGCCCAGCTCAGCAGTAGGCACTTGGGAAATGTCACCTTTAACACTGATATGTAAGACCAGCCCATCATAGCAGCATTATTCACAATAGCCAAAGGTGGGAACAACCCAAATGTCCATTGACAGAAGAACAGGTAAACAAAATGTAAATACATACAATTAAATATTAGCCAGCGTTCAAAAACAAAGGACATTCGGATACATGCTACACCAGCACACTCCCTAGCTCACGATATTTTAAGTGGATGAATAAATGAATGAGCAAAAAAAGAGCACCCTACCTCTAACTGGATCCCCCAGCTGTGAACTCTCTCACATTTTTTCTCTAGCAAATTCCCTCTTTTTTGCTGTTTCTTTCTCCTCTTTTCTGTTCTATTCTCTTTCTTCATCCCCTATGCTTTAAAAGACACTTGCATCTGGGGCTTTTTCTGAAGCCGTTTTTTCCCTCATTTTTTTCTGTCCACAAAACAGCAGGAAATAATTTGCTTTAAATCCACATAAAATACCCACGAAAAATTCACACTCCATCTCTGAATGAGGAGGCTAGGTTTTTCCAACGGTGGAGCCACAAAAGTCTGTTTTGACAAGTTATCTCCCCGTAAACATACTGGTTTATCTCATGCTGAACAATTAGATGTGCTATTTAGGCAAAATAAAAAATATATTGCACATTTTCTAGACAGCCTGTTAGCATCCATGCCAATGACACGAACATCAGGACATGGGGCTGATATTAAAGTAACCAGAAACACAAATGTGTATTGCAACACTCGGAACATTGCCATCTGTGTGTTGCATGCCCGGAGGGACACCCAGGGAGGACTGCGTGAAGACAGGGTGAGAAAGAGTCCAGGAGAAAAACAGCAGCTGAGAGGAGTGGGGTGGGCAGGGATTGGAGTAGAAGCAGATGGGAGGCTGAGATTACCCACAGGCTAAGCCAGTGGTTCTATACTGGGGACACATTCCCACCCCCACCCCAAGGGACATTGGCAATGTCTGGATGCATGAGGGTTGTCATAAATTGGGCAGGGGGTGCTACTAGCATGGCATGGGTAGAGGCTACATGTCCTGCAATGCGTATTATATCCACCCCCTCCACCCCACAGCAAAGAATGATGTGGTCCCAAATGTCATGATGCCAAAGCTAAAACAACTCCAGGCTAAGATGAAGCAGAGTACAGATCAGCTCTGCTACTCAGTGGCTGTGGAACTTGGGCAGGTTAATTAAACTCTCTAGGCTACAAGATGGCTGAAAGCCATCTGTGGGATAGATGAGATGAGATGGCAGATGTGCAATGCACATAGCAGCTGTTTCCATGAATGCTAATCCCTTTTATGCTCTCCTTGTGGTCCTCTGCTTTCCCAAAGCGTATTTATTTACTAATTCACTCAGTTCTTTAACCAACATGTATTGAGTGTCTACTCTGAGCCTGGAGCTGGGTGCTGGATATTCAACAACAGATAAGAAAGGCAGAGACCCTGTACTAGTCTGTTCTTGCATTGCTATAAAGAAATACCTCAGACTGGGTAATTTATAAAGAAAAGACGTTTAATTGGCTCACAGTTCTGCAGGCTTTACAGGAAACATGGTACTGGCATCTGCCTGGCTTCTGGGGAGGCCTCAGGAAGCTTACAGTCATGGTGGAAGGTGAAGGGGGAGCAGGCACATCACATGGCCAGAGCAGGAGAGAGTAAGTCTTGGGGGGAAGTGCTATACACTTTTAAATGACCAGATCTCAAAGTAACTCGGAGCAAGAGTTCACTCAGTACCAAGAGTGTGGCCCAAGCCATTCACAAGGGATCCACCTCCATGATCCAAACACTTCCCACCAGGCCCCACCTCCAACACTGGAGATTACAATTCAACGTAAGATTTGGGCAAGACATCCAAACCTTATCAATTCCCCCATGGATCATCTAATGTATTGGGAGAGGCAGATAATAGATAATGTACAAACCAAACTAAGGTTAGTGCCATGAGAGTAAAGGACAGAGGCCAGAGACTAACACCCAATCTAGGGTGATCAGGGAATCTGTCTCTGGGGAAGCGACATTGAAGCAGAGACCTGAAGGATGGCAGAGTTTTGGGGATTGGTGCTGGTTCCAGACAGAGAGAACCAAATACACAAAGACTCTAAGAAGGAAAGAAAACAGGGTATGTTCAAAACTGACAGAGAGCACAGGTGACAACTGACAGAGCACAGGTGCGTGGTGGGGAGCAGGTGGCAAGAGGAGAGGGATAAGACAGGTGGGTAAGGACCCCGCAGTTCATGAGAAGGCACCTAGGTTCTAGCCACCAAGATGTCATGAGAAGCCCTTAAAGGCTATTCAGAAGAGAAGTGACCTGATCCAATTTACCCTGGCTGCAAAGGAAAGGATGAAGTAGGGGAGGAGTAGAGGTAGAAGCAGGGAGACCAGTGGAGGCTGCTTCATCTACAGCTCCAGATGGTGATGATGGTGGTAGCACTGGAGATGAGGAAGGATCTGAGATATACATTTGAAGGAGAATAATTATACATTGCACTAGACTCTGGTGGGGATGAGAGAAAGAGAATGTTCCACCATTCACTGGGTGGTCAGGCTGGGCAGCCAAGGTTAAAAGGCTAAGTGTCATCCAGGGAAGAGACCATCACACGATTTGAGGTTGCTGAGAACAGACAACACACACACCAGGCTCAAGTGGTAGAGCAAGAGGAGACAGACTACACAAGATGCAGTCCCTTGCAATGCGTCAGTCCCCCACAGCCAGTGGATCTGCTCTGCAGTCAACCCAGGCAGTGCAGCTGCACACACCCACCTCGTGCTGCAGTAGAAGGACCCAGATCCCTTTCCACCAGGGACAGATATAGTAGCAGGTTTGGCCAGGGGCCATTAGATGCACACACTTGAGCAGAACAAAGTACATCAAGCCCAGAACAGGGAAAGATATTTCCAGGCAAAGAGATATGCCCAGCCCAGGCTGGGAGGGCTCTTCATCTCTTGTTAAGGAAATGTTTCAGGCCCAAGGCCACTCATACAGCCATACAGGGTCCAGCAAGCTGTGCATGACCACCTTTCCCAATGCAGTGAAGGATAGATCCCACGTCTTGGGCTTAGGCAGTTAGGTGGATGGTGAGTGCAATTACTAAAGAGAGAAAGACCTGGGAAGGAACAGTTAAGGGTGGGGAGCAAGAGGAAGACAATCAAGAAATGCTCAGTACCTGTGGGTTCCCTCTTGCCTATCCACCCCTCCCTCCTACTTCTGTTTCTCTAAGCTCAATGACAATGTTCCCCACTCCAGCAGCTCTAGAATTCATTCATACCTGGGACTTCAGTGGCAACGTCTGCTCTTCTCTACCTGAGTGGTAGCCAGGAAGTCTGAGTCTTCATCCTCAACTCGGGGAAGTCCTGGAGCCCTTCCCTGGACATGGGTCCCCGAGATGCCAGCAATGTTTTCTAGGTGCCCCAGGTGCTCCTGCACCACCTCGAAGCACCTCCATTTAGGCCTCCTGACTTTGTTTACCAAGCACGCCTCTAGCCTCGCTACTCACAGTGGGGTCCATGGGCCAGCAGCATCAGCATCTCCCAGGAGCTTCTTAGAAGTGCAGAGTCTCAGGCTCCAGCCCAGACTTGCTGAACTGGAATCTGCATTTTAACCAAATCCCAGGTGATTTGTGCATGCGTGTTAAAGTTTGAGAATCACTGGTCCACAGCTCAGAAGCCAGCCATCTACAACATTGCCATATGTCAGTTATTTGTAATTACAGTTAAAAAAAAATGCTACCAGCGTGGCCTGGGATGATTTGTTCTTAAACTTCAAGGGCTGCTTGAAGCCCGAGATCCTAGTGACACTGAGATATTTATAAGGTTTCCCTTCGTATTCTCTGAGCACTCCTCTCATCATCAGATTTTCCAGATGATAAGTTTTTAGCAGGCCCTTCTTCCCCCTCTACTCCTGTGTGGACCTCTGGGCTGCCTTTTTCAGGTTTTGCAAACTGGCTATGAATTGTTCAGCGGTTGGATTAGCCAGTTCTGCAGACTGCCTCACACGCAGACCATCTGGACCGCTTATAGAGAAGACATGTTCCAAGTACCCTCTTTCCTTTGTCTGCTTTTCTCATGGGTACTTTGCCCTCTAAGAAGCCTACTTTCCTCTTTTCCTCTCCTCCTCTCCCTATTTCTCTTTGTTGAGAGAGCAGTCAGATTAACCCAACAACTCTTGGAGTGCCTTGGTCACCTGAGAGCATGGAAAGTCCATGCCCTCACCAGAGTAATGACTACCATTTCTCCAAAACTCTCCTCATGCCATCCGATAGGCAGTATTGATCAGAAGGGGAAATCTAGTGTGTTAAAATTGATAAACCAGCTTAAGTAATACCTACATAAAAGAACCATGCCTAGCACATGGCTGAATGTTGAATACTGTTGCATGGAAATTTGGGATTTCTAGTTAGAGGCTTTATAAAGGTAGAATCATGCAGACACATATACCTGGAAATATTCGGAACATTCTATTAGCAGAAATGCAATGTAGGAAGCTTATTGGTTCTAGAAGAATGTGTCATTGTCAGTAATTGGAATTACTGACAGATCCAGTTGAAGTAAGGGGAAAACCACAAAGAGTCTGTACTCTTAAAACTGCAATAATAGAGTCAAGGAGTCTTACGGGACGAGCCATGAATCTTGTTAAGAATTTGGGCATGTATCTCTTCTGGTTGTCCTGATTATGTAAGTCCCTTCTTCACCCTAATAACACTGTATTGAGAAAAACTTCAAGTGCATTATGCCCCCAGGATGAAGCTATACCTTGTTAACAAAAGCTGTGCCTATAGAAAGGGATTGGAGTGGAGTTTGGGAAGGCATTGTATAGAGGACAAATGATGAGTCTCACCAGACAGGGCTCAGGTGGTAAATGAAAGGGATGTACTGAGCCTGTACTCTTGAGAGCATTTTGGGCACAGTACCTGGCTGCTGCTTCTATCACCAGTATGGTCCCAAGCACCAGCCCTGCCTGCCACTATCACTTCTTGAAAGGCAACCCAAGAGGAGAAGTGGACGGGAGCCGACACCAGGCAGGGGTTAAATTGTTTATATGCATCATCTTGTTTAATTTTTAAGACAACCCTATAGGTACAGTACTTTTGTTTATCTCCATTTCACAGAGAAGGAAATGGAGGCACAGAAAGGTGGGTAGGTTGCCCACCTAAGTGATAGAGCTAAAATTCAAACCAGGCAGCCTGATTCCAAAGCCCACACTCTTGGCCACTACATAAAAGATTCTTCACCAGAATGACCTTGGTACCATAGGTTCATGATCAGAAAGTGATGATACCTCTATCTGGGGACTTGGAAACATCCATAGCTCCTTCAATGAGCCCAGGACAATCTTTCACCATCGTGAGAGTGAGCAAAGATGTCTCAAGTGATGCCCTTTGTGGTTAAGCATCATGAGGCTGTTGCATTCCCTGCTGGTAGGGAAATTGGAGGTACGTGCACATTCCATCCCTTGCAATTCTGTACCTTCCATTTGCAGCATGAGAATAAACAACAAGTTGAAATGTGTTTATAAGAGTGAAGCATCAACTTCCAAATCCAGCTGACCTGTGTGGGTTAAAGGACTTAGCAAAGAGAAACAAGTACCTACAATTTTATGGCTCCGATGCCTCTCAGCTTTGGCTGCAATTTGGAAGTACCCAAGGAGCTTTAAAAACTACTGAAGCTGGGGTCCCATGCCCTGAGTTTCTGTTTTGATTTGTCTGCACTGTGCCCTAGGATGGAGGGAAGTTGTAAAGTTCTCCTAGGTGATTATAGTATGCAGTCAAGTTTGAGAACCACTGGACTTAGCCTCTCTTGGGATCTCAGAATAAGTTTGGGTGGGTAGGCTTCTAGAATAAGGCAGTGCCTCTAAAGACGTGGTCTGTGGACCCCCTGACATCAGAATCACCTGGGAATCTGCTTAAACATGTGCATCCTAGGCTCTATCCCTAAATTTAGATTCAGTATTTCTGGGGAATATCCCAGGAATCCACATATTTAACAAGTTATCTGGGTGATTGTCTGTGCTCACTGAAGTTTGGGACACTAGAGAATAGAGAGTAGTCAAAGCCTATGGCTGGTTTTCATTATGGTGGAGAAGCAGAAGGAAAAATGTGCTCAGAGGCAGAGGCAAGATGAGGAAACTCAGTGACAAGACCCCCTTTTTTTTTTTTTTTTTTTTTGAGACAGAGTCTCTTTTCGTTGCCCAGGCCCAGGCTGGAGTACAGTGGCCCAAGCTCGGCTTACTGCAACCTCCTCCTCCCTAGTTCAAGAGATTCCCCTCCCTCAGCCTCCCAAGTAGCTGGGATTACAGGCACCCACCGCCACGTCTGGCTAGTTTTTGTATTGTTAGTAGAGATGGGGTTTCACCATGTTGGCCAAGCTGGTCTCAAACTCCTGACCTCAAATGATTCACTTGCCTTGGCCTACCAAAATGCTGGGATTACAGGTGTGAGCCACCGTGCCCAGTCAAGATCCCGTAATTCTTGAGCATTCCTGAAACCTAGGGAAAGATGGAAAGTGCTTGCAGGCAAGGCCCATGGAAGACAGAAAAATCATTTATAGACTGCAGTCTCTAAAGACACAGGAGTGTTTTACCACATGCTGATATCACGCAGGGTTGGTCTGGGGAAGGGATTCTGAAGCCAGGGGAGGTAGTTTTGGCCACTGAAGTCCTGGCTCAATGGAATCACTTCTTCCCTCTCAGCCTGACAAAGCAAAGTGGGCTAGTCCCATCTTCCTTACCTCCAAAACCAGTACAGCATTAAGAAATTCCTAATCTACCGTGATGTGTGAGGGTCAAAAAAGTGGGCCTAGAGGTGAAAAATGGATCATAGACAAAATATTAGACATCCTTCACCCTTTGTCAAAATTAAAAACTTTTATTCATCAAAGGGCACTATTAAGAAGTGAAAATACGACCAGCCTGGCCAACATGGTGAAACCGCATCTCTACTAAAAATCCAGAAAAAAAAAAAAAATTAGCCGGGCAACAGTAGCACGTGCCTGTAATCCCAGCTACTCAGGAGGCTGAGGCAGGAGAATCACTTGAGCCTGGGAGGCGGAGGTTGCAGTGAGTGAGCTGAGATCGTGCCACTGCACTCCAATCTGTGTGACAGAGTGAGACCCCCGTCACAAAAAAAAAAAAAACGAAGTGAAAACACGACACACAGAAAATATTTGCAAATTATATATCTCATAAAAGTCTAGTATCCAGGGTACATAGAGAACACTCACAACTCAACAATAGAAAGGCGACTCCGTTTTTAAAAAAGGCAAAGGGTCTCAATAGACATTTCTTACAAGATGGCATACAAACAGCCACTAAGCACATAAAAATATGCTCAATACAAACAGTGATTAGAGAAATGCAAATCAAAATCACAATCAGATAGCACTTCACACTCACCAGGATGGCTAAATTCAGAAGAATGGAAATAACAAATGTTGACCAGGATGTGGAGAAATAAGAAACCCCGTACACTGATTGTGAGAATGTAAAATGGTACAGCTGCTATGGAAAACAGTACGACAGTTCTTCAAAAAGCTACACATAGAACTCCTATATGATCCAGCAATTCCATTTCTAGGTATGTATATACCCAAGAGAACTGAAAACAGATGTTCAAACAATAACTTGTATGTAAGTGTTCATAGCAGCATTACTGATAGCAGCCAAAAACTGGAAACAATCTAAACATCCTACAATCAATGAAGGGATAAACAAGATATGATATGGCCATTCAATGGAATGTTATACACCCATAAAAAGGAATGAAGTACTGATACCTTCTACAACATGGATGGGCATTGAAGACATTATGCTAAGTGAAGGAAACCAGACGCAAAAGGCCATGTATTATACAATTCCATTTACATGAAATTTCCAGAATAGGCAAATCCATAGAGACAAAAAGTAGATCCATGGTTTCTAGGGCTGGGGACAAAGGGAGACAGAGTGACGGCTAAAAATATGAGGTTTCTTTTTGTGGTTTTGGAACTGTTCTAGAATTAGGGAGTGGTGATGGTTGCACAATATAGTCAATATACTAAAAAGCATTGGACTGTGAACTTTAACATGATAAATTTTATGTGAATTATATCTCAAAAACATTTAAACGTAAGACTAGGTATCACTTATTGACCAATTTCTCCTTGCTGGCCTAAGTGCTATTATACATAGATAAAATTTCTGGCTCAATCCTTCAAAGAATCCTCCAATGAAGGAGTTTCCATTATTATCAAAGGACAGCCCAGTGTAGGCATTGAGAATGTGGTTCTGACGCCAGGCCACATGGGTTAAAATCTCAGCCCTGAACTTGCTGGGACTTTGCATGGGTCCTCTCCTATGCAGTTTCCTCATCTGCATGTCGGGGAATATAATGGTATCCAGTACCTGGCGCGTAGTCAGCACCTAGTAAATTTTGGTTGATCACTTAAAGGTCCTCCTCCCTCCTTCCCTTTCATCCTGAGTTTGAGAGTTTCACAGTCATACTAAATCAGATTAGGAAACTGAGCCCTAGAGAAATGACGTGACTTGTCTAAAGTCCCGTATCACAAAAAGATAAATTTGTATGCCTCTACTTATATGGGATACCTAAAATAGGCAAATTTATAGAGACAGAAAGTAGAATAGTAGTTACCAGGGACCAAGCAGCGGGGCGGAATGGAGAGTGATTGCAAGTAAGTACAGAGACTCGATTTGGAACGATGGAAAAGTTCTGGAGATGGATACTGATGATGATTGCACAACAATGTGAATGTACTTAACGCCACTGAACTTAAAAATGGTTAGAATAGTAAATTTTAGGTTATATATATTCTACCACAATAAAAAGGAACCAGTCCATCAAAATGAGTGTCATCCAGGACAGTCACCCTACAGGGCACCTTGATGACACATATCAAAGTCTTAAAAATAAGCCCTTTGACTAACACATTCTGTACTAGGAATTTCTCATAAGAAAATAATCAGACAAGTGTTAGAAGGACATTCATCTCGTCAATATCTAAAATAATGCCTCTAGCTGCTCTAAATATCCAAAATAGAGAATTAAATATAATTAATATGCTAAAAAATTAAAAATTAAAAAATAAAATCCTACAACTAGTGTTTATAACTCTGGGCTCTGAACCCAGACAGAGGGACTCCAGAAATTCCCTTAGCCACTATGCTTCTAGACAGTGAGAAAATCCAAACCACTCCCTTTTTCAATGCAAGGAAGTTCATTCCGAGACCCATCTGCAAGAGTGAAAAATGCGCCCATTGTGCTACCTGTAAAAAGCATGGCAAAATGTGAATGTTCCTTAGGATCGGACATAGGGCTAACCAGACCATTCTCCCAGCCCAGCACCTGGGACATCAGGAAGCAAAGTGGGTTGAGGATCCCATCCCCATAGGCCTTCCTCTGAGTCACTGGTGCAAAGTCTGTCCTGCTGCTTGTGTTTGTTTACCCTCTTTCCTGCATTAGGTACAGCTAAGCTTTGCAAATTAACTCACAACAGGATCCAGTGGGCCTTGACCCAAAAACCATCCACAGGAGAATGTTGACGAGGCAACAACTGCTGCATCCATCCCACAAAACCCCTAGCCACAATGCCAAGTTTGTATCCAGAGTGGCGACGGTGGGGACCTAAAAGCTAAAACAAGAGCTCAGCAGGGTTAGGGTCTGCCATGAACTCTTACCAGGCAAGGCAGGGTGGAGACACATGTCCGTGGCCCTCCCACGCACTAGGATCTGTATGATGCTCCTCATCTAAGAGATGAGTTTGGTTTAAATTTGAACTCAAACTGTATTCTTGTCACAGACAATCCAGAGCACTCTCTGGGGTGTGGCTCTGAGACACACAAGGAGGAAAAGACCCAAGTTCTACCTCAAGCAGCTCATAGTCTGGAGGAGAAAGAGCTATGACGACTGAACAAATGCAGAAAGTAAATATGGAAGAGTCGAGAGCACTGTGAACATTCCATCTGCAGCTACCTACACTTCTGAAAAGCCAGACTCAAACATCAAAGTCTCTCCTTGCATCTCCACCAGGATATGTGTGTAGTAGGCAGAGCACTGGTCCCCAACAAGGTCCACACCCTAATTCCTGGAACCTGTGAGCATGTTACCTTACACAGCAAAGGGGACTTGGCAAATGTGATTCAGTTAAAGATCTTCAGAGGGGAATTTATCCTGGATGACCTGCGTGGGGCCAATATCATCACCAGGGTCACAAGTGCAGAACCTTTCCTGGCTTTGGGTAGAAAGAGATGTGACTTCAGAAGAAAGGCACAGAGGAATGCAATGTTGCTGGCACTGGAGATGGAGGAAGCGACCACAAGCCAAAGGGTACAGGCAGCCTCTAAAAGCTGGAAAGCCCAGTAAATGGATTCTCCCCTGCAGCCTCCAGAAAGAACACAGCACTGCACCTTGATTTTAGCCCAGTGAGATGTGGGTGACCAGTAGGATTATAAATTGATGTGCTTTAAGCCACTGTGTGTAATTTGTTATAGCAGCAAAGGGAAAAAATACTAATAGGATGTGTAACAGGCATCTCAAGTCTATCATCCATCTCAGCCACATTAGCCCCTGACTTCGTTGCTGAGGCCAAACATTTTGGTGGCATCTCCAACTCTCCTCTTTCTCTCATTCTGCACAAATCCATCAGTAAACCCAGTACATCCCACACTCTCACCACTGCCACTACAAGTTTGGTCCATGCCACCTCTCACCTGGATGACTTCTGTTTCCACCTGTGCCCTCTTACAATCCAGTATCAACAGTGAAGCCAGAATGGCCCCATTAGTCCATGTTTATTATCTGCCCCAAACCCTGCAATGGTGTTTCAGGCAAGACCTTGCACAGTCCTACAAGGCCCTTTAGAGTTTGGCCTCCGGTTACCTTTCTGCCCTCATCTCCTTCCATCCCCAAGCCAGCTTGGCCTCTTAAATGCTTCTGAAACACACTGGAAAACACCCCCACCTCAGGGCCTTTGCATATGCTATTTTCTCTCCTTGGAATGCTCTTCTGCGTAGCCCACTCCCTTTGAAGCCTCTTTAGGGTCTTTATCCAAATACCATTTTTTTTGGTGATACCTTCCGTGGCATCATATTTAAGACTGCAGCCTTATCTCTGACGTTTCTTGTCTCCAAGGTAAACTCAGGCCTGGATCAGACAGCTCTGCTTTTAGCCATCCACGTGAACCAGGATAAGGTATTTCTCTCTCTAAGCCTCTTTTTCCTCATCTGCAAAATGCGGTTGTGGTAAGGGCTGAATACCATTGTGGTGATGGTTCCACAGGTATATGCCTACATCAGCACTCATCCAGCTGTGCGGTTTATTGCATGTCAATGCCTCAATAAAGCTGTTAAATTAGAAAATGTTAGTAATAATAATGACAACAACAATAATGAAGTGCTTAGTCCACGGATTGAAACATCTTCATAACATGTGAGACACTGTTGCTCTGTGGTCCAGTGTGATGAACAAACACCACAGAGCTTTACCAGCCAAGTGCCTGGAACCGTGCTGGGGAAATGACAGCCTCGTCTGTTCCTCGTGACCACACTCTCGGTGGGTATAATGCCCACTTCACAGGTGGACAAAGTGAGACTCAGGAGCCACACATGTAGAATGTTCTAGAACACAGAAAGTCCTCTTTCCAGCATGTCCTTGTGGCAGATTAGGCAAGACAAGGGGGGAAAAGCAGAGTCCAGGGGGGAGGCAAATTGAGATGCAGGAGGGAAGGAGATAAGAGCAATAGGGAATCCTCAGAGCACCTGGCAGGCCCCCAGCCCCTGGGGGCAGGAGAAGCCAGGCCACGTAGTCATGTCCCCATGGAGAATGCAGCTGCTCCTCTGTGCTCTGCCCTCGGTTGCTACTGCCCTGCGAGGCAACCTCGAGGCTGGGAATCTCCTCCTTTCTCTGTCTGCAGCAGCTGCAGTGAAACAAAGGGCACAGCCCCCTTCAGGCCAAGAGAGGTGAGAAGCTGCTGGGGAGCTGATGTCACCACTACCCCCTCCGAAGCCCATCCATGGGGCACAGTGCACTCCACTGGCAGATCCCGGAAAGGGAGCATGCTGACTGACTGGCTGACTGACTGCCTGCCACATCACCGTCTCTGCATTGCAATTGCAAACACTGTTGTGCATTCTGAATCCCCAGTGTCTTTCTGTTTTTCACCAGCCATGATCATGACAGTGACAACAATAACAATACAGCCTTATGCTCATAGCTCCATTCATTCAAACAGCCATGCAACAACACCTGAGATTTGTTGTGCATCTGTGAGGACTGAAGGTCCGAGCTCCTTCCTCCAACCACCCATACCACACTCACTGAGGACTCACTAGGTGTCAGGCACCATCTTAGCACAAATAAGATACACAAGGCCTGTGCCTTTGGGAGCTTAATTTCTAGTAGGGACTGGAGGAGAGGGGCATATGGATAATAACAACCAAAAAAAATGGTAATGTCACAGTATGATAAAGGCTGTGAAAGAAATAAAGTGCAAGCTAGAGAATAATAGGAGAGAACTGACTGGGTAGTCAGGGAAGGCCTCTTAAGGAGTTGGCCTTTAAGGGGAGACCTGAAGAATGAGATGGAGACAATGCAGCCATGTTTCAGGCAGAGGAAAACGCTAAGCCCATGGGGTAGGCACTATGGTCTGAATGTCTGTATCCCTCCAAAATTCAGATGTTAAAACCTAATCCTCAATGTGATGGTGTTAGGAGGTAGGGCCCTTGGGAGGTGATTAGGTCATGAGGGCCAAGCCCTCATAAATGATATTCATGCCCTGATAAAAGAGGCTCCAGAGAGATCAACGGCCCCTTCCATTACCAATGAAGAACAAAACAAAATGATGACAGCCATCTATGAAAAAGGAAGCAGGCCCTCACCAGACATGAATCTTCTGGTGCCTTGACCCTGGACTTAAGCAGCCTACAGAACTATAAGAAATAGATGTTTGTTGCTTACAAGCTACCCAGTTTATGACATTTTGCTATAGCAGCCCAAACAGACTAAGAAAGCAGGAAAGAGCTTGGCACAGGCTGGGAAGAAGTGACAGAAAGAAGGTTGCTATGATAACGCAATGGTGTAATCAGTGTGATTTTTATGTGTTTGTATCAGAGAACCCTGGGTGCAATTCCTGTATGAAGAATTGCATGAGCACTTTGTATGAGAATGAGCAAGTTACCCTCTGTGCAATGCTGCTCTCAGCGAGCAAATAAGAATGATCATGGAACTGAATTGATGGCACTTTTGTGCATATTAATCAAATTGATTCATGTAAAGTACTTAATACACCACATACAGTAAGTGCTTAATAAATGCCAATTACTGTTCTTATCATCTCCCTGCCTGGTTGCCACAACAGCAGAGTATATTCAGGGCTTAGCACTGAGATCTGATTTGCCTCTGTAAGGTCCCCTGTTAAGTTTCTTGCTGTGGTTCTCACTCCCAAGGCAGTCATCAAATATTTGTTGAATGAGCAAATAAATCAATGAATGGGTTTCCTGATTACCTTATCTTTAAGCCACCAAAAGGCACCTTTTTATGATTAGGCTTCCTTTGCAAGCAATGTGACTCTGCCAGGCCCTGGGCTTTTGCAGAAAGCGAAGGTGGAAGGGAGATGGTTATTAGCCACTGTCTCTGCAAACGACAAGCCATCTGCACCCCGTTACCTAAGCATAGACCTCTGTGGGTGCCAAACTTCAGAGCCCAGAAAGTTGGAAGGGATTCCGAGCTTGGATCCCTCAGGCTAGGCTATTCTTGGAAGCCGAGCAACACGCCTGCCACAGGGAAATGAGTCATGCAGAGGCTGAAGGCTTGATGGATTTCTCCACGGCAGCAGCTATTTATCAGGGTAGATCTATACACCACAGAACACAAAGGGAGCGATGGAGTACAGATGAGCGCTACTTAAAGCAATATCACCCTCACCTTGTATTGCAGATCCTTGTATTGCAGCCAGATGACAATGCCTGGGACCCTCTTACCATCCAAACACCCACCTCAAGGAGGCCCAGCCCTGTCATATGACTGTCCCCATTATACTTGAACAGCCTTTGAAGGGCTTTCAAAGTGTTTCCCAGCCACATCTCCACCCTCCAAGCTCAGGTAGCCCATTCCTTCATTCCCGTCTCAAATGTTCTGCCCCAGTGAATATCTTCGCCTCCCTGTTAGACTCTGAGATCTTGTACTGCAGAATCCACTGTTGCTCATACAATTCTGAGTTGTACCTGAGGGCAGAATCAGAGTGGTCTTTTTGCCTTTTGTGTTTGCAGAGTCCCAACTGCAGAAGAGAGTGACATGCCATAAACAGGTCAAATGTCGTTAATATAAATATCTACCATGGGGCAATTTCCGAGGCTCTTACATGCTTCGTCCTGAGGTTAGCATGAGGCAACTGCACTCACTGCTACGCCTTCCCACACTTATTCTAAGGGACAGCCAGCTAGGATGGAGTGGGAGCTGATGCCCTGGATTAAGGTGCCTGGTTAATTCCACTTGCCTGGTTTCCTTTGTTCTCAAACTCTGCCTGGAGATGAAGCTATTGCGAAGTCAGTCTCAGCTTGTGCTTCTAAGTTCTGCTCCTTACATATGCCCCCAGAAAGTTGTTCCAAGTGAAGGCAGCTTAATTAAAAACCACATTCAATCAAACTGTCACTTTGTTTATGAAAAAGTGTCTAGTGGCTGGAAATGGCAAGAACAAGCACTGAAGATTAATGCTCTAAATTTTTTCTGATTAAAAGTATGATTGAGGCATTAAGAAAGCTAGCTCCATGAACCCAGGGCAGGCCTTAAGCCCAACATTTTGCCATCTTCAAATACAACTGGGGATAGTTGTAAAAACAAATAGAACTTCTCTCTGCCTAGAGGTTTCCTTTCATGAAGATAAAGTTTCTAGCTGGAACTGGCTGTTTTTGCAGGGAAGCACACATGAGACAAGCTTTTTGGAGTCTCTCCAATACCTGCCTGTTTCATAAATGGCACAGTCTCCAAATCTGATGCTCACTGGACCAGGGTCAGGCTATGGAACTGATTAAAATAAGTAGGAACCTCCAAGGCCCTATGTCCCTACTCTCCATTTTCAGATTGGTAAGCTGAGACCTATGTACTGGAAAAATAAGCTCAAGGGCTCCAAGTAGAAATAGTTGTAGTCCTGGAGTCAGCCTTGGGTTTAGCTCCACTTCCAAAATGTGTCAACTTATAGAACCCTTATTTTTTCATAGGGTTATGAAGCCACTGGTCTATTTTATCCAACAGAGAAATCAGCTCCAAGCAAATCCCACCTGGACACAGTGTCTTTGCCTGACTCCAGAAACAAGATGGCACTCTGTCTCCAGTGGTTCCACTTTACCTAGATTTGGAGCCTCCAAAACATTGTATGGCCACACTCCATCTCTGCCTACGATGGAATTATGAGAGAGCTTTGGAAAATGGCTGTTCCAAAAGTGGTAGTCTTAACACAAAGATCAGGAAGAATATTTGATTTGGATTACCAGCCACAGCAGGCAGAATTCTAAGATGTTCCCAAAGTGATAGTCTTAATCCACAGGAAGAATATTTGGTTTGGATTACCAGCCACAGTAGGCAAAATTCTAAGATGACCACCAATGACCCATGTCCTTGTGTGATCTCCTCCCCTTGAGTACAGGTGAACCTGTGAATATGATAGGACATCGCTTCTGTGATTATGTTACATCATATGGTAAAAGTGACAAGATTTTGAAGATATCATTAAGTTCCCTAATCAGCTGACTTTGAGTTAATCAAAAGGGAGATTACCCAAGGTGGGCCTGGCCTCATCAGATGAGCCCTTTAAAAGAAGGCTTAAACCTTCCCTGTGCTCAGAGACTGGAAGCAGCAGAGCCCTCCTCCACTCTCCATCACTGGTTTTGAAGAAGGAGGCCTCTTTGAGTGGCCTCCTCATTTCCCATGAGATAATAAATGGGTGTCACCTGCTAAGTTGGTGGTCGGTTGTTACACAGCAATAGATAGCTGATACACAAGCCAAGAACAAATAATACCTACAGCAGTCAAGATAGTGATGATGTCAGTGCCGAGATGAGAAACTAGCACCAGACATTCTCCCACATGGGCTTCCTTTAATAATAATAAAATAGAAAAATCTTCAAAACCTAACTGGCCCATTTTCTTTTCCTGTCATTCTTTTTTAAAATTAAAAGCCAACATGGGTACCCAGGGCTGACTTGATCACAGCATGATTAAATGCACTTCCTCTAGAAGTTAGGGAAAAGAGGACTCAGTGAGCATAGGAAGAGGAACAAGTTTCTCTTTGCAAAAACATAAAAAAATAAAAAATTTTCAAAGAAAACATCCAAGTCTCAAACCTCAAACCTCAAACCACTTCATCCAAGAAGAAACCCCCACATTTGTCATTTGCAGAAGCTACAGTAGAGACAATGCAAACAGGAGCTAGTTCTGGGTGTGCAAATCTGTGACAGGTGTGCAAGGCACAACCAGTCCTTGCGTGATTTCTTCCAACCGCAGACTCCACGAGTGCTTATGTACATGAGAAGACGTGTGTGGCCCCTGGGAGAAGGGAGCAACCATTAGGACACAATATTTAATGAAGTGCTAAACTGTGCATGGCTGGGTTTAAATGGTGACCTTTGAGTAAAGCCAGTTTGATCTCAGGACATTTCCTTTTCAGGAATTACTTGTATAGCTACCTGATGCAGTCAAGATAAAGATCTAAATCACTGAGTAAGGCCTATGAGGCCCACGTGCTTTCACCCTGACCTCTCTCTACCCTCTTCCCCTGCTACTCCTGTCTGCATCCTGGACTGAACTTACCAAACACGCTCATAGAGCTGCTTCTCTTTACAATGTTCTTTTCTGCACCTCACCCCCGATCCCTACTCTCCTACCTGACGAATTTATCTTTCAAGACATGCTTTATAAAGTCACCTTCTCTAAGAAGTCTTCTTGAATTCTTTCTATGAAGAGTCCTTAGATAGCCCCAGCATGGCCTGTGCTCAGTTTCCTCATCTTTTCAACAGGGACAAAAATAGGCATTCAGGGCTGAGTGTGGTGGCTCATGCCTGTAGTCCCAGAACTTTGGGAGGCCAAGGCAGGTGGATCACTAAAGCTCAGGAGTTTAAGATCAGCCTGGCCAACATGGTGAAACCCTGTCTCTACAAAAAAATACAAATATGAGCCAGGCATGGGGCACATGCCTATAATCCCAGCTACTTGGGGGTTGAAGAAGGAGGGTCGCCTGGACCCAGGAGGTCAAGGCAGCAGTGAGCCGAGATCATGCCACTGCACTCCAGCCTGGACAACAGAGTGAGACCCTGTCTAACAACAACAACAAAAGGCATTCAGTTGTAAAAATTAAATAAGTTGACAAATATCAAAGGCTTAGAACCTGGTGACATGTCTTCAGCACACAGTAAACACTCAATGACTATTTATATTCTTTACTGAGCACCTACTAAGAACCAAATGTTGTGCCAGCCCCTTGAATACAAAACAGGCATAGTCTCTGCCCTTTTTCCCACTCAGCACTTTAAGCATGGGGCTGAGCTCACAGCCTCATACAGAGCAAACCCCTTTTCATGTCAGTCTTGCATATAAGTGAGTCTTCTCTCCGAAAAACTGCTGCTGGGATAAAAGACTTCCTGGAACCTGGGGTCCAACACCAAGGCCACTAAGACCAAAAGACAACCCCAGTCTCTGACCTTATTTAGAATTCCTGTTCATAGGCGGCAAGAAAAAGAAAGATGTAACAATATGACCCCCAAGAAGGATATTCCCATTCTCTAGCAAAATCTCATTTTGGAATTGCATGTTGGGTGCCTGCCTCTTACTACCATGCCTCTTCTCAGCTGGTGTCATCTCCTCTGGGGAAGTTTTTCATCATCTTTGCTCAATTAGGAATTAATCTCCCTCATCTGACTTTTCTAGTATGATTTTTCATTCATGTCTTAATCACCACCTGACACTTTATTTATTTATTTATTTATTTATTTTCTGCCTCCAACCTCTGAAATGCAAGCTCCGTAAGGGTAAAAGGATATGGAGTGAGCTTAATGTTCCACAACTGGGACCTAGGTCAGTGCCTGATACATAGTAGACAACAGTCTACTGACACATAGATCAATAAATATCTATTGCATAAATGATAATAGTGTTAGTAGCAGCCAACACTTTGATACAATTTCCTATGCACCAGGAACCATTCCAAGGGCCTTATGTATATTAACTCATATAATCCCTGCAACAACTCCCTGAGCTAGGTACTGTTGTCATTCCCATATTGGGAAGAAAGAAGCTTGGCAGGGAGAGTTTTGGTCACTTGTTCAGTTATATAGCCAGTGAGTTACAGAGTAAGGATTTGTCAACTGAAGAAACACGAGGTTCATGCATCTAGAAAGGAGAGCTTTATTTCTTATAAGGGGTTGCAGCCTGTAAGCTGACCATCTCGCAGGCTGGGGAGTGTAGCATCCAGCAGAAACCAGAGGCAGGCACTTCAAAGGAGGCAAGGTGAGACAGGAATTTATGCTAACAGAATGGCTAAGTATACATACTCAAGTTATAGGAGGAGCTATGAATATTCACAAAAGAAGGGCACGCAAATGCACAGTAAATTAATATGAATGTCATATACATGCCATGTTCATTTTGGGGTGAAAACATAACATTTAAGTATACTATAATTTGGCCCCATGTGTCAAAAGGTGAATTAGAGGACATGAAGGCACTCAGTGTGCAGCCCCCGTAAACTGACCAGAACCACTTCATGCAAACAGAAGCTAGTTCTGGGTGTGCAAATCTTATCAGGAAGGAATGTTGCTTGGTTGGCCGTGTCAAACCTGTATAAAGCGAGGGGCAGAGTCAGGTGGTTGGTTGGAAACAGTGATGGAACAAGTCTTTTGAGATGGCCTGTTTCTGTTTAACCCTTAGGAAAGAAAGCCAAATGATGGTTAGCAAGGGAGAGGATATAATGTGGTAAGTCTGAGCTCCTGTCTGGTTATGGCTAGGAACTCAGTTTTCAAGGTTTCTCTGGGATCCCCCTGGCCAAGAAGGGGTTCCATTTAATTAGTTGGGGTGGTTTAGGATTTTATTTTTATTTCTAGGATTCAAACCAACCAGTCTGGCCCCAAAGTTTATGCGCTTAACCACAACACTAGAATGAATTAGTTAATTAACAAACAAAAAATGTCACGTCTGTCACATTCTGTAATGCCTGGGGCCATATTGGGGGATGTGCCTGTGTGCTCCACGGGTGTCCTCTTGAATGTTATAACCTCTACATGAAGCAAAATCCTATGTCCTGCACACAGTAGGCACTCAGAAAGTGTTTGTTGAATTGGATGACACCTGAGTTTGTGCTTCTGGACATTCTAAATACTTTTTTATGCAAATCTCCAGCTTTCCTTCCCATGGAGACTCACAGCACCTATGCAGCAAAGTGCATTGTTGGTGGTCCCTATCCAGAGCTTCTGACAATAAGTACATCAAAGCTAGGGTGCCACAGTGACACTGCCATCAGCTTCTGGGCCACAGGAATGCTCAACAGATGTGGATAATGAGTATGGAGGAGCAATGATGCCAAAAATAATTGTTCCTTGGGCCTTCTAGATCTTCTCACTTCCCCTGAGGAGAGATTGTGCATTCTGCCTACCCAGGAGGACAGGCAAGATTGCAAACACATAAGATGTTTGTGGCAACAACTAACAGCTGTCTGGCCAGACTTAACTGCAAGTGAGCAAATCCCGCCTTCTTCACTAGCTCAGAAGCTGCTGTAAAATTACAGAGGAGCCCCAGGAGAAGCTGCACCATACCAGGGGGTGGAGCAGCTCCAAAAAAAAAAAAAAAAAAAAAGGAAACAGAGAAAAAAATATCTGGCTACATATCTACCTGGGACAATCTGTTTTCTTAACAGTACACAGGACCATGTACCAGGACCAGGCAAGCAAAGCGTAGGCATATGCTACCCCTAGGCTAATCCACAGACCTCGGGGAAGAGCAAGCCGCAGTGCTAGGCTGCCAAGCTCTAAAAATACCCAGCTCATTCCCACCATGACACTCATGGTAAGCTCTTAGTGGGCAGGAATCCTGCCAAACAAATGCCTACCTAGCTGGATGATCCAGAATGAGCCCAGAGGCTGGGGACTATGCAAACACAGGATCCAGATAGGGACATGGTTTTCTCTTGAGCATGAATGAAGTTTTAAGAAAACTGGTGTGTGTGGATTACCATGAATTGGGGAGGAGGAACAAGGAGTGGAGGAGAAGCTCCTGCTATAACAATGGAAGTCGATGAATGCAGTGGCTAAAGCTGTAGGCTCGAGAGTCTGACCAAGTCCATGCAAATCTTGAACCTCTCACTTAATAAATACACAGCACTGGGGAGAAAGTTAACCTCTCTGAGCCTCAGTTTCCACATCTGTAAGAAAGGGACAATGATAATAATCACTACTATATCTACCGCATTGGTTTTTATAAGGAATGTAATAGATTATGTTATTGTTCAAATATCTGCTGTCCCTCCTCTCTACAGGACTCCTCCCTACTGGACAATTGGAATCCTCGCCAATGTTGGGCTGGGAGCCAGCGGAATGTAAGTGGGAGTGACAGTGCCACTTCCAGGAGAATCTTTAAGATCCATCTCTTCATCTACATCCTTCTCTTTTCCCTCTTCCATGAGATTAGCAATGACCTAGAAAGGAGCCCTCCGTCAGTCTGACTCTTGCATCTAAGACATGAAGCAGAGCTGCAACTAACCTCATATAACTGGAACAAGAAATCAACTTTCATAAACAACTCCAAAATCTCAGTAGCTTATTACTGTAGCATGAACCTGCTTAAACTGACTGATACAACAGTTAAATTATATCATCTATATAAGAGACTTAATGCATATCTGGCATTTTCTTTTTTATTTATTTTTGGGCAGGGTTGGGGAACAGGGTCTTACTCTGTGACCCAGGCTGGAGTGCAGTAGCATGATCTCAGCTCATTGCAGCCTCCATCGGGGCTCAAGTGATCCTCCCACCTCAGCTTTCCAAGTAGCTGGGACTATAGGCATGCACCACCATGCCCAGCTAATTTTTTTTTTTTTTTTTTTTTGAGACAGGGTTTCACCACGTTGCCCAGGCTGGTCTCGAACTCTGGGCTCAAGCAATCTGCCCACCTCGGCCTCCCAAAGTGCTAGGATTACAGGTGTGAGCCACCACGCCTGGCCTTAGCAAATTCTAAGCACTCAGAAAAGTTACTTTATTATTGCTATTATCAGTATCATCATCATGGGTTCTCACCCTTTTGGAGACATCCCATACCTTGTTGAAAGCTTTTGTTGTTGTTTACTCATGAAACCTTTGGACCCTCTCCCTTGAGAAACGCACATTTGGACACAATTTTGAAGATAAGTGCAGGTAGTTTGCACATCCCAGGCTCAGAGCCTCTGTTAGAGTCTCCCAGATTGAAAAATTCATCCTAAAGTCGATTTCCTAAGCTTCGGCCTGGAAATACTGCCAACATAGACTCTGTGTCATGTCAACTGTCACTGAGCACAAACAGGTAAAAATGCCACAGTGCCACTTTCCATCCTGGACAAACAGCCCAGGACATACAGGGAGGCAGGGATTGGCACACATGGAAGGAGAGTGCTGGCCCCTGGCTGCGTCCTCACCTCTGTGCTCAGGGCTGTGAGTGAGGATGGCAGACACAACAATCTATACCCACCCTAGACCTGCGGCATCTCTTAATCTGTGCTCCACAAGATCAGCGTCTGATCCTGGGGCCGCGGGCTGTCTGGGGAACATGCAGTTCTTTAGTGTCTGGATATCATTAGCTAATTTGTGTGTCCAATTTCAAAGAAATGTTTCCTCCCTAGAGGAGTTTCTACTCAAAGGACTGGCTATTTTTGGCTCCCACCCACTCGGCTGTGTTGTGCGAAGCCAGCATTTCCTAGACTATCCCAACCCCCACCTTTTCCTCTCTCCAGAGTCAGCAGCACTGGAGTCCAAAACAGTCTCCTGGGCATCCCCATAGCCTTGTATTCCCATCCATCTCGCAAGAAAAGATAAGTCAGCACTCTTGTAGAGGACATGCTTCCAACTAGGATCAAGGGAAGAGCTTCATTCACCCTTTCTTTCTCTTATTCATCCATTCATTTGTTTAACAAATAATTATTGACACCCTTCTCTATGCCCCATTACATATTGTCTGTATGACGTTGAGCAAGTTACATAATGTCTCTCCTCATGCCTCAGTTTTTTTATCTAAAAAATGGGATGACAATAAGAACAACCCAAGAGGCCACTGTAGTTATTAAGTATATTAATATATCCATAGCATTTAAATAATGCCTGGCACAAAGTAAGTGCTCGGTAAAATGTTAGTTGTACTTTGTCAACTACTGTAGTAATCAATAGGGACAAAACGGTGAGTGAAAACTAATACAGTTCCTGCCCCTACGAAGCTGATGATCCCCGAGGAGAAATATACATTAATCACATACCCTGGAGGTTAAAGATATATTCAGTACTCCTTGATTTTGGTGATGGTATCACAGATGTATGCATATGTCTAGATTCATTGAAACGTTTACAGTAAATATGTGCAATTTTTTGTATGTCAACTATACCTCAAAGCTTTATAAAATAAGCACAACAATGAATGTTAAATATGTAACCACCATAAGTGTTACCAACGAGAAGCATATGGTGGGTTCCAGGAGGGCAGTTGATACAGGTTATGGTTTAGGAACGATTTTTCTAAGGAGTAATGATGAGGTTGAGGTCTGGAGAATGTCTAAGAATTATGAGAGAGTTTGGGGTATGTGTGCTTCTTTCCGGGAGGGTTGAGGGGCTCTGTTTCAGACAGAAGAGGCAACATGTAGGAAGGTCCTCTCAATATCTAACACTGTTAGACATATAAAACCCTTGATAATAATAATCAAATAATCAGATAATAATAACAGAGGTCTAAACGGGAAACTATAAGATTTCAACAGCAAGCTGTCTTGATAAGGTTCCATCATCTCTCAAAAATTTATAACTAACAACAAGACAATTACTTCCCAAATCCCCTTGAAATTAATTCCATCCTCCTCCAGGAGCTATGATGGGTGGGAAATAAAACCGATGAGGGGGAGGCTCAAGTAGTAGTGATCATATCAGAGCATATCAAAACCTTGGTGAATTTTTACTCTTTAGTTTGACATGGAAATTTTCCCTAATCCCAAGACATAGATGATACCATGTGATAAAAAAAAATCTTAAGATACATTTATCCATTTATTTTACAGCTTTTTTAGTATTTAGGACCTACCAGGCATTATATGAGGTGCTAAAGACACAACGGTGACCAAGACACAGTCTACTGGTCTCTGTCCCCTATACTCTATTTTACCATATCTATCTCCAACCCTGTCAGACCCAAGAGGGAGGGGTTTCCAGTAGCCAAAAAAAAAATAGACCCAGGCAAAATAATTTTGAAATAGAAAAACAATGGTGAAGGACTTACATTACCCTCATTTCAAACATATTACAAAGCTACAGAAATCAAGAGAGTGTGGTATTAAGGGAAAGAGACAAATCACTGGAACAAAACTGAACGTTTAGAAATAAGCTCTGACACTGTCAATTGATTTTTGACAAACATGACAGGATAATTTGATAGGAAAAAGATAGTCTTTTCAACACATGATGCTGGGAAAATTTGATATCAATATGTGAAAAAGTGAACTTAAATCCTTATCTCCAAACCACACAAAAATTAACTCAAAATAGATCTTAGACCTAAATATAACAACTAAAACTATAAGGCTCCTTGAAAAAAAAATTAGAGAAAACCATCATGTCCTTGGGTTAAGCGGAAAGCTCTTAGACACAAAACCATTCATTATTCTTTTACTAGACATAAATGAAAAAATAGGCAAATTCATCTCCATTAAAATTTAAAACTTTTGCACTCCAAAGACACCATTAAGAATAAAAAGACAAGCCAGACTAGGAGAAAACATTTGCAAATCATACATATGATAAAGAACTGTATCAAAAATATATAAAGAACTCCTACAACTCAATAATAAAACAAACAGCTCAAAAATAAGATGAGCTAAAAAACTCTATACTCAATAGTTATTTCATCAAAGATGAAATACACATGGCCAATAAGAAATGAAAAGGAGTTAAACATCATTAGTCATTATGGAAATGAACATTAAAACCACAATGAGATTCCACTTCCATATACACACTAGAATGACTATAATGGAAAATATGGACAACACCAAGTGTTGGCAAGGATTCACAGAAACTGAAACCCTTGTACATTGCTGATGGCAATGTGATATGGTGCAACTACCTGTGAAAACAGTTTGGCAATTTTTTAAAAACTTAAAACGTAAAGTTACTATATGGCCCAGCAATTCCACTTATAGGTATCAACCCAAGAGAAATTAAGATATACATCCACACAGACTGGCATATAGATATTCACAGGAGTATTATCCCTAACAGACAAGAAGTAGAAATAACCCAAATACCCATGAGCTGGTAAATAAACAAAATGTTGGCTGGGCGCAGTGGATCACATCTATAACTTTGGAGGCTGAGGTAGGTGATCACTTGAGCCAGGAGTTTGAGATCAACCTGGGCAACATGGAAACCCCATCTCTACCAAATACGTATGTATGTGTGTGTATACACACACACACACACACACACACACACACACACAAACACACAAAATTAGCTGGGTGTGGTAGTGTATACCTGTAGTCCCAGCTACTCGTGAGGCTGAGGTGGGAGGATTGCTTGAGCCTCGGAGGCAGAGGCTGCAGTGAGCCACAGCCTGGGGAATAGGCCCCATCTCAAAAAAATAAAAAATAAACAAAATGTTATATATCCAGATAATGGAATGTTATTTGGAAATAGAAATGTAGAAAACACTGATACATGTGACAACATGAATTAACCTCAAAGACATTATGCTAAGTGAAAGAAGCCAGACTCAAGAGACTATATATTGTATGATTCCATTTACATTAAATTTCCAGAAAAGGAAAATCTATAGAGACAGAAAGTGGATCAGTGCTTGCTTGGGGCTGGGGTTAGGAGCAATGATTGACAGGCCTGAGATAATTTTTTTAGGGCTGGTGAAAATGTTCTAAAATTTATTTGGGGTGATGGTTGCAAAATCTGTAACTTTACTTTAAAAATCATTGGATTATGTATTTACAATGAGTGCATTTTATGATAAGTAAATTATATATCAATAAAGGTATTAAAATAATTAATCCTCTAACAGCCCACACAATAGTTTAGTCATCTGCATGCCTTGATATACCTCCAGTCTAGTCCTTTCAACAAAGAATAGAAGAGTTTAGTCAAATGAGGAGTCTTTGGGATTGGAATGGTTCTAGCCTCATTCTCTAAATAATTCTACCCAAACAATATTTAGGAATAATTTTTTTAGAGTGGCATAAACACCATAATTACATGCACATACTTTTCATCTTTTCTGTTCTAGAAAAGGAGTCTTCTTACAGTCCAAGGAAAATCAGTCTCTACACTGAATTATAAATTAACATTTCAGCAGACATGCAATGTTGTGTGAGGTCTTCCCACGTTAGCAGTCGGAATACAGGGGACAGCATCACCTCCTTTGCCTCCAGAGGTCTGAGGGTGCAGTGGAAAGAGATCAGGGTGTCTTCAAGAGTTTGAATTTCTCTCTTCTCAAGAATAGAAGGAAAATTAAGCATTATTTTTTTCTCTCAATGATTTTGCCTTTTATAATAAGTAACTCTTATAGACTCCTTACTATGTGACATGCCCTGTTTCAAACATATAAAATATATTAACTAATTTAATGCTCATAACAACTCTATGAGGTCAGTTCTATTTTATCCCTTTTAACAAATAAGTAAACTAGAGCACAGATGGGTTAAGTGACTTGTCCAAGATCACACAGCAAGCTAGTAGAGACGGGATTCAAACTAAACGGTAACTCAAGTCCCTTCTCTTAAGCCCTCCATCTCATGTACTCAGAGGCATTAAATCTCAAGGTATACATAAAAGATAAGGTAAAAGGCAGCATGAAAAGTTGCTTTTTTTTTTTTTTTTTAACAGGCTGGAGTGCAATGCCACAATCTTGGCTCACTGCAGCCTCTGCCTCCTGGGTTCAAGCAATTCTCCTGCCTCAGCCTCCCAAGTAGCTGGGATTACAGGCACCCACCACCATGCCTGGCTAATTTTTTGTATTTTTAGTAGAGGTGGGGTTTCGCCATGTTGGCCAGGCTGGCCTCAAACTCCTGGCTCAAGTGATCCACCCGCCTCAGCCTCCCAAAGTGCTCTGATTACAGGCATGAGCCCCACGCCCGGCCAACCTTTCTGAAACCCAGAAGAAAGAAGAGCAAGTGGGGCTCAGAGTCACAGTTGCTCAGCACTGCAGGCAGGGTCCGTATGTCATAATAACAGATGGGGTAGGTACCATTGCTCTTGCAGCCTGCAGGTCCCAAAGGAAATTGTGTCATTTTATCTTGCCTAGCTCCAAAAGGAGCAGCCTCTGTCAGAAGATCTCAATCATCATAGGCACATCCCAGGTGTGTGTCCTGCTTCTCATCAGGCCTCCCCATCTTACTAGACCACTAGGTTCAGCCCTGACTTGTAGGAGGGGCTGGGCCTCCATAGCTTCTAAAAACATACAGTTAATCTACAGCATCTCTCCTACATTTGCTGCGTAGCATTGGCACCTTCACTCAAGTGACAGTATTATAGTCAGGTGGCATCGATCAGCTTTAATCAGCCTTATATTTAAGAGCTAGAGTCTCTGGGTGTTTTAGGGAATACCCGGGCAACAAAGTGAAAAAAAAAAACAAAAAACCTTTTGCAGTAGATTGCATGATTGCACAACTGGCCCAATTCTTCATCTCTTACTGGAAACATGTCACTGTCACGTGATTCTGTGGTCCCTGCCACTTAAGAACCAGGATACAGTTCCTCACCTCTTGACTTTGAGTTTGATCACGTGACTTAGTTTGGCCAATTACGTGAGGGAGACGTGCCAGTGTGCCGGTTTTGGCTTTTGCCCAGGGTGTCTAAGACCGTAGGGAAGAGATTGTCTGGGAAACTCTGCCCAAGACATCACCAGAGAGCCCACGTAGTGTGGTTTCTCTCCTTGTATCAATGAGAATGAAACCCAAAGAGAACTGATGCATCACCCAGTGAGTGAATATAGGAGCTACAGTGAAACCCATGTCTCCTGTCCTCCTACTCCAGGTTTCTAAACAGGAAGCATCAGAACCTGGCTGTCAGAAAAATAATCTGAGGCCCCAAGGTTTCATGGAGCAGTTACTCTCTGCTCAGCACTAAGCCACGTGTACAGAGGAGATACCAATAAGGAAAATGACTGGGTCCCTGGTTATAATGTCCTAAATCTGTAATGGAGTGAATCAACAAGACACTTGCAAACAAAATGGTGAGGGCTCAGGAGGCTGTAATTTTTAAAAAGTGCTGGACTGAGGAAAGGTGAGAGTTACAGGCTCAGTTCTGCCACTCGCCTGCTGTGTGACTTTGAGCTGGTCATTCCCTATCTCTTAATAACAGCTTCTTCATCTATAGAATGTGGGTATACATGAGGGGATTTTTTTAGAACTCTAGTTCTCAGTTCTGACTGCATATTATTCTCACCAAGAAAACAGTTTTTTTTTTTTGAGATGGAATCTCGCTCTTATTGCCCAGGCTGGGGTGCAATGGCACAATCTCAGCTCACTGCAACCTCCACCTCTTGGGTTCAAGCGATTCTCCTGCCTCAGCCTCCTGAGTAGCTGGGAGTACAGGCACCCACCACAATGCCTGGCTGATTTTTGTATTTTTAGTAGAGACAGGGTTTCACCACGTTGGCCAGGCTGGTCTCAAACTCCTTACCTCCAGTGATCTGCCCGCCTCAACCTCCCAAAGTGCTGGGATTATAGGCATGAGCCACTGTGCCTGGCCCAGAAAGCATTTTTTAAAAGAGGAACCCAGACCCTTGGAGAAATGACTGATTGCTGATTCCAGGGTTGAAGCAGGAAAAGTATAAAATGAACCAAGAGCATCTTATTGTTCCAGAAAGTAAGGGAATGTGCACCAAAAAAAAAAAAAAAAAAAAAATGAGGACTTCTAGGGATGGAATTTTGTCCCCTACAAATTCATATATTGAAGCCTTAACCTGCCATTGACTATATTTGGAGATAGGGCTTTTAGGAGGTAACTAAGGTTAAATGAGGTCATAAGAGTAGGACCCCAGGTTGATAGGACTGGTGAACTTGTAAGTAGAGGAAGAAGAGAGATTTCTCTCTCTCTCTCTCTCCACCAGCATGCACTGAGAAAAGGCCATATGAGCACACAGAGAGAAGACAGCTGTCTGCAAACCAGTAAGAGAGCCCTTACTCAAACCCAACCACGCCAGCTCCCTGATCTTGGACTTCCAGCTTTTAGAACCATGAAAAAAATAAATTTTTGTTGTTTAAGACACCCAGTCTATGATATTTTGTCATGGAAGCCTGAGCTCACTAAGACAAGAATGTGTCAAAAGAATACAAGAGCCAGGTTGAGGTGCTGACCGATAAAATCTGAGACAATTTAAGCATAAATATAAATAACGACAGTAATGGATTATAACCCACTGTAAAATTAAGAATCTTGAGCCCATGCTAATATAAAGTATAAAAGTAAAAATAAATGTTCTTCCTTATAGCAGAACACTAGTAAAGAGAAGGAATGATGGAGTTAGAAAACATCAATGGATGCTAAAGCTGGTGAGTAAAAACATGATAAGGAATAGGATATTTATATAGTCTCAATGTATCTGCCTAATAATATAGGAGCTACATTGAAAGTGTATCCCGTCTTCCTAGTGCAGGTTTCTAAGCAGGAAGCATCAGAACCCAGCATCAGAACTCCCTACAAGTTACTTGTTAATTACAAAGAGGAAATAGCAACTTTACAGTAGAGACTGCAGATACTACCTTAACCACGGAGTCAAAATTAATATCACCAATATCAAGACCAACGGACATCATCTCTTGATACAATGCACCAAGAAGGACACAATATCACTTCAGTGATATTCCTACAAAAAAAAAGTGTGAAAGAAATAGGGCAAAATGTAAGCAACTGGTGAATCTGAATAAAGAGAATATAGGAGTTCTTTCTACTATTCTTTCAACTTTTCTGTAAGCTTGAAAATATATCTACTCATGACACAAGTTTACCTGTGTAACAAACCTGCACATGTACCCCTGAAATAAAAAGTTAAAAAAAGAAAATATATCTAAATGCATATACAGTTTAAAAAACATATGAGCCCAAGCCCCACCCCAGACTAATAAAATCAGATTCACTGGGGGTTTAGGGCCCAGGCATCCATGTTTTTGTTTCTATGTTTGTTTTTTAGGCTCCTTGGGTGATTCTAATGTGCCTCCTAGGTTGACAGCCCCTACGGGACTCAGAGGATAGTGACATTCTGACATTCTCTGGACCTGTGGGTACCAAAGTAAATGGTTTACAGCAGTTCCCAACCAGCAGCAGCACCTAACCACCCGGAGACTTGTAACAAATGCAGATTCTTGGGCCTCACCCAGACCTACTGAATCTGACACTTCGGTGGTGTACCGGCAACCTGTGCTTTAATCAGGCATCTCGGGGTTTCTGATGTTCACTAAAGTGTGAGAACCATGGTCTATATTGATTCTCAGGTAACTAATAGTGTTCTTCTTTTTCAATTTTTTTTAAATTGTGGTAAAACACACACACACACACACACACACACACACACACTTTACTCTCTTGGCCGGTCAGCATAGACTTCCAGCCCCACATCACCTTTCCCAAATGTCTTCCAAGGGGCAAAGTCCAGACACAACAGTGAAAGTGTGGATTTTACTCCACTGTTCTAACTATCAGTTCTTTCTTGCTGGTGGTCTCATTTCCCTGCCCTCCTCCTTACCTGTGCCACATACCCCATTCTCCTTGTACTTCCCCTACTGGTCAGTCCCCCACACATAGACCTGCTACAACCACAACTAACTCCTTGAGACTAACCTGTCCTCTCCATCACTCTCAAGCCACATTCTCTGAGCCTGCCCAGGAGACTAAGAACCAATGTGGAATTAACAATTTACTGAAAAAGACCAGATCCCTTTCCCAGGTGTGAGGCTATAGCACGGGTGTTAGCTGTGATAATTTTTAGGTGGTACAAGGAGACTGAATTAAATAACATCAAGTCACATGGTGCAAAAGTTGCTCCCTTTCAAGTCTGTTTCAACTCTTCTGAAAACATCAGGGAAAAAGTCCCAAACACCCTACAACACTCGCTAATCTCCCTTTTTAACAGCGAGATCAGGCCTCAGGCTCTGAGCCTTAGGCAGCAGTCTCTGAGCTGTTTGGTCTTCGTGGTATATATTTTTGCAACTTACTTTCTATTTGTGGGAAGTGATACTGGTTTTCCATTTCTGGCTGTGATGCCAAGTTGCTTTTTAAAAATAAATGTGCTTAAATTAAAATGCAAGTGGTTTAAAGCACACACTAAACAAATAATCGTAGAGATGTTTGAAGTTGGAAAACAGAGAATGAGGACCCGGGCTTCTTCCCTGTGAAATCTTCACCCTACATATATCATTTTGGTGTCTTGGAGACTGCATCCTACCATGATCTCATCTATGAAGCAACAGGAAAGGAATGGAGTCTCCAGTGAGATTGGATCAGCAGTTTCATTAGAGGGGCTGGCAGAGAACACTTTTGCTCTTCCTCCTGGTCCCTAAGCCTTCCTGAAACCCAGGGACTGGAAAGGGATCCTAACCAAATCTGCAGCTATTGGCATATCCTAGATCCTAGTGAGCCAGAGGTGGGCAGTGGTGGGGACAGGGATGGCTGATAAATGTGGGCAGATCCCTAAACTGCATCCGACCCTCCTGCACTTTCTTTCTTAAGACCCTTCATCTAACATGTAGGAGAACTAAAGTGGATCCTCATCTCTCACCTTAAGCAAAAATCAACTCAAGGTGGATCAAGGACTTAAATCTAAGACCTAAAACCATAAAAATTCTAGAAGGTAACACGGGAAAATCCCTTCTAGACATTGGATTAGGCAAAGATTTCATGACCAAGAACCCAAAGCAAATGCAACAAAAACAAAGACAAATAGGCGGTACTTAATTAAACTAAAGAGCTTCTGCACAGCCAAAAGAACAGTCAGCAGACTAAATACACAACCCACAGAGTGTGAGAAAATCTTCACAACCATACATCCAAAGGACTAATATCTAGAATCTACAAGGAACTCAAACAAATTAGCAAGAAAAAAAAACAATTAGCAAACAAATTAGCAAGCCCAAACAAAAGTGGGCTAAGGGCATGAACAGATAGTTCTCAAAAGAAGACGTACAAATGGCCAACAAACATATGAACAAATGCTCAACATCAGTAATGATCAGGGAAATGCAAATCAAACCACAATGCAATACCACTTTATTCCTGCAAGAATGGCCATAATCAAAAAATTAAAAAAATAGACATTGGCATGGATGTGGTGAAAAGGAAACACTTCCGCACTGCTGGTGGGAATGTAAACTAGTACAACCACTATGGAAAACAGTGTGGAGATAGCTTAAATAACTAAAAGGAGAACTACCATTTGGCACAGCAATCCCACTACTGGGTATCTACCCAGAGGAAAAGAAGTCATTATACCAAAAAGACATTTGCACACACATGTTTACAGCAGCACAATTCACAAATGCAAAAATATGGAATCAGCCCAAATGCCCATTAATCGACAAGTGGCTAAACAAATTGTGGTATGTATATATACACGATGGAATAAAACTCAGCCTTAAAAAGGAATGAATTAATGGCATCTGCACCAACCTGAATGGAACTGAAGACTATTATTCTAAGTAAAGTAACTCAGGAATGGAGAACCAAACATTGTATGTTCTCACTTGTAAGTGAGAGCTAAGCTATGAGAATGCAAAGGCATAAGAATGACACAATGGACGCTGGAAATTCAGGGGAAAGGGTGGTGAGGAATAAAAGACTACAAATTGGATTAAATGTATACTGCTCGGGTGATGGGTGCACCAAAATCTCAGAAATCATCACTGAACTACTCATGTAACCAAATACCTACTGTCCCCCCTCCCCCCCCCAAAAAAAACCTATGGAAATTTTAGAAAAGGAAAAATAAATAAATAAAACTAGTATTGATTTGGGTTATTTCAGTTTGTGTTCTCCAAATAGTTGTTAAAAATAATTTAGAAAATGCTCAAAAAAACCACTCATCTAGAGGAATTTAGATCACAGCAAAGAAATTTCTAACATTCCCCATACCTTGTGCATCTGACCTATGATTTTTTTCCTTGACCTTAAAGGCTTACAAAGGGCATCATTATGAGTAACTGCAAAACCATTATGAAAATCAACTCCCTATTTTGGATGACTCCCCATGTTCAGCATAAAAGATACTTACTCAAAAGCTTGGTGTTTTCATTCCAGAAGAAACTCCTTTTAATGCTGCAAGCAGCATTACAATTTTACAAGAGAAAAATAAAACATTCTTAGTAATTAAATGCAAATCACCAGAGCTCAGAATTCAGGGCCCTGTCTCTGGAGTGCCTAGATTCAGCACTGGGAGAAGCAAATAACTGAGAGAAGGAAAGAGAATGCCATCCTGTCTCCCTCCCTTGCACCCCCTTCCTCAGCTAACTAGTGTTCCCCTGGCTCAAAGAAAATGTGGAAGTTGGTGGTTTTTCACAAGGATGATACTATCTGGAGCTGCTGTCCTCTGAGAGTAGGACGGGTCAGAAGAGATCTGCACCTGCTCTGTTAAGGTAGTCTTGCCATCTCTAAGGGTTTGATTTGCTGGCTTGTTTACTGGAGTCAGAAACAGAATAAAGGTAACTCACTTCAAAGGCTAGATTCAAATGCTACTTCCTAGAAGATACCTTCAGGACCCTCCTTCACTCCCAAATAGAAGGAACTCTGCTTTTTCAACATGGTATTGAAGTCAGAATGTTTGTTATTCCAAACACCAGTACTGAAACGTCTGCTCATTCCGTGAAGTTCCTGAGGTGCCGAGTGCTGGGGATATAACAGTGAAGATGGATAATTCTCCATTCTTACGGAGCTTCATTGAGGGAGCTCAGGGAGGCAGGAGTTAGTCAATAATCACAAAAGTAAAGCAACATCACAAATTGTAGCGAGTGCTATTTAAGTACATGAAAACAATTTACTAGTCAAGAAGTATCAGCAGAATGAACAGCAGGTGCAAAGGGCCCATGTCAGACAGGTGAAGGGGGGACATGAGGGCAACTGCAAGAAGGCCAATATTACTTTTGCAAGGAGCAGGTGAGACGTGGGGCTCCAGAGGTAGCCGAGGTCAGCCATGAAGTGCTTGGAAGGCCACAGAGACAAATTTTATTCCTATCACCATAGCAACGGGAAGCCATGAAACCGTTTTCAGCAGAGAAACAACATGATCGGGTTTGCATTTTGAAAGATCCCACTGGCTTCAGTAGAGAGGATAGATTTTGAGCAAGAAGCAAAGATGCTTGTGCAAAGGAGAGTAATTCGAAGACCTTTGGTAGTCCTGGCAAGAGATGTTGAGTGTTGGATCACAGAGCTGCTGATGGAAATGGGGAGATGTATTTCGACTGATGTTGGTCAAGTTACTTCTTTCTGCACCTCCATTTCCTCATCTGTAAACTGGGAGTAATAAGCCCACTCACCTCCCAGTGAAATGAGATGGCATGTAGAAAGCACCTGGCACATCCTGATGATTCAATAAACGATAGTCGTTGTTATAGTGATGATCTTTGTAACTCTTGTAAGATGCTTTTCAGTTCACATCTTTTTAAATGATTGTCTGTCCACACTGTTCACTCCATCTGTGCAGCTTTATGTTATTTGAAGGCATAGTGCCCCCCTGCTGGATTCACTTTATAACAATCAGTTCTCCCACCAGGATGATTAGCGCCCAGAAAGTGTAAGTAAATATTTGTGGAGAAAACTGATTTGAATGGCCCAGATGGTGGCACTCAGCCAGGCTCCCTAACCACTGGAGTTAATCCATCACAGACGTGCTGGCCAATGTTTTTCAAGGTGTGATTCTCCAGGTGTGACTTCCATGGAGGAGACACTTGGATCCGATCTGCCTTCAAAAAAGAATGTGTCATTCAGCCACTGGGGGTGCAGGTTACTGACATCCTCTGGCTTCAGAGCCCTCAGGATTCACTTCCGCTTTTGAGCTGAGGTCACATTCTGCCAGAGCAGTCCTCAGCCAGTGACAGGGCATGAGGGGGACATGGGGCCCGGCAACTTCTGCCCAACATGGGGCTCCTTTCATGGGCAACCTCTTCTCCAAAGCTTTCTGTTAGGTTGGCAGAGACTGTCTGGTCTGCATGGTGGTCTGAAGCTCTCCCTTGCACAATTCTACTTCCTGCCTTCCCTATTTTATTTTTTCCCAGGTACTTATGCCCTCTCAATAAACTTCTTGTGCCCCTAACTCCATCTCAGCATCTGTTTCCTGGAAGATCCAACTGGCTCACCTTGGAGAGAACAGAAACTAAAAGCCACAACATGAAGCGTATACAAGAACCAGGTAAGTTAAGTAACTCAGAGCTATCTCTTGTCCCAAAGGATGAAAACCTCCGAGCGCCGTGGAAGAGAACAGTCTGATTAAGTTGGCTCAAACTGCCAGGAAGCTTTCTGAGCAACAGCAGATGTTGGGGCTTCGAGAAAGATTGCTCTCTGCTTTTGGCCAGAATCCCTGGGGTCATTTAGGTGGTGATGTTGCCAGTTCTTCTCCCCTCTGGCCAACACCTCTCAATCCATTATTTGGGATACCAATTATAAACTTGGGACAAGAGCCTAATCTCCCAGCAAGGAAAACCTGGGCTGTCAGTCTACTTTACCAATCCCTGCCTTGGAAATTGCTATATATCTCAGGCTACAAGAAAGTAGAGGGAGACAAGAGAAAAAGCATCCCTCACACAACCTTCAGATCTTCCGCTGGAGAGATAGCCCCACTCTAGGAGGGAATGGTTATTGCTATAATTTGGGGGATATTTTGGCAGGTTTGGGAAAATCTATTCAAAGTTTAGTTTAGTCTCAATTTCTAGAACATCGAGCCACTTTTGTGTAGGCAAGGGTGACAGGAAAAGCTGAAAACATGGTGGTAATCCTAGAGATAATAGTAATAGCAGTATTTATGGAGCAATGAGTATGTTTGTAGATTGAGAGGGGTATTTTTTACAGAATCAGCTCATCTAATCATCACACGAACTCCTAGACATTGGTGCTATTTTCACCAACTATTTCAATAAGGACACAGAGGTTCTGATATGGTTTGGGTGTTTGTTCCCTCCAAACTCATGTTGAAATGTCACCTCCAGTGTTGGAGGTAGGGCCTGGCGGGAGGCCATTAGATCATGGGGGCAGATCCCTCATGAACAGCCTAGCACCATAACCCTGGTAATGAGTGAGCTCTCGCTCTTAGTTCACATGAGATTTGGTTGTTTAAAAGAGTGTGGCACTGATCCCCTTTCTCTCTTGCTCTGTCTTTCACCATGCGATATGCTACCCCCCTTTCACCTTCCACCATGATTGGAAGCCTCCTGAGGCCTCACCAGAAGCCAAGCTGAAGCCAGCACCATGCTTCCTGTATAGCCTGCAGAACCGTGAGCCAATTAAACCTCTCTTCTTTACAAATTACCTAATGTTGGGTATTTCTTTCTTCTTTTTTTCTTTTTTTTCTTTTCTTTTTTATTGGGGGGGACAGAGTCTCACTCTATTGCCCAGGCTGTAGTGCAGTGTTGTGATCTCTGCTCACTGCAACCTTCGCCTCCTAGGTTCAAGCAATTCTTGTGCCTCAGCCTCCCAAGTAGCTGGGATTACAGGCATGCACCACCATGCCAGGCTGCCTTGGGTGTTTCTTTATAGCAACACAAGAATGGACTAACATGGGCTCAGAGAGGTTAGGTAACTTGTCTAAGACCACAGAGCTAGCAAGAGGTAGAGCTAGGATTCAAACTTAGGTCTCTCCAAAATCAAAGACTACATTTATCCTCCCTTCCTCCACTGTTCTAGATCACTCTTGCACTGGGGCACTCTTGCTCTGAGAGACGTATCCCACTCACAGACATGGAGTGGATGCCTCGGTTGCTGCATCATTTAACAAGCATCTATTGTCTGCTCTGTGCCATCCCCTATGGTAGGCACTGGGACGAAAAGAATGAATGATCCTTGACATCAAGAAGCTCAAAGACTAGCTGGAAAGATACTAATATAGCAATTCCTTTTATTTTCTCTAATAGGAGACCCACTCGCAACTATGAGGAATAGATACTATCAGCAGCAACAGCAACTTTTTTTTTAAGGACAAAGAAAGTAAATATGGGAAAATGTAAACTTGTCCAAAGACATACATCTAGTCATGAGAAAGCTGAAACCCAAAACAGCTAAGCTGATGTATCACAGCCTCTGAATCACCATCACTGAAAGAAACAACACACTTGGGGATGGGGGAGTGGCTCTCCTTGCACAAGCTGGGATGCAATTTGCAGACATTTTGCAGAGCAGAAAATATATGAGTCTCTGAAGGGCAGTGATCAATCATTTCAGCCATCTTAAATGAGACCAGAATAGATACAAGAAGAATCTCAGCCACATATAACTCTAACCATCAAGGGTATTACTAACCCCCAAAATATTTCATCTTCTTGAAGTTTTATGGCTATGGCTCTTGAGTGTTTTGGGGGTACAGGGAGATATGGGTTTAGGCAGCTGAAGCAATACCTATCTATAGATAAGAATATCGCCAGAAGTCCTAATAACCTCAGAAAATCTACAAAACAAGAGAGTCCATATGTATGCCGGAATCCCTGCCCCTGACATGTTTACTCTGCTGACTACCTCCAGTGACAGAACTCTAGACTTAATTAGCCAGCTCATAGCTCTTCCACATACTTTTTGGAGGTAGATTTTGTCTCTATGGGCTCTACTTCTTCCCTTAGATTCTAGAGCACCATGGAATGTATCTGCTCTATGTTCAAGATGAAAGCCCTTCAAATAATTGGGTATAGCAATCTACTCACCCCTCTCACTTCCTCATTTCTCTCCACTCTCAGAAATGCAAACATTTATCCTTTTGTTGATGTTATTCAGGAACCACTTCCAGCAGCCTGTACCTCCCTTAGTCATGTTCCTTTTAACAAGCTCAGTTTATCAATGTCCTTCTTAAAATACAGAACTCACACATGAGCATAACCGAAGATACAATATTTGTGAAGGGACTGTGAAAACAAGAGTAGGCAGAGGCAAAGGGTTGTTATTTTTTCTCTAGGACTAAATAAAAATATAAATGCTATTTCTCTTAACACAAACCAGTTTGAAGAAACTATTCGACGTATTCATTCTGTCATCTGTTCATTCATCTGTTATTGAACCTTTCAAGGTAAAAGATTAGAGGATTCTGGCCAGGAGAGAAAAGAGAAAAGTGGATGGATATGAACACTATGTAGAAGGTGTAGTCACAGGGCGAGGGGTGTGAGGGAAATGGTGGCAGCAAGAAGTTGAGCCTGGGCATCTGGGAGGATGGTGGTGCCATGCCCTGGAGGAGGACCAGTTTGAAGAAAGAATATCATAGGAGTCCAATAAATACTACTAGAATGAATGACTTAATAATCAGTATGTAAGTTACATTCATTCCCCTCTGCTTCTGGCTTTCCATCTGATTAGATCAAAAGCACTCTTGCATATGGAAAGCTTGCACGAGCACAATTTTACGTGGTTATGGGAAGGAATGGTGTTCTCTATGTGTATTTTTATTTTTTCCAATGATTGGATTCTCCAGGGTGCGCACATGACAGAGACAAGTTTCTGTACTGAGTCCTGATTCCCTAGGCAAAAAGTGCAAAGCATACCGAAAAATAAATATCCAGCCTTAAAAAATCAGTACAACAATCCCTTGGCTCCCATGAACATCGTAGACCCCACTGTGTGCAGGGGCCGCAGTCGACGGCAGGGTATGAGGAGAAACAGGACAGGTTTCCATGTCCCTTGTGAGCGCAGAGTGTAGGAGGAAGATTGACAGGAAAACCAAAATAAGACACCTGAAACTCCACGATATGATAAATGATATGACAACAGGGGGAGGTGCTAAATGTTACGAGAGTGCAGCAGAGGCATAAAATAAAAGAAGCCTGAAGCAAACTTTTAATTCGTTACACAAAAAAGTCTTTAGTCTTCTTTGCCGAGATTAAAGCAGTGCCACTCTGGGTCTGGAGCCGAACTGGTAGCTGGGGTCTAGAAGAATTCAGAGTTCATCCCGAGTCTTCTCTAGAGATGGAAGCCTGGAGAAGCCTGGAGAAGCCTGGGGAAGCCAGAAGGCCCTGAACCCCTGACAAAAAGCCTAAGGATCCTCACCCAGCAATGCTGACCACGACCATTAAAACATGAAGCCCACCCCCAAAGAGGAAAATCCTTGCCCTTTAATGAAGCTGCCAAAAACCTCCAAATTTAACAGTTTGCACTGTGTCTTTCTGCAGACACAGAAAAATGAGCTGGGAAATAGAACAGTCACATCTGGCCAAGAGAGTTGTGGACTTTTGAGGTGTTGCCTGGGTCTCCTGGGCAGTAGAATCAGCTGACCCAATGTTTAATAGAGAAACTACAAATTTTCAAACATAAGAAAACCATGTAAAAAAAAAAAATCAATGGGGGAGGGGGTGTTTAAATGCATTTGAGACCAGCCATATGACAGCGATTTGGAAGCCCTTATAACCCTTAGTTTTAATAACATAAGAATTCCCTATGAAATTCTAAATAAGGCTGGGCATGGTGGTTCATGCTTGTAATTCCAGCGCTTAAGGAGGCTGAGTTGAGGTGGGCAGATCTCCTGAGGTTAGGAGTTTGAGATCAGCCTGGCCAACACGGTGAAACCCCATCTCTGCTAAAAATACAAAAATTAGCTGGGCATGGTGGTGCGCACACGTAATCCCAGCTACTTGGGAGGCTGAGGCAGGAGAATGGCTTGAACCCAGGAGGTGGGGGTTGCAGACAGCTAAGATCGTGCCACTGCACGCCAGCCTCGGTGACAAGGCAAGACTCTATCTCCAAAAATAATAATTCTAAATAAAGCAAAATAAAATGTATGCATAAACATATATATGCAAAGGTATATGTATATGCACATACATGCATACATGTGTATAGATATATGTACAGTATAGCCTGCCAGCTATGTTAAAAGAAGTTTTTTGCAAAGCCACCTTTTGTGTATGGAACTGTGTGTGAAAAAAGACTTATAGAACTGTGAGAAACTTGGATAAGATGAGGCATGCGTACTTCCCCATCTGAAATAGCCAAGATGATGACCATTCTTATAAGTGAAAGAGTTTTTTTTTTTTGTTTGGGGAAGTGTTTTTTTTTTTCTTTTTATCTTTCATTCCTGTTCAAATTCTTTTTTAATTTACACATAAGAAAAAGTGGTCTGGCACAGTGGCTCACTTCTGTAATCCTAGCACTTTGGGAGACTGAGAGGGAGGACTGCTTGAGACCAGGAATTCGAGACCAACCTGGGCAATATATTGAGACCCTGTCTCTATTTAAAATTGTTTTAATTTAAAAAAATTTACAATAAATAAATAAAAATAAGAAAAACCTCCCAAATCCCACCACTCTAGTACAACCAAAGTGGCCACACCATCACACGTGAGGTTGTTCACAGCATCCTTCTCTGGGGATGATTCTAAGTCCCTTGAAGATAGGGAGCGTGACTAGTTTGTCTCTGAATCCCTGGTACCTGGAAGTGGCCTGACCCCCAGAAGGCACTCCGATGACGTCTGTTGAATGGATAGATGAGAATGCACATAAGAAAAAGTGATTTTTTTCCTAACAAAGTAAAATGGCATTCCACGGACTTTGGGGAAGTTGGCTCCTTCACTTCTAGAGAAAAAAGGAGAATAAGGCAGGAATTCAAAATACTCTTATGAACAGAAAGGCAACAGGTAGAGCAGGACATGGAGGGATTCATGAAGGGAGAGAAGGAAGGCAGGGAAGCTGGGCTGTGCAATAAGCAGCAAGCCTGGGTGTTATTTCAGCCTCCCGAGAACATGCCAGAATAGACATTGCCATTACCTCCATTTTCAGAGGAAGAAACTAAGACAAATGAATCAGACAGAAGACATGATGTTCATCTCATAAATGGACATGTGGAGATTTGAACCCAGCTCAGCTGGCTTTGAATTCAGAAATCTTTACCCCTAAGGGACATCATGAAGCAAGACAAAGAATGAAATGGAGGGCTAGGATGATGACTGGATTTCCTGCTGATTGAAGGAATGTTGAACCAAGCACATGTACTTCAATCCTAACCATACACAGGGAAGTTCTTTCTGTATTTGGAAGAGCTAAGCGGAAGATCTCAGCACTAGTCCCAGCCCCTGTGTCCATGCCATTTCAGCACTAGATAACAAGATATATCCATGTAGGAAGATGGATGAGGAAAGCAGGGTGGATCTGTCTCCCCCAAAGGAAACCACAAGGCATAAACAGCAGCAGTCCCCAGAGGACAATGTACACACAACCTCTTTCCTCCAACTCTGGTGTTGAAACTGCCCTGAGCTGACTTTAAATCCACTGCAGGTAGTTGCATGAGGAGTACTTACAGGATCCTGCTGGCTCTGTTGCTACTCTCTATCATGGAGTCCTGCAGCCTTTGAATAAATACCTGCCAGGCCAAGCTAGCAAATAGCACAGTTTCATGTCTGGAATTTGCAGACCAGGGCTGAAGGAAGTTAGACACGCTTCTGTGAAGAAAACTGATATTCTGCTGGGGTTTGCAAGATCCCTAAAGGTCCCGTCCTCCCCCTGGGAATCCCAGCAGTTTAGAAGATTCCTGAAAGGGAAAGGAGCAGCTCACCTGAGACAAGCAAGGGCCAGATTGTTGAAGCCATCGTTGCCCTGCTGAGCTTCAGGACACTCAACTCACAGTTGCAGATTTCATAAGCAACAAAAAGAAGAATCCATTTCACAGGCATTTTTCAGTGCCTGTCTGACCACACTGATCAAGGCAGTGGGGGTACAGAGGTGCACAAAACGTGCAAAGTGCCTGCTACAGTGATGCTTACCCTCTGGTGGGGAGAGCTGAAGTTCTGGGAAAGTACAGTTTGAGGGAATGCCTCATATGCAAAAGGCCAACCCTGGGCTAGATCCTACTCATGTATGTCTCATCCAGTTCCTCCCAATAATCCCAAGATTAGGTACTCCTTGCATCAAATCATTTTAAAGAAGAGAAAATTGAGTGTATTAGTCCATTTTCATGCTGCTGATAAAGACATAACTGAAACTGGGAAGAAAAAGAGGTTTAATGGACTTACAGTACCACATGGCTGGGAAGGCCTCACAATCATGGTGGAAAGCAAGAAGGTGCAAGTCAAGTCTTACATGGATGGCAGCAGGCAAAGACAGAGAGCTTGTGCAGGAGAATTCCTCTTTTTGAAACCATTGGATCTCATGAGACCTTATTCACTATTGTGAGAACAGCATAAGAAAGATCCACCCCCATGATTCAGTTACCTCCCACTGGGTCCCTCCCACAACATGTGGGAATTGTGGGAGTTAAAATTCAAGATGAGATTTGAGTGGGGACACAGCCAAACCATATCATTGGGTCTCAGAGAAGTAATTGCCTCAAGAATCACACAGCTGACAGGTAACAGAGCCAGAACTCAAACCCCAGGCCTCCTGATCACAGCTGCCATGTTGCACAACCCTCATCTCAGAAGGAATCAGAATTTGTGTTCACGGTTACACGTGTTCAGGGTCACACACTTAGTGTACGATGTAGCCGGGGTTAAAGCTGAGATGAGCCAACTCTAGACCCTAGTCTCTTAACCACTATAGATACTGCTGTGCTAGCATACTTGGAAACCACCATATATGTTCTTGGAAATTCACCAAGCACATTACCATGTTAGGCAGACTTATTACTATTCTGCAGTATCTGCAAGTAACATAGAAGCAAAAAAAGCACATAACACATAAAATAATTACACATAGACCTGAGGTAGAAAACAAATAATCAGAGGAGAAGGCAAGAGAAAGGTGAAGCCACCTTAGGTAGAATGGTCAGGAAACATCCTTTCTGAGAAGACATTTAGGCTGAGAAGCTAATTAAGAAATAACAGAGAAAACTAATGAAACCCAAAGCTGATTCTCTTTAAAAAAAAAAAAAAAAAAAAACAAAATTGATAAACCTAGGTAGACTGATCAAGAAGAAAAGAGACTATCAGAAATAAAGTCTGGTGCATTACTACAGACTTTAAGATATTAAAAGGATTAAAAAACCCTTATGCCTATAAATTTGACAACCTAGATGAAATGGACAAATTCCTGGAAAGATACAAATTACCAAAGCTTTTTCAAAAAGAAATAGAAACCTTCACCAACCCTGTATCAATTAAAGAAATTGAACCCATAGTTTAAAACCCTCCCACAAAGTAAACTTCAGGCCCAGATGTCTTCTCTGCTGCACTCTATAAAACATTTAAGGAAAAAAAAAAAAGAGTCCTACACAAATTATTTCAGAAACTAGTGTTCAGAAGGCAATACTTCCCAATTCATGTTATGAGGATAGTATTACCCTGATTCCAAAACCAGAGGAAGCCATTATAAGGAAACTCTAGACCAACCTTCCTCGCAAACATACATGCAAAAGTGCCCCACAAAATATGAGCAGATCAAATAGAAAAATGTAACAAAAGGCAATGCATTATAACCAAGTACGTTCACACCATGAAGGTAGGCTGAAATCCAAAGAACAAGAAATAACCAGATTACAAAAAAAAAAAAAATAGGAAGAATGAATAAGACCTACCATTTAATAAATGGCACAACAGTGTGACTATAGTCAATAATTGAACATTTTTAAATAACAAAAAATATATAATTGGATCGTTTGTAACACAAAGGATAAATGCTCAAGGGGATGGAGACCTCATTTTCCATGATGTGATTATTTCACATTGCATGCCTGTATTAAAACATCTCATGTACCCCATAAATATATACACCTACTATGTACCCACAAAAAAAATAAAATTTTTTTTAATTTTATTATTATTATACTTTAAGTTTTAGGGTACATGTGCACAATGTGCAGGTTAGTTACATATGTATACATGTGCCATGCTGGTGTGCTGCATCCATTAACTCGTCATCTAGCATTAGCTATATCTCCTAATGCTATCCCTCCCCCATCCCCCCACCCCACAACAGTCCCCAGAGTGTGATGTTCCCCTTCCTGTGTCCATGTGTTCTCATTGTTATTAAATAAAAAGAATTTTAAATAAAAACAGAAATAACCTGTCAAGTGAAGAACAACAAGAAAGTTCTGGGCAAAGGGAGTGGCACACGCAGAGGCTACAGGGTAAGAAAGAGCTTGGCAAATTTGAAAAGTTGAATGGAAACCATTTGGAATAGCATTTAACGAGTTAGGGGAACGTGGTAATGGATGAGACTGGAGAATAGACAAGGCTAGATCACACAGGACCTCATCAAGGTAAATAGTTTGGATTTTTTAATAAATTCTAATGGACGCTATTACATGGTTTTTACCTGGGGAATGTCGTGGAACTGTTTGTTTTAATAAAGATTTCTTAACAGAATATGGAGAAGCAAGTGGCAAGGGGGCAAAGTGGAAGAGAGATACCAATGAGGAAGCTATTGGAGTGATCCAGGGGAGTGATGGCGCCAGCCAGGACTGGGGGGTGCATGGGCAAGGGAGAAAAGTGGGTAAGTCAAGGGATATTTCAAAGATAAAACCAACAGGATTTGCTGACAGACTGCAAGTATGAGATAAGGAGAAATCTTGTAGCAGGTTCTGGATAAGTGATCATAAATCCTACTCCGTTTTCCTCCTGGGAATATTTAGTCCATAAAAAACTTCCCAGGCTCCACTCCTTTCACAGCTCAACACAGATGATGTCAGTGGCCTTAGAAGCCATATGTTGAAGGTGGCAGAACCAAAAGATGAAAGGAGCTGAGCCCCTGAATCGTCACTTGTCAGAGGGCCGCCCTCTGAATACAAACATCCACATTTGACTTCAGACGAGTAAGAAGTACATCTGTGGTGGATTCAGTTTCTGCTATTCAGGGATGTATGTGTTAAACTAACTTTTCTTAACCTAATTACTTCAGACAAAAATCAAGAAAAAGCTAGTATATCAGCTCGACCAATTAAGTGGAGCTAAGAATACTCTTACTTCAGCTCTTAAAAGAACTGATTGAAATGAGACAGTTTGGAGGCTTTCAAGGGATTTGTTCAATTCCATTTCTAAAAGGAATCTATACTGAGAAAATAACAGTAAATATAAAGGTTTATGCACAGAGATGTTTATCAGTGGCATTTATATTAGCAAAAGTTTCCATGAAAATGACCAAGGCACCCAACACTAAGTGGTTAAATAACCACCACTATGGGCATTAAAAATTATGCTTACAGTTCCCAGGCCCACAGCGTCAGCAGCAGCGGCAGCAGCGGCAGGCGGCCGCGCGGGTGTTTGTCGCTTCGCGGGGCCTTGCGGCAGCATGGCGAACCATCTGATCAGTGGCGGCACCGGCTACGTGCCCCAGGACTGGCTCACCGTGCAGCAGCTCTTCCTCGGCGCCAACTGCCGCACCCACAACAACTTCCTGATTCTCCCATGGTTCATAGATTTCATAGCTGATGAGGTAGACCTAACTTCAGCCCTGACCCGGAAGATCATGCTGAAGACACCACTGATCTCTTCCCCTATGGACACTGAGACAGAGGCCGACATGGCCATCGCGATGGCTCTGATGGGAGGTATTGGTTTCATTCACCACAACTGCACCCCAGAGTTCCAGGCCAACGAGGTGCATAAGGTCAAGAAGTTTGAACAGGGCTTCATCACGGACCCCGTGGTGCTGAGCCCCTCACACACTGTGGGTGATGTGCTGGAGGCCAAGATCCGGCATGGCTTCTCTTGCATCCTCATCACTGAGATGGGCACCATGGGGAGCAAGTTGGTGGGCATCATCTCCTCCCGAGACATCAACTTTCTTGCTGAGAAGGACCACACCACCCTCCTCAGTGAGGTGATGACGCCAAGGATCAAGCTGATGGTGGCTCCAGCAGGCATGACATTGAAACAGGCAAATGAGATCCTTCAGCCTAGCAAGGGAAGCTGCCTGTGGTCAATGATCGCCATGAGCTAGTGGCCATCGTCTCCCACACCAACCTGAAGAAGAATCGAGACTACATTCTGGCCTCCAAGGATTCCCACAAGCAGCTGCTGTGCAGGGCAGCTGTGGGCACCCATGAGGATGACAAATACTGCCTGGACCTGCTCACCTGGGTAGGCATCAACGTCATAGTCTTGGACTCCTCCCAAGGGAACTCGGTGTATCAAATCACCATGGTGCATTACATCAAACAGAAGTACCTCCACCTCCAGGTGATTGGGAGGAATGTGGTGACAGCAGCCCAGGCTAAGAACCTGATTGACACTGGTGTGGATGGACTGCATGTAGTTATGGGCTGCAGCTCTATCTGCATCACCCAGGAAGTGATGGCCTGCGGTCAGCCCCAGGGCACTGCTGTGTACAAGGTGGCCAAGTACGCTCAGCACTTTGGTGTGTCCATCATAGCCGATGTGGCATCCAGACCGTGGGGCACGTGGTCAAGGCCCTGGCCCTTGGAGCCTCCACAGTGATGATGGGCTCCCTGCTGGCCACCACCACGGAGGCCCAGCGGCGAGTACTTCTTCTCAGACAGGGTGCAGCTCAAGAAGTACTGGGGCATGGGCTCGCTAGATGCCATGGAGAAGAGCAGCAGCAGCCAGAAACGATACTTCAGCGAGGGGGAAAAGGTGAATATTGTGCAGGGTGTCTCGGCCTCCATCCAGGACAAAGGGTCCATTCAGAAGTTTGTGCCCTACCTCATAGCGAGTAACCAGCATGGCTCCATGATGTACTCAGGAGAGCTCAAATTTGAGAAGTGGACCATGTCAGCCCAGATCGAGGGTGGCGTCCATGGCCTGCACGCTTACCAGAAGCAGCTGTACTGAGGATAGCAGTGGAGGATGAGGTGGTGGAGGGAGCATACCCCAGTGTCCACCTTCGGGCACAACCTCTCTCCATAACTGAGTGGTCCACAGATTTGCACTACGGGTTCCCCAGCTCCTTTCCAGGGAGAGAGGAGGAGAGGTCCTGAAGGCTCTGCAGCCCCTCGCTGAGCATCCCCTACAGAGTCGGGCCTGCTCCCTGGGCCAGGCTGCCTGGGGGCGCCCCCCAGCCCAGCCAGCCAGGCTCTCAGGCCCTGCGCCTGCCTCAGGTCTTTCTTGCTGCAGCATGCTCCAGCATGGCCCCCACCCCAGGGACAGGAGGCCCCACCTGGCTTCTCCTGTAGGGTACCTCCCTGCCCCCAGCCCCCCCAGGAAATGGTGCTTTCCTGGCTCTGCCTCTGGCTCTTCCCGGGCCGCTGCCCCCTCAGCCATGTGGCACTTCTGAGCTCCTGACCTAGGCCAAGAGGAGGTCTCTGCCCCCTTCCCCGGTCCTGGGCTACCCTTGGGTCCTGGCTCCTTAGGCCATTCCCCTGTCCCTGGCCCCGGGGAGGAGGCTGCCCTGCTCATGGCCGCCTGCCCATCATTCGTGACTCACCACCGTCCCCATATACCATTCCTGCCCTCTCCTCAGCTGCAGTTGAAGGCTTTAACTTTGCACATTTTGGGATCACAGTTACATCACTGTGTATTAAATAATCAGAATAAATAAAAATTATGCTTACAGAGATTTTGATAGTAAGTGAAACATGCAGCTTATACACTACTGCATGTATAAATTGTGTGCAATTACAAATAGGTATGGATATATTTATATCTTATGTACTTGTATAAATACAGATACATACATACACATGCACATCAATGCACACATATATATGCAGAAGGAAATAAATGGGAAAATGCCATTATTGTTTAATATGTGTGACAGCGTTATTGAGTTGAAAATAAAATACACTCAGCATTATTTTTAACAAATTTAAAAGACTATTTCATGACCTTGAGGAGTAGAGTCTTGAAGGGCATCTTAAGATTTTTAACCTTAGTTGGGCATGGTGGCTCACACATGTAATCCCAGCTACTCAGAAGGCTAGGGCAGAGTTCAAGACCAACCTGGATAACAAAGACCCTCGTTCTTAAAAAAAAAAGAAAAAAAAAGATTTAATTAGCCATGCATGGTGGTGTGTGCCTGTAGTGCCAGCTACTCTGGAGGCTGAGGCAAGAAAAATTGCCTGAGCCTGAGTTCAACGCTGCAGTGAGCTATGATCATGCCACTGCACTCCAGCCTGGGCAACAGAGCAAGACCCTGCCTCTAAAGACACAAAAATAGAAAATAAATTTTAAAAAACAAATCCTTCATAAAACCACACAGTGAGACTGTGCTCTGCAGCAATGCCAATGCTAAACACTCTTAGAAAAGCCCCACAGGGGAGCCTGCTTGGAAACTCAAGAGAGAGTTGAAGAGGTTTTGATCCACCCAAGAGATTATGTGCGGGTAAAGCCAAAAGGACCCCAGACTCGAAGATGCCAGCCTGGGTGAAATGAACCAAATCAAGCAAAGCAGGCAGATGCTGTAGGCCAGTCGCCCACAGAAGAATCATAACCTTTCAAAGCAGATTGTGTAAACACAGGAGAGGGAGGAGGAAGATGTATCTTCTGTGTCCCCAGAAACCCGCAGGCACCGGTCCCAGCGATCCCAGGAAGTGAATAGCTAGTTTGTTTTGGGTAGCTAAGAACACTGCCCACTCAACCAAAATAAGAGTGACTTCTTCAAAAGGTTATGAACCCACTGATTTCTGACAGTATTTCCCAAGAAGGCAAACAGAGCCCAAAGCCTGTGCTTAAAAAGCTAGTGATCTAATAACCAAAGAATCACAAATTAAAGTGTCCTATATGAGCCAAATAGGAACACTGGCAAAATAGAGAATTTATGCTTCATTTAATGGGGCAAAGTCACGCCCCCGATGTGCCAGGTCTGCATGCTGTTTTAAAAATTTTTTGTTTAGATATTTTCTATGTAAAACTAAGGTTATTTCACTTAAAATTCCAATTTTCAGTTTCTTCCTGAAAACATGGAAGAACTGTCAACACTGGACCCACGTCCCCACATGGCATTAATCCATCAACTGGCCTCTTTCACTTGTTTAAAATTATTCTCTGGTTCATTTAATTTTTTGAGTTTGCAGCCCTTGCTGTGCATGTTCCTTCCCTGCTTAAAATGTGCTGCTTTCAATGCTCTGTTGCAATTGTATATAAAGTAAAAGTAAACTAGCCTGGAGAGACAGTCTTAAGACGGCTCTCCTTTGTGTAGAATACATGGACTTTGTTGACCACTCTTTTGCATGATCTAAGTTTTTTTTTTTCAGCTTACTTTGTAATTTCCTTATGGTTTCAAAATGCTGGAGAACTGGTCTCCAATTAGTGAAGTATTTCTGGGGGCCTTCTTTAAAGTTACTTGCTATACCATCAACATAGTATTTGTATGTTTTCATTTGTAGGTAGTAGGAGAGATGCTTAAACAGGAAGAGACAGAAGCTCTCCTTGTTGACCCCACTCCTCTCTTGTCTTAGATGCCAGAAACCTATCTGGAGGAGGATAAGCAGAGCATCCATCCATGTGCACACCCTGGGGCCTGCGCCCCCCCATAAATCATTATCTGAACCAACAGGATAGGCTGCTGGGACACCCACTCTACTTATCAGAGCCCAGCAGTTGTGCCCAAGGCAACAGCACCTGAATTTTATAATTCTGCAGGTGAAATTTAGTGCAAACCAGATATTCCTGAGACCCAACTTGGCTTCCGCAACTGTATTCTCAAGCTGAAAACATTTTGTGTGAATGGGGTATGGGGGCGTGGGGACACTGTTTCTCAGAAGCCTTCATTATTTCATTTCTCAAGCAAATACTGGGGATGGAAATATGGAGCATAATTACTCAGGACTTTTTTTTTGTTTTAAGAATGACCAGAAATAGAACCATGAACACTTTTGGTGGGAATGTAAATTAGTTCAACCATTGTGGAAGACAGTGTAGTGATTCTTCTAAGATCTAGAACCAGAAATACCATTTGACCCAGCAATCCCGTTACAGGGTATATACTTAAAGGAATATAAACCATTCCGTCATAAAGATACATGCACACGTATGTTTATTTTAGCACTATCCACAATAGCAAAGACATGGAATTAACCCAAATGCCCATCAATGATAGACTGGATAAAGAAAATGTGGTACATACATATTATGGAATACTATCCAGCCATAAAAAGGAATGAGATCACGTCCTTTGCAGGGACATGGATGAAGCTGGAAGCCATCATCCTCAACAAACCAACACAGGAACAGAAAACCAAAAACCACATGTTCTCACTCATAAGTGAGAGCTGAACAATGAGAACACATGGACACAGGGAGGGGAACACACACCAGAGTCTGTTGGTGGTGGGGAAGGGAGAGCATCAGGATAAATAGCTAATGCATATGGGGCTTAATACCTAGGTGATAGGTTGAGAGGTGCAGCAAACCACTATGGCAAATGTCTACCTAGGTAACAAACCTATGTTCTGTACATGTATCCCAGAACTTAAAATTAAATAGAAATTTTTAAAAAGGAAATAGAACCATGGAAGCTTAAGCAAAATGAAGCAAAGGGGAATTACTTCAGTTAAGTTTTACTTTAGAGCAGATGCTAAAGCAAGAAACTGGGGGGACATGGTTTAGTTGGAAGGTGATCACAGGAAGTGTGGTGAGGAAGTAGAAAAATAAGACAGGAAAGGAAAAGAAGCCAGCAGCAGGGAAATTCATGGGAAGGTTACTTCTGGGGATAACAGGGATTTAACCCCACAAGGGCCCTCCAATAACAGTGTAGGACACACCTCATTACTGTCTCCCTGAGCAGCAAAGAAGCCAGGGTATGCCAACTTCTATCCCTCATCATTAAAGACAGTTCTGGGGGGCATTTATTTATCCCCTGCCACTTCAGGTCTGCCATATGCAGGAGCCAAACACAATCGTATGGCCAGAGAACATTCTTAGGCAGAGAGATGCCTGTGCTTGAGGTGAGAAGCCATCACTGTGTTGGGAACTGTCCATCTAAGCTTCAGGTGACCCTCAGGGTGGGCCAAGAGGATATGAGTGGGGCATCAACAACATAGCTACAGGGAATATTCTAGCTCAAGTGACTGAAAAAAAAAAAAAAAGTAGCTAAGCTTACTCCATGCACAGGTGAATTCAGGACCCAAAATCTGTCATCTGGATTTCGTGTTCCTCCTTCTTGCTGTTCTGCTGCCACACAGTTGGCTCTAGTTGTTGGCTCCAATTCTTGGCTCCAAGTGGAAGCAAGATGGTAGCAGTGATTTTATTCCCTACATCTTTTCAGGTTCACTTTTAATAGAAAATACCAAGTCTTTTCCCCCAGGAGCTCTTATCTTTAGAGACGCATATTGAAAAGTATAGAGATGAAATGATAGGATGTTGGGAATTTGCTCCAAAATAATCTACTGTGGGTGGCGATAAAATGAATTAAGATTGTCCATGAGTTGATAAATGCTGAAGCTGGATGGTGAGTATAGGAGAGTTATCTCTGCTTATGATTAGAGTTACCTCTATTTTCATGCATTTTGGAAAATCATCATAATAAAAAGTTAATTTGAAAAAAGAATCTCTTTTACTCAAGTTTGAGGTAAAGTCTCATTTCACCTCACTGGGTCTTCCTGGACCAGATAACCATCCCCGAACTGTTCACAGGGACCAGGAGCATATAATGACCACATTGTTCCAGCACTGAACCATATGCTCCATCTCTGCACCAGGAGGAATCTCTACAAAAAGCTCAGGGGCTACAGCTGGGGAGAGGGCTTAACAGAGATTGATTACATACAATTACCAGAAGAATGGAAATGAGTGTTAAGATAAAAAATACACAGGTTCATTCCATAATGACAATAGAAATATAGTGGACATAGAATATCTTTCCTCATCAAGCATCCATTCTAGTTTTTTACTGAAGAATTGTCCCTGCTTGCCCCTTTATCCCTGTGGACTGGGCACCCCTTGTGCTAATGGTGCACAAGTGACTTGGTCTGAACAATGAGAGGGAGACCCTGGTGATGGGTGCAGAGATGAGCACATGGCACTGGACCAGCCAATGATAATCTTGGGGCATTCTCTGGAGCCCCTCTTCCTTCTGAGGTGGCCAAGTTGAAGGATGAACATCTGTTGTGGCTGGTGTTATCTTTGCCATCACTTAAGGAGAATCTGCCAAAGACTGAGTCTGACAGAGGAAAGCGGAGCCCAGGTACAGGAAGACGTTCTCGAAGACATTGTTATATATCTGTATTCAGCCGTGCTGGAAGCCAGATACCCTGAACTTTTTAGTTACCTGATCAAATAAATGTTCCTGTTTGGCTTCAGGTTCTCATTTAGACTCCTGTCACTTATATCTCTGGCTAATAAAGGGAACTATGGTCACCCCCACCCCACCCCACGCAGCAATTGTAGTTTTTCCCGCCCCGATACTTGCGACATCAATGTACTGCTGTGGGTACAGCTCTACAAGCACCTGTTTTGCAATTTTCAGGTTAACAAGTAAAATCTTCCTTGAGTGTATACCTCTAAGCCTGTGAACAATATTTCTCATCCATTCATCCCCTCTGAAAATATTTTACATGCCCAATCCTCTGGTAGGTAATTAGGATATAGAAATTGGGCACAATCTATGTCTTCCAGTCCTGGTATGGCGGAGAAGAAAAGATTCAAGTAGCAGACAGACTGCTGTATCTAAAAACTTGGGTTCTTTTCCCAGCTCCATCTTAAACTGTGCAGAAAGAGAATTCTGCTAAACTCTCCCCACTGCTGAATAAAGTGTCCTATGTGAACAGGATCCTGATGGTAAATTTTCATAACCAGAGACTGTCACAGAATTTTAGCCAAGATGAGCCATTCAATATTGATTTATTCTACTTGATCGGAAATCATCAGTAGTCCAATTGTCCTTTCTAATGGAAGATCAGCATAAACAAAGTCACATTCAGGCCAGGACTCTTAAGAAAGGGGCGTGTTTTCTCCTCACTTATTTTTCTGCTGATTGGAAAGAAAAGACAGTGAGATTTAGGGGACTGGAAGAGCCACAATATGGCAGAAATCTAGGTCCCTGAATCACTGCATGGCCATAGGAAAGCTGTTCACCAACCAGGAACACCATTACATCAGCAGGAAGCAAACTTCTACTATGTTATACCACTGATATTTGAGGGCTTATTTGTTATAGCATCTACCATCATCCTTTGAATTACGAAGCTAAGGGAAAAAAAGCCCATTGGCTTTAAAACCCAGCAGAATTCAGTAGGAGGAGGAAGATGGAGAAAGTTATAAAGTAATCAAGTTGGGTGGGAACCTCAGGTTAGATCCTCATTACACTTAGAATGAGCGTTACCCATTTGACACAGGTGGATATCTTTGCTGTTACTCAAAGCCAAGAGGAAGGTATTTTCCAGCTTTATTTGATGAGTTGTTTTCATGCTTAATATTTTCCAGAAATCTGTTAATTCATACAGGTAAGAGACTGTGCCTTAGTCATCTCTGTAGCCTCCACAGCCCTTCATAAACAGCAGATTCAAACAAACAAAAGCTTCATTCAAGAAAGGAAGGAAGGCGGCTTTTTGTCTAGCCCCGTGGTTCTCAACAGGGAAAGATTATTTTTTAACTTTCATTTTAGGTTCAGGGGTACATGTGCAGGTTATATAGGTAAACTGTGTGTCACAGGGATTTGGTACACACATTTGGTACAGATTATTTTGTCACACAGGTAATATGCACATAGTACCTGACAGGTAGTTTTTTATCCTCTCCCTCCTCCCACCCTCCGCCCTCGATTAGAACTATTTGTCTGTTGTTCCCCTCCCTATGTCCCTGTGTTCGCACTGTTTAGCTCCCACTTATAAGTAAGAACATGTAGTATTTGGTTTTCTGTTCCTGCATTAGTTTGCTAAGGATAATGGCCTCTGGCTCCATCCATGTTGCTGCAAAGTACATGAGTTCATTCTTTTTATGGCTATGTAGTACTCCATGCTGTATATGTACCAGATTTTCTTTATCCAGTCTACCATTGATGGGCGTTTAGGTGGATTCCATGTATTTGCTATTGTGAATAGGGCTGCAGAATACATATGTATGCATATATCTTTATATAATTATTTATATTCCTTTGGGGATATACTCCATAATGAGACTGCTGGGTTGATTGATAATTCTGTTTTAAGTTCTTTTAGGAATCATCACACTGCTTTCCACAATGGCTGAACAAATTTACATTCAACTGGGGGAGATTTTTACCACCAGGAAATGTTTGTCTATGGCTGGAGACATTTGTTGTCACAACTATGGACTGCTACCTGCATTTAGTGGGTAGAGTCCAGGGATGTTGCTATATATCTTACAATGCACAGAACAGCCCCTCCCACAGCAAAGAATTCTCCTGCTCAAAATGTCCATAGTGCCAAGGTTAAATCTTGATATTATAACCTAAGGTTCCCATCCCAACTTGACCAATTAATCATTTTATAACTTTCTCCGTTCTCCTATTTAACCTACTGGGCTTTAAAGCCAGTGGCCCTTTTTCTTAGCTTCCTCATTCATGAAACAGTTTTCTGGGGAGGCCCTAGAATTTTACCTCTGTATTAAAATGATCTCTATTTTCTTTTCATTAAGGGAAAAATATACAAGGGGGGTGGATGCAGGGGGCAAGGAGTGGGTAAGCAGACCAGAAAGAGACTCCACATTAAAACACACAGGAAAACAGATCTTCTCTCTGGAAGACACCTGCAATCTCTTTGTTTCCTTTCTTATATTAGGTCTTCCGCATGGTCAAGGAAAGAGACCCACTCCAGTTAGTTCAAGAGAAACTGTTTATTGTAAGGACACATGCAGATTGCTACCAGAAGCCTTCATATTCTCTCCCCACTCCCCTGCCCCATGGTCCCCTATTTCCACTCCCCTCCAGTCATCCCCACACTGTCCTCCTCCCACAGCTGTCCCCTGATCCTTCCTAACTTCAGCTCATTGTGGCATCTTTTCAGCCCCTGTATCCACGATGCTAACTGAAAAATCCTATTCTATTTCTAATTCAAAAGCCCACATTTAAGCTCATCCTTTCAAACCCAGCCACAGACGTCAAATTTCAGACTGAGGACTGGATATACTTTCATCGGTCCAACACTCTTGGTCAAAGCAGCAATCCACAGCAAGAAGGGTGGGGCAACCACAAAGATTGGCATCTCTGCTACACTGTATCACACACACTCCTACCCCTGACTCCGAGTGACATCAACCACAGACAGTTACATTGAGCTACAGGAAGGATTAAACCACTTCCAAGACCCAGGAGGTCCCCTAATCATTTTGCCCCATGTCTTGGCTCACACCCCTGGAAACACTGGGGGAAAGTCACCTACCTTGTTTGGGGACACCTTTTTAGAGGATAACTCTTGGTCCTCAAGCTTAGAAGCTGTTATGAGGAAGACGTTGGGGCTTTTCAGAATAACATCCGAAGATTACCCCACAGATACCTTCTCCTCTGGAATCGCTCTCAACAGTGTCAGGCAGAGCCCCGGGAGCCCACACATCTTTCTCTGTGTTCTTGTGACCATGGAAATCAGGCAGGTCTCAAGAAACAAAGTCACAAAGGCATGAGCTCATCATCTATTTTCATAACACTAATGCAAGAGACCTCCAACACAAGCAAAGCAAAGGCACCGACTGGGTGCAGCCACATATCATGAGTTTCCAGGCCATTCTGCCTGAGTTGAGATCATTATGCTGCTTCTTTCATTGCACAGGAACGTGGGGGTTTTCTCTAAACTATGACTCATAGCAAAGCATACAGGCAATCATGTAGAGAAACCTGTTCTCCCCAGGAAAGGAGGGTGAGCAAATGCTAAAAGTTTTGATACTTTAATATAGCACTGGCCTTGGCTAATTTTACTTAATATGAAAGATTTCAAATAATGGAAACACTGACAGGCAAAAACATTAAAAGTTTGCATAAAATCTCAAAAAACCCTGCAAACAAGAGAGAAGCATGGTCTAATTAAAATAAAGGAAAAGATTGCTACTGGGTTCCTGAATACTCTTTTCACAAAGGCTTCACGTCAGATGAACTTCAAGCACCAAGCAGCAGGGATCCCACTGAAGTTTATTCAGCGCCCTTCTGGGCACTACCAGCTGTGAAACTGGTAACCTATTGACAAATAGGTTATTTTTCCAGCTGCACCCATATTCAAGAGCTTGACCAGCAAAGTCCCCTGATAATATTTGGCCATGAGTCAGAATGTATTAGGCACCTTCTGTAGCCAGAGCCAAAAAAACTCTGGCTACAGGAGAAACCTGGCACTGTGCACAAGATCCCCTTTTTTAGCATCAGCTGTCCCCTTTGCAGTTTGTTAAAGCTGGAGGAGTTTTAATCCAAGTGAACTCTCTTTCAGGAGGCTTCGGGGTAAGGAAGCTACAAAAGCGGGGAGGTAGGGGCACGGCTGCAAAGTGATGAACATTGCAGCAGGTTCGGCTATTCAGAATGAGCTATTTTCTCCCAAATCCTGTAATTGCCTGGAGCACGTGATCTTTTTGAAGGTCATTAGAGGCATGCGGCTGTCAGATCTCTCCCAGAAAGTTTCGCTTTGATTAGTTAGTTCCTGATGCTTATTTCCTAAAAGGCTCTTTTTGTCCCCCACCCCCCCAAAAAATGGGGAGCATTAAAATTTTAAAAAAGGAATTAGATGAATATCCTGCTAAATGTAACTTGGCAAGATGAAAGGAAGTAGCAAAGAAACATGAAAAGGGTGCAGACCTTCTTGGGCCCCCTGCTGGAGAGCCAACCTGAGGGAAATTGACGCACGATCAGCATATTCCTTCCCCAAAATGAGGCGACTCGGAAATACACAATATCAATCATCATCTATGCAACCACTCATTATTTTGACTCAAACAGAACGACATACATCATTGGTAAAGCCCACGTGGACATTTCCAGGTCCCTGGGGCATTTATAAGCTGGGAAAGGTTAAAAAATAAAATAAAATTCTCTTTTTTAAGGATTCCGATGTCTAAGAAAGCAGCCATGAGGACCTAATAAAGAACTAGAGCTGAATAAGTTGTCCAGTGACTATGATCAAATATACAGCTAGCAATGGCAATGTTTCACATCAAAGAAGAAAATCAAAGTTTTTTCCCAGCACAGGGAGATGGGGCCGATCTCTCTTGGATCAAAAGTCCTTTTTGTCCTCTCACATTTGCAGATGTGTAAATTCCAGGCAGATCTAATGAAGGAGTTACCTTTTCAATCCCTAGATTGTGTTTGCCAAAACTTCCCTTGCAATAGGGACACTCCAGCAACCCTGGCTCGGGGCTCCCTGCGTACTTAGATGTAATACTATGTCAACAACATCCTGCAGGCTGAAGCAGCCTCTTTTTTTTAAAGCCTTGGATCAACTATGCAAGCTCAACTTGCTTTTATTTTTGTTGAAAATACTAAATTCATTTGTCATCACTAATTCCCTCAAGCAAAGGAACAGCTCCTCGTTGATGCCATAGTTTGCAAGATACTGAAGTCGCACGTTGTTTCTAAGAACACTGATGCTCTAAATCTCCAGCTTTTGACTTCAGGAAAATGGCACTTACTTTATATTCATAGAATTTCTGGGGCAGTTCTTCTCAAACTTTAACATGCACGTGAATCGCCGAGGGATCTTGTTAAGAGGCAGATTCTAGCTCGGTCAGTCTGGATGGGACCTGAGATTCTGCATTCAGGTTCCCAGAGGATGTCAAAGCTGCTGGTGCATGGACCACACTTTGAATGATGAGATCTGTTTAGCTGGTTGGTAGGTACCTGGTGGCTGAGCTTTCAAACTCTGTAATCAGACTACCTGGGTTTGCATCCAGCCTCCACTGTTTACCCTTTCTTACTGTGTGCCTCAGCTTCCACATTTGCAGAATAGTGCTCAAAATAACAGTACAAATAGAGCTGCTCCGTGGGTTACAGAAAGCTATATGTATAAATCACTCGGCACAGTGTATGGCACATGAGCACTCAAGAGGTGAGCTGTTTCTGCCCTGGTGTAATCATCCCTCACAGAGCCCTTGTTCCCACCTTCTTTCCAGGCAGTAGAAAGCCAGAATAGTCTCCAGAGACAGATGAAGTGAAATTGCAAGCTTCTGACTCTCACAACTCAACCCATCAGCTTAGGTTGTTAAAAAAGCGAGGTATTGCAGTGCACTATATTGTCATAGTCTGAGAAGGGCCGTGTGCGTGCCCTTGTGTGTTCCAAAACCTAGGCCACGATGTATAGGGAAAAAAGAGCACAGGTCAGGTGGCCCAGGGAGCAAACTGACCTGTGAGATCCTTCGTTTGCTTACTTACAACATTGGGATAATAAAACCTACCATGTAGGGATACTATGAAGATCAGGGATCATGTATGCAAAGTGCCTGCCCTGTATGCAGTAGATGCTCAATAACTGGAGGCTGTTATGCTTGTAATCAAAATCCTATCCTCCCAAGAGCAAACAGGAGAAGAAGCCAACATAACTGGCAACTTAGCCTTGATAACTCTTTGTTTATCCGGGCAAGCGGAAAAGGGCAGGATTCCTTGGTGCTTGGGTAGAGAGCTTTTCCATAGCCTCAGATACAGACAGGGGCACTGAAATTATGGGGTACAAGAGGTTTTTCCAGGTGGTCCAGGTGAGACGGAGCTGGGAGATGGCAGGGAAAGATACAGTCACAATTGATAACTAGAGAGCTATCCATTCATTCATTCATTCATGATATTTATAAGTTGGCCCGTGTGTCAGGTGTTGTACAAGACAGAGCAGAGGCCCCACTCTCAAGGAGCAACCATTTCACAGAAGAGACAGAAACATGTAAATGAACACATACAAGTTAAAGTTGTGGTACAGCTAATGACATGAGGGCTCCTATGGAAAAGGTTAGCAGGACTGTCACGAAGCCCTCTCAAAGGAAATGCCCCAAAAGCCAAGTTGTGAAGAAGTCATCGTCAACCAGTGCAGAATAGTGGGAAGAGCATTCCAGGCATAGGGAACCATGAGGACAAAGCCCCTAGGGTTGGAAAGAACAAGGAGGAAAATGACAGCAAACAAAGCCCCAAAAAAGCACGTAGTGCCCAAATCATGCAGGGTCTCTTCATAGGCCATGGTGAGGATGTTGGATTTTATTCCAAAGGCTACAAGATGCCATGAAAGGGTTTTAAATCTGTCTTACAAAACCATAAATTTCACACTGCAGCAATCAAGTCCCACAATGTCCTGAAACTATGGAGTCAGAACTTGACCTCTTGACGCCTTCTACTTCTTACTAGAGATTCAAGGTCTTTGACCCTGGTGACACAACACCAGTACGGGATTTTTTCAAACTTTTTGCATTTATTGTCGAAGAAGCAGGGGCAGCAAAGAATATTTGGCTTTCCCTGGAAGTCCCAAGGGATGCTGGACAGAACAACCCCAAGTGGAAAGACCCTTGTTAGGAGAAGTCGAGTAAATACACTAGTGAGTAGACCATTCCTCCACTACAAGCTCAGCACTCCCAAGGAATAAGTAAATCCCTACTTAAATTGCCTGGGAGGCCTCCCTCAATTACACAAATCTAAGACATGACAGGGTACAGCAGAGATTCTCCTACAGCAAGTCTGAAGGCTGAGAGCAAAGCAATGGAGCTAAGGCATCATCCTCATACTGCTCATGGTGGGAGGAAAAAAAAAAAAAAAAAGACTGTTCCGAGTCTCCCCTCCCTGGCTGTTTTGCTAAGCCCCAGGCCTACAGGAGGCTGGATGGCCCAGGGGAAGAGGCTGCCTTGCCTACCCTGGGAAAGTGGATGGAGGGTAGCTTCTTCCTCTGCCAAGAAAATCAGGCGTCCTACAGGGAGAGAGAGCTGGGGGTAAAGGCTGGGTGGGAGGATGCTTAAGGGCCAGTCTTTCCCCAAACTCAGCTCCCTAGAGTACAGCGAGTTCTCTCCCACTCAGAGCAGAAGGAGGTCTGACACACTCACACCTGCAGGAAAACTGGGGGCCAGGAGGTGGGAGACAAAATGAGGACACAGACAGGAGGAGCCCCAGACTCCTTCCTGACTCCCTGCCTTCACCAGAATGAAGTAGGGAGGCTTAGAGCTCCTTCCAACTGCACTGTTTTGCTTACTGAATTTTCATTTTGCTTTTCTTAATTATAAGAATAATGCAAAGTCCCATCAACAACATTTTTGTGTGAGTTGATGGATTTCTTTATATATATATATATTTTTTTTTGAGATAGGATCTCGCTCTGTCGCCCAGGCTGGAATGCAGTGGCACAATCAGAGCTCACTGCAGCCTCAAATTCCTAGGCTCAAGTGATCCTCCTGCCTCAGGCTTCCAAGAAACAGACTACAGGCGTGCACCACCACACCTGGCTCATTTAAAAAAATTATTTTTTGTAGAGAGGGGGGTCTCGCTATGTTACCCAGACTGGTCTCAAACTCCTGGCCTCAAGCAACACTCCTGCCACTGCCTCCCAAAGCACTAGAAATAGAGGCAAGAGCCAGTGCCCAGCCAGTTTCATTACCGTATTTCAAATATTTTGCAGTATTGGCAGGGTTTACTATTTTCTTGGGCATCTATTAGCCATTGAGTTTTTATTCTCTAATCACATGTTACTCATTTCTCTTCCATTTTTCTTTTAGGGTGTTTTGTCTTTTTCTTAATTTGTAAGTCATCTTTGTGCGTTAAAGATAGTAACCCTTTGGCACGTATCACCAACGTTTTTCCCTACCATTTGTTGGTTTCTGTTAATTTTCTTTATGTTATTGCTGGAACTCCCTGAAACGACCACAAAGCAACCATTTGATTCTGCCAAAAATATTGTCTTTGAAATATGGTTTCTAGAACGTCTGTGAGTCACCTGCTCACATGTCCAAGATGTCTCAGAAATCCTTCTGCTTTTATAAACCTTGTCTTTTGGCCTACAGCACCAGTCTACACTTTTTACCAGCTCTGAGGACCTTCTGAGTCACACTCTGAAGTCCTGACCTCACCATAAACAAAGAGCCTTTTCTGGGGGAGTTGGAGCTGCCCTAAGCCAGTGAAAGCCAATGCTCACACGCTTGCCCTATCCAACTGCTTTCATTAGCTCCATTCTTTTTAGTCTAAAAGCCTTCCTGACAGCAACAGGGGCCAAGAATTTCTCTCATGAACCCCATTTTCTTGATTTCAAAATCCACTTGCCTTGGGAGAAACGCTTGAACCTGGGAGGTAGAGATTGCAGTGAGCAGAGATCGTGCCACTCCACTCCAGCCTGGCAACAGAGATTCAGTCTTGAAAAAAAAAAAAATCCACCTGCCTTGGTACAAGATGGGAAAGTCTTTGGGTGTTTATTGGCTGTATGTTCAAGATGAATCACCTGTGAGCTGTGGCATCCATGAAAATGTGGAGCTCCTTACCATCCTCAAGAACTTTCTCACCACTCAACCTCTGCATGTGATATTCCTCCACCTAAACACTACCTCCCTACCCCCATACTCCACCCTGGTTGGCCAACTTCTAATCATTTTTCCAATCTTAGCCTAACTACCACCGCCCTGGGAGGTCTTCACCAGCAACTGTGCCAGGCACCCTTGTGCACCAAGAGCCTTTAGTATCATTTCTAGCATCATGGTATATTTATATATAAGAATAATTGCCTGTTTATCTGTCTCCCCAGCCTTTTTATAGCATGAACTATGTCCTTCACCACTGTATCCCTAGCAACTAGCACAGAGCCTGGCACCTAGCTCACAATCAATAAATATTTGTGGAATTGATGGATGAATTCAGGCACTGGAAGCAAGAAAAGGGCCAGCACCACCGCTATCTACGTAAGTCATCCATACCAAGAGTATCAAGTTGAGCTCTTCCATAGTAAAGAATTAAACCTCGCCCAAAAAGAAGTCTGGTCTTTACCCTTGGTGTCTTACTAAGCCCTGGGAATGTCATGCCTGGATAGGAGTGTTTTTTTGCTTGTGGGGGCCTTGGGTCACACCAGAGAGTCTAACAGTGTGATTTAGAGTGGGGGCTTAGAATCACATAGCATGAGCTCAACCTCCAGAGGACCTGGAAGCCAAGGTCACCCATATAAGAACTCAACAGCAGACCCCAAAAAAGACTCTGCACGCCAAGGCTCAGTGAGCTTCCCTTGTTGGCAACGTCCCATGCTTATTTTCATCCATTGTTGCTGAGAAGGTGGCACTGTCCATGATTCCGTAGGAAGATCACCACTGGCAGCTCACGGTTGGACCTTTCATGATTCTGCCTATGTGTCCCTCTTTTGGCTGATTTTAGTCTGTATCCTTCAGCTATAACAAGCCATAGCCGTGGGTGCAACAGCTTGCAGCGAGTTTTGTGAGTTTCCAGTGAATTATCAAAGATAAGGGTGGTCTTGGCAGCCCTCAATCTTCCAAGTGATGTCAGAAATGATCGTTTTATGAACTGTACCCCTCAACTTTGCAGCTACACACTTAAGGACATTCTGATGGAAGGAGCTGTAATATTAACCTATCTGGGAAGTGTGAACTGTAAAGAAGAGGCCATTACAGAATGTTGAGATTGGCCAAACCACCACTGTAGATGCTCCATTCACTGGAACCAGCCTTGGAATGCAGAGGGCTCCTGCCACCCCACTCTTCTAGGCTAGAGGTGGGCAGCACCCTCCAGGCAAGAGCATGAATCATGTGTGCCTGCTTGCTGCTCCCCCTCTCTCCAACAGATGACTGGGCAAAAATAGAAGAGAATCCCTCCTTTATAAATATCTTTACATGCTAAATGTCTCTATAAAGCACCATGCGCCAAGCTAGGCTGCTAAGAAACAGATGCAAAACAGATGCAAAGATCCATGAGATAGCTGAGAAGTTAAAGAATTTTAATTCAACAAAAGGCAAGAAAAGTTTCTTAGGAGCATAATACAGTCAAGGGAGGCCTGATGCAACTGGAGAGTCATAGAAATTCTGGCTCCCAGCTATTAACAATAGTATTTCTTACCATGGCAGTTTCAATGCACATATGTGCACGAGTGTGTCTGTGCATACCTGAGCACGCTCTTATTTCATCCCCGTAACCAATCTTTATTCATTTAACAGATATTTATTAAGCACCTACTATGTGCATCACTTTTTTTTTTAAGCACCTACTACGTGCGTGACTTACTTTTTTAAAACAGGGTCTCGCTCTGTTGCCCAGGCTGGAATGCAGTGGCACGATCAGAGCTCACTGCAGCCTCAAATTTCTGGGCTCAAGTGATCGTCCTACCTCAGCTTCCTATGTAGCTGGGACTGCAGGTGTAAGCCATGACACCTGGTGAAGTCATTTTAGTTTTTAGTAGAGACAAAGTCTCTCTGTGTTGCCCAGGCTGGTGATAACTCTCTTAAGATATAGAAATGACTAATGTCCCTGCTTTCAAAGGACACATGCTTTAATGGGAGGAGTTTGATTAAAAAAAAAACAAAACACTAACCATATAATACTTAGATAGAGCTAAGCTATAGGAGAAAATGAAGCTGAGTAATGGGCTAATGGCTAGAGTGGAGGCTACTTGAACTTGGATGATCATGAACAGCCTGTCACAGTCAGCAATGTTTGAGACGAAACTTGAATGGTGAGAACAAGACAACCACAGAAAGGTCCAGGGGAAGAAATTCCCAAGCAAACGGAACAACAAGTGCAAAGGTGAGTGTGAGGAATGTTCCAGAAAGATAAAGGACCAAGGGAAAAGAGAGCAGGATTTGGTCTGAGATATAAGCAGGAGATTATGGTGCTCCTTCTAGGCCACAGCAAGCAATTGATTTTAATTCTAGGTAAAATGGAAAGCTGGAGGAAGATTTTAATAAAGATGCATGTGATTCAAGATATGGGTTTTGTCATCGTTCTTACTCACTCGACCAGCGAGGTCATGCATTGATCATAGGATGTCAAAGCTGGAAGAAGATACCAGTTTAGAAGATGCTGCTGTCACTGAATGCAGATTTCATAAGGAGTTGCAGTGAAGGTAGAAGCATGTTTCATGGATCTGTGTTAAGGGCAGAGCTAGAAGCCCTTGCTGATGGTTTCTACATAGCAGGTAAGAGGGAGAGAGAAATCAAAGGTGACTTGTAGGTTTGTAGTTTGAACAGCTAGATGGAAAATGAGGTCATTTACTAAGACAAGAAAGTAAGAAGGAGAGATAGGTATGGGGACATGCTAAAGACAATGAGACTCAGAAAAGCCAAGAGACTCATTCAAGGTTACATGGCTGGGAAATGATAGAGGCAGACTTGGAACGCTGGTCCCTGGGACTCCACGGCAGGGTTCAAATGGTAAAGCAAGCTGAATTTCCAGGCCAGGTTCAGGGAAACATTGAGGGGAAAATCAAATCAGTAATCCAGGCAAATTCAGGGCATACCACGTGGCTGATCTATTTTCAGCATCCACTCTTGTGAAGGCTACTTGTAGAATCTTAGAATTAATAGAATTTTCGAGCTGAGCAGATCTTTGGGCTCAAAAGGGCATCTGTGCCTTTGCAAACATGATTCACCGAACATCCCCTGAGTAGGCAGATGGGTCAGGCTGCTGAGTAGACTTTAAATGGAGCTCCGGACACAGACCCATCTTCCAAGCCATCCTATTCACTTTCTCCCCACTGTCAAAAGGAACAGGACATTATATAAACCTTCTGAAATGCCAAAAGGAGGAATTCTATATTTAACTCCCCTCCCAGCATCCAAACATCACATGATGGAATGTTGAGGATCTAATTCAACAATGTTGAGTAACAGGGATATAACCCAGGGGACTCTCTCTCTCCTTCTCGCTTCTCCTGCAACTTCTCGTCTCCAGCCACCCACTGTCATGTCTTCATTAAGGGAGTTCGGGAGCAGCCTGACTCAAGCAGGTCCCCAGGAAAGTAAACAGCTGGGGGAGTAAAATGGATTGTGCTAACATATAATCCATAGCTGCCAGGGAGCTGGAACTCAGAGCCAAACACAGACTCATCTCTTCAGCTATCCTGAGAAGTGTGGGGACTGAGGACTAAGAGGGACAGAGGCAGCAATATAAAAACCAGTGCCCTCAAGGTTCAGGAGGCAAATGAAATGGAACTTAAGCTTCTGCATCTCTGCAGTCGGGACTTTTGTTAGAAAAGCACTTAAAAAATTCAAGGCACATCCACAAGATTTCAAGAGCTGGCATGATGGAAAATAGCGGCAGGGGCTGATCAAGATGGCATGGAGTGAGGCTTCTGAAAACACTTATTGACCAGCTTGCATGCTGTGGGTGATCGATAAATATTAAACACCGAGGCTAGTGGAGAACAGGTTTTAATGAGGCCCAGAACAGCATGTAGAGTGGGCTGTAGTAGTGAGGGGCCATGGAGATGCTAAGCAACCAGTCTCATGCCTGCAGGTCCCCCATGTCCATGCTTCTCCCTAGGCTGTTCTCAGTTACAAAGACAAAGCAAACCAACTCGGGGGGAAATTCATCGGGAAGTTGGAAGCTAAAGGGTCCCTCCTAGCATGGCCAAGGCCTGCCGCTCCAGTCTCTTCTCACCACTTATCCCATTTTTTTTTTTTTTAATGCTCAGGGTATAACAATAAATAAGAGAGGGACAGAGAGCACCTCTGCTCTCGGAGTTTCCAGGCTACTGAGAGAGGCTTCAAATGCATTGACAAGACTAGAGTAGGAAAGTACCTTCTGTGATAGGCCCTCAGAGAAAGGGCGTCTGTTTCAGCCAAGAAGGTCAGGGAAGACTTCCTGGGAGACATGGCTTTTGAATGGGATTAGCCAGTTTAAGAGGTGGGGAAGAACATTTCATAGGCAATGGCCTGAGTGCCTGCTGTTCTTTTTGCTTGTAACACACTTGTGCCCCTGACCCACCATGGATCTTGTATTCTCTTCACTAATATCCCTCTGCCTAGAGTGGCAAAACAGGAAGAGTAATTCGCCATTATTATTAGCATGTTATTATTGTTATTATTACTACTACTGTTATTATTTTACTTATGAGCGCTTATGATGTGTCAGGCACTGCACTAAGCATTTTACCACCATTATTCTCCTCTAAGCTCCATATCCCTAAAAAAAAGTATTATAATCCCCATTTATAAGTAAGGAAACTGAGGTTCAGAGATGTGAAATAGTCTGGGCTTGGTGGCTCGCGCCTGTAATCCCAGCACTTTGGGAGACTCAGGCAGGCAGATCACTTGAAGTCAGGAATTCAAGGCCAGCCTGGCCAACATAGTGAAATCCCATCTCTTCTAAAAATACAAAAATTAGCCGGGCGTGGTGGTGCATGCCTGTAATCCTAGCTACTCAGGAACCTGAGGCAGGAGAATCGCTTGAACCCGGGAGGCAGAGGTTGCAGCGAGCTGAGATTGTGCCACTGCACTCCAGCCTGGGCAACAGAATGAGCAGAACAAGACACCGTCTCAAAAAAAAAAAAAAAAAAGATGTGAAATAACTTGTCCAAAGTAAACTCAGCCAGTAATGGGTGGCAAAGCTGGATTTGGGGCCATGCAACATGTCTCCAGTGCACCTAAACAGGTGCTATACCACTTACCACTAGGTCATCCTACGTCAAATGTAAAGCCACACATTGAGCTATGTCGTGATGGCTTTCTGACCTAACTCCTCATGTCCCTTGACATTTATCATGCAAGAGCTAGTCCATAGGCATTGGAATCATTCGGGCATGGGGTTAAATCCCAGAGCCACCACTAACTAGATCTGTCATTTTAAGCAAGCTATCTGAACTTTCATTGCCTCGGTTTCCACAACCACAAAATGGGAATTTAGTACGTATGTCCTAAAGGACTGCAGAAAGAAGCAAAATAATACGTCTAAGCAGTGTAGCAGAAGACCTGGCACTTAACAGATTATAAGTTTCCCATTGCTGCTGTAACAAATTGCCATAAAGTTAGTGGCTTAGAGTGATGTAAAATGTATTAAAGTCCTGGAGGTCAGAAACCTAAAATGGACCAGCAGGCCTTCCTAGTGCTTCCTTCTAAGGCTTTAGAGGAGAATCCATTTCTTACCTTTTCCAGTTTGTAGAGTCTGCCCACATTCCTTAGCTCATGGCCACATCACTCTAACTCTGTTTCCATGGTCACATCTCCTTCTCTGACTCTTCCATGCCCGCCTCTTATAAGTACAGTCACAATTATATTGGGCCCACCAGATAATTTTGGATGAGGCTCTCATCTCAAGATGGATCCATAACTTAATCACATCTTCAAAATCCCTTTTGCCATAAATCATAACATTTATACAGGAGTCAGAGTTTAGAAGGTGAACATCTTTGAGAGGTCGTAGTTCTGCCTGCCAGGCCACCATCTTGCTCCGAAAGATTCACTCCATCTCCCCAAAACTAACTCACGATAGTGTCAAAGTCCAAAATTTTCATCAAAATCTCATCAGACCAGGCACAGTGACTCATGCCTGTAATCCCAGCATTTTGGGAGGCCAAGGCGGGTGGATCACCTGAGGTCAGGAGTTCGAGACCAGCCTGGCCAACATGATGAAACCAGTCTCTACTAAAAATACAAAAATTAGCCAGGCACGGTGCTGTGCACCCATAATCCCAGCTACTCTGAAGGCTGAGGCACGAGAAGCGCTTGAACCCGGGAGGTGGAGGTTGCAGTGAGCCAATATCATGCCACTGCACTCCAGCCTGGGTTGACAGAGTGAGATTCAGTCTCAAAAAAAATAATAATTATAAATAAATAAATAAATCTCATGAGCTCAGATGTCTAAAATCTTATCTCAATCACCTAAGTCAAGTACTTATAAGAATCTGAGCATGATCCCTCCTGGGTCAAAGTTTCTCTCCAACTGTGGACCTGTAAAACTAGAAAACGGATTATCTGCTCCCCAGATGCAATTGTGGAACAGGCATGGGATATCAGTTACAGGGGTTTTTGATTAAAAAAGGAATCAATGAAAAGAAAAAACAAGTTACCACATCCAAACAATTTTGGAATTCAGTTAGGCAGTCCGGATGCAGTGGCTAATCCCTGTAATCCTAACACTATGGGAGGCCAAGGTGGTTGGAATGCTTGAGCCCAGACATTGGAGACCAACCTGGACAACGTGGTGAAACCCCACCTCTGAAAAAGAAAAAAAAAATACAAAAACAGATTAGCTGGGTATGGTGGTGCATGCCTGTAGTCCAACCTACTCAGGAGGCTGAGGTGGGAGAATCACTTGAGACCAGGAAGTCGAAGGTGCAGTGAGTGATCACATCACCACACTCCAGTCTGGCCTTCAGGGTGAGACACTGTTTCCAGAAAAAAAAAAAAAAAAAAAAAATGGAGAGGAGAGATTCAGTTAGGCAAACATTAGGCTTCAAAGCCTAGAAATAATCCTCTCCCATCTCTGTCCTTTGAGCTTGAGGCTCTACCCTCTGAGTAACCAGTCCTTTCTCATGAAGGGTAATATGTGTTTCCAGCCTAAGAGTTTTAACCGTCATTTCCTGCCTGTAGAATTTGGGGAGTATATCATAGGTGATAATTGAACAATGAGAACACTTGGACAGAAGGCGGGGAATATCACACACCGGGGCCTGTCAGGGGGTAGGGGGCTGGGGGAGGGATAGCATTAGGAGAAATACTTAATGTAAATGATGAGTTGATGGGTGCAGCAAACCAACAGGGGACATGTATACCTATGTAACAAACCTGCACATTGTGCACATGTACCCTAGAACTTCGAGTATAATAATAATAAAAAAAAAATTTAGGGAGTGTAATGGCCTTCCTTCATTTTATCTTCTCTGTTCCCTTCTGTCCAAATTGCCAATGTTTATGCTGGTAGGAAATTTCAAAAACCTTATGGGTCTCCTGAGTATGTCATGGGGATTCACTCCATCAGACAAAAAATGGTTCTTCACAGTTCTTTCCTAGATAATCCTAATATCTATTCTTTGCTTCTGATTTGATGGCCAAGGGGTACATGAGTCTCATACCTAATCTCTTCAAAGAGCACTCTGTGTGGCTGAATACTGGGACTTTTTATCTTTCCAACGAACTAGCAAAAAAAAACTGTTCAGCCATACCCTTTCCTAACATGCTTTCCTGATAGTAAATCTCCTAATTTTAGCATCTTTTGCAATCCAGATAGGCTGAGAATTTCCCAAGTCATCAAATCTTGCTTTCTTTTTGCTTAACAGTTCTTGCTTCAATCTCTTTCCTCTCACATTTTACTAAAAGGAGCAAGAAGAAACCAGGCTGCCCCTTCAACACTTTACCAAGTTCATTGCTTGCAAGTTCAGATTTCCACACAACTGTAGCATATAATTCAGATAAATGCTCTGCCACTATATAACAAGGATGTCCTTTCCTCCAGTTTTCAATAACATTTCCTTCGTAGGTAGCCCTCCCTGGTAATGCTTTTAACGTCCATATTTCCACCAAAAGTCTGTTCATGATGATTTAGGTAGTCTCTAAAATGATGTATGCCTTCTCTAACATGTTTCTTACTTCTGAGTCCCCAGAAACAGAACTGTTAGCATTCGTATTTCCACTCACAGTCTGTTGAAGGATGTCTAGTCTTTTTCTCTGATGTGTCTCCAAATTATTCTAGCCTCTGCCCAACACACAATTCCAAGGCCACTGCCACTTTTTAAGGTATTTGTTACAACAGAGCCCTATTCTTGGCACCAAAATCTGTATTATTGAGGGTTCAATTAAAGGAACAGATGAGCGGGAGACATATATTAAGAAATACATGACAAGGAATTGGCTTACATGATTGTGGGGAATGGGTAGGTAAGTCCAATATCCACAGGGCAGGCTGGAACTTCTGGGCATGAGCTAAACCTTCTCTCCTCAGGTGGAATTTACTCTTCAGAGAAGCCTCAGCTCTACTCTTAAGGCATCTGACTGATTGAATCAGGCCCACCCAGATTATCTAAGATAACCTCCCTTAAAGTCAACTGATTATAAGCTTTAATCACACCTACAAAACACCTTCACAACCCACCTACATTAGAGTTTGACTGAGTACAGACTGTAGCCCCATCCAAGTTGACACAGAACTGACAGTTGTTGCATTCATCATACTCCGTCCCTAACACTCAAGACAGCTTCTCACGCATTCCTCTATCTCCTCCCCTGGGGCCAAGGTCCAGATAAGCACATGTAAGTTAAGTGAGCAAGTCTAAAAGCAGATGTGCTTATCCTTTCAATCACTCTACTTTTCATCACTCTCCCTTTTACACTCTGCTCCACCATCCAACCCCACTGGTTCTGAAGGTTTCCTATTGAACCACCCTCCCAGAAAGCCCATCATCTTCTGCTTTGGAAAGCCAATATTGTAAATATTGGAAGCATAACTTCCAGCACACACAAACACACACACACGCAATATCATCCCACCTCTTCAACAGATGAAGGCGAAAACAACTAAAATCCAAGAGTAAATCTCCAGCTAAAAACAAGCTCAAATAGCAACAAAAACTTCAAGGAGGAGATTCATTTGCAACTAGGTGCTAATGAAACCAGGTCCTCCTTCCAAGAAAATCAAACTGTGTAACTCAGAATAGCCAATTTAGGATGCAAGAGGCATTTGGCTAATTATACTCAATTGTAGACCTGTTATCCATGGTGTTAAACAAGGACTAAAGGTTAAAGATACTGATTAATAATTAATAAACTATCTCATTAAAAAAAGAAATCATTGCAATATTTTGCTCTGCATATTCTAGGTGACCTTTTCCTCCCCCATTTTTCTTCATATTTTGGATGAATTTATCTGTCAGTGGAAATGTCTTGAAAGAATAAGTTCACTCCACCTTCACAAGGATGGTAATGATGATGATGTTTATAGCAGCTACCATTTATGGGGGAACTGACCTTGGGCCTCACGACTGTGCTAAGCACTTAACATACAATGTTTCGTTTTATCATTATTATGACCTGAGGCCCTGAAAAAGAATTTGAGCTCCCAGTGGTTTGAGAAATGATCCCAGGAAACACTGGTAAGAGGAAAGAGAAGTGAGACAGGGAAGTAAAAGGAAACAATAAATGGTAAATTTTAAATTAAGTGACTGCTTAAGGCAACTGGGCCTTAAGATCACTAGAGACATCTGGGATATAGCATGAAATATCTACTCTACATCACAGTTATCCTGCCTACAAGACAACGGACTGGAGTGCTTATCCACAAATCCCTACCGTTGGCTGCTTCCAGCACCTTCACTCCCCCTGCAGGTGGGCTAAACCTGCTTCCAAAGCCAGAAAAGACAGAGTCGGAGGGGTTCACAGTGAGCAAGCTTCAGTATATGGAGGCAAGGACTGGGGGCATATGGGAAAGCCCCAACAGCACATGCTACATAACCCTAATAAGTAGGTGGTACCACCCTCATTTAAAAGGAGAACAAAAATGAGGCTCAGAGAAGATAAAGTAACTTGCTTAAATGAGGAGGCTGGATTGAAAGCAGGCCTGACTCTAAAGTCACATTCTTGCCCCCTACACATGCTGACAGGTGTTCCTATTTTCTCCATCTTAGTTTGAGCCATATCACCCACACCTGGAGGTCTGCAATGACCTAATGCTTTCACCTGCCTCCAGTCCTTCCTGCACACTATGGACAATTTCATTTCCCTTCCTTAGCTACTTACAAAACGGAGGACGAAGTTCAAACTCCATATTCAGGCACTCGATTATTCCCGTCAGCTGGCTGTATGGCCACTGTATGCCTTCCTGCCCCAGCCCTGGCCTACATTTCCTTAATTCAACTCACGTGCCATTTTTCTTCTTTTCAATAAAAATTCACTGTGCACCTATTCTGTGTGAGACACTATAGTTTCCTCCTCTGTAAAATGGGGGTAATTGTAGGGTTAAGAGCATTAAATGAGAGAGTGTGACATGCTTAGCACAAAGTAAGGGCTGAAGCAATGCAAGCCCGCATTATGAGCTCACCCAAGAGTCATGACTTTATCCTCAGAGCCTGGGATGCACCACATAGTACTTGTCATAAACTCCTAGATACTGAACATGATCTCTCTGCCTCTGAGGGGCCAGCTCCTTGAGATAATGGGCTGTACAGTCTGGGATGACAGAAAGAACCTTGGGCTTATAGCCAGAAGCCAGATTCCAAATTTGGATTTTACCAATCCCTGGCCATGAGACTCTGACCATATGAATCCACTCCTAGACCCTAGTTCTGTCATCACCAAGGTGGGCATGGCACTTTCCTCTTGGCATTAGTAGAAATTAAAGGCTCTGTAGATAATGCTTCATGAAAAGTGGGCTGTTTCCATCAAGCCTAAATCATATAAGTGTGTGAGATGGTTAACACTGAAGACTCAGAAGTCAGAGAGGGCTGAGTTTGAAACCACATTCGATCACTATTCAACTGTGAGACTGTATTGGTTCATTTTCACAATGTAAAGAACTATCTGAGACTGGGTAATTTATAAGGAACAGAGGTTTAATTGACTCACCGCTTGGCATGGCTGGGGAAGGAGACCTCAGGAAACTTACAATCATGGTGGAAGACGAAGAGGAAGCGAGGAACATCTCACACAGCGGAAGGATGGGGATGGGTAGAAAAGAAGCAATTGACACACACTTTTAAACCATCAGATCTCGTGAGAACTCGCTTACTATCACGAGAACAGCAAGGGGAAAATCCGCCCCCGTTATCCAATCACCTCCCACCAGGCCCCTCCCTGACACGTGGGGATTACAATTTGAGATGAGATTTGGGTGGGGACGCAGAGCCAAACCATATCAGAGACACTGTGCACTCTGTTTCCTTCTATGAGCCTCAGTTTTCCCATCTGTCAAGCAGGGGTAAGAATAGTGCCAGCATCCCAGACTTACTGTGAGGATTAAATGAGATATTTAAAGTACCTGGCATAGTTTCTTGCACATAATAAAATTTCAATACATGCCAACTATTATCATTATCATTATTACTATGCCATCATTATCAGAATGTTTTGAATATAGAATTGCTTGAGGATAGTTTATTGAATGATGAGTGAATTAAGTGCTGAGAGAACATCATCCACTAAGGTCTGAGTACCTAGATTTCAGAATTCTTGGTATGGGAGTTCTCCAGTGGGGAAACAAAAAGCCTTGCAATTAAGAAAACTGAAAAAGAACAGAACAGGCTTGGCCCAGTTGCCGAAGACCAGTCGTGTGTGAAATGCCTCAGAACACCGGATGGAGACAGCACGGATCAAGCCAAGTAAAAATTGAGAGCATGAAACAGACAGCCCTGGAGGCCTGGAATCTGCTGAGGCCATTTCTTCCTGAGACCTAGGGGTGGAAGCTTGGGGGTCAAGTCTGCTTTGAGAGGCAAGATCTCAGGCTGTGTGCAGAACACTTTTGCACCTCGTGTCTCAGTGATGGGAGGTCAGGGTGAGCTTCCCCACCAAACCCCAACAGGTGTTTATTATACCCTGTGGGGAGGCAGGGAGAGGAGAGGGAAATGTCTCTTCTGAAGAGGCCTAGGGCAAGAGGGGCAGCTGAAAGCCTCATTACAATGAAAACAGAAAATAGATCAAATTAAAAGCCAATTAAAAACAAAAGCCAATCTGCTTCCATTGTTAAAATCCAGATTCCAGTTGTCTGTCTGTAGGGTTTGGCCTGTGCAATTTAAACAAGACATCCCAGGGGATACAGATGTGGCTGCTCACACTTAGAGTAGTAAGGCCTTGGATGTTACTTAGTCCAGTGTTTCCAGACTTTCTTTACGATAAGAATCACCTGGGGATACCTTGTTAAAAAGGCAAGTATGCAACCTTACCCAAACATACTGAATCAAAGTGGGGTGGGGGGAATACCCAAGAGGTTGTAAGTTTAAAGAGCTCACAGGTTATTTTTAATATCAGAGAGGTTTAGGAAACACTGATTTGGTCTGTATCAGGTGCAGCAAATTCAAATATGTGCAGAACCCAGAGAGATGAGATAAATAATTTTTTTTTTTGAAGGGAGTCTCACTCTATCCCCCAGGCTGGAGCACAGTGGCGCAATCTTGGCTCCCTGCAACCTCCGCCTCCCAGGTTAAAGTGATCCTCATGCCTCAGTCTCCAGAGTAGCTGGGATTACAGGCACCTGAGATCCAGTAAATGAGAAATAGGAATCTATAGCCCTGCTGAACATTTCATAAGGCCTGGCATAATTCAAATTCTGCCCTGTAATCAGGCTGTCCCAGGCAACACAGGCAAGATTAAAGAAATATTTAAGTTTATTTGCTTTGGGCTGGAATATATATAACTCAGTGTAGTTCCACTGGTTACCTTATGTTCTGTTGATCTGCATTTCTAAGTGGCAATTGATTGTATGCTGTTAATTCATTTTTTTAAATAAAATCGATTAGTACTTAATTAATGTATTTTGTTTTGCCGGCAAAACACACAGTATACCATGACGATAAAAAGCCGCAGGATAAGAAGAGTCCCTGGTGAAGAAAAGGTGAGGAACTTCAGAAGAATTCAGGCCCAAATCTCTTTCAAAGATTTGGAAACTGGGTTCCCAAAAAGAGAGTTGACACATCCAGGGTCGGAGTGATAGTGACACAGTCAAGACTAGAATCCAAGTCTTCCCTGACTCTCAATCTAGTAAATTTTTCTATTATAATTCAAATAGGTAGCCTATGGGAGAATGAGATCTTTGGTTTTCTCTAGTCCAGAAAACACTCTTTCTTCTGGCACTTTTGGGGAACCAACTGTCCCCACTTTTCATTCCATGTAGCTCAAGTGGGGCAACTTCAGCATCTCCAGCTCTCAGGATATGCACATGACCAGCCTGGTCAGTCAGTGTATTCCTATCCTGAACAATGTGATTGGTTGATTTATGGGCAAGTGAGGAAGAGGAGTCCAATCAGAGTTAGCCCTGGGACTTCTGATGAAGCGACCAGGAAGTGGACTCTGCACTCTGTTTCCCCTAAGTCACTTAACTGACAGAATAAAGATGCAACACTTCTGCTAGTGACTGTCTTGCCACACTGGGAGTTGGGGTGGGGAGACATTCCCTGAATAAAGTCAATACAGGCTGGGTGTGGTGGCTCCTGCCTGTAATCCCAGAAATTTTGGAGGCCAAGGTGGGAGGACTGCTTGAGCCCAGGAGTTTGAGACCAGCCTGGGCAACATAGTGAGACCCCATCTCTTCAAAAATAAAAATAAGCAACCAGGCATGGTGGTATGCACCTGTAGTCCAAGCTACTCAGGAGGCTGAGGTGGGAGGATCGCTTGAACCCCGGAGGGTGAGGCTGGAGTGAGCCAGATCGTGCCACTGCACTCCATCTTAGGAGACAGAGCAAGACACTGTCTCAAAAAAATAAAAAATAGGCCAGGCACAGTGGCTCACTCCTGTAATCCCAGCACTTTGGGAGGATAAGGTGGGCGGATCATGAGGTCAGGAGTTCGAGACCAACGTGGCAAATATGGTGAAACCCTGTCTCTAATAAAAATACAAAAATAGCCAGGCATGGTGGTATGTGCCTGTAGTCCCAGCTACTCAGGAGGCTAAGGCAAAAGTATTGCTTGAGCCCGGGAGGCAGAGGTTGCAGTGAGCCGAGATCATGCCGCTGCACTCCAGCCTGGGCAACAGAGCGAGACTCCATCTAAAAAAATGAAATAAAATAAAATAAAAACACAATGAATACAGAGAAGAATCAAGGGGAAAAGCAGGAGAGACCAAATCCAAATGACACCTGGATCTAGCCAGGCTGGAAGATTCCTGCTCTTTTCAGTTACATCACCCACCTTGTCTGACTTCCTACAGCTGCCATTGGTTAAAAACAACCATAATGCCAGACCTTTTCATATATTTCTGTTGTAAAAATTGAGATTTTACAGATGATGTTCATTTACACTATGGCATGCCATCCTCAGGGCACCTCTGTGAGGTAAATAGGCCAAGGGCTATTTTCCACATTTTACAAATGAGATACCAGAGCTCAGAAGGGAATGATGCATTGCCAAAGGTCACACTGCTCACCAACAGCAGGACAGGGACAATAAATCTGGTCTTATGACTCCAGCTGAGAGTGCTTTCCACCACAGCACTATGTCTAACCTGGTGGAAATGCAGCAACTTCAATCCTCACCTGCCTCAACTTAGGAGAAGCCTCTGCCTCTCCTATCACACTCAACAGGGATATGTTTCTTGAGGCTGATGCCAGCTCAAAGCTTCATTGCAAAATTCTTCCAGGCTACCTGTTCTGAGTTATAGGAAATATCCCAAAGCGCCCATGTCCTACCATTCCAGGGTACAAAAGAGCACGAACCCACAAGAAGATATTGGAAGATTTACTGAGCCACAGGGAAATGAGGAAATGAGAGCAAAGTAAGGAAGTTATATAAGGGTCACACACACACACACTCAAAAAACCCAGGGTTAAGGTTAGCTGCAGCACACAGAGACTTGCAGCTTACATTTAGGGAGACGAATAAGTTTAAAGAACAGATAAATTAAAAAGACTAAGGCTCCATACACGTCAGAGCCCTGACTTAACCTCAACCATCCAGGCTCAAGTTAAACCAACGAAAGTGACCAGGCATAGTGGCTCATGCCTGTAATCCCAACACTTTGGGAGGTCAAGGCAGGAGGATCAAGGCCACAAGTTCAAGACCAGCCTGGGCAACACAGCAAGACCCTGTCTCTACAAAACATTTAAAAATTACCCGGGCATGGTGGTGTGCGGTGGTGAGTATAGTCTCTGCTACTCAGGAGGCTGAAGAGGGAAGATTGCTTGAGCCCAGGAGTTCAAGGCTGCAGTGAGCTGAGATCATGCCACTGTACTCTAGTATGGGCAATAGAGCAAGACTCTGTCTCTAAAAACACAAACAAATTTAAACCAACCAAAGACACCCTAACCCTCTCCCATTTCCACCTAGCTTCTCTCAAGTCCCTGTCTCTGAATCAGACCCTCTTGCTATGATCTCTCTCAGTCACATTCCCATGTAAAATTCTCGGGTCTCATCCCTTTTCCAATTAGGTATTTAATACAACTCTGATCCTGGTGCCACCACATAATAATTTACACAGAACACTTAATTAGCTTCTTAGATAAAAATAACATGTAATTTGTTTGGTAATTATATGTTTCCACAACTGCTGAAAGCAACTCATTATAGGAATTTGGTATACTTAGGATAGATTACCTTAATTCTATTTTCTGTTTATCCAATTAGATTTGCCGGTCTTAATTGTACTATAAATTGTGTTGAGCTGGTGAAGATGACTATGAAGTTGTTGTTCCTTCAGATTTCATGGTTGGTATGCATGTCGCTGGTGTTTGCTCCAGGCACTGACTAACTCTGTCTGGGTTGTGAAAACAAGGACACTGTAAGACCTTTCATACCTTTCAAAGAAGAAAGTGGACAACGCCTTCCGCTAAGGGCCTCCTTAACGTGGTGTATTCCAGTGTGTGGTATACTGATGGTGTACAAGATCATTTTAGATGGTGCAGGGATACATTTTCCTCTTAAATTTTCAAAAATTCAGGAGCCATTCTACTATATTAAAAAATATAAATAGCATATCTGAACCATAATTTCAAGCAAATTATTGCTTGAAATGAAGCTTAAGTAGGTATTTATGTTTAAAAACCTTGAGTTATTTAAGGATAGTTGATGATATTAAGGAATTATTAATTAAGAGGAATAATAAAATTGTATTTATAGTCAATACAGGAGTTCTTTTAATATACTTACTGAAACTTTAAATTAAAATGATATAAGTTCTGAGATTTGCATTAAAATAATCAGGGGGTTGGTAAGGTATTAGGGAGGAGGGAGTATTAAGAAAACAAGATTGGGCAGGGTGCGATGGCTCATGCCTTTAATCTCAGCATTTTGGGAGACCAAGGCAAGTGGATCTCTTGAGCCCAGGAGTTTGAGACCAGCCTGGGCAAAATGGTGAAACCCCATCTCTACTAAAAAACACAAAAATGAGCCAGGCATGGTGGCACACACCTGTAGTACCAACTACTAGGGAGGCTGAGGCAGGAGGATTGCTTGAGCTCAGGAGATGGAGGTTACAGTGAGCCACTATCACGCCACTGTATTCCAGCCTGGGCAACAGAGTGAGACTCTGTCTCAAAAAAAAATTTTTTTTTTAAATAAGATTGTCCCCAACATGGCTCTCTTGGATAATGCCATAATGAACATGAGTGAACATGAGGGTACAGATATTTCTTTGAGATCCTGATTTCAATTCTTTGGGATATGTACCCAGAAGTGGGATTGCTGGATCATAAGATAGTTCCATTACGCTGGTGCTATTACTTTTAATTGCAAAAACCACAATTACTTTTGCACCAACCGATAATAAAAATTTAAAAATTTTTCGAGGAGCCGCCATACTGTTTTTCATATCAGCTGCATTATTTTACATTAGCACCAACAGTGTACAAGGGTTCCAATGTCCCCACATCCTTGCCAACACTTGTTATCTTTGGTCATTTTTATAATAGCCATCCTAACAGGTGTGAGATAATTTCACAGTCACTCGTTGTGGTTTTGTGTTGCATCTCCCTGATGATTAATGATGTTGAGAACCTTTTTAATGCCTGTTGGCCATTTGCATGTCTTCTTTGAAGAATCATATATTTCAAGTCCTTTGTCCATTTTTTAATTGTCCATTTAATAATTTTCACTACTGAGTCATAGGAATTTCTTATATATTTTGGATATTAGCCCCTTATCAGATATATAATTTGCAAATATTTTCTCCCATTCTATAGGATACCTTTTCATTCTGTTGATTGTTTCCTTTGCTTCGCAGAAGTTTCATTGCAGCATTATTCAGAACAGCCAAGATACGGAAATAACCTAAATGTCCATCAAGAGATGAATGGAGCCTGGCCAACATGGTGAAACCTGGTCTCTACTAAAAGTGCAAAAATGAGCCAGGTGTGGTGGCACACCCCTGTAATCCCAACTACTCAGGAGGCTGAGGTGGGAGAATTGCTTGTACCCAGGAGGCGGAGACTGCAGTGAGCTGAGATCGTGCCACTGTACTCCAGCCTGGGCGACAGAGCAAGACCCTGTCTCAAAAAAAAAAAAAAAAAAAAGAGAGATGAATGAATAAAGAAAATGTGACATATTTATACAATGGAAAATTGTTCAACCTAAAAAAAAAAAGAAAAAAAAGTCCGCTATTTGCAGTAACATGGAAAAACCTGGACCATTCTGCTATGTGAAATAAGACCATTACAGAGGACAAAAACTGCATGATTCCACCCATACAGGATATCTAAAATAGACTCATAGAAGCAGAGAATAGAATGGTGGTTGCCAAGGGTTGGGGGCATAGGGAAATGGGGAGCTGCTGTTCAATAAAGTTTTAGTTATGCAGGATGAATAAGTTCTGGAGATCTGCTGGACAACATAGTGTCTATAGTTAACAAACTGTATTCTGCCCTTAAAATGTTCTTAAGAGAGATCTCATCTCAGGTGTTCTCACTACAACAACAACAAAAACAAAACAAAGAGACACAAGGAAACTGTTGAAGTGAAAGATATATCTATTACCTTGATTGTGGCCATGGTTTCACAGGCACATGCATACATCCAAACTCATCAAATTATGTATATTAAACACACGCAGTTTTTAATATTATTTAGATGTCAATGCAGCTGTTTTTAAAAAAAAAAAATTGACCATGAGTTGAAGCTGAATTGAGGGTACATGAGTGTTCATTACACATTCTCTCTATTCTTGTATGTTTGCTAATCTCCATAGCAATAAGTTTATTCTGAAACTGAGTCAATTTAAAGAAAAATTGATTAAATAATAATGTACTTCAAGGGCCAGCATGCTTTTCTGTAAAGGGCCAGATAGTAAATGTTTTAGGATTTGTGAGCCATATGGTCGCCATAGCAACTGCTTAACTCCGCTGTTGTAATACGAAAGCACCCATAGAAAGCACATCTACAGATGGGTGCAATTCTGTTCTAATAAAACTTTATTTACAAAGACAGGTGGCAGGCCATAGTTTATAGATCCGTAAAGTAGGTGATACCTTGATATGGCAAAATCCAGGAAGGTGATACAGGAAAGACTGAAATAAGAACAGCATTCAGTTACTGGGACCCTGAGTCTCCTCTCTTTAGAGAAATTAATAAATTCTTATGAATTCAGTCTTACTCAGAGACAGCTATAGGACACCCTTGGTGCCAGGTAGAAACACAAATAAAAGGAAGACAGGAACAAGATGGGAGCACGGATGCATATCCACTCATCCATTTATTCAACATTTTTTTTTTGAGATGGAGTCTCGCTCTGTCGCCCAGACTGGAGTGCAGTGGTGCGATCTCGGCTCACTGCAACCTCCACCTCCCGGGTTCAAGCAATTCTCCTGCCTCAGCCTCCTGAGTAGCTGGGATTACAGGCGTGTGCTACCACGCCCGACTAATTTTTATATTTTTAGCAGACACAGGGTTTTACCATGTTGGCCAGGCTGGTCTCAAACTCCTGACCTCAGGTGATCCGCCCACCTCGGCCTCCCACAGTGCATGAGCCACCACGCCCAGCCCATTCAACAACATTTTATAGAATCCCCTAAAGGTGGAGGTCATGTTTGCATCAGAGGGTGGTACAAGGGGAGGGAGGTACTTAGCCTATTCCTCACCATCTTCATCTCCCACTGAGATCACCTCACATACAGGTGCCCTTCCACTGTGCTTAGCCAGTGAGGGACTAAAGACTCCCCCACAGAGTATAAATTGCCATGTCTATTTCAGAGTGACAGCTATTAATATTATTATTGTTATGACTCTGAAAGCCCACTCATCTTTGAGTCTCTGGCAAGAGGTGAAAGACAGGTGTTGGGAGGTGGCTCCTGGAGCGTCTGTAGACAGCATTTGCCTAAATAATGGAATCCACGTGTAATAATCATGCTTGAGATAAAGAGCTTCCCCATCCCTCATGTCCACTTGCTTTTGGAGAAACTACATAAGCAACATTCCCAAGCAGATGAGGAGGCATGAAGCAAGAGACCTTGATAGTCCAGAAGCCGCATGAGAAACGTCAGCTAAATGTAGCCACCCTCTTGCTACTACCTACACAATCCTCTCCAGTGCAATTGGAAATCCTGAATCTCAGCAAAGATCAGGCATGCTAAACTCAACCCTGGAGACCTGCCTTGCTTTTCCCTCAGGCCACCCAGGTACCATGTGACTTTCTTATGAGATGATCAAAACAGTACTTTGTAAAGGAACACTTCTATTCACCAACTCACTCAGCAAAATACTTATGGCACCCCCTGTGTATGCCAGGCATAGTATTAAAGACCAGGGAGAACAAGAAGAGTAAATCTAGTCCCACACTCTAGGAGCTTAACGAGCAGCAATTTTGCCCTCCCCCCAGCAAATAATTGTCTGGCCCATAACGTCACGTTCAAAGACTGAGAAACCCTGCTAAAAGAAGACACAGATTTTAAAGAAATGATAATGTGAAAGAATTAATTGTAGAAGTGTACTGTAATCCCAGCACTTTGGGAGGCCGAGGTAAGCAGATCATTTGAGCTCAGGAGTTCGAGACCAGGCTTGGGCAACATGGTGAAACACCGTCTCTACTAAAAATACAAAAAAAAAAAAAAAAAAAAAAAATAGCCAGGCATGCAGGCATGGTGGTACACACCTGTGGCCCCAGCTACTCAGGAGCCTGAGGTGGGAGGATCTCTTGAGCCTGGTAGGGCAGAGCTTGCAGTGAGCTGAGATTGCACCGCTGCTCTCCAGCCTGGGTAACACAGTGAGGCCCTGTCTCAAAAAAAAAAAAAAAAGAAGAAGAAGAAGAAGTGTATACAGGGTCCAACCATAGCAAAATCATGAGGAGGATCACCCCAAAATACAAGCATAGCTTCTACCTTAAAAACAGAAATGAAAACCCTTATGTGACCTCGTGTCCCTCTGTAGATAATTCTCCATTTCTCTCTGTTCCCTTTTATAGCAAAAATGATCTAGAGAGTTGGCTATAACCACCCTGCCTACTTCTGTGCTATTCTTTCCTCTACGAACTCTGGTCAGGTGTGGCCACGACGGTGCTACTGAAAGGTATCCTGCAACCTCTGTGTTGTCAAATCCACAGGACAATTCTCATTCCTTGTCCTACCAGCATCAGACATAATGGAGAATTCCTTTCCTGGACTTGCCTTCCTGAGCTTCCCACTGCCCTGGTTTTCTTGCTACCCTACTGGTTGCTCCCTGTCAGCCTCCTTGATGGTTTGTCATCACCTTCCCAACCTCTCAACATTGTAGAGCCCAGGAATTGGCAAACTACAGCCTGTGAGCCAAATCCAGTCCACCACCCAGTTTTTGTACATAGAGTTTCATTATAACCCAGCCATGCCCATTCATTGATGCATTATCTAGAGCTCCTTTTGTGCTAAAACGGCAGAGTTGAGTAGTTGCAACAGATCCTATGGCCTGCAAAGCCTAAAACATTTTCTACTGGCCATTTGTAGAAAAGTATGACCTAAGTTATCAGTTAATCATATTTCCTTAAACTGACTCCATTTTAAATGAATTTTTTATTACGAAAATTACCAAATATAAAAGAGTGGAGCATTCTGTGACCTTAAATACTATCTAAATGCCGACAGCTGCACCCACAACCCAGGCTCTCTCCTGAGCTCCGTGTTCACAGATCTAGCCAACCTGTTTGATATCTGCTTCCACTTGAATGTGAAATGATTTGCTGACATGGCCAGAGCAGAGCTAGAGATATCTCCCTCTTCTCTGCGTCTTCCCCATCTCAACAAATGTCAACTCCATCCAGCACGTTAACTATACCATATTAAAACTCTAACTAAAAATAAAGCTAACATATGACCCAGCAATCCTACTGCTAGGCACATATCCAAAAGAAAGGAAATCAGTATATCAAAGAGATATCTGCACTCCTATGTTTATTGCAGCACTATTCACAATAGCCAAAATTTGGAAACAACCTAAGTGTCTACCAACAGATGAATAAAGAAAATGTGGTATATATACACAATGGAGTACTAATCAGCCATAAAAAGAATAAGATCCTGTCATTTGGAACAACATGGATAGAACTGGAAGTCATGACGTTAAGTGGAAAAAGCCAGACACAGATAGACAAACTTCACATGTTCTCACCCATCTGTGGGAGCTAAAAATGAAAACAGTTGAACCCACAGACAGAGAGAGTAGTGCAATGGTTACCAGAGGCTGGAAAGGGTATTGGGGGTGTGAGGGCAGGGAATAGGGATGGTTAATGGGTTCAAAAAATAGAAAGAACGAATAAGATATGGTATTTGAATGCACAAGAGAGTGACTGTAGTTAATAACAACTTAATTGTATATTTTTAAGTAAGTAAAAGAGTATAATTGGATTGTTTGTCACACAAAGGACAAATGCTTGAGGTGATGGATATCACATTTACCCTGATATGATTATAGCACATTTGCATGCCTCTGTCAAAATATCCCATATACCTAACAAATATATACACCTACTATGTATGCACAATAATTAACAATTTTAAAAATTTAAGAAAGAAATCTAGGACTTTGCCCAGTGGGGCAACCTGGGTGAAGCATATACTGAAATTCTCTGTACTAATTTTGCAACTTTTCTACAACTCTAAAATTATCCTCAAATTTTAAAGTTGATTAAATAAAAGCCCTAAGAATCATTCTTTCTCTCTCATTCTTTTCTTTCTGTTACTCCGCACATCAAATCCATCAGCAAGTACAGAGCAGTCCACTTTCCAAGCACATCCCCAAACTGGTCAGTTTCACCACCTCCACCAGTACCTCCTCACCCAAGTAACCATCCTGTCCTGTCTCCACCTGGATTATTGTAATATCCTCCTAACTGGCCTCCCTGGTGCCCCCTATCCCCTCCTCACTCCAGAACTCCTACTATCCATGCAGCATCCAGAGTAGTATTTTTTAAAGACATAAATAAAGTTAGGTCAATCCTTTGTTCAGACCCCTCCAGTGGTTTTCCATCACAGTTGAAATAAAACCCAAACTGCTCTTTTAAAAAGTTTAATTGTGTTTAATTGAACAAAGAATGATTCAAGAATTGTACAGATCTCGAACCAGAACAGGTGTGAAGAGGCTCCATTTCTACCACAAAGAAAATTTATGGACAGAGAAGGAAAGTGGCAGACAGAAAATGGAAGCGAGGTGCAGAAACAGCTGGATCCATTACAGCTTGGCATTTGCCCTACTTGAGCCCAGTTTGAACAGTTGGTCCCCCTTGATTGGCTGAAACTCGGTTGTTTGGACAACAGTGGGTTACAGTCTGTTTACACATCCAGTTAGGTTGCAGTTCACTACTTATGGAGAAACCTTTAAAGTATGTAAAGAGGCAGCTTTTCGCTAAACTTAATAATTCCCCCTTTTGATCAACCTCTCAGTTGAGAGACTGACCAAAACTTTAGGCACTGGCATCACTCTGTCACTATTTGGTTTCAAATCCCACTAGGAAATAGCAGTGGGTTTTATAAGGTGGGAACAAGGGCTTCAGGTTATTTTTTATAAGGGTTAGAGTAGAAGGAACCTTCTTGACCTGGTATCTCCTGTTTTCAGGAGAAAAACAAAACCAGGTCTATTTTAAGATCTATTTGTTTTTAAAGTCTTTTCATGGCCAAGTCCCATGAGAGCTGCCCTCTCTCTACCTCTCAGAACCTGTTTCCTCCCACTTCCTATCTGATCACTCTCCTGCAGCCATCCTAGTCTTCTTACTATTCCCCAGACATGGCAAGCCCACCCTCCCCTACCCACCCAGCGTCTAGACACTTGCAGTCACCTGCTGCCTATACTCCACACGGCTCACTTCCTCACCTCCTCAGAGAGACCTTTCCTGCTCAGCCTCTCTTAAATACTCCACCTTTATCCATCCACAGCACTCTCTGTCTTACCTCTCCCTGCTTTATTTCCCTGTCTAGTACTTAACACTACCTAAAATTAACTTATATGCTTCTTCATTCTGTTTATCATCTTGCTTCTCTGAAAGGTAAACTTCCTGATGGTAGAGATCATGTCCATCTTGTTTATGGCTGCAACCTGTGCCCTGAACATGCCTGACACATGGTAGATACTAATATATCTGTTGAATATCATGCATGTTGAATGACCCTACCCAGAAGAAGTCAAAGAAAGTTTCCCGAGGAGATGACTGTTGAGCTGGGGACTAAACAATGATGAAACAGGCATGTGTTAATTTCTTTGGCTGCATAGCAACCACTACTGCCATCAATGCCCTCGGGGAATGCTCACTCTTCCTGTCCGCCATCTTGATGAGTCTATTAAATGCACTTGCTTGATCGAGAGCTGAGATGCAACATGCAAGCTGTGTCCAACAGGCTTTTTAATTTTGAGTAGCATGCCCTCAGAGTCCTGCCTAGTCCCCTCAACCTCTCAAGTTTGTGAGTTCCCCCTCTTTTCCTTTTCAACTTTAGCTAGCCAGAGAATGTGTCTGGTGCTTACAAGTGAAGAACTGTTTCTGACATTGCCAGTTAGGTGGGGAGGTGCATTCTAGACAGAGGTAACAACTTGCACCAAGGCATTGAAGCATGAAGCGATGGGAAACAATGGGGCATGAAAATCAAATGTTCCTTCAAGGTGCAAACATATTACCCTAAAACTCCATGGTTCCCTAGGGACTCAATTCAAAAGTTACAGGGCCATTTTTAGGACATCTCTTTGCTATAGGAAAACAGGACATTTTCTGCAAGATCAATGCTTGACCAACATCAGATTCAATTTTTGCATCCTTCAAATCATATCAGGCTGGAAAATTAAAAGTTTCCTCTCATTTTTATCATAATTACTATAACAACCACTACCATCTTGTGTTTGTCCAGTAATTTCAGCTTTTCAAAGAAATTTCAAATCCATTAACTTAGTCTCTACCAAGGCCTCCGAGTTCGAGGCATTAAAGGCTCCCCAAGTGGAATTACCAACGTGTTATAAACGAAAGAATCTGAGTCACCAAAACAGCCCAGCCTCTGTCTGACCTCCGACCCTCCTCATCTGACACTACAGCTTTTCCCAAGGCAGCTGCAGGTGAGATATTCATTCAAACCAGCAGGAAGAGAAATGCTGAATCTGCACAATCAGAACCTTCTGCTGACTTAGCACCATGTCTACAGAGATGCTGCTCTTGTCCTTCGTCCTGAGAAGGAGACACAGTGTGCCTGAAGGAGCCCATCTCAGACACCCTGCCCCTGGCAGCAGCCACCAGGGAAGCCAGTACAATAGTGGTCTCAGTAAGGGAGGACCTAGGACTGCGCAAAAAAATCAAGCAGTGTAACCCAAAAATCCAGATACCAGACAGATCCAAGAATGTGGCTAGTGCCATTTCCATTTGCTCAAAATTAGCATCAAAGTTAGGAAGAGTCAGGGTTAAAATACAAACACCCCATGCTCCAACCAAAGCGATCTGCATATGGCTGTCCATACGCACCATGTACTTGGCCACCTACGTGTCTTTATTCATGCTGTTTTCTCCGGCTGGAGAAGCTCATGGAAATGGTTTATTTTTGCCAAAGTTAGCATTTAACGTGGACATAATGATGGTTCAACTCCATGGATCCCATGTGCCAATCTTCCCCCAGCTCCACTATTGAAATTCTATACATCCACTGAGTCCAGTCCGTTTTCCCCCCAACCATCACTCACTCTGACCTGGTTCATTCTCCAGGAGCCTCAGCTGATTTTTCTCTAGCTTGATCACCCTTCTTGGTTTCATGTTCAGTTCACCATTGCCTTTAATGATAAACCCACTCTTCCGCTAGTTAAATCCATGTCACCTTCTTGACAAGCAATAGTGCTGAGGTCAGAACTCTCCCCATAGCCATACCCTAAAAGATGGTACATCCAGACAATAGAATATTATTCAACGCAAAAAGGAAGTGTGACATCAAGCCGTGAAAAGACATTGAGGGACCTTAAATGCATATTTCTAAGTGAAAGAAGCCAATCTGAAAAGGTTACATACTGTATGATTCCAACTATATGACATTCTGGAAAAGGCAAAACTATGGAGACAGTGAAAAGATCAGTGGTTGCCAGGAGGTAGGGGCTTAGGGAAGAATAAATAGGTAGAACATAGATGATTTTTTTTCATGAAATTACTCTGTATGTCACTATAGTGGTGGATACAAGTCATTATGCATTTGTTCAAACCCATAGAATGTACAACACCAAGGGTGAATTTTAATGTATACTATGGACTTTAGGCGATAATTTTGTGTCCATGTAGGCCTATCAGTTGTAACAATTAATATTGTTACAAGTTGGTACTATTCTGGTGGGGTATGTGGATCACAGGGATGGCTATTCATGTGTAGGGCAGGGGGTATTTGGGATATCTCTGTACATTCTGTTCAATTTTGCTGTGAACCTAAGACTGCTCTTAAAAATAAAGTCTGAAAAATGCTGCATAGCTTTCCCTCCCTCTGCCAACCAGTCCACAAGTACTGGATATATTGGCCATCCATCACTTGCCAGGCAGTATCTAGGTGCTGGGGGGACTCTACGAAGGGGATATGCTCCTGCCCAGGTGGAGTTTAGCAGGGAATCTGGACAGTGATGAAGTCATTTCAAATATGATAAACCCATCAGGTATACACAAGGAGAAAAGCTAATTTTCATTTTTATAGGTATTTTATAAACATTTTTCTAAACACTCTACTATAGTTAGGGTGATTTTACATATTTCTGCCTTGTTTCTTGTGCTAGAACATAAGATCCTGGCCTTGAGTCAGAGGACAAGTCAAAATAAATTTTGTAGCCAGAGCTAAGTTCAGTATACTGACTCTAAGTCCTATAATTGAGACTCCAATACCAAACAATCTTTGTTTGGGCTGGTTAGAATTTTCCACTCTTACAAATGAACACTCACCTCATCTAGACCTGCCACTTGGACAACTGAGACGGAAAGATCTCCTTAATGCAGCATGTCCTGGAATTCAAGATATTCATTCAACAAACACTGCCTGGTCACCTACTTCATGTCAAACCCCGTGCTGAATGCTGGAGGGGCATCGGGGTCTTCGCAAGTGCTGTTTCCTCCACCCTCCTCCCACGTATTCACAAGGCTCCCCTCCTTTCTGCATTAAGGTCTCTGTGCAAAAGTCCTCATGTCAGAGAGGGTTCCTGTGCATTCATTAATGCTGTCCACCCCACAGTCCAGTTTTCCTCTCGTTCCAGGCACATGGCAGGAGAGCCCTTTCCTGGCCCCTTGAATCAGTTGTGGCAATCAAATGTGAGCTGAAGCCCTTAAGAGCCAGCGTATGACTCACCACATCCCCCTCCCCACCTACACCACAACAACCAGCCATGCTCCATCTGGGCCCACAAGTGAGGCGATATGGCGCAGAAGTCGTAGCCAACCCTCGGTGGGCACGTTGCATGAACGAGAAATAAGCCTTTATTGTTATAAGCCATTAAGATACAGGGGCTGTTTGTGCAGCAGGGCCTCATCCATCCTAGCTGATCCAGCTTTCCTGAAACCCTATCTTAAAGGGCATCTCCTGTCACTTTCAGTCTCTTTACCCTGCTTTGCCTGTGGCACTTAATGCAATCTAACATTATATATTTACCGTGTTTATATTTTGTCCCCATCCCCTGGAATATAAGTTTGATAAGGGCAGGGACATTGTTCCCCCAGCATCCTCAGTGCCCTGAACTGTGTGCCTGGGTAGAGGAGGCTCAGTACATGTTTATGGAATGACTCACTGAACACATTAACACATAAGACACTGTTCCTGTCCTCACTGAGGACAGCTGGGAAGCTAAATCAACAAATAAATTATCAGAATGCAGGAGCTACAAAAGTATAGGAACGGCACCTAATCCTGTGGGGGACAGCAGTCCAAGGTTTCTCAGAGGGCATGGCTTCTGAGATGAGTTTTGAAGGATATGAGACAGACAGAAATAGCAGCACAGACAAGTGCCAGAAAATGTGAAAGAGGCACATTTAGAGCAATGTGGGTTTTTGTTATATTTTAGCAATCAGGGCAATGGTTTTTGTCATATTTTATCAAGCCAACAAGAACAAGTGTTGTATAAAAAACAGAAGGGGAGTCTTCTGATCAAATAGATTTGGGAAACATTCGTTCAAACAGCAGGAAATAAGTTTAAACCGTGTCTGTAGCGCAGGACTTCTCAGAGCTTTGAAGAGGCTCATGTGCATTGTAAATATCTGAGGATCCCATGATGTACAGCATCTCTTAAATTTATTTTGGCTTAAACTTTTTTCTGTAGGGTCATATTCCTCAGAGCCCTCTTTGGGAAAGTCTAGAGCAAACTGCAAAATGAGGAGAGAACTGAGTTGAAGCTCAAAAGGTCAGCAGGGGTCAGAAATCAGGGATTTGTGCAGCCAGGAGTTTACATTTTATCTGAAGGCAATGCAGTGCACATGGTGAGTTTGCAGGAAGAAGTTTTATTACCATCCCCCATCACAGAAAATGAATATCCTTGTTGGTCTTTTCATCAGCACCAGTAATCAACATCTGATGGGCCAGGAGACCCATGGGACTGGTACTCAGGAAGCAGTGTGTCCCTCAGCAAGTCCCTGAGCCTCTCTGAGCCTCATATTTCACATCTGTATGATGGTTCAAGTTAAATAGTGGACATCCCTTCTACAGTCCCTGCCAATTCTCCTGGCAGATAATGTGACTGCAATACCATCCATGATTATAATGTTTGGTATAACGATTTAATGTACTATCTTTTCCACTGAAAGAGCTCTGTATTAGTCTGTTCTCACACTGATAATAAAGACATATCGGAGACTGGTAACTTATAAGGGAAAGAGGTTTAATGGACTCACAGTTCCACATGGCTGGGGAGGCCTCACAATCATGGCAGAAGGCAAATGAGAAGCAAGGTCACATCTTACATGGCAAGAGAGCATGTGCAGGGGAACTCCCATTTATAAAACCATCAGATCTTGTGAGACTTATTCACTATCACGAAAACAGCACGGGAAAGACCTGCCCCCATGATTCAATTACCTCCCACTGAATCCCTCCCAGGACACATGAGGATTATGGAAGCTACAATTCAAGGTGAGATTTAGGTGGGGACACAGCCAAACCATATCAAGTTCAAAGGCTCAAAGGACTTCAAAAGAAGGGGCAAGAATAAATAATCGCACAGAAATCCACTTTAAGTGGTAGGAGGGACCCTGGACGATGAAAAGGGTGATCTAGCCCAGGGTCCAGGAAAACTGTCAGGCTTCCTGCCCATCTGCCCACTCTGCACCTGCACGCATACCTGACTTCTTTCTCCCTAGAAGAGCTCCTGTCCCCCACAGTGATTTTCAACTCTCTTGCTATGCATGAGGTCAGCCATTTCATGGCTCCACCCAAATCTTCTGATGCAAAAGTGGAATGGACTCATGCCATAATGCTGGGCTGCCTGATCATCGCATGTGGTCAGCTGTGTAGCAGAATATAAATTTTAAAAACCCAAACGATTAAACTGTCACTTCCTATTAGACAAAGCACATTCCAAGATGCAACTAATGAGGGAAGAGAAATAAGGAAAGAAAGTATGTTTGACAGAGGCAGTGTGGCTATAGCTTTCTCCACTTCTGATTGACGACAAGATGGTTTCTCCTGCAAGTAGGCACAGATTTGCTCTTTCAACCCACGTATACTGGGCACTGAGGGGAGGAAGATGAAAATGGCTACAGCAAGGGTATAGAAGAGGAATAAATTCACAGTCATGTGGGGAGGCCATTCTGTCTGTCTTCTGGCATAAAAAAAGACTGAGTGCATAGGAGGCAGAAGGCGATTGCTTCAAGCCTAAGAAATGGAAAAGGCACCTTGGAGAACTTGACACTTAAAACTTAAAGGACTTAAAGGCAAAGCGGGACTAACAATGACATGTTTCACACTTGTATTTCTTCTTACAGTTTTCAGGGTTTTCATACACCTTATTTCATTCGATCCTAATAAGAACCCTGAGAGGTAGATTTCAACTGTGCTTTCCAAAAGTAAAGATGGAGGTGGGAGGAAGAACTCAGCGATGGAGCTAGAACTATGGGCACGTGAAAGAAAGAACAAGTTATCTAATTCACCTGATGGGTGCACTGTGGGAGACAGAGCCTGGTGGTGATGGGGGGCAGACTGAGGTGATTCTTGGATGCCTGGCTAAGGGTTTAGAATTTACCCTGAATATAATGTTGATATCACCAAAGCTTTAAGAGTGGAGAGTAACATGTCCAATGCGCCCCTTGAGTAGGAGAGCTTCCCGTATAAGCAGGAAACTCAGAAGACTGGAATCAAAGCTCAGGTGGAAGGTGATAAGGACCAGGTGCCAGGGATGGAGACGAACCAAGAGTTGGGCAGTGGAAGAATGGAAAACACCAGAGGGCCAGGTATAGTGTCAGAGATTGTTTTATGTCTTACTTAGATGAGACACAAAATAATATTAAAAGTATGCAGGATAAAACTCTGATTATCTTTCAATCCTTCTAATTAGTCAGTGAGGAAGTCTCATCTTGGTGCTAATAGGTCTTCAACACCTTTCTAACACTTGCTAATTATTTAAAGGAGACAATAATATACTGTATTAGTCCATTCTCACACTGCTATAAAAATACTACCAGAGACGGGTAATTTATAGAGGAAGAGGTTTAATTGACTCACAGTTCTGCATGGCTGGGGAGGCCTCAGAAAACTTACAATCATGGCAGAAGATGAAGGGGAAGCAAATACCTTCTTCACGGGGAGACAGGAAAGAGTGTGAGCATGCAGGAAAGACTACCATCTATAAAACTATCAGATCTCATGAGAATTCACTCACTCACTATCATGAGAACAGCATGGGGGAAACAGCCCCCACGATCAATCACTTCCCTTCTTCAACACTTGGGGATTGCAATTCGAGATGAGATTTGGATGAGGACACAGAGCCAAACCATATCATATGCTAAGTGAGACTTGGCAGGAACAGTAGTTTGTTATATTTTAATATTACTACTGTAATCTTTATTTTTGGTTTTTTTACTAGTGGCAAGATTTTGTTTGTTTATTTGATTGTTAGTTTGCTGTTATCTTCTGCTTATCATAAGTGAAACTGGTTTTCATTATTGGCAGTGATATACCATTCTCTTTTAAACTATATTTATTTTTATTTATTTATTTATTTATTTTTTGAGACAGGATCTCACTCTGTCACCAAGGCTGGAGTACAGTGGCCCAATCACAGCCCACTGCAGCCTCAACCTCCTGGGCTCAGGTGATCCTACTACTTCAGCCTCTCGAGCAGCTGGGACCACAGGCATGTGCCAACACACCCGGCTAATTTTCATATTTTTTGTAGAGACAGGATTCCACCATATTGCCGAGGCTAGTCCCAGACTCCTGGGCTCAAGAGATCCACCCGTCTCAGCCTCCCAAAGTGCTAGGATTACAGGCGTGAGCCACTGTATCTGGCATCATTTTATTTTAAGATGTAAAGAAAAGTATTCTGGTGGTGGGAGTAGGGGGATATCTATCCTCAATAAGTCAAGCATAGTATTACCATGTGACCCAGCAGTTTCACTCTTGGGTATAAATCCAAAAGAATTGAAAACAGGTGTTCAAACAAAAACTTGTACATAAATGTTTATAGCAGCACCATTCACAATAGCTAACAGATGGAAACAGCACAAATGCCCATCAATGGTTGAATAGATAAATTAAATATAGTATATCCATACAATGGAATATTATTCAGCCATGAAAAGGAATAAAGTACTGATTCATGCTACGACATGGATGGACCTTGAAAACATTATGCTAAGTGAAAGATGCCAGATGCAAAAGGTCACATAACAGACGATCCCATCCCATCTAGAACGAGTAAATCCACAGATACAGAAAGCAGATTAAAGGTTTCCAGGAGCTGGAGGGGTGGGGAAATAGATCGTAACTGCTTGATGGTTACTGGTCTCCTTTTGGAGTGATGATGTTCTGGACCTAGATGGAGGTGCTGGTCACACAACATTGTGAACGTACTAAACGCCACTGAATTGTTCACTTTAAAATGTTTAGAATGGCAGATTCTATGTTATGTGTATTATATCACAATAAAAAATTAGTCAAAGTGGCCAAAATGTTGTGAAGGTGCCATGGAAGGAAACAAAACTTAAGAAATTCTTCTGATCAAAAAAACAGAGGTTGTGGAGTCAGGAGACCTGAGTTCAGGGCCCAGCTCTGTTACCTGCCTACCAGCAGTGTCACCAAAAATAAGCTTCTGTGATTCCCTGGGCTTCACTTTCCTCCTCTCTACAATGAGGGTGGTGGTCCTCGGATCCCTGCCTGCAACACTCTGCCTGCACATCAGGGAGCTCAATATACATCCGTCCCTCATGTTCCTTCCAAGCAAGGAAGGCTTGGACAACAGGAATACCATTGACAGAGAGAAGAAATCCAGAATAAGCATGAATCAAAGAGGACAGGCCTGGGCAGGTTCAGTATGAGGCACCCATGGCCATGTCAAGGAGAGAAGCCCACCAAGCACCTAGGGGAACAGGTCAGGAACCCAGGGCAAGAGGTTGAGGCTACAACTGTAGATTGTGGAGGCATCTGCAAAGCTCCAACTACTAAGGACTATATCTAGAGAAGAGGAGCTGATGGGATGCTTGGAGGGCTCTCGCCTGTACAGAGGTGTAGGTCCCCCAAGCATGCAAAAGGCAGATCATCATCAATGAGGCTGGAGTGACTCCTGACTTCCAACAAGCAGCGGAGTCTGTCAAGGAGTGGACCTTAGCCCAATCCCATTTTACAGATGAGGAAAGGTAAGGTCCAGAAGGGAGAGAGGAAGGAAGAAGATACACTATAAAGGTATTATTTTAGATAGATAATATATATTATTTTATAGATAGCTAAATGATACACAAATATATTATTCTTTGTGAGAGAGAATATGAAAGCTCAAATTCCATCCCAGATCGCCTAACTCAAAGCTCCACATTTTTGCAATACAAACTATCGTTCTCATTATGTGGAACCCACCCAAAGAAGGCCAGATATTAAAGCTGTAAGAGCATTTAGCCCAACTTTCTTACTTGCAGGAGAAACTGAATTTCAGAGTTTGCCGCAAGTCAAGGAATGCAGTTCTGGAAGCTAGTAAAGGAAAGGAAACAGACTCTTCCCCAGAGTCTCCAGAGGGAGCACAGCTTTGCTGACACCTTCATTTTGGTGCAGGGAACCTGATTTCAGACTTCTGCCCTCCAGGGCTGTAAGAGGGTAAAAGTGCGTTTCCTTCAGCCACCATGTTTGTGATGATAATTTATTACAGCAGCTGTAGTAAACTAATACAATCCTGGACCTAGCCCCTTCTCCTAACTCACTATTTTGTTTGAACATCTACTAAGTACCTACTCTCCCTCAAAACAATGTTCTGAGTGCTGGAAGTATAGAATGATGAAGTCATCAATACAAGCGGGATATGGTCTCCCCAAACCAAGAGAACAGGAGCACACAGCACAAGTGGGCGTGGACCAAGGGCATGTGAACTGTGGATGGGTTGTAGACTTGAGCAAGTTCGTTTCTAGCTTCTAAATTCCACCCCAGCAAGTACCCCAGACCTGGCTTTAGGAACCACGATATGGCAGCATGAAGTGGGGACCTCATGACAACACATTCTAAGTAGGATTTTGGTAACAAGAAGGATCAAAGCCCCATCTGCATCTCTCATGTCATCTCTGCATTGTTGATGATTCATCTTTTTCATACAACTGCTTGGAGGGCATCAGAGACTTTCCCACATTCAGCGGAGCCAGAGATTTTGGCTGTTTTAATGAATTCTTCTAACCGGTTGCACCGCCCCAAATTGACCGTAAAAGTTAACAGATTTGTTTAAGAAACAAAACTTGATCTCAATATATTGTGGACAAATGCTCAATCGAACAGAAAGCTCACTGTTAATTTGCTCTTCCTCCTTCTGTATTCTCCAGCTATCCTGAATTTCTTGTCTCTTCTCCCCTCCAGGCACAAAAATGATAAGGAAACTTTGCTTGGGAAGAATTTCGCAGAGGCACGTTCGTGGAGCCAGGTTTTGGGGTTTCGGGTTTCAAAGTGCATACCACCCCAGGGTTCTCAAACAGAGGCACACACAGCCCAGCAGAACACACGTGCAGAGCACAAATACAGTAGAACTTCCTAGAGCATTGCTTTTACTTGTGATATGGTTTGGCTGTGTCCCCACATAAATCTCATCTTGAATTGTAGTTCCCATCATCCTCACGTGTTGTGGGAGGGACCTGGTGGGAGGTAATTTAATCATGAGAATGGTTACCCCCATGCTGTTCTCATGATAGTGAGTGAGTTCTCACAAGATCTGATGGTCTTATTAGGGGCTTTTCCCCCTTTTGCTCACACTTCTCCTTGCTGCTGCCATATGAAGAAGTACATGTTGGCTTCCCCTTCTGCCATGATTGTAAATTTCCGGAGGCCTCCCAGCCACACTGAACTGTGAGTCAATTAAACCTTTTTCCTTTATAAATTACCCAGTCTTGGGTACGTCTTCATTAGCAGTGTGAGAACGAACTAATACAACTTAACTATTTGATGAAGGGAAAAATGGACACACTTATCTTTTAAGTCATTTTAAATTATTTCGCCTTAGTACCAACATAGTTACATTATGAGGTAGGAACCAAAATCTGCATGAATTTTTAAGATCAAATTCAGAGAAAAGGCCACAAAGGGCACAGCCTGATGTGCAGAGCGTGTGTTTATCAGACGCTGTCCCTGTATTGGCTTCCTATTGCTGTTCTAACAAATTACCACCAATTTAGTGGCTCTAAGCAGCACAGATTCTTTCTCTTATGGCTCCAGAGGTCCAAAGTCTGAAGTGGGTCAAGCAGCTGGCAGGGTGGCATTCCTTCCAGAGGCCCTAGAGGAGGACCTATCTCCTTGCCTTCTCCAGCTTCTGGAGGATGCTGGCATTCCTTGGATTACAGCCCCTTCCTCCATCTTCAAAGTGCATCACTCCAATCTCTGCTTCTGTTGCCACATCTGCTTCTCTGACTCTCACCTCCCTGCCTCCCTTTCATAAGGAATGATTATAAATTGGACTCACCTAGGCTAATCCAGAACAGTCTCTCCATTTCAAGATCCTTAATTTAATTATATTTGCAAAGTCCCTTTAGCCATATAAGGTTAGTATTCACAGGTTCCAGGAATTAGAATGTGGATGTCTTTGGGTGGGGAAGAGGGGGTGGTGGGGACATGATTCTGCCTACCACACCCCCTAGGACTATTTGAGTAAAAATTCCTGAGAAGCATTGAACCTAGAAGTCCTAGAAGGGTTTTAGGAAGGATTCTAAGACAGGGACTCAGTTCCTCAAAGCAGGAGCCTAGTGTCCAGAAAGGGAGCCCACATGAGAAGAACAAAGTCAGTGTTAGAGCAGGTGGAGGTCTGGGTTCTGAGCTGAGGTGTCTTGACTCCACTGAGGCTCAGTTACAGAAGAGGAGTGAGGAGAAGCCTTGGAATTAAGCTCTAACTACCTCCCAACCTCTCTGTATTCATTTTCCCAGGCTGCTGTAACAAAGGATCACAGTCTTTATTACAGCAAAGATGGTTTAAACAACAGAAATGTAATTTGTTCACAGTTCTCAAAGCTAGAAGTCTAAGACAAGGGAGCTGCAGGATTGCTCCTCTGAAAACTGTCTCCTTGGCATACAGATGGCCATCCTCTCCCTGTGTCTTCACATGGTCCTCCCTTTGTGTGTTTATGTTGTGTCTTAATTTCCTGTTCTTATAAGGACACCAGTCATGTTGGGTTAAGGCTTACCTATATGCCCTCATTTTACCATAATTACTCTTAAAGACTCCAGCTCCAAAGTGTCACATTCAGAGATACTAGGGGTTAGGACCCAATATATGACTTTTAGGGAGATACAATTCAGTGCATTCTCAACAATAAACAACATATCAGAGGGTTCTCCTACCCTCGGATGAAACCAGAGACGTGCTTCTTTCTCCTGAAGCCCATTTGAAAACCTCCATGAACCAGGACAGGGATGGAGGATTTCCTATTTCGGAGGAGGGAAGGAAGCCACAGACTCTACAAGTAAACTAAGCACATGATCCCACGAAGGCACATCCAAGGCTCTCTTTTGAAAGTTGATCTTTAACAAAGTTAATTTAGGCTGTGGAGTATTTTTTGGTGAGTTAAAAGATTATTTTTATGCTTCTGCAAATGAGCACATCACACCCCAAAACCAGAGACTAAAACAGCCCTCTTCATTCAACCCCAATGAAAACAGGAATTGTTTGGGAATCTCTTGCCCTAGAAGACAGGGAACATGGGAGTGGGGAGTGGGCGGTGGCATGGACAGCTGGCTTCAGCTCCTGTGCTTTTCATGGGAGAAAGGCAGGCTTATGATAGACAGCTAGAAAATTAACCCACAAGAGACAAGCCAAAGCACCAGGCTCAGAAGGTGGAAGGTTAGAAGGAAGCACATTTCTGTTTTCATATTTTAGGAAAGAGATCTTCAAAATGCTCTCAGCCCTACCTCCCTTTTTCAGGGCATGGTTAATATATGGCAGAGGAGACAGCCATCCTGTGTCCTTTTCTAAACAGTTCCCTGAGAAAACTTCTGCATACACGTTGGCATAAATGACACGTGAGATCTCGCTGATATCCTGGCTGGTGTGCACTGGTGCAGCAGAACTGGTTATTTAAAGGCTGAAATGCTTCCGTTTTGCTTGTGAATAGCCACATCTTCCAGGAACCCCAAGTGCCCCCTGCCACTCAGCCCCTCCCTTGGGAACCCCCTACCTCCCCATAACCAGCCACTAAAGGATTAACACCTCACATAACAGGTGCTCCAGAATTCTACAAAGTGAGTGTCTATTCTGATTCAGCTGTGATAATGCTGTAGTGGTTAAATATTTTGAGTATTCCTCACAGCTGTTAATATCAAACATAAATCTCTCCCACTTTTGTTTAAAACTCATTTTACTGCCCCCTGCCACCTGGGCAATATCCCTTTCCTATCACAAGGCAGTTCTTGTTACAACCTTGTGGGGATTCAATCAGACTGGTGGGAAAAATTTTGGTTATAGAGAATAGCCACAAACCTTCTTGGAAGGCCTGAAGGTTTTTGCAAAAGTCTGAGAATAAGTTTATGGCTTAAGGCAACCTAATCCTTACCTTAAGTAAATAGCTTGAAGTGGGTACAAAGGAAGGCAGAGCAGTTTATCTAACTAGCTTGTTTACTCACGTGGTCTTAAGACCAATATTTGATCATTCTTGAGTGCATGATGGCTCTCTCCGGGGTAGGGGCAACCAGGTTAATTACCCACCAATGTGTTTACTCACAACCTTTGTCAATTAATATTTACTGAATAAATGTGAGTCTCACTGGCAAGTCGAGGCCGTGGCCACTGACTCTGTACAGAACCTTCCTTGGTGTCTGTAAGTGGCACGGACACTCAGCTAGACTGGCAAAGCAGAATATCTGTGCGTCAGGGAACTTTATTCATCTGTCATTGGGTCAGGGTCTGCGGGACGGACCCCGCAAAACCTCACCCTGCCTCTGCTTTTTTAGAGAAAGGAACAAACAAGGGCTTCCCATCCCTACCGTTCCCCACAAAGCCTGGGACACGAACATGACTCCAGCCCAATTGGACGTGAGTCTCTACCTAGACTCCTGGCAAATCATAACAGTGGGGTCCCACAGAATGATTTTCTGCTGAGAAATTTTACATATTAAAGCAATGATTGAAACAACACTGATACAGAGACAATGGGTGAGCAATGCCTGGTGATGAAGAATGAATAATCATAGAACTCCCCGCCAGGCTTCAAAATATTTATTATTTTTTAGAAATTCAAATTACTCCACTGTATGTTATATTGGAAGCCATCATTGTCTGAGGTTTTCCATTTACACAATGAGAAATATCAAAGCAGTTAAAATATGCAATACCTAGGGAATATAAAAGCGATGCTTAAATTAAAATATATTCCATGGCAGGTGTCTTAAAAGAGATGCAAATTATAACAATGAGTTAATATTTTTGTCTAGCCAATCAGAAAAATTTCTGTTTCAAGAGCCAGCCAGAGTTAAGTGACAGAGATACTTTAAGACATAGTTATTAGAAGTGTCCAGTGATTCAATCTTTCTGGGAACAAATTAACGGAACCTTAATTGGTTCTGTATTGATAGTTTTAAAATTCTTTAATTTCAGTAATGGATTCTATTAAAAGCCAATAATCTGTGATGTAGACATTTCATTACAAAGATGTTAAACAAGGTATTGGTTTTCATGGCAAAAAATTGGGGAAAATCTAAATTATCAAGTAAATCATGAGATATCCACAGAATAGAAAACATAGAAGATAAAAATGTTTACAAGTAATCTGAAAGCCTCATGATAAAATGTTAAGCAAATTAAAAGCTATCTATAAAATTATATAGTGTGTATTTGTAAATAAGGTATAGGAAAACAGACTAGAGGGAAATAAACCAAAATGTTAATAGCAGTTGTCTGTGGATGCTGAGAGTAAAGGTGATTTTTATTTTCTTTATACTGCCCTGATTCTCACAAAATCCTCTAAAATACATATGTATAGATTACTTGTATATTAGCTGTGATTTTTTTCAACAGTTCTTAAAGTTCTTATATTTTTGATATATATATACATATATATATATATATGTATATATATATACTGACATATTTACTGATGAACACAATGATGTCTTGGATTTGCTTTAAAATGATCCAGCAGTGGGTCCATGATAAAAATATTTCTTTCAATGCTGCTAAACAGGAGAGAGACAGAGACAGAGAGAGAGAGAAGAGGAGAGGGGAGGGGAGGGGAGGGGAGAAAGGAGGGGAGGGGAGAAAGGAGGGGAGGGGAGAAAGGAGGGGAGGGGAGAAAGGAGGGGAGGGGAGAGGAGAAGAGAAGAGAGGAGTGGAGAAGGGAGGGGAGGGAAGAGAAAAAGAAGAGAGGAGAAGAGAAGAGGAAAAACTAGTATCAATTAACCAAGGCAAAACCAATAGCAAATTTGTTTTTAACTAAAGTGCAAATTTGACCATGAAGGTCTTCACCCAAGGCCTGCCATTTTCAAAATCCCATTCATGGAAGCCATGCACACACCCTAACACCAGAACTACAGCAAGCCTGCCTTTTTCCACAGCTCCACAGCTTCTTCACATCGTTCTGAGTCTACTCACCCAAGTCAGTTAATACTACATTTCCTCAGTCCTACAGATATCTTAGCATTAAAACAATTCGCCAGGAAAATATGTCTTTTTCTTTCACCCCTAGGACAGCAGACTAGCAAGACGATATGGATTTCAAATGCCACTCACTCTTCCTGGGCAGGTATTCCTAATTTGAAGAGACAAGATAGAGCAGGAGACATTCAGCCATTTGTGACAACAAAACGGAAATCTGCAAAAAGCTCAATGTTTGATGGTAAGAAATGCCATCCAGAGGAGAATTTGGAAGCTTTCAAGACCACTCAAGACTGGCAGCCTTGAGGAACAGGTTAAGAGGAGAGGAAGGCTTAGATTGTGAACTCAATTCTGCTCCTCCATGAGCCAGCCTTCCCTCTACAGCTCATCTTCAGCTGTGGGGGATGACAACCTGTAGGGGCAGGCACCCAGGACACAAGCCTCTTCCAGACCAGCTCTCCAATTTGACCCCAGATCCCTACCCTCAGACCTGTGGATGAAGCTGTCCCTCCTCTGCATTCCCATGGTCCCGTGAATACAATCATACTGCACTTGCATTATGAGTCTCTCCAGCTAGATTCTGAAACAAATTGATAACAGATGCATCCACAAAGCATTTTGGTCCAAGGACAAAGCCAAGAAATGTATGAAGAATGAACATACATTTGACCTGTGAACAACACACTGCATGCGTCTACCTATACGCAAATTTCTTCTCCCTCTGCCAACCCCTGAGGCAGCAAGACCAACCCCTCCTCTTCCTCCTCCTCCTCAGCCTCCTCAATGTAAAGACAAGGATGAAGACCTTTATGATGACCCACATCCACTTGAATAGCAAACATATTTTCTTCCTTACGATTTTCCTTATGATCTTCTTTTCTATGGCTTACTTAAGAATCTACTATATAATACATATAGCATAGAAAATTTGTATTAATTGACTGTCTATGTTATTGGTAAGGCTTCTGATCAACAGTGGGCTATAGTTTATGGGAATCAAAAGTTATACATGGATTTTAAACTGCATGGGGGTTAATGCAACTAGCGCCTGCATTATTCAAGGATCAACTGTGTTTAATAAACCAATAAATAAATCAAATCCAAGGAAGTCTATGAAAGGGTTTCAGAGGGTCTGTGATCCCCTGAAATTGCACATAATTTTGACTGCATGTTTATGAACACGCACTCCTCTGGAAGGGTCCGTAGCCTTCATTAGATTTTAAAGTGGTCCCCAACTCCCCCCAAAATCACCCCAAATTATCTTAAATTCTTTGAGTGAGTTTGTGAGCCAAGCTTCAAGGTGTCAGTGATTTTTGGAAATCACAACTTACATTTTAGAGTGAGTTTATTTTTGTTTTGGCAAAAGAGTCACTGTTAGGGACCAATGGAAACAATTAACCTTTTTCAAGTCAGGGATTGTAGTTTTCAAGTCAGGGATTGTAGTTTAAGAGAAGATCCTTTCCATATGCCGACTTCAGCAAAAAAAAATCACAAACAGAAAGAAATTTCCATTCCAATTAATATTTTCCCTCCTGAAATGGGTAACATAGCCACCTCCATGGAAGGGAACCTGAGTTCGAAGATCTACGATGCATTAATGGAGCAAATATTCTTTCTCTGAATGCTCTATTGTATTATTTAGGTTTTTTCGCTCTGTACATCAACATCTATTTCAAAGTTTAAAAAATGGAGACAATATATCAATTGCCATCCCATGGAAAGTTCCAAAATTTGAACAGAAAGTGAAAGCATTTGGAAAGCAATTTCAGGTTCGTTTTTCTTTGGGGGGATGTGGGGGAATAGGAGAAGTGGATAAACAACAGAATAGTATCTAGAGTATTTTCTGCCATAAGCAGATGTTCCAAATGCAGGAGAATACAACTGACTAAAAAGAATAATTTGTCAACTGAAAAACCAGAGAGGAGTCTGGCTGGCTCTTTAGAATACAAACATATTACTACAGTAAGATGTGCAAAACAAGCTGAATATACTTTATTAAGTAATAATGATTAACCTGATACAAGTGCAAAAACACCCCATTTCGAGATCATTGGCAATTATTCTAAACATTGTCTTCTGTAGATGAGCTTCTTAGCCAAAAACATTTTCACTAGTAAATATGAGGCCGGCTGACCTACTTATGTTTTTATTTATATATGTGTGTGTGAGTTGATATATACATAGGTTGTCTGCTTTTCAAATATCTTCTACCTTCAGGATAATGTAAAGTCTTTTGGGAACTTGAGGTGATGATGCAGGGATTATAAATTCCTCCTCCATGCCAGGCAAATTTATACTGAATTACTCACACACTTGGAAAAAGTGAGGATGTTGGTTTTCAGCCAAATGCTTGGCCTAAAGCACCAAGGCTTGGAGATCTTTTTTTAAAAATCAAGGATTTGAGAGGTACAGAGTGTTTGAATAAGAAAGAGCCTCAGAGGTGACCCAACCCAACCTTGCAAGCCCAATTTTCCACCTCATTCCTGAGGGACAGACAGTCACTGTTAGCTCAATCATATCCTGATATAGCCTTCCTATTCCATGAATCCTCACAGTCTTCTGTTAGAGACCTAATTGCCGAAGCTTATTCCTCATATCAAGATGAAACTTTACTCCTTATAGTTTCACTCTTGGCCAGGTGCCGTGGCTAACGCCTGTAGTCCAGCACTTTAGGAGGCCAAAGCGGGTGGATCACCTGAGGTCAGGAGTTCAAGACCAGCCTGGCCAACATGGTAAAACCCCATCTCTACTAAAAATACAAAGTTAGCTGATGGTGGTGGCAGGTGCCTGTAATCCCAGCTACTCAGGAGGCTGAGGCAGGAGCATCACTTGAACCCAGGCGGCAGAGGTTGCAGTAAACCAAGATCGTGCCATTGAACTCCAGCCTGGGCGACAAGAGCAAAACTCTGTCTCAAATAATAACAATAATAATAATAATAATAATAATAATAATAATAATAATAATAATTTCACTCTTATGTCTGTCCCCAGAACAATAACAAAATTAAGACTTAACCTTCTACCTTGTAACAGCCCATGGAGTATCTGAACACTTCTCCCATATCCCCTCTGAGATTTCCCTTCTCCAGGCTAAACATCCCTAAATACTTCTTCTGAAACTCTTAATATATTTCATTTAGAGTCTACGCAATCCTAAAGGCCCTTTTTCTGCATGCATTGCAATTTTTCAACGTCCATCTTTAGATATCACTCCTCGGAACTAAGTGCAATGCTACATATAATGGTGTTAGTGTTGCTGGAGACATCACCAGTTGTACCACTGAAGCATCACCCCACACCCTTGCTAACAGAAGCAATTTTGCTCAGTGGCAATTACCCATTCTCAGAGAGGAATCCTGGATCTCTATCATTGTTGTTTGAGCAGTGGGAATGTGACCCAGTTCTGGCCACTGACATGTAAGAGGAAGTCTACTCCAATGAAAGGATAGAGGCCCTAGAAGAAGGCTTATTTTTCTCTCCCTTTTTTTCCAGTTTTGAATGCTAGGAGGTGAAGGTGTGATGGCTGGAACAGAAGCAGCCATATTGTGACTCAGATAAACCAGCAGCTGAGGAAGGCAAAGTAGAAGAATGGGAAGGATCTGAGTCCTCAATGTGACATTAAGTCACTAAGCTAGATCTGAGGCTCCTTACTAAGCAAAAAACTGAATGTCTTTAATGGTTTAAGACACTGTTGGTCAAAGACTCTGTTACTTGCACCTGAAAGCACTCCAAACAACAGAAGAGGTATAATGGAGCTATCACCTCCCTTGATTTAAACATTATATTTCTATAAATGTGGCCTCCACTTTTTATAAGGCCACAACGTATGTGGCCTCCACATATATTTCTAGATATGTGGCCTCCACATATCCCCACTTAGGATCTGCTGAGCTTCTGGTCAATACAAAATAAACAAACAAACAAATAAAAAGTCTGTATTTGAGCACCATGATCTCAAATACTCACAGAAACCATATCATTAACATAAATGTATGAATCACCCTAGATATGGGATAACAGAGTGGGGACAGCTGTAGTGAATTTGAAAATGCATGCTGTCTAAAGACATTAAAATTCAAGCATTTAAAAATGCTGTACTGGTGAAACAAAATGCATCTATGAGCCAGATTCAGCGTGCAGTACACCGGTTCATGACCCTTGCAAAAACCATTCCCAAGTGAGTTGGATGTGATAGTTGGAACAGAGGCAGCCACATTATGACTAAGTGAGTTGCAAAGTCTCACATCCCCCTTTCTGCAATAGTGAAAATTCTTCTTCAAACTATTGAGAGAGGTTGGTCAAAAGGCACCAACTTCCACTTGTAAGGTAAATAGGTTCTAGAGACCTAATGTATAGCATGGTGACTGGTGATAGCATGGTGACAATACAAAAATATATTGTATACAGGCAATTTGCTAAGATACCACATCTTAAGTAATCTCATCACACAATAAATGTAACCATGTGAGGTAATGGATATGTTAATTAGTTTGATGGTGACAATCATCTCACATTTACTTGTATATCAGAATATCATTTGGGGCTGGGGACGGTGGCTTATGCCTGTAATACCAGCACTTTGGGAGGCCAAGGGAAGAGGATTGCTTGAGTCCAGGAGTTCAAGACCAGCCTGGGCAACATGGTGAGACCCCCGTCTCTACCAAAAATTTAAAAATTAGCCGGATATCATGGCACACGCCTGTGTTCCTAGCTACTTGGGAGGCTGAGATGAGAGGATCACCTAAGCCCAGGAGGTTGAGGCTGCAGTGAACTATGATCATGCCACTGCACTCCAGCCTGGGCAACAGAGTGAAACACTGTTTTCTTTAAAAAAAAAAAAAAAAAAATTGTGTTGTACACCTTTAATATATACAATTTTTCTTTGTCAGTTAACCTCATTAAAGCTGAGTGCGGTATGGGGGGAACCTCCAGTGCAGTCTTTAGAGTGACTCCATCACTTCAATCTGAAGTTTTGAATTTTAATTCCATCATCCAACATCTTAATCCTTTTAGTCAAGACAACCAAAATATGAACATCAAAATCTGTTATTTGTCTTGCATCTGAGCCCCTTCCCTAAATCAAATGTATTCGTAGTCATTAACTTGAAAGGGTAATAAAATAAGAGCAAAAGAATAAGAACCCAAAGCCCTAGGTTCTAGTTACAGCTTTGAACAATGCACAAATTACTGCAACTCCCAGATCCTTTATTTCCTCATCTGAAAATAGAGATTCTTTAAACAAATACCGTTGGAGCTGCCAGGTTTCCCAGGCTATCACTGAGTTATTAATCCTTGGCAGAGATAAAATGAGAAACTATATATGTCCACACTCTAAATCCCTAAGCCTCGTGCAAACATATGGTCCAGTTGGTGGAGTCATTTAGTGCAAAGGTCAATGAGATAGTCTTCTCCTGCGATCACTTTCATGCTGGCCACATTTAGCTTCCGTTTGCCAGGATAAAGCTCTCAGCAAGTCCTACAAAGGCAAAGGAAGCTTCTGATTGTCTCAGTTAAGAAAATACAAATCATTTCATGTTAGACCCTCCACTTCTGACAGTTCTGTGGGATTCACTCCCAGTTTCTTTCAGAGCATACCCTCATGTAACCACATCATCCTTAATCACTCTTTCTGGTTATTAAAAAGTACATGTACACTGGAGAAAAATAAAAACTAAAAAATGCAGACACAATAACAATAGCATTCCTGTAATAAGCATTTATTATAAGGTAGGCACTGAGACATGGACTAATATCCATGATGTCATTTAAATCTCACAACTCTACAAAGTGGATGCTATTATTGTTCCCATTTTAGAGATGAAGACATTGAGGCTCAAGATATTAAGAACTTCCCCATGATCACCCAGCCAGTAAGAGGTGGAATCCCTGAATTTAAATTCAGGCAATCTAACTCAAAGTACAATATATTAACCACTTGATAATGACATTCTTTAAAAGATTAAAGCAGCCATGAGTCTACCACCCCAAAGATAACTGCTATTCATATTTTGGTATGTTTGTTGCCAGTCTTTCCTTGATGAGGCACAAAATTTTCAGAGCTGGAAGAGATCTTAGTGATAATTTTGTCCCAAATCCTCATTTTGCAGGAGAACCAGAGGTTCAGACAGGTGAAGGGCCTTTTCTAAGGTCACACAGGTATTTTTGAAAATTGAATTTCATTCTTCAGACTCTTTGTCCAAGGTTTTCTTGGATCTTCCAACTCAAGTTGATTCATCATGGCTGCCTGGAGTACTGTGTTGAGAAGGCCTTAAGGCCAGTGGGCTCAACAGGGCCAGGTGTTATAGGAGATTAATGATGGCAGCAGTGAACATGGCATCCATGGTTGCATACATGCCATAGATCTGCCGTCTTATCCAGGAGCAGCCCCTGGAAGAGCTACTTCCCTCACCTACATCATAGGCCTCACAGCCAAGTGCCTTCAGGATACTGTGTATGTAACATAAATGAGTGAAGTGAAGTGAAGTGAAGTGACTTTGGGGAATTTAAGAAAGGAGGGGCACCTGTCCTGTCCCAGGATGGCAGTGGGAGGGCAGGGATCGTGGCAGGTGGGGTTGGGGGATGAGATTCATCTCCAGCCAACTGTTGCCATAGGGGGAATCGGGGCCAGTATGGCCAGGCCTTCTGACTGTTTCAAAGCAGCATGAAGTTTGGATTTTCTTTTCAATGGGATGTCTTCCAACTTTAAAATGTTGGCAAAGAATTAGAAGTTGAAAGATCAAGGATGGGGGATGCAGGACAAACAAAAGACACCAATTAATAACCTTATAATGTCTCATTTATGTGATGACTTATCAGAGGCTACCAACTCTCTATTACAAACCAGAGATTCAGTTCCTGTTTCTCTTCTGCACAGCCCTCTTTCTCTCTCTTTCCCCACTCACTCTGCCTACAGTAGCATTTTCCATCTGAGGCTATGAGAAAGAAGATAAACACCGCTGCAAACCCACCAGACCACAGCTCTTCAGGGCCCAAACGATTGTCAGCAACCCCTGAGGGCTACTTGGAGTGTGAGTCACGCTACCGGGAGGACGCCTGTTGGTCTCTGATGACTTAAGTGAGGAGGTGTTGATGATCGCATCTGACATGCCTCATGGAAAAGACTAAAGATAGGTCTCCCCACTCTCCCAGGAACTACCTGATGCCTCTTTAGCAGGAGCTGAGTGGGCTCCACCAACATTCCGATCTGTGCGTCTGCCCTTTTCGAGAGCTCTCAGTGTTTAATGGGAAGGCCCATCACTCGCATCCAAACTCTGGAGCTGCCAGGTTACAAGAGCACCAACTTCCACCTCCTGCTGATGAGCTGTTACTCAGCAGTTCTCTACAGGCCTTTCGTATGTAACCCCCCAATTTATGCTAATCCTCAGGATGGCTGGTAATTATCTGCCCACTAGAGAGAAGAGAAAAATTGGCAAACACCTATGAAATCAGTCAGCATTGAGGGAACAAACACTGCACGAATGCCCTGAACCATATTGTGATATGTTCATCCGGAAGCTCCAACAAGCTGGCATCGGAGCCAATGACTAGATTCATTCAATCAACAAACATTTACCGTGTAACAAACGCAAAGGGCAGGACAAGTGTGAGGTACTGAAAAGGATGCCCCTATGGAGCACAAATGAATATTATTAATGGTGGAAAAAGAGAGAAATTGTTAAAATAATTGTGGTATGAACTGAACACTCTGCAGCCATTGAAAATCAAGTTTAAGAAGTCTATGTAGTGATAAAGGAAAATTCCAAGAATACATAATCAAGTTTAAAAAAATATATAAAAGCAGGTTGTGAAATAAAACGGGGTCAAAATCCGAGTGAACACACTCAGTAACCTTCCTTTTCTGCTCCTAAGACATAGAATTTTTAAAGAAACCTTTAGTTATTTTTAAATTTACATAGTATTGCTTGCAAATAAGAAAAGAGAATCACAGATCAAAAATAGAGAGTAATCCCTAAAAATAAATGAACTGAAAGACGGGACTCTAGGGTTTCAAGTAGGAATCAAAGCCACATAATCCATGGAGGATAGGTCCAATATGAGCCATGAGAACAGAGGTGTCAATGTCCATCCAGGGAAAAAGGGGAAGAACTGGACCTAGAATCAGGCTGCTAGCTGTGGATGGTGCTGGAACATCTGCACCATCCACCATTAGTCACAGCCAAAAAGCAGGACCCTATCTGTGTCAAGGAGCCAAAATGAAGTCACCTACATGAGATGGACTCCTAAGCCTGTACCACAGGCCACGTAGAATGGGAAGAGAGTACAAACCTGAGCTGCTGACATGGGCTCTGGCTTAAAATACACACCCTCACAGATACAGGGCATAAGAAATCATAAAGTTGCCTTGAAAATAAGTTCACAAACAAAAATTAAAGAACATATGTGAACATCCAACTAACTGATTCTACAAATGAAGGACTTCACAACTGAAGAAGGAAAGATGCTAGAGCAATCAGAGAAGAACTTTATAATACATATTTTTTAATCTTTGAAGGGACAGGGGAGGGAGTTACATGCACAAAGTGAGAAGAGTTTTTCATTATTTATAACACAAAAAAACAGGGAGGTGTAAAGAGGAACCAATTATTATCTTGGAAATAAAGTATATCCTTGTTGAAATCTATAACTCAACAGATAGTCAAAATAATAGACCATCCATGCTGTTTCTTTCTAAAATAAAATAATAGACCAGACACAAATGAAATGATGTAGTTAACTGGAGTATAGAATTGAAGAAACCTTCCCAAACACAGCACAAACAGAGAACTGGAAAAAAAAAAAAACAAGATACATGGAGAATTGATTGAGAAATTACACATATATATATAGTACAGTCATGTGCTGCATAAGGAGGTTTAGGTCAACAATGGACCACAAGTACACAATGCTGGTCCCATAAGATTATATTCTAAGTTTTTGCTGTACCTTTTCTGTGCTTAGATATGTTTAGATACACAAATACTCACCAATGTATTACAGTTGCTTACAATATTTAGTATAGCATTCATACAGTAGAGTATGCTGTAGAGGCTTGTAGCCTAGGAGCAAGAGCCTATAGCTCATAGCCTAGGTGTGTAACAGACTATACCACCTAGGTTTGTGTAAGTGCACTCTGTGATGTTCACACGATTAAATCACCTAACGATCCATTTCTCAGAACGTGTCCCACCATGAAGCAACGCATGACTATACATATGCATGTATATTCAGAAGGAGAGAATAGAAAGAATGATGGAAAGAAAGAATCCAACAGATAGCGGCTGAGATTTTCTCCAGAATTAAAGAAAATCTTGAATCCTCTAAGAAAGTCCACAGAGGGCAAAGCACAATAAGAAAAACCATATATACTATAAAATCCTGAGCATGCAACTAAATAGATAAAAGGAAATACACCAAAGTGTCAGTAATGTTTACCCATGGTGATAGGATTTGGAGAGAGATTTTTATCTTCTTTAAATTTCAATGTATTTCCTAAGTGCTCTACAATGAAAAGGCATTATTTTTATATGTCTGCGGAGGAGAGAAGCATTTGTCATGTCAAATACACATATACAGATAAACAGTTTTTTTAAAAATCTGCCCTCAAACGACTTACACTCTGGCAGAAGACATGAGGCTTGCATAGGAATAACATAGAAAACGAAACCCAAGTGATAACTGGCATGGATGGATATAGCTAAAATCTGAGCCTCGTCTTTTCCTGCATGGAGCAATTAGGAATATGGGGAGAAGTGATGGGGGGTGAGAGGGTTAAGGACACTGAGCAGAAGTGTAAAGATCTAGCCCATATTCTGGGCTTACCAGGGACTATTACTGCAGCTGGAGTGTATTTCACTTAGACAGGGTCAAAATGGCCAAGCCAAGATAAGATTAGAACTTCATCTACATCGAGCATTATTTTCACCTCTTATTTATTGATTTTAATTTTCCTTCTTTTTTTTTTTTTTTTTTTGAGACAAAGTCTCACTCTGTCACCCAGGCTAGAGCGCAGTGGCATGATGTTGGCTTGCTGCAACCTCCACCTCCCAGGTTCATGCAATTCTCCCTGCCTCAGCCTCCTGAGTAGCTGGGATTACAGGGGCCTGCCACCACATCCAGCTGATTTTTGTATTTTTGTAGAGATGGGGTTTAAGCATGTTGGCCAGGCTGGTCTTGAACTCCTGACCTCAGGTGATCCACCCGCCTTGGCCTCCCAAAGTGCTAGGATTACAGGTGTGAACCACCTCGCTCAGCCTTATTTTCACCTCTAATTTAGTTATATTGCAAGACTACCCAATGATGCGAGCAAAACATTAGCACCTCCATTGTAAATTAAATTAACACCACAAAAATCCACCACATTTGCATGACATTTCAATTGTTATAAGGCTTTGTTATTTTCTTCAATGGTCAAGTAGACAGACAGAAGGAAAATGTGGCACATACACACCATGGAATACTATGCAGCCATAAAAAAGGATGAGTTCATGTCCTTTGTAGGCACACGGATGAAGCTGGAAACCATCATTCTCAGCAAACTAACGCAAGGACAAAAAACCAAACACCGCATGTTCTCACTCATAGGTGGGAATTGAACAATGAGAACACTTGGACACAGGAAGGGGAACATCACACACTGGGGCCTGTCATGGGGTGGGGGGAGGGGGGATGGATAGCACTAGGAGATATACCTAATGTAAATGACGAGTTAATGGGTGCAGCACACCAACATGGCACATGTATACATATGTAACAAACCTGCACGTTGTGCACATATACCCTAGAACTTAAAGTAAAAATAAAAATAAAAATAAAAAAAGTTAAAAAAATGTGTGTGTGTGTGTTCATTTTAACTGATAACCAAATTGACTACTATTCTTACCAGCAGGGGCACTATCATGTTGCCAATGTAGAAGTAAATATAACACACGTGTGTTCTGGATGACTTTACCAAATCAACATCATTTTAACAGGAGGCAGAGGCCTTGTCAATCTAGGAAGGTTGAGGCTGTAGTCATAATACCATTTGCAAGCGAGGCAAGGCAGAGTTTTAAACAATGCACCGTGACTGTTTCTTTGGAGACAAATAAACTCAATGTTCAGCTCTAAATGAAACATGTGGCAGAAGCACAAGCCATCTATATATGTTACTAATGGAAGGAAGGGCTGTTCACCTCTCAGACAATCTCCTTTCTAAATACATCCCCAGTTTCTCAAAATACGACCTTTTAAACCAACTTCTCTTGGTATCACCCAACTCCTCTCAATATCACCGTTCCACATGGGGACCAGACATATACCCCGATGTTACCTCCACTGAGCTCTTTGCTTCCCTGCCACCTTGCCTCATCTCCCTACAGTTCCACCAGAATCACAGAGAGTGGCCAATGTCTCCAAGACCAACTCTGAAAGTCCCAACAACAATCAGGAGTATCGAATCCCCTCCTCCATTTTTGAACCAATGGACCCTTTCATTCTTCTTCTCTCCAACCCCTCTTAAGTCTCTATTCTTTATTTCTCTGGAAATGTCTTTTCTCATCTTCCTCTTGCCCTTTCCTGATTCCTTTTCTCTTCTTACTCTTAAGTGAGGTCACATTTTGGTCCACATCCCCAAAACGCAGTTTCATCCCAAAGGAGAGAAGAATGTTTCCACCCATACTCCCTGGACTTCTCAAAACTTTCTTTCTAATGCCCCCTTCAAGGGAAGAACAGTTGCTGGTCTAGTTGGTCACAACCTGCCATTCACTGGGTCAAGATTCACTAGCAGGCAGGGTCACTGCCTATCAAGGGGGTTCCCTTCCATGACCCTACACTCTTCCGGCTTCTCTCTGCCTACGTTCGGATGAATGAGTCACATGACAGCCTGAGCCACACACCTATCGACTGAGACTTAGAAGTAAGAGCCAAAGCCTACCCGGAACCTCCCAGTCTCACACCACCTTTTCCAATTCAGCTTTTCCCAGATTTCTCCATTGGGTTGTGCCAAACCCTCATGGATCCAGAAATTTCACTTTCAGTATGGTTACTGTTTCCAGTCTATCACTCCTTTAGAAAAACTCAAGAAGGAAGAAGGGATCCGTGGTAATATTTAAATCCCAAAATCATACTCCAAGGCGTGGCTGGAAACTGGCTGTTCTTCTCCCTCAATGCCTTCTTTAGAAGATTGGCCCCTCCCATACAAAAGCCCTCTAGGCTGTGATTCATCATAGCTCTCCATGCTCAGCCCCTCCCACAAAATGAAACTGATCCCTTGTCCCTCCTGAAGATGGATGACATCATTAAAGTATGGGCTTGATTTAGTGGAATGGAAGATCACACCTTGGGATCAGAAATTCAGCTACCTAGCTACATCAGCCACTATGTGGTCTTGGCAAATTCCCTTAACTCCCCTATGGCTCAGTCACTTCATCTGAAAGTTACAGCATGCTCCAAGAAACCCTAAGATGCTCTCCAGTTCTGAAATTGTCAGTGGTGGCAGAGCATGGCTAGTCCCTACTCTCTTCTTCCCAGACAGGAGCCCCCCAAAACTGAGAAGTGACTGGGAAAATGCTCAGCTACACACAGGAATTCTGCTAGCCTGCAAATCATTTAAAATGAATGTTTAATAAGACACTGCATCAATTGTGTGCTACAGCTGAATGTGCTGCAGCCCAGGAGACCTGAAAGAATTAATACGGTTACCAAAGGAGCTGGTAGGAATCGCTGAAACAGAAGCAAAAGCTGATGTGATGAATATAAAAGTGCTTTGAGAGCATCAAAAGGAAAGCGCTACAGTGAATGTCTGCTCACTCCACTAGAATATCTCCTGCCATCTAAGGAACACTCTCCAAGAAGGTCTCAGGGCTAGAGGCTATGGCACACAAGTACACTTACTCTTTCCTCGCCTTCTGAACTCCCAATCTTTTCTCAGGACTTAGAGGACAGTACACACACAACTCCAATCTTTCCCTTTTTTCTCATTCCTCACTTTACTTCTTCATTCCAGCCTTCTTCCTTCCCTCCACTTCTGTGTAATTCCCAAACCAGGCTGTCATAACATCGCCTTCAAATCTTCAAATCTCTCTCCCTTCTTCTCCAAACCAAAGCTCCCAGGCTGTCCACAAAAAAGACCCTCCCTCTCATTCAGAGCCAACTGATTTTTGTACACTCTTTCTTGCATTTTGAGACTCTCCAACTTTAGTACCAAGACCCATCTTTGTTCAGGAGCCAACTCCTTCATCTGAGGGCCTTGGAGCCCCAGACAAAGAACACGTAAGGAAAATGCCAGGCCCTCCATGCTCTGGGTTTGGAGTTAATTCTTTCCACTCCCACCCACTCCCCTTGAGGAACGGGTCTCTCCTCCGCTCCTCTGGCCCAGGGCTTCTCAAACTCCCCACCTCTGTTCCTCTAACTGCAGAGTCAGAGGAAGCATGACATTTTTTCTGCCCTTTTGTGCTTTACCTAAAAACTTTGCATTTTCTTCCAGAACCTACCCACATTTAATAATTTTTAGAAATAGTTTTAGTCACTTACCATAAGAGGAAAAAATGGACATTTTCCCACAAAACAATCAGGTAAAACTGGCATTGTGAAAATAGGAAGCATATGTCTCCAGTGCTCCTGGGCCCACCTCTGTGCCCCATGGTACTCGTAAATCTCCAAACATGCCACCACCGCCACCACCACCACCCCACAGCCTACTTCTCAGTTTTCTGAGCGCTTCCTGGCACACACACACCAAAGTGCTCCTGTGTACACCATTTTCAGAAACAAGGCAAAAGGCATTTCCATTCATTTCTGGGTTGGAGAGGCAAGACCTGGTTCTCACCAGGGCCAGTGGCCACGACCCTCCCACCCCCACCCCCACTTCACATCAAGACAGATTCTAGGGGCGTCCGAAGACCTGCAGCAGCTGCCATGCAGCTGGTGGCTTCCCAGGTCCTGGCAGGGCATCAGTTTCCGGCCTTACCTTGTCAGCCATGATCATAGATGCGCCCCCATGAATGCCCAAGATGGGGACGAAGGTGTGGGAGGAGATAAAATCCAGCATCTGGGCTACGGCCTCCTGGTCCGTGTCGTCCCCAAACACGAGGCCGTGGATGCGTGCCCCGGACATGAGGTCGCACACGTGCGTGATGAGGCTCTTGGGGTCGGTGCGGTTCATCAGCAGAGCTACCACGTTCACGTCCAGGGGCAGCCCCGCCGCCTGCTCGGGGCCCCACAGTGTTCGAAGTTCGCGCTCTGTCACGTCGTGGCTGTGACCCAGCATCACCGCAATATTTAGCGCGGGGGGACCCTTCTCCGCCGCCGCGCTCGGCGCCGGACCGCGCCAGACCAGAAGGGCCGGCAGCACCAGCAGGGTCCAATAGCCCACTCTGCCCATAGTCGCCACTGACGGTCCCTGCAAGGTGAAGAGTGAGAGGCAGGGCCGCGGTGAGCAAGGCGACCAGAAGAAAGGGATTACCAACTTGGCTTCCTGCTCTAGGAGCCAGGCATGGAACTCAGCAGCAGGATAGGCTGCTGGGATCACGGACTCCATTCCGAGTCCCCGACGCCATCCACATCCCTCGATCCATCTCTAACTCTATCCACAACTCCAATTCGAGCTAATTCTCCATCCCCCAGCCCCTTCTCGCATCCAGCTTCCTCATCCCCTGTCTCCAGGCACTTCCCCATCCCCATCTCTGTCCATATCCCCCACCGCATTCCCCAAGTTCGCCGCGGGCCACAGACCCTAAGCGCCGCGCGTGTTCTGTACCCCACCAAGCTCCTAGGTGCACAGAATAAACCCTCCATCCAACCCCTCCCACCTGGGATAGAGAGGACCAAGTTATCAACCCCGCCCCCTGCTGGCGCGGAGCGAACTACAGACCCCGCAGGGCGTGCGGAGGCGGCACCCAGACCCCGCGTCCCAGCTTGAGAGCTCAGCTAGTTGGCTGACCCCGCCCCCTACGAGCCCGTCGTGTGCACCACACACTTTGCTCTACGCCCAGCCCCAACTACAGACCCGGCTCCTCTCAGTCAGAGTACACCCCAAGTGCTTGGGAGTGAGGACGCTGCCTGGTGGGCCCAGGCTCCGCTGTGCCTGGGGAACTTGGGGCTCGCCCCACCTCGAGCCAAGGGGCCGTGGAGAGTCCTTCACCCCTACACGCGCGCGTGCACACACACGTGCACACACACACGCACACACACATGTTCACACACACACACCCTCTCTCACGCGCGCCGTGTGCAATGCTGAATTCTGGAGAGTAGGCGCGTCCCCCCGCGGGCCAGCGCGTAGGAGCTGGCAAAGAACGTGCGTAGGGGGAAAGGTAGGCTCCCAAGAAGCTCCCAGACGGACGTGGACTGTACAGCCCCTCCCTAGCCTTTCTACTGCGGGCGCTGTTGCCAAGTCCTAGGTGCACGTGGGCAGTGGGCCGCACACGCTCATAGGCACGCGCGCTTTTCTGCGCACTTCCTCAGACTGCTGTAGCGGTGCCCACGGCCAGCCGGAGTCCTCACATGTCCTCAGGTGGTGCACACGCATGAACTGCGGCAGGTGCACAGCCCTGCGTACCTGCAAATACCAGCACGGTCGTGCACGCGTGCCCTGACGCGCGCCTCTCGGGACGGACGCTGCTGGAGCCGGGGGAAGTTGAGGCGAACTCCAAGAGGCCTCGACGTTCCTGGGTAAGCGCCGCGGAGCGCGGAGCCGCAGCGCCCCCTGGTGCCCCTCCTGCACTTCGCCGCTGGGCTCCCTCCCGCTTTCCCTCTCCCTCTCTAGCCTGATCCCTCTCCCGCTCTCCCTCCGGTCGAGTCTCCCTCCTCCCCGGCCCAAGGAGCCCTGATCTCCCTCTGGGACGTACCTGTAGCCCGAGAAGGTCGAGGATGCAGTGGGGCGCGCTGCGCGCACGAGCATCTCGGCCGCCTCAGCAGCCACCGGGTTTAGCGGGTTCCCGCATGCTGCGGCCCCAGCGCGCTCCCCTGGCTGTCCCGCGCTGTCCGCATCGCCCCCACGGGGGGCGGCTATCCCAGCCGGAGGCTCTGCAGCAGGGCTCTAACGGGGCGGAGGAGAGAAGGAGAGGCAGGGTCAGCCCACCAACGAGGGGAGGGAGGGTTGAGGGGAAGGCTGCAGTCTGCAGTGCTCACAAGCCCCCCTATGCGCCCAGGGGGGCTAGACAAGAGGGGGGAAGCTGAAGCCCGATGCCCACGACGCCCCCAGTGCGGATCCTCAGCCCCTGTGGCTGATAGCGGGAGCTCCACTCCAGGGTGCACAGGAGAATGGGAGCCCCAGGTTGGCCACCCACGAGAAGCTAACTGGGCACCTCCACCCGCACCCCCTACCACCTCCCCAGCGCCGGCTGCTGGGAGTTGTGCGACCGGGAGCTGCTGAGCGAGGGAGGTAGGGAGAGAAAGAGGAGGTAACGAGGGTGGGGGGGCGCTGGCTGAGTTTGTGACGAGCCAGCAGTAGGAGAGGGGGAGGGAAGGACGCGGGCTCCCGCGGTCCCGGTTCCCCGAGGGAGGTGGATCTTTCCCACGCAGCGACCCTCTTGTGATCCTGCCGCTTCCTCCCTCTTCAGGCCTCCCACCTCCCCCCTTCCCAAGGGGGCCTCCCAGGCCCGGCGTCCCGCGCTAGCACTCACCGCAGCCTCTCTCCACATAGTTCTCAGCAGTGGCCGCTCCTGGTCATCTCCAGGGCTGATGGCTGCGGCCGCGATTCTCAGCGCTCACCCGGTCCCATGATCCGGCCAAGCCCTAGGAGCTCCCCTCCAAGATCCCTAGCTCCGCTTCCTGCCCCACTCCGGACGGCAACTGCCCGGTCCTCTGAGCGCGCCGGAGCACCCTCTCCGCAACCCAGCTCCGGGCTGGTGTGTTTGAGGGCGAGTGTGTGTGTGAGTGTGGGAGCGCGCTCGCGTGTGGCCGGGGATCCCCGCGGTCCCCGGCCGAGAGAGGCGCGGGCGGGGAAAGGCAGCTCCCTCCGGGCCCTTCGCTGCTGGGCCAGCTCCGCGCCGGGCGTTCGGCTCCCCACTTCCCAGCGGGAGTCCGGTGAGCGCCTGGACACCCTGGTTCACAGCACTGGCAAAGCCGGGTTCCCGGGGCGTCTTTCTGCTGCGGTCGCCTCCGAGGAAGAGGAGAAGGAAGGTAGCGGCGCCCTCCACACCAACTTAGGGACTTGTTCTCAGCCGGCGAGACGCAGTAGCCCCCGCTCAAGCCCAAGAGGCTTCGAGCTCCGGCGGGCGAAAGCGTCTCCTGCCCGCAGCCTCTCTCCTAGGTGGGTCGAGACAGACCCCGCAGTCCCTCGGCGGCGACGCGGAGCGCGGCCACCCGTTCCGAGAGCGCACGGCGGCAAATAAGGCCAGGATAGGTGGCTGGCTGGCGACGGGGGCGCCTGCGGCGGCGCGCGCTGCTGTCCGTGGTGTTGGAACCACGCTCTCCGCCCGCTCCCGGGCGTCTGGTGCGGCTGAAGAATCAATTATTCAGATCTCTGCTACCGCTTCCTCCTCCCCCAGTGCCTCGCGCTGGGTACAGTTATCCCCCTCCACGCACAGGCGCGCCGACACACACACACACACACACACACACACACACACACACACAGAGTCTGCTCCAATGCTTCTCCCTGTGCCTCGCCACCCCCGTACGGGAACCCACTCCTCTGATCTCAGGGAGCCAGAATCCTAAAAGCAAAGACATCTGCATTTCCCACATGCTTCCTTCTAAGTTCTACCAAACAGAAGCCTCCCTGAGGCTGCCACTTCTAAGCTACCAGAAGAGGTGAGCCAGAGAACATGGGACGGCCCGGGTGTGTGAGGGCTTGGTTGACTTGAATTCTAGCGACTGGGCATGAAATACATGGTCAAGGGAGGAGCTCTGCCCCTTTTATATTCACCTGTATCTCCAACGCCTGTCTGCCTTTCAGGCCTTGGAAGGAAAGGGGTCTTAAATTCTAAGAGGTTTTGCAATGACTGTTCCAACCCTGCCTCCTCCACTTAACCTAATGTCACCTGCTGCGGTCTAAATGTGTGTGTTCCCACCCCCAAATTCATAGGATAAAATCCTAACTCCCAAGGTGATGGTATTAGGAGGTGGGGACTTTAGGAGGTGACTTCATGGCTTCATGAGAGTAAAATGGGATTTGTGGTCTTATAAAAGAGATGCCAGAGAGTCAGCTAGGTCCTTCCACCAAGTGAGACTTAATCAAGAAGGCATCGGCCTATGAACAGGAACTAGGCCCTCCCCAAATACTGAGTCTGCTGCTGCTTCATCTTGGACCTCCCAGCCTCAAGAAGTGAGAGAAATAAACTTCTGCTGTTGATGATGTTTTGCTATGGCACCTGGATCAAACTAAAATATCACTTTTGGACATTATATTACTTCCCTTTATTGATCACTAATCTGGAAATGGGGGGCAGTAAAAACATCTACTTCTCAGGATTATTTTGAAAAGAAAAGGAAGTAGCCTTAATAAAGGGGTCAACAAGGTCTGGCACATAGTAGATGCTCAATCAACATCATGCACCTTGAAGTAGCCTGGAAGCAGGGGAACTTCTTCCAAGAATGTGGATGTGGCTGCTGAAATGGAGACAGGAGAGGGGCACAGTGTGTGGAGACAAATGGATTCATTATTGAGCTGGTTGTTCTATGCTGGGTTTCCTGGGTTTTTGTTTTTGTTTTTTTTTTAATCCAAAAGACAGAGAAAGCGTGAGGGAAATGCTGGAAAGTAAATTAAAATGGGGGATTGTATAATATAAGGCAGGGAACAGGAAAATGTTTCCTTTCTTGAGTCTATGGCTGGGCTGAACTGATTAGGCCACTCCTTGGCACCCATGCAAGACTCTGGCTTGGGGTCTAAAGGGGAAGTTAGGCCATTTTATTTAAATGAGTTATAAATTATAGACAATAAAATGCATATCTCTCAAGGGTTTCATTTGTGAAGGTTTTTTGGTGTTTTTTTATTTTTTTGTTTGTTTGTTTTGTTTTGTTTTGTTTTTTTGACAGGGTCTCACTCTTGCCCTGGCTGGAGTGCAGTGGTGTGGTCGTAGCTCACTATTAACTTGAACTCCTAGGCTCAAGTGATCCTTCTGCCTCAGCTTCCCAAGTAGTTAGGACTTGTGGTGGTTAGCACATGCCACCACATCTGGCAAATTTTTTATTTTTTGTAGCCATTGGGTGTTGCTATGTTGTCCATGCTGGTCTCAAACTCTTGTCTTTACGAAATCCTCTGGCCTTGGCCTCCCAAAGGCTGAAATTACAGGTGTGAGCCACTGCACCCAGCCAGTTTGTTACTTTTGAGATTGTGTGTATCCACATAGACCGTCACGTAAAATGAGGTACAGAGTATTTTCATCACCACCAGGAAGTTTTCTTGTGTCCCTTTGTTGTCAATCCCACTCCCCCCATTCAGTGTAAACTACAATTTTGATTTCTAATACCATGTATTAGTTTTGCCCTTTTCTGAACTTCATATAAGTGGAATTTTACACTATGTATTCTTTGGTGACTGGCTTTTTTCACTTACCCTGATGTCTAGAAGATTCCTCTGTGTTGTTGCATGTATCAACAGCTTTTTTATTTTTTATTGTTGAGCAGCTAGCTCTCTATTGCATGGATAAGCCACACTTTGTGTATCCAGTCTCCTGCAATGGATATGTGGGTTTTATCTATGGGACTTTTTAAAATACAGATGTGGCTGGGTGCAGTGGCTCACGCCTGTACTCCCAGAACTTTGGGAGGCTAAGGCAGGAGGATCACTTGAGCCCAGGAGTTTGAAACCAGCCTGGGCAACATGATGAGAGCCCAGGAATTTGAAACCAGCCGGGGCAACATGATGACAACCCAAGTGTTCACACTGCTGCACTCCAGCCTGAGTGACAGAGTGAGACTTTGTCCCAAAAAAAATAAATAAAGAAAATAAAACACAGATGCCTATGCCCACTCTAGATCTACTCCATCAGGATCTCCAGGTGTGGGGCCAAGCACGGACAGTTATTTTAGATCCATAGGGGATTCTGATGATGCCTCTGCACTTGCTATTCTCATAAATTGATGCTGACCCTGAAATTGGATTTGTCTTTCTTGAAAAATACTGGTATTCAGGGTTTTAAGTTATTCATGATCAGACTTATAGAAAGATAAATCAAACTGATACGGCCTCTTTTGAATAGAGAAAGAAGGCAGCCCTTCATTGGAAGGGACACTGTGCCTCTAAACATAGGCACAGGAGGCTGGAGTTGCACTGGGGTGGACATGTCACCAGGGTGGAGCACATCGTGTGTCAGGCACCTGGAACTTCACCATACATGCAGAGACTGTGACAGCGTGTATAAGATCATGACAGCCTTACTCCATCTATGCTGCCAAGCTTAATTCTCAATGCAGCTTAGGATGCTAAGCAGAATTTTGCTGCTCAAAGAGTTTCAGATGATAAGAAAAACTTCTTCATAGCAGCTATATCAACTGTGATGGTTAATACTGAGTATCAACTTGATTGGATTGAAGGATGCAAAGTATTGTTCCTGGGTGTGTCTGTGAGGGCGTTGCCAAAGGAGATTAACATTCGAGTCAGTGGACTGGCAGACCCACCCTCAATCTGGGTAGGCACCGTCTAATCAGCTGCCAGCACAGCCAGAATAAAAGCAGGCAGAATATGGAAAGACTAGACTGGTTCAGTTTTCTGGCCTCCATCTTTCCCCTGGGGCTGAATGCTTCCTGCCCTGGAACATCGGACTCCAAGTTCTTCAGCTTTGGGACTCGGACTGGCTTCCTTGCTTCTCAGCTTGAAGTCTATTGTGAAACCTCACCTTGTGATCATGTGAGTCAATATTCCTTAATAAACTCCCCTTTAGTCTGGGCACGGTGGCTCATGCCTGTAATCCCAGCACTTTGGGAGGCCGAGACGGGTGGATCACCTGAGGTCAGGAGTTCAAGACCAGCCTGACCAACATGGTGAAACCCCAGCTCTATTAAATACAAAAAATTAGCCAGGCATGGTGGTGTACACCTGTAATCCCAGCTACTTGGGAGGCTGTGGCAGGAAAATCACTTGAACCTGGGAGGCGGAGGTTGCAGTGAGCTGAGATTGTTCCACTGCACTCCAGCCTAGGCAACAAGAGCAAAACTCCGTCTCAAAAAAAATAAAAAATAAAATAAAATAAAATAAACTCCCCTTTATATATACATCTATCCTATTAGTTCTGTCCCTCTAGAGAACCCTGGCTAACAGAACCGACAAAGACTTCTCTAAGTGAAAGAACAAGGAGCAGCTCTTCCACATACCTGGGCCGGCCACACCGCTGCACCCCAAGAGGAAGCACATTGGGTGCCCCTTCTCACACTCACCATAGGAGGGCAGCTTCCATGTCCAGAGGAAGCCAGGCGTCTCCTGTAGGAAATGTCTTTCTTGTAGGCTCACTCACCATTGCACAGGGAAGCTGGCTCCAACTTAATCTCTGTCACTCAGCTGTGACTGGTCAGAGCAGTCCCTCAAGACAGTGCTTTGATGGCCCTGAAGTCAGACCATGTCAGGCCAACTTCCCAAGGCCAGGAGTGCCCAAAAGTCTCATCATTCACTCCACAGATACTCTGTCAGAGTCTGTGCCTATGGGAAAAGCGTCTCAGGGAAATGTCTGGATGCTAAGGAGAGAGGTCATGTTTCCTGGTACCTGGGATCATTGAGGCATGCCATCTTGAAACTGTGGAGGCCCTTGGCGATGATCAAACCAACCCCCAATGCTGCTTTTTTTTTTTTTTTTCCTAATGAGGACTATGGCCAGGCACGGTGGATGACGCCTGTAATCCCAGCACTTTGGGAGTCTGAGGCAGGCGAATCACTTGAGGCCAGGAGTTCAAGACCAGCCTGGCCAACATGGTGAAACCCCGTCTCTACTAAAAATACAAAAATTAGCCAGGCATGGTGGCATGTGCCTGTAGTCCCAGCTACTCAGGAGGTTGAGGCAGGAGAATCGCTTGAACCTGGGAGATGGAGATTGCAGTGAATTGAGATCGCACCACTGCACTCCAGCCTGGGCGACAGAGTGAAACTCCTTCTCAAAAAAAAAAAAAAAAAAAAAAAAAAAAAGACTCCAAGGCACAAGGCACCGAAGGTCACATAGCTACTAAGGGTCACACATGGTCTCTTTTTCATACATTCCGGTCACAAGCACAGCCCTTTTCCTATTCATGAACACAGACTCCTCCACTGGATGTGACTTCCAGTAGAGGTTGCCAGGTAGAAAGTCACAGCAAATTATTCTTCAAGAGGTGATTGTCCTTGGGTGCCCCTGGTATATGCAGCATAGCTGGGCAGGTCAAAAGATATTTGGGTGCCCTGTGCTCTTTGGGAGGGGAATTGGGATTGGGGTGAAGAGGGGAAGGAAAGATGAGTCATTTACTGAGTTCTCCATCAGAAAAATGACTCAGGACATTAGCAATCTTACTGAGAGCATTTAGTGGTAGTAAAACAGGCCTGGTCTACCAGTCACGAGCTGACTCTGCCCAACGACTAGTAATTAGCAGAGGTAGGATTTGAACCCATTTGTGTCTGGCTCCAGAACCTGCAGTCTGAACCAATTTGATGTTATCTGCCGAAGTCACTAACCTGCTGGGTCTCTTTATTTTTCTTATTTTATTTTACTTGTTTATTTATTTATTTTTGAGACAGGGTCTTGCACTGTCTCCCAGGCTGGAGTACAGTGGCATCATCACAGCTCACTACAGTCTCGAACTCCTGGGATCAACTGATCCACCTGCCTCAGCCTCCCAAGTAGCTGAGACTACAGGTGGTGCATGCTACCATGCCCAGCTTTTTTTTTTTTTTTTTTTTTTTGAGACAGTCTCACTCTGTCACCCAGGCTGGAGTACAGTGGCTTGATCTTGGCTCACCTCATCCTCCACCTGCTGGACTCAAACAATTCTCCCACCTCGGCCTCCCAAATAGCTACGACTACAGGCACATGTCACCACGCCAGGCTAATTTTTTATATTTTTTGTACTTTTTGTAGAGATGGGGTTCTGCCATGTTGCCCAGGCTGGTCTCAAGCTCATGGGCTCAAGCGATCCACCCGCCTCAGCCTCCCAAAATGCTGGGATTACAGGCATGAACCACTGCTTTTTAAAAATATTTTTAGTAGAGATGAGGTCTCGCTTTGTTGCCCAGGCTTGTCTTGAACTCCTAGGTTCTAGCCAATCCTCCCACCTCAGCCTCCCAAAGTATTGAAATTACAGGCATGAGCCACTGTGCCCAGCCTGCCGGGCCTCTTTAGATAGGTCACTTAACATCTTTCGGGCTCGTTTTTCTTCACTCTTAGGATGCAAGAATGTCAGATTAGCAATTCCTGTGTTTAAGCTTGCCTCAATCAGCAGAGCCCCTTTCATAAGCGAACTCCCCTACATTGCCCCAGTACAGGAAGCAGCTAAAAGTGAAGCTTTGATCTCGGGTGAAAAGGTGGGTAAGAGATTGGAGTCCGATGCTCCTTAACTTCTCACCCCTAGCCTCCCTCCCACTCACACCAAAGCTCATCACAGAACTCTGGGACTCTGATGAACACATTTTGAAAATGTGGTCCAATCTCTGTGTGGCACAGAAGAAGAAACAGGACCAGAAAGAGCAAGAGACTGAACAGAATTACTCATCAGTTAGAGATGGAGCAAAGATTAGAATCCAGGACTCATCACGGACAACCAGGCTTTTAAAAATAGCATCTGAACCTTGGCTCTGAAACTTACTGGCTGCTTGATACTAGGTAGATCTCTCAGCCTGTCTGTGCTCCAGTTTCGTCATCTATAATGTGGGGATAGTAACAGTACTTGCCATTTAGGGGTTTCTAAGGGCTAAATTGAAAGAGGCAATACATATAAAACATTTAGCATAGTGCCCAGTAATAGCATGGGTTTAATAAATATCAGTTATTAGTATGCTTATTATTGTCTTATAGGGCCCTTGAGGGTTCCACCGAGATGTTGCTGTCCCCTGATGCTCAGATACCTTTCCTGGGCCAAGTGCTCCTGGTGCATGTTCAGGAAGGTGTGGTCTGCAGGGCAGAGGGGGCAGCCATTGGTCAGGCCTAGTTCTCCAGCTCAGTGCGTCCCAGATGGTGCCCATGGGGGTGCTGGCCAGTGACATATTGGCAGCCTCCCTTCCCCGCACAGTTCACTGAGCCACACAGTGCTCAGGAGCCTTGAGCTGTAGCCTGCTCTGCCAAGGAGGCAGCCTGCCCAGCCTGGACTGATGGACAGCAGGCATGGCCAGCCCCAGGGAACTCGGACTGTGCCTCCAGCCTCCAGAGAAGGCGCAGGTGAGGCACTAGTCCGGCCGCCTCCCCAAGCTCCTATGGCTCCCACGGCTTCTCTGTGAGAGGGAGACGGAGGGACTTAGTCAAAAGTCAGCCCCTTCTCCACATTACCTGAGTCCTTGCCTGTCTCAACCCTTTTTCTGAAAGTGACAGCTCTTAGAAAACAACCATGGAGCAGAAAGGAAATGACTGCTTCACTGAACAAATAAGAAATCAGTTTCTTCATTTGAAAAAAAATAGAAATAATAGTATTGACTTAATAGAGTCACTGTGGGGACTCGATGATATATTGCACACAGTGATTGGAATCATGTGCACCACGTAGAAAATAAATATTAGCTATTCCCTATGTCAGTAGGACATTCATATTTGTATTGGTATTATAGCAGTAGCAAAAATACAGGCTCTGCAGCCCCTCTGCCCAGGTTCAAATCTGTGATGGACCTCTTCCTATCTGTGTGGCCTTGGGCATGGTGCAGCCTCAGTTTCCTCATCTATAAAATGGGGGGACTCACGGACACAGGGAGGGAGACATCAAATGCTGGGGCCTGTCGGGGGGTAAGGGGCTAGAAGAGGGATAACATTAGGAGAAATACCTAATGTAGATGATGGGTTGATGGGTGCAGCAAACCACCATGGAACGCGTATATCTATGTAACAAACCTTCACATTCTGCACATGTATCCCAGAACTTAAAGTATAACAAAAAATAATAAAAATAAATAAATAAATAAATAAATAAGAAAAGAAATGAGGGATTCCTTGTGCCTCTCCCACAAAATTGCTGAGAACATTAAATCAGGTGATGCACACGAGTTGCTTAGCATAGCACCTGATACATAATAAGAAATCAATAGGTAAAGGTGATTATTATGATTAATTAGCATTGATATGAATGCCCAAGGTCACAGAGCAGGTTAGCATTGAAATAGGTATTTTCTGACTTGCCACTTGGTACTCACTCTGCTACTCACTGCTGCCTCTCACCCAATTAAAATTCCTGGCTCTGCCCTCTGAGAGTCACTGTTCCTAAAAAAGAACTCCATTTGTAGTAAGAAGCCACAAAATAAATTGTCACCAAGTCCAGCGGTCAGATCCAAATTGCATAAAAGCATTTCTCTTAATTAGGCAAAGTTGCCCAAGGATTCAGGGTGTAGGGAGAAGAAGAAAGACTAGTTCAATGACCAGATGTGGGAGCCAACAGACCTGGCTGAGACCTCAGTTCTGCACCATCTCTCTTGCTGGGTGACTGTGGGCATGTCATTCTACCCTCGTAGGCCTCAATTTCCTTGCCTGCAAAATCAGGGTTGTTGTGAGAATGAAATTAGATAAAACATCTTGTGTAAATTGAGTTTTTAATAAATGGTAGGAATTATTACGTTCACAGCCCTTTTGGTTGAGTGAGGTATTCGTGGGACTTGTTGTGGTGGTCTTTTGGGGTTTTGTTTCTGTTTTATTCTTTGCAAAAGGGTGAAGGAATTGTGTAATTTCCATCAATGACAAAGCATATATGCTAAATGCAATGTGGGATTCTGAATTGAGTCTTGGAACAGAAAAAGGACATTAGTGGAAAACCCTGTAAATCCCAATAAAGCCTGAAGTTTTGTCAACAGCAGTGTACCAGTGTTAGTTTCTTAGTTTTGACAAATTTACCTGCATTGTGTAAGATGTTAACGTTAGGGAAAACCAGGCAAAGTGTTTATAGAAAGTCACTGTACTATCCCTGCAACTTTTCTATAAATCTAAAAACATTCCAAAATAAAAACTTTATTTGAAAAAACAAAAAGCAATATATGCTTAAGAAAGTGACCTATATGCTTATCTATGCGTAGAATATCTCTGGAAGGATACCCAAGGAATTAGCAATCATGGCTGCCGCCAGCGAGGGAACACAGGTGACTGGGAGAAAGTGGAGAGAGACAGGTAAAAGACGGTGGATTCCTTCTCACTGTGAGGCATGATTTGTTTTTGGCATGCACATATATTACCTTCCTGCTTAAAGAATGAGTAAAAAGCTGAGATGGTAGAGAGTAGTGAGTGGGTGTGCTCGTGTGTGTCTGGGTGTGCCCCCAGGTGTCAGGGCACAGTTCAACCAACAACTGCAATGGGAAGCAAAGAAGAATGAGCCCCCACAGCCATGGCAGGGCCTTGGGCTGAGCCCCCAGAGTTACACTCTGCCTGACTTGATCCACCTCTACAAGTTGAAAGAGATCCAGCTGTCTGCAAGGGGCTGACGGCCCCCCATGACAGCAAAACACACCCAACTTTCTGTGTACCAAATCGTTTCTTAGATGCCTGTCCTACTTGAGCTCATCTAATCCTCAGAGCAAACCCACAAGGTTGGAGTTGGTATCCCCTTGTTATGGTGGAGGACACAGAAGCCCAGAGTGGTAAAGTGCTCCCTAAGTATTTACCCAAGGTTGAACTGGTACTAAGTGGTAGAGTTGGGATTTGAGCTTAAGCTTCTGGAGTTCAACCCACTGAGCCTCATAATGTCACAGCTATCAGGCTGTGAGGAAGCTACTGCCTCCTTGCAAGATGGTCACATTGGTTTTTGGCAGGTGGATGGGGCTCCATTGAATGGGGAGGGGATAGGAAGCGTCTCTCTTCTCTGGCTCCCAGAACTGCATTCCCACCACCACCAATGGAGGCCAGCAGCCAGGGGTTTAACCACCGGGGTGGATCTCAGCACTGTCTCAGAAGACAAGATATTAGAAGGACAATAAAACCCAACACCAACCTTCTGGCACAGAAGGTGTTATAAACCTCATTTTCAAGATGAGGCAATAAGACAGATTTAATTTTTTAAAATGGCTTCTGTTATCACATAGCAAGGGACAGAGTGATATGGTAGAGGTAGGGGTTTTGGAACCAAATTACAATCAGTTCAAATCCTAGTTCCTCCCATTCCTTGGGCAACTCATTCAATCTTTTTGAACCTCAGTTTCCTTCTCTGTGAAATGGGGTTAGTGACACCTGCAAATTCTAAGTAATAATGGGCTTCGCACTGAGAGAGCTGTAAACAAACAGTAGCTATGATAATCATAATAAAAGAGCACTTTAAATTTACAAAGACTTTAGCAGTCATAATAATGTCATTTGAGTATGATACTATTCATTGAATACTCACTCTGCAACAGGTACTAGGCTAAGCATATTCTGGGTTTCGTAGTATTTAGTCCTGAGAATGACCCTCTGAGCTGTGTATAATTATTACAGCTAAGGAGAATGAACCCTGAAATAGTAAGTTACTTTCCCAAAGTCTCACAGGAATCCAGCTGCCTAGCCAGGACAAAAGCCTGTTTTCTGGCTTCCAGTCAGCTACACCTACATGCTATGTTAGCACTGTCTTATGGAGGTTGCATGTCAATCCTCACTTAGGGAATCTCAAAATTTAGTGGTCAACAGAAATTATATGGAAGAGATTGAAATGCAGATTCCTTGCCCCTGCCTCCATAAATTCTGATCCTGCAGCTCTGCAGTGGGGTCATGGGAATTTGCTATGTGGCAGATTGTATTTTCCAAAGCTGGCCACAATAATACTTCCCATCCCACATGCTCTTCCTGAATCTTGTCACTTCTCCATCAAGAGGATGAATTTATGAACCCTTGAAACTTGGTGGGCCTTTTTTACTCCCTCAACCAATATAGTACAGCAGAGATGTATATTAGAAAAGTGCGACATAATTGTACCTTGTTCTCTTGGAACCCAGCCACCATGCTGTGAGGAAGCCCAAGCATCCTATGGAGAGCCTTACATAGAGAAGAACCAAGGCCCGCAGCCCTCAGCCCCGGCAGTATTCCCAACCAACAAGTACACCAACCTGCCAGCCCTGTGAGTGAGTCATTTCAGAAGAGAATCCTCCAGTCCCCAGTTGAGCTGACCCAGCAAAGGCAGTCCTGGTGAACTCTGCCCAAGTTGAAGATTCACTGGGAGACTAGTTGCTGTTGTCTTAAGCCACTACAATTTGGAGCAATGTGTTACACAGCAATAAATAACCAATACCCTGCATTTTTAACAAGCCTCGCCAGGTGGTTCTATCACAGGTGATCAGAAGTCTACAGTTTGGAGTAGACTGCCCTTTGCCAGATCTTTGTGGGTGTGGAATGAACATTACTTAACTATTTCTGCCCCTCACATTGCAGAGTTTCTGTTTATAAGCACCAAAGCCGAGTGTGCAGAGAGACTTCAAAAGTCCCCTTCCCTGGCCGAGAGCAGTGGCTCATGCCTATAATCCCAACAGCTTGGGAGGCCAAAGCAGGAGGATTGCTTAAGCTCAGGAGTTCAAAATCAGCCTGGTAAACAGTGAGACCCCTCGCCCTCACCAACTCTACAAAAAATAAGATTAAAAAATTAGCCAGATGTGGTGGTGCATGCCTGTGGTCCCAGCTACTCAGGAGGCTAAGCGGCGGAACAGGGGAATCACATGAGCTCAGGAGTTAGGGGCTGCAATGAGCCGTGATTGCACCACCGCACTCCAGCCTGGGTGACGAGTGAAACCTTATCTCTAAAAAACAAAACAAAACAAAAAAGAGTCCCATCCATCAGAGGAATGGGACTCTTATTACCTTGATTGTGGTGATGGCATCATAGGTATGTACATAAATCTGAACTCATCAAATTGTATACATTAGACATGTGTAGTTATTTTTGTATGCAATTATACCTCAGTAAAGCTAATTTTTTGAAAAAGAATTCCTTCCTCCCCCATTGTGTTGATAAGTGAAACCCAATCAACTCTGAGCATCTTTGGCACCCATGCATGTTTGCACCAACCCCTTTTCCAAGAATACTTGAAGGCTTCTCCACTCCCGCATAAGCAAATCCAATTTCCCATCCATATTTGCAGAGGTGTTTGCTACTTAAGCAAGGTGCAGCCTTGCAAATTCTTGGGTAAATAACACAAGTCTGAGAACGATATTCCCATGCCAGTAGCCAAGAAGTGCAGGAAATGACAGATCTCTTAGGACTTCTCCGTCTCACTCAAAGACTCAGCAAGGTCCCAGCTTGAAAGAGTGCATGGGCACTGTCACTCGTGCTAGAGCAGAAAGCCAAAGATGGTGCAGAGTATCATAATTAAACAGGAGGACTCAAGAGTCAGGCCACTTGAATTTGAATCCTGAGTCTATGACTTACTAGCTGCGTGACTTTAGGCAAGTTGCTTCACCTTTCTGAACTTCAGTTTTCCACTGTGCAAAATGAGAACAGTAAGAGCTTCTTTACTGGGTTACTATTAAGGTAATGCAACTGTCTTATACAGGAAGAAACTTAATGTGTACTCAATAAATAGTAAAAGTTATTGTTTTTTTAATGCAGTGTGATTATATGCTGCCCAGATATAAAAAGAGGCAAATCATAGAGGTGAAAAAGACCCTGGGATGGAAGTCAGGAGATCTGATTTCTTGTTTTGGTTTTGCCACCAATTCACTTACTTGGTGTATTAGTCTGTTTTCAAACTGCTGATAAAGACATACCCAAGACTGGGCAATTTACAAAAGAAAGAGGTTTAAGGGACTCACAGTTCCACGTGGCTGGGGAGGCCTCACAATCGTAGTGGAAGGTGAAAGGCACGTCTCACATGGCAGCAGACAAGAGAAGAGAACTTGTGCAGGGCAACTCCCCTTTATAAAACCATCAGAGCTTGTGAGACTTATTACTGTCACAAGAATAGCACAGGAAAGACCTGCCCCATGATTCAGTTACCTACCACTGGGTCCCTCCCACAAGTGTGGGAGCTACAATTCAAGATGAGATTTGGGTAGGGACAGAGCCAAACCATATCATTTGGATACCTGAGACAAGGTAGTTGATGATGTTGAACTTTAGTTGTAAACTGAGGTGGAAGGATTAGGAGGTGCTCTCTAAGCTGCCTAAGTCACTAACTTGCTGGGTCTCTTTATTTTTATTTATTTTATTTTAAGACAAGGTATCACTCTGTCACCCAGGCTGGAGTGCAGTGGCACAATCATGGCTCACTGCAGCCTCAAACTCCTGGGCTCAAGCTAGGACTACAGCCGCATGCCACCGTACCCAGCTAATTTCACTCCAGCTCTTCCCTTCTTTGGACTGCTAAGAGTGTCCTATTGCCTAATACAAGACACTCTTCTAGACATAAATGGTAGAAAAAAAATCCCAAAGAGGTTTAAGCCAAAAATAAGAAATAGTTGGCTCAGAGAAGCCAAACCTGTGGTTGAATGGTCAAATCCCACGGATGCAGCTAGACTCCAAGAACAGCTGGAGTCTGGGTCTCACTTCTCTCTCCCCCTCTTTTGCTTTCAGTTGCTTGCTGCATTCACCCTCCCTCACAAACTGTCTTACTCCACACTCAGGGAACATTCATACTAATGCTTCCTATTTCACAGTTTAGACCTAAACCCACGGGAAAGAATGACTGACTGCCCTCCCTTCCCAAGTCCAAAAATCCCAAGGTGGGGATTCATTGGCCTAGTGTAGACCAGTTGCCAACTCCATGACCAATCAGCCATGGCTTTGCGATGGGGCCATGTTAGACCACAGCAGCTCTCATGGGAACCATGTATTACCTACCTAGCCAGTCTGCACATCTGAATTTGCAACTTCTGCAGTATACCCTAAAGGGAAGCTTTTCTATTTCTCTCATTATTTTGCAAAGCACTTCCATTCTTATCTTCATATAATCCTTATAACAACCTTACAATGGAAACAGCTGTCAGCCTTAAATCCAACATGATTTAGAGGGTCCTTTGGCTCAGGGAAGCTGGGTGCCCTGGCCAAAGTCACAGCCTGTCCATAGCAGAGGCAAATCCAGCTAAGAACCTGGGTGTTTTAACTTCTCTTCCAGTGTTTTCTCTATCTTTTTTTTTTTTTTAAAGAGACAAGATCATCTTGCTCTGTCGCACAGGCTAGAGGGCAGTGACGCAATCAATCATAAGTCACTGCAGCCTCAAACTCCTGGCTTTAAGTGATCCTCCCACTCAGCCTCCCAAGTAGCTGCAACTATAGGCACACACCACCATGCCCAGCTGATTTATTTATTTGTTTGTTTGTTTATTTAGGTAAAGATGAGGTCTTGCAATGTTGCCCAGGCTGTTCTCAAACTCCTGGGCTCAAGCCATCCTCCCGCCTCAACCTCCCAAAGTGCTGGAATTACAGGCATGCACCACCACACTTAACCTCTTCCAGTGGTCTTTCCCAAAACACACTGCATATTTGTTTTTTCCAGAATGCTCATCAATGAAGACCCAAGAATATAATCACTGGTAGGGCCCATGTGTCTCCCACCCTGGTAGCTATGCAGGCACCTCCCTTGAGGCGGCTTTCTGGCTCTGATGTCTATTTGCCTATAAATAGCAGACCCAGGGACTCTCAAGCCCAGAGAGGGAAAAGCACAGGCTTCTTAGGGACCTTTCCAACCTGCGGAGAATGGAAGAAAAGGAAACAGGAGGAAACCCTGGAGAGGGCCCAGAACAGCTCCATGGTCCGGCAGAACAGATGCCATCACTGGTGCCACCACTTCATCACCTCCTCCAGGACACTCCCTGGACCCCACAGAGAATCTGGTCTTCGCTCTTCACTAAGTATCCCCAAAGGAAGGCAGGGTTGACCTCCCTGTCTTCCTTCCTTTGCAGCTTCTCTTTCTACTCTTTCAATATGGCACGGTGGTTAGGTGTGCTGGCTTGAGAGCTGGTCTGCCTGGCTATATGGCCTTGGCAAGTTTTCACCCGTGTATTTCATTTCCATCATTGATAAAAAGAGTCCCTATGTCATGGATTTATTGAAATGGTTAAATAAGATCGTGAAAATAAAGCACTTAGAACAGCACCTGGCTTGTGGAAGTTGTAGTTACAATTATCGTCTATATGGCCAGGAGAGTGGCTAGGAATGATAGGGGCAAATTTGTATTGCTTGTTTTCATATTATACGAGCAATGCAACCACAAAGAAAAGGCAAAAGGCAGAAGCGGGGACATCTATGGAATAATTGGCATGGTCAGTTCAACAAGTCCATGTGATGGACAGAAGAGCAGAGGTATATTGTTCTAGATTTAAAGAGAGTTAGAAGACACAATAGCTAAATGCAGTGCGTGGTCCTTGGTTGGATCCCGGTTCAAACAAGCCCTTTGTAAAAACAGGGCCAGGTGCAGGGGCTCACGCCTGGCATCCCAGCACTTTAGGAAGCCAAGGTGGGAAGATTGCTTGAGCTCAGGAGTTTGAGACCAGCCTGGACAACATAGCAAAACCCCATATCTACAGAAACTACAAAAAATAGCCAGGCATGGCGGCACGTGCCTGTAGTCCCAGCTACTCAGGAGGCTGAGCTGGGAGGATCACTTGAACCAGGGAGGCAGAGGTTGCAATGAGCCGAGATCACACCACTGCACTCTAGCCTGGGCAACAGAGCCAGACCCTGTCTCAAAGCACACAGACAAACACACAAACACAACCATTTTGAAGGACGATTGGGGAAATCTGAATATGAACAATGTATTAGATAACATTTAAGACATTATTCTTAATTTTGTCAGATGTAATCATAATACTGTGGTTAGGTAGGAAAATATTTTTTTAGAGACAAATACTGAAATTTAAGGATAAAATATCCTGATGTTAGTAACTTTAAAATATTTCACCCAAAAGAAAAGAAAAAAAGATGACACAAATATTGCAAAATGTTAACAATCATTAAATCTAAGTGATAGGTTTGTGGGTGTTCATAATACTAGTCTCTCCACTTTTGTGTACGTGGAAAAATGTTTATAGTAAACAAACATGTTTATTGTAAAAATTTAAAGTTGCAGAAAACATTCCAAAGAAAACACAGTAACTCTACCACCTAGGAGAAAATTATCAATAATGTTTTGATGTATCTCCTTCCAAGTTTTAATTGTCTTAACTTTACTGCAATCAGAAGGCACATAAAATTCTGCAATTTACGCCAGGTGCCATGGCTCATGCCTGTAATCCCAGCACTTTTGCGAGGCTGATGGGGGCAGATCATTTGAGGTCAGGGGTTCGAGACCAGTCTCACCAACATGGTGAAACCCTGTCTCTACTAAAAATACAAAAATTAGCTGGGCTTGGTGGCAGGCACCTGTAATCCCAGCTACGCGAGAGGCTGAGGCAGGAGAATTGCTTGAACCTGGGAGGTGGAGGTTGCGGATGGCGCCACTGCACTCCAGCCTGGGTGACAGTGAAACTCTGTCTCAAAAAAAAAATTCTGCAATTTACTTTTTCTTAACTTATACACATTTTTCCTTGTTATTAAAAAAATGCAATCATTTTTAATGGCTGCAGAATATTCCTTTGAGGAGATAAAATGGAGCAGTCATAAGTTCCTCTACCACAGAATTGCAATTATAATTAAAATGATGATGATGAAGAGGATGATAGCCAATATTCACTGAGCACTTATTACATGCCTGAGCTCTAACATGCATTATCTATTTTCATCTTCACAACATGTGAGATAGCTATGATTTTTTTTTTTGAGACAGGATCTCACTCTGTTGCCCAGGCTGGAGTGCAGTCGTGCAATCATGGCTCACTGCAGCCTCAACCTCGAGCCCAAGTGATCCTCCTGCCTCACCCTCCCACGTAACTGGGACCACAGGCACACACCACCATGCCTGGCTAATACCTACTATTATTATCAGAAGAAGAAAATGAGACTCAGAGAAGTTAAGTGACATATCTAGGGTCACACAGCTAGGGAGTAGCAGAGCCCAGGCCCCACTCAGGCTATGAGGTACAAATGTAAGCCCATGCCTTTACTTTCATTTATTTGTTCATTCACCAAACATTGACAGGGCGCCTGCCCTAAGTCAGATGCTGGACTGGGTTGTGACTCACCCCAGAAGTTCACACTGCTGCAGGACACTAATGATTTTAAATTGTCAGACTAGGCCAGGCGCAGTGGCTCATGCCTGTAATCCCAGCACTTTGGGAGGCCGAGGCAGGCGAATCACTTGAGGTCAGGAGTTCAAGAGCAGCCTGGCCAACATAGCAAAACCCTGTCTCTACTAAAAATACAAAAATTAGCCGGGCGTACTGGTGGGTGCCTGTAATCCCAGCTACTCAGGAGGCTGAGGTTGCAGTAAGCCAAGATTGCGCCACTGCACTCTAGCCTGGGCGACAGAGTGAGACTCCATCTCAAAAAAAAAAAGATTGTCAGACTAGAGACCACAAGAGCCGTGATTCCTAGGGCCCTGGTCTACAGTGCCTGCATTTCTTCTCCACAGCAGATGAGAAAGCCACATCTCAGCCTTCTAGTAATAACTCATCCTGCCCAGGAAAAAAGCATCCCTGGCAGCCAGAGAAGGGGTGGGGGGTAGTGATAATTTATTATTGATAATTAATGACACCAAAAACCTTTTAATATTCATATTATTTATTCTTAGCCCTGTCTGGCTGCACTGGCACAAACAGTTTGTTGTTAATGAGACTAGGAGCATTTTTAAATCAACTTAATTGACATTTTTATGGTGTTCAGTGGGTCCGAACGCAAGATTTTCAGCTAGGAAGCTGGATAAAAGTGATAGGAGGAGGGAGGAGCTCTACAGAGCCCCTGGGAAAGGAGAAGGTCACTGAGGAGCAGCCAGAGGAGGGAGAAGCCTGATGGAAACAACTGGATCTGGGAATTTTGTGCTGTGGCTGTTTCCAGGTCCACCACTTCATTTTCATCATAGCTGCACTGCCCTGCAGGTTCCACCTAAGCTGTGCAGTCTTGGACCTGGGACTTGACTGCTCAGTGCCTCAGCTTGCCCATCTGTAAAATGGGCTTCATAATAGCCCCTTCCTCACAGGCTTGTTATGAAGATAACATGACATGGATTCATTTATGTAAAAAACTTAGAACAGTACCTGATGTTTTGCTACTCTTAGCACCATTGTTACTGTTTCTCCTAAAATGAATTTTATGAGGTCTCCACGGTTGATTTTAAAGCCGTTTGCCAAATATTCTGGAATACCTCCTTGCAAGAAGATTTTAGATCTCCACCTTGTTGAACTCAACAAGGGCCATGTGATTTGTTTTGGGTCACTACTCGGCAGGTGGAACTAACACGTGTCACTTGCCAGCAGATTTAAGAGCCAACACATTTTTCACTATGTCTTTTCTCCTCTCGTCTGCCATGAGATTGGCAATGTTCCACTTAGAGGTTCTCCCATCTGCCAGGTCCCAGAGTGAAGAAGGCATGGAGCAGAGGCACTGCCAACCCACCACGGATGTGCAACATGAGGAAGAAATAGACATTTGCTGTCAGAGGCCATGGAACCTTGGGGGTTGTTTGTTACGGTAGCTAAACCTAGCCTGTTGTAACTGGCACAGCATCTTGCCTTAACCCACTCTAGGCCCAATGGGAAAACGTAATCAGCAGAGAAGGACTGTGATAGGGGCTTCCGAAGTCCCAAAGACCAGCACCAGATCTAGCCAGGGAGGACTGGGGGAAGGGTGCCTTTCCATTTGAGCTCGGAGAAGGTTTTACACAACACGATGGTACTTTACATTTGTTGATTGCCTTCTCTGTTCCAGGTGGTCTACAGGTATTATCTCCTTTAATCCTCAAAACAGCCCTATGGCGTAGTTATGATAATGAAGGTGATCACTCCTACATCTATTATGGGGCACTGAACTTTTAAAGTTGAAGTTTGCTGGGTGTCATGGTTCATGCCTATAATCACAGCACTTTGGGAGGCTAAGGTGGGAAAAGGCTAAGGTGGGAAGCCAGGAGTTCGAGAGCAGCCTGAGCAACACAGTGAGACACTTGTCTCTACAAAAAAAAAAAAATTTAATTAGCCAGGCATAGTGGTACATGCCTGTAGCCCCAGCTCCTCAGGAGGCTAAGGCAAGAGGATCCCTTTGAGCCCAGGAGTTTGAGACTGTGGTGAGCTATGATCACGCCACTGCACTCCAGTCTGGCCAACAGAGTGAGACCCTGTCTCAATCAATCAATCAATCAATCCAATTTTAAAAAATAATAATAAGTACATAAAATTTAAGTAACTTGGCCAGGCGCAGTAGCTCACGCCTGTAATCCCAGCATTTTGGGAGCCCAAGGCGGGCGAATCACTTGAGGTCAGGGGTTCGAGACCAGCCTGGCCAACATGGTAAGACCCCGTCTCTACCAAAAATACAAAAATTAGCCAGGCATAACGGCAGGTGCCTGTAATCCCAGTTACTCAGGAGGCTGAGGCAGGAGGATTGCTTGAACCCAGGAGGCGGAGGTTGCAGTGAGCCAAGGTTACACCACTGCACTCCACCCTGGGTGACAAAAGTGAGACTCCATCTCAAAATAAATAAATAAATAAATAAAATAAAATAAAATAAAATAAAAAACAAGATTTAAGTAACTTGCTCCAAGTCCCAAGTGAGAGGCTTTGCACCAGGCAGAGTTCACATTCTTTCTACCACATAACACTGTCCCCTATATAGGTCTTTACCTTACACCTACATCTGAATCACTTGGGTGGGGAGAGGAGTGCATTAACATAAAGATTAACAGGCCTGCCCCAGACCTGCCATGGTGGGCAGAATCTTCAGCTGTCCCCCATGAGCTCTGCCCTCTGGTGTTCCACCTTGGTATAACCCCCTCCCCGTAAATGCAATTAGAACCTGAGACTTGCTTCTAATCAATAGGAGATGACAGAGGTGATGGGGCATTCCACCTATGATTACCTTTCATTTTATAAGTCTTGGTCTTAACATAGTAGAGATACTTTTTTCCCAGCCCCAAAGAAGCAAACAGCTATGGTGTGAACTGTCTATGGAGAAGGCCACATGGCATGGAACTACAGGATGTTTCCAGGACCTGAGAGTGGCCTCTACCTGATACGGCCAGTAAAATTCTAGGATTCTCCATCATACATACAGCTGCAAGCAAATAAATTCTGCCAACAACTTAAATGAGTCTGGAAGTTGGTTCTTCCCCAGTCAGACCTCCAGATGAGAACACAGACCACCCAATGCCCTGACTGCAGCCTGATGAGACCCTGAGCAGAGGACCCAGCTAAGCTGCACCTGGAATCCTGACCCACAGAAACTATGATACAATAAATGGGTGTTGTGTTAAACTGCTAATTTTGTGGTGACTTGTTTTGAAGCAATAGAAATTAATATACCAACACCGGGCACAGTGGTTCATGACTGTAATCACAGCACTTTGGGAGGCCGAGGCAGGTGGATCACCTGAGGTCAGGAGCTCCAGACCAGTCTGGCCAACATGGTGAAACCCCATCTCTACTAAAAATACAAAAGCAAGCCAGGTGTGGTGCCACATGCCTATAATCCCAGCTGCTCGGAAGGAGGAGGCTGGAGAATTGCTTCAACTCAGGAGGTGGAGGTTGCAGTAAGCCAAGATCACACCAGTGCACTCCAGCCTGGGTGACAGAGCGAGACTCTGGAAAGAAAGAAAGAAAGAAAGAAAGAAAGAAAGAAAGAAAGAAAGAAAGAAAGAAAGAAAGAAAGAAAGAAAGAAAGAAAGAAAGAAAGAAAGAAAGAAAGAAAGAAAGAAAGAAAGGAAGGGAGAGAGAGAAAGAAAGAGAGAGAGAGGGAAGGAGGGAGGGAGGGAGGGAGAGAGAGACAGAAAGAAAGGAAGGAAGGAAGGAAGGGAGGGAGGGAGAGAGGGAGGGAGGGAGGGAGAGAGAGAGGAAGGAAGGAAGGAAGGAAGGAAGAAACACCAGCTCAATCCAAATCTCTAAAGATAGGACCCAGGATGTAACATTTTGAATAAGATGCCTGGGTGATTCTTACATGCACTAACATTTGAGAAATGTCAGTGTACTGGTTATAAACACGCCATCTTAAATCTGTGCAGCCTTGAGTAAGTTACCTAAATTCTCTGGCCTCAATTTCTTAACCTGCAAAATGGGGATAAACATACAGATCTTAATACAAGTTATAACACAAAGTGCAGTACCTGGTGCATGAGAAACTTCAAAAGACAGTAGCTACCACTATGACTTTTTTTTTTTTTTTTGAGACAGTCTTGCTCTGTCACCCAGGCTGGAGTGCAGTGGCACAATCTCGGCTCACTGCAACCTCCACCTCCAGGGTTCAAGTAATACTCATGCCTCAGCCTCCCAAGTAGCTGGGATTACAGGAGTGAGCCACCATGCCCAGTTTTATGTGTGTGTGTACGTGTGTGTGTGTGTGTGTGTGTGTGTGTGTGTGTGTGTATTTTTAGTAGAGATGGGGTTTCACCATGTTCACCAGACTGGTCTCAAACTCCTGGCCTCAAGTGATCCACCTGCCTCAGCCTTCCAAAGTGCTGAGATTACAGGCCTGAGCCACCGTGCCCAGCCAACTACTATGCATCTTGAAGGAGGAGGAGGAGGAAGAGGTAGTCAAGTGAAGGAGGAGGGAAGAGGCATTCCCCCAAAAAGGCAATATCCCTGGAGGCATGAAAGATGTGGGGTTGTGAATGATGGAAGGGAAGTATGGATGCCCTCCAGCCAAAGACCACCAGAAGACACCTAGAGTTCAACAAAACTGGGTTTGTTGGCTTGTTGTAAAGAGGGTAACATACACCACGTGGGGCATCTCTGTAGGGGCATGTTAGAAAGAACTTATAGAACTTGGACTCTTGTTAGTCAGTTTGGAGGAGGGTTTAAGAAAGTGGGGCTTGAACTCCTGGCATGAGAATTGCTAGAACCCAGGAGGCGGAGGCTGCAGTAAGTGGAGATTGCGTGACTACACTCCAGCCTGGGCGACAGAGCAAGACTCCATCTCAAAAAGAAAAAAAAGAAAAAAAGAAAGTGGAGCTTTGGCTGGGTGTGGTGGGTCACGTCTGTAACCCCAACAGTTTGGGAGGCTGAGGCGGGAGGATGCCTTGAGGCCAGGAGTTCAAAACCAGATTGGGCAACATAGCCAAGGCCCCATTTCTACAAAAAATTTAGAAATTAGCTGGGTTCGGTGGCTGGTGCCTATAGTCCCAGCTACTCAGGAGGCTACGGTGGGAGGATCACTTGAGCCCAGGAGTTGGAGACTGCAGTGAGCTATAATTGTGCTGCTGCACTCCAGTCTGGGTGACAGAGTGAGGCCCTGTCTCAGAAAAACATACAAAAATGGGGCTTTGTTCTGGTTTGAATGCTATCAGGAAGCAGGAGATAAGTCTCTAACTGGGTTATCTTTTTTTTTTCTTTTCTTTTTTTTTTTTTTTTTTTGAGACAGAGTCTCACACCATCGCCCAGGCTGGAGTGCAGTGGCGTGATCTCGGCTCACTGCAAGCTCCGCCTCCCGGGTTCACGCCATTCTCTTGCCTCAGCCTCCCAAGTAGCTGGGACTACAGGCACCCACCACCACTCCCGGCTAATTTATTTTTGTATTTTTAGTAGAGACGGGGTTTCACTGTGTTAGCCAGGATGGTCTCGATCTCCTGACCTCATAAACCGCCCACCTCAGCCTCCCAAAGTGCTGGGATTACAGGTGTGAGCCACCGCGCCCGGCCTTTAACCGGGTTATCTTAATAAATGCTAGCAAGAAAAGAAGGAAGTAAGGCTAAAGCTGTAATTGGTGGATAAGTGGACATCACTCAGAGGAGCCAGGATGAAGATTGTTTGGTTATTTTTGAGGTTTGGACAATGCTCATGTTTTGTCTCTGTTCTGACATGACTGTGGAGTGGTTTTGTCTTGTCTGACTCATCACAGTCACCGAGTGACATTGTTCTTCTCTCTCCCTCTCCCTATCCATGCCGGTGAAAATCCTAATTGTCCTTTGTGGTTCATCTCAGAACCTCCTCCTCCACGAAGACTTCTAGGCTCACCCTGAAGTGGTCCCTGTTGGGACCACTGCCCCATAAAACCCTTCCTTCAAAACCATTTCATGCTAAAATGCGCTGCATAGTGGAAGAGTCTGATGGTCTTGATACTGGTTGGATATCAAAGAAAGACAGCCTATATCAGAGGCCAGCAAGAAGAGTAAAAGGGCCCAAAGCGGTCAGTAAGGGCTGGGGGACATTATTTCCTAATGACTATGAAGAGGCTTGACCATAGTGGGAAGCCCCAGGCACTCAGCCAGCAGAACCTGCCCACCAGGAAGCAAGGGCCAAGGTGAGCCAGATGGAGGATCTACCCACCTGTGGACTCCATGAGTTGGAAGATATGACTCAGAATTGAAAGAAGGACTTATTTGTACATTCTTCAGCACTACTGATCACTTAGTCATAAGGATGGTTAGTCTTGGACCTATGTCAGGTACAGAGTTGAGCTAATTATATTCAGAAATTATGGTGGTTTCAGGGTTGAGTTTCCAGTACACACAGGGCGCTGGGCAAGCTGAAGCCCTGGGGTTTGCCAGTGGTGACAGTGGTTCCCTCACAAGACAAGCTCAGGTAATGTTCCCAAACCCAGAGACATCCACTTGAGGACTGGGTCTCCCCCAAATCCTTTTAACGAACTCCTTTTCTGCTTAATTAGCCTAAGTTGGCTTTTGTTAAGAATCCCAGTGGGTACACCCACACCCCACCTACTCAGAAAGGATCATTGTTAACTCCAAGGTGTTCAAATTTCCAAATCTTTTTCTGGTCTTATGTGAATTAATACTTTTTCATAAAAATGGGATCACATTTTACATAATGTTGTATAACCTACCACAACTTATTTGAGCAATTCACCAATTGTTTGAAGTATTAAGCTTTTTCCAACTAATCCTCTATTTTTTAACAATTTGTTCCAACTAATTGTTGATTTTTTCCAGATTTCACAAATAGTGGAACTATTTGACTAATAATTGGCTACAAAGAAATCTCTGTCTCACCTTCCAGTTCTTTCAGGCAAACAAAATATTGATGACTAACCACTATTTTTTGAGTGCTTCATGTGGCACTGTGCTAAGTTTTTTAAATTATCATGGTAAAAATGAAAAACACATAATATAAAATTTACCATCTTAATCATTTTTTTTTTGAGGTGGAGTCTCCCCGTTGCCTAGGCTGGAGTGCAATGGCGTGATCTCAGCTCACTGCAACCTCTGCCTCCCAGGTTCAAGCGATCCTCCTGCCTCTGCCTCCTGAGTAGCTGGGATTACAGGTACATGCAACCATGCCTGGGTAACTTTTTGTGTCTTTAGTGGAGATGGGGTTTCACCATGTTGGCCAGGCTGTTCTCAAACTCCTGATCTCGTGATACGCCCGCCTCAGCCTCCCAAAGTGCTGGGATTACAGGCATGAGCCACCATGTCCGGCCATCTTCATCATTTTAAGTGTACAGTACAGTAGCACTATCTATATGCATATTGTCATACATTTCACATGCACAATCTCTAGAACTTTTTTATCTTGCAAAACGGAGACTCTATTGAACAACAGCAACCCTTTTGCCCCTCTCCACAGTCCCCAGGAACTACCATTCTATTTTCTATTTATATGAGCTTGACTACTTTAGATACCTCGTACGCTACAGTTTGGATGTTTGTCTTCCAAATCTCATGTTGAAATTTGGTCCTCAAGACTGGGGGTGGAGCCTAATGGGAGGTGTTTGGGTCACAGGGGCAGATCCCTCATGAACATCTTGGTGCTATCCTCATGGTAATGAGTTTCCACTCTGTTAGTTCCTGAAAGAGCTGATTGTTAAAAAGAGGCTGGCATCTCTCCCCACTCTCTCTTGCTTCCTCCCCCACATTGTAATCTTGCACATGCCAAGCTTCCCTTCACCTTCCACCATGATTGGAAGCAGCCTGAGGCCTCACCAGAAGCTGAGCAGATGCTTGTGCCATGCTTCTTGTACAGCCTGCAGAATCATGAGCCAAATAAACCTTTTTTCTTTATAAATTACTCAGCCTCAGGTATTACTTTATAGCAACACAAACAGGCTAAGACACTCATATAAACAGAATTACTCATATTTGTCTTTTTTTTTTTTTTTTTTGAGATGGAGTCTCACCCTGTCGCCCAGGCTAGAGGGCAGTGGCATGATCTCGGCTCACTGCAATCCACCTCCTGGGTTCAAGCAATTCTCGTGCCTCAGCCTCCCGAGTAGCTGAGACTACAGGTGTGGTGGCATATTTGTTTTTTTGTGACTAACTTATTTCAACTAGCATAACATCCTCAAGGTTCATCCATGTTGTGACCTATGATTTTCTTCTTTTTTAAGGCTGAGTAATATTCAATTGTATGTATATACCTCATTTTCTTTATCCATTCATCCATCAATGGACATTTAGGTTGCTTCTACCTCTTGTCTATTGTGAATAATGCTGCAGTGATTACGGGTGTGAAAATCTGCCTTTGAGATCTGTTTCCAGTTCTTTTGGGTATGCAATCCTTGACTTACGATAGTTCAACTTAAAATTTTTCAACTTTATCATGGTGCAAAAGCAGTATAGATTCAATAGAAACCGTACTAAAAGTATCCATACAATCATTCTGTTTTTCACTTTCAATAACATATTTAATAAATTACATGAGATAATCAACACTTCATTATAACATCGGCCTTGCGTTAGATGATGTTGCCCAACTGCAGGCAAATATAAGTGTTCTGAGCATGTTTAAGGCAGACGAGGCTAAGCTATGACATTCAGTAGGTAAGGTGTATTAAATGCATTTTCAACTTAATGATATTTTCAATTTATGATGGGTTCATCAGGACATAATCCCATTATGACTCAAGGAGCATCTGTAATCCCAGAAGTGGTATTGCTGGATCATATATTAATTCTACTTTTTTTTTTTGAGACAGAGTCTCACTCTGTAGCCCAGGCTGGAGTACAGTGGCGTGATCTCGGCTCACTGCAACCTCCGCCTCCGGAGTTCAGGTGATTCTCCTGCCTAGGCCTCTCGAGTACCTGGGACTACAGGTTCACACCACCATGCCCAGCTAATTTTTGTATTTTTAGTAGAGACGGGGTTTCACCATGTTGGCCAGGCTGGTCTTGAACTCCTGACCTCATGATCTGCCTGCCTCGGCCTCCCAAAGTCCTGGGATTACAGGCGTGAGCCACCGCGCCTGGCCTATTAATTCTACTTTTAATCTTTTGAAAAGCCTCTGTACTTTTTTCATAGTGGCTGCACCATTTTACAATCCCACCAACAGTGCACCAGGGTTCCAATTTTTCCATATCCTCACCAACATTTGTTATTTTCTGTTTTGTGATAATGGCCCCAACAGGCATGAGGTGGTAGTTCATCGTGGTTTTGACTTGCATTTTCCTAATGATTATAATGTTGAGCATCTTTTCCTATGTTTGTTGGCCATTCATATATTTTCTTTGAAGAAATGTCTATTTAAATCCTTTGACTGTTTTTTAATCTAGTTATTTGTTTTTTGCTGTTGTTGTTATTGCTAACTTGTGGGAGTTCTTTACATATTCTGGATATTAACACCTTATTAGACATATGGTTTGCAAATGTTTTCTCCCATCCGGTAGGTTGCCTTTTCACTGTATTGGTGGTTTCCTTTGCCGTGTCTAATTTCTTAACTTGTGCTATCTCATTTAATCCTCATCAAAATCCAGGGAGATGGTGGGGGGATTCGGAAGGGGGAGCTGAGACCTAGGATAGGTCCATTGCTTGCCCAAGGCCACACAGCCTGTAGTGCCAGAGCCAAGATTCAAATCTGTATTTTCTAATAAAACTCTCTTGCCAGTGTAGAGCAGGGACCATCCATCTCCCTTGCATATGCTTAGAAATATTCACATAGGGCCGGGCATGGTGGCTCACACCTGTAATCCCAGCACTTTGGGAGGCCGAGAAGGGTGAATCACGAGGTCAAGAGATCAAGACCATCCTAGCCAACATGGTGAAACCCTGTCTCTACTTAAAAAAAAAAAATACAAAAATTGACTGGGCATGGTGGTGCATGCCTGTAGTCCCAGCTACTGGGAGGGCTGAGGCAGGAGAATCGCTTTAACAGGGGAGGCAGAGGTTGCAGTGAGCCAAGATTGTGCCAACAATCTGGCAACAGAGTGAGATTCCGTCTCAAAAAAAAAAAATTCCCATAGGAACAGCTCTTAGGCAGCCCTGACTCCTCCAACATTTGCCCCAAATACCTCATAAGGACTGACTCTGTACTCCTCTAAATTCCTTACTACCCTTGCCACTCCCATCCCTTCTCCTTTCCAGGACTAAATCAGTAACGATACTCGATGCTAGGCATATGTGCCACCTCTACCTTCTCTAGAACCTAATTCTCATCAATCATTCTCTTTTTCCTAGTGGGTCTAAACTGATTCTCAGAGTCTTTCTTGATACAGTATTCCAAGCAGCCTCTATCCAGAGCTGACATGTGAGATGAAACCCCTATGCCATCTCTACTCAAGACTAGGAGTTTTTCCAGAGCAGAAACTGTACAGGATTCATCTCTTTAATGAAAAATTTTCAATACTAACAGCAACATTTTGTTAACTGTTAACATGCCTGAAGCATGTCAAAGGCTGTGCTGAGCTGTTTATATGTATTCTCCCCTTTATGTTATAAGGGAGATAATACCCATTTCTCAGATAAGGAAAGCAAGGCATAGAATGCTTAAATGATGCACAAAAAATTGTATTGCTGGTAAATGGTGGAGGCAAGATTGCAACTGATGGAGCTTGACTGACACAGCACACCATATCACCCCTGCCACACCCCTGTCTGTGTCCCCAGGCTCCACACAGAGTTTGGCATGCAGTAAGTACATAATCAGCGTTTTGTAAATGAATGAATGCACAAATTCTTGCATGAATGAATGAATTGGCTTAAGATGTGGTGCCAGGGTAAGAGGGGACCAGCTGCTGCAGACCCATGGGAGGTTGGGCTGTGGGAGATGGTTTCTGACTCAGACCTAGCTCCCAAACCAGCCAGGAAGAACTGCCTCCCTGCTTCTCAGCCTGAGAGTCAAACCTTCCAAGATTATAATTATCCTGCTTGCCCCACCCACGGCCCTGCTTCTCCTCGGAGCCACAGCTCACAGGCCTGAGGGCTCCAAATGAGAGGGGGCGGGTGAGGGTTGACAGATGGGTGGGGTGCCTCAGGGGTTCTTTTAGTCAGAGAGCTGGAGAAACCAGGGTGGGGGGAGGCTGAGGCACTGGAGTGGAGGAGGGAAGCTGCACAGGTCACCGCGCATTTCCCTGGTATCCTCCGAGTTGCCCAAGAGGTGGGGCACAGGCAGAGTGGTGAGCATGTGCCACTGAGAGCAGATATTCAGTGGGCGCAGCCTTGAAAAGAGGCAGGGCCTTGGACTGTTCATTGCTTCTCTCCAGGCCTCCATTTCCCCATCTCTAAAGTGACAGAGGAGCTCAGGTCCTTTGAGCCAAATTTTCTCTAACTGGCAGGCACATGTCTTGCGTAAAGAAAACAAATTTGCATCACCCTCAGTCTGCCCCACCCTCTTTCTCCCCCAGTTCCAGGCTGGCACTTTGGTGCAGACTTCCCTCTGCCCCTAACATCATTTTCACCACCCAGGGCTATGTCAGAGTCACCTGTGATCATGAGTCTTTTCTCAATCCCTCCCCACACCAGGCACGTACAGGGGGGCCATAACAGCTGGCACCATACATTTGGTCATGTATGTTAATATCAATAAACCATTTGTGATGCATGGTCACCACCATCACTGGACTTTACGGCCACTCTATAAACTGCACCCTGTAAAGGCTAGAGGGGAAGCTCATGGGCTTTGCAAACAAGTAGGCTGAATTCCATACCTGGTTCTCACACTTACCACCTATGTGGCTTGGGTAAATCTCCACTTCTTTTCACTGAGCCTGGTTTCCTCATCTGTCCAATGGGCATCGAACAGATACAGAAATGACAAGCATATAGTAGTTATCCAAGGTTCAGTAACTCCTGCTATTACTTTATCATTTTCACAAGTGCTAAGAGTTGTCTCCTACTCAAGACCAAGCAGGTAAGTAAAGGGCCCTCAAGAAACAACCTCTAGTGAAGTTATTAGAAAAAACCTCCAGCCTGGGCAACATAACAGGACCTCATCTCTACAAAAAAAAAAAAAAAAAAAAAAATACAAAAAATTCACCCAGCATGGTGGCACACACCTGAAGTCCCAGCTACTCAGGAGGCTGAGATGAGAGAACCACCTGAGCCTGGGAGCTCGAGGCTATAGTGAGCCGTGATTGTACCACTGCACTCCAGCCTGGGTGACAGAGCCAGACATTGTCTCAAAAAAAAAAAAAAAAAGAAACAGAAGAAGACACCTGAGGTGGCCCCTTGAGTTTCTATGTACAAGTCACATTACAAAGAGATGAATGCACACTTGCTCAAAGAGGGGAAGTAGTGATGTGGTAAATACTGGAGCCCAGTTCCGTGTCATGCTAGAAGGTGGCATACCCTGAGCCTCAGTCTCCTTATCCACACAATGGGAGTGTTTGTAGAACCTACCATGAAGGGCAATTGTTAGAATTAAGTGAAACAAGGTAAGCACTTAGCACAGGACTTGGCTTACAGGAAACAGTTAATGCCAGTCATAGCTATCATTCAAGGGGAGACAATAGCATTTGGGTCACCTGATTGATAGAGCAATAATCTAGCGATGGCCTGGGCTCACAACCTGTGTAAGTGGATTAAGACGTGATGAGGCTGTGGCTCTCACCTGTAATCTCAGCACTTTGGGAGGCCGAGGTGGGTAGATCTCTTGAGGTCAGGAGTTCGAGACCAGCCTGGCCAACATGGTGAAACCCCAACTCTACTAAAAATATATACAGAAATTAGCTGGATGTGGTGGTGCATGCCTGTAATCCCAGCTACTCAGATGGTTGAGGCATGAGAATCACTTGAACCCAGGTGGCAGAGGTTGCAGTGAGCTGAGATTGCACCACTGCACTCCAGCCTGGGCAACAGAGCAAGACTCTGTCAAAAAAAAAAAAAAAAAGAAAAGAAAAGAAAAGAAATGAAAAAAGACATGATGAGAATGAGGAAAGAAAAAGCATTGGTTTAGCCTGCAAGGAGCCTGGCAGGGTCGGGCTGCCAAGAAGTGTGGCTCTTGTAGCATTTCCCTCTGACCGTGGCCAGCTGCTCTGCACCTCCTTTTAGGGCTAGCAAGAAGAGAAGCAGGAAGAAAATGCAGCAAGCAAAATTCACTGTAGAATAAGGGAAAACTTCTGACCACAGTGGAAGATGTGAAATCGCAGGACAAGGGCACCATAGCACTGTGTCATCCTCGTTTCTGAAGCAAATCTCTCGTCCACTCTTGCTTCCCTTGACCCAACAGCTTCAGCTGCAGCTGTGTGTCTGGTCCCCGTGCGCCTGACACAGTTCCTCCACAGCCTTCCAAGTCCCTCTACATTTCTCTTTTGGGGCTTTTTCCAGAACTACAGAATCTCACTCCCTTGGGTCTCCACGCACAAGGCAGCCTAGAATTGCAGAGTTACGCCCTGGACAACCTTCAACCATTGATGGATAAATGCCCAAGCTCCCTCGACACGCAGAGGAACAATTCTGAAGTTTATTCTGGTGGCTTCTCCAGGTCCCCAGAAGCACTGAGACCCAGTTTCCCACAGCTCAATAACATGCCTTTTATTGGCTTCTTCACCTTCGGAGATTTACACTACTTGCTCCCTCACTCCTGCCTACTGGGGTCCCCTCCCAAATAAAACACCTGCACCCATGTCCTTGTCCCAGGCTCCAATATCAGAAGAATTCAAACTAGGACATAAACCTGGCAGCACCACCTCTCTACCTGGTCCAGGATGCCCTTGCTGGCCTCTCCTCCAGGCCGACTTGATCCTGCCTCTCCTGCTCTGTCCACTCTCTGGTGCTGACATCTGCATGATAGACACATCATATCCTATTGTCACAGTGCGTCTGTGAGCTCGTGCCCCACTCAGCTCCGAGATGTTCACAGGCCAAGACAGTCTCCTGGTCACCTGAGGGTCAAGTAGCTCAGGACACCCCTTATTTTTATTGCAGTTGTGATCATTATCAATAACCACATGGAGTCTGGTGACTTCTGTGTTGACATTTTGCATTTCTAGAAGGTAATATGGTGCGCTATAGAAAAAAACACTGAGTTAAAAGTTAAGATATCAAGGCCGGGTGCGGTGGCTCATGCCTGTAATCTGGGCACTTTGGGAGGCCAAGGTGGGCAGATCACTTGAGGTCAGGAGTTCGAGAGCAGGCTGGCCAACATGGTGAAACCCTGTTTCTACTGAAAATACAAAAATTAGCCAGGTGTGGTGGCAGGCACCTGTAATCCCAGCTACTCAGGAGGCTGAGACAGGAGAATCACTTGAACCTGGGAGGCGGAGGTTGCAGGGAGCCAAGATCACACCATTGCACTCCAGCCCTGGGCAACAAGAGTGAAACTCCATCTCAAAAAAAGAAAAAATAGTTAAGATACCAAGATTCTCAAACATTACCTGTAAGTTCAATAAAGGAATAGTTATATGAATAACGACATATTCGCTCAATAGACTACTCTGCAACCATTTATGATTTTAAAGTATTATATTATAATATTTTTTGCTAAGCTCTTAGTATATTCCACACAGCGGGCTAAAACCTTTTCCACACATTTTCTCATCTAATCCCCACAATAACCCATAATATAGGTACTGGTATTATCATCATCATCACTATTACTATTATTCTCATTTTACAAATGAAGAAATGGAGTCTTTATAAAAATCGTCAGCTAATGCTTATAATGCAAAGTTGAGGTAAAGAGTAGGATATCAAATGGTGTGTTCAATACATCTCAATTATATGTAAATATATATGTAGAGAAAACAGGCTAAAAGATGGTGTATTACAATGCGGGCCATTGTTGTCTCTGGGTAATGGGTTTATAAGTCATATTTATTTTCTTCCCGTCTAACTTGCTCAGTGATTATAGGCAATTCATCTTCAGGCTGAGGCTCCACTGCCCTGCCGTCACCTCCATGAGATGTGGGTTAGGTCCCCATGGCTCCACCTTCTCCTCCTTAAGAAGCAGGGGCCAGAGCCCATGAGCCCTGAAGATTCTACAGTCTGGATGTCAAGAGGAAACTGCCAGGAACTAGAGCCGAGCATCAAGAGAGGTTGCAGCAATCATGCTGGGTCAGATCATCAAAAGGACTCACAAGACTCCAACAAAGTAAAAGGTCTGAAAGGTTTTTCTTTTCAATTTTTTTTTTTTTATATTTCAAAGAGAGACAGAGTCTCGCCATGTTGCCCAGGCTGGTTCTGAACTCCTGGGCTGAAGCAATCCTTCTGCTTTGGGCTCCCGAAGTGCTGGGATTACAGGCGTGAACCATCGCACCTGGCCCTGAATGGTTTTATTACAGGCAAAGGATACAGAACAATAAGAGTAAGAAAACTCGGAGCAACTTCAGGAAGATCCACAGCATCCACGAGCAGTTGCTAAGGCCCCCCTCAGTCGCACGGGACTGGTTCGGCCTCTGCATCGTGAACCCCCTAGTGCATGGGGAAGAACTGGGCCTCAGGGAAGCCAAGGCATATGTTCATCTTATTTCCCTCTGGTCACATAGCCCAAACCAGTCTAAGTAACCAGGCATAATAACTGAAACCAGGTGCCAACCATCCATCTATGTTTTTCCAATAAACTATGTAGCAAGTTGGTACAGGGCACCTCCAGGCAGCTTTGGACTTCTGACAGCATGTTATAAATCACTGATTAGTACATCCCATCTTTTTTTGGCCAAGCCTATGGTTCCAGCGTCTCTGGAGAAAATGCACGGAGTTACACATACTAGCTTCAAGTTGGCCCTATTCTTACAGAGGCTTAGGATGAAGATTGGCCTTCCTGGGCCCCTGGAGTCACACTCCAGCTTTGCTCCAGATGAAGACCTAGAATCCTGAAATCACAGCTTGGGTACCAGGTGTGCAAAGTCATGGATAAATGCCCAAGCTCCCTTAACGCACAGAGGACCAAGCGCATGAACCTCCTGGTCGTGGAGATGTACTTGGATGTGTCCTCTTGGAGCCTGAGCCCAAACTGGCATGTCTCATTCAGTTGCCACTGATGCTCTGATCCTGGAGAAGTGGGAGCAAGGAAGGTGAGGATGGAGACTGGCTTTTCTTGCCTCCCTTACTTCTTAACCCTCCCCCATGCCCCACCTCCCTTAAAGTCCTCTGCCAATATCCCATAGCCTAACAGAGTAGAGTAAGCTTGGGATGCAGGAGAAACTGACCAACCTGAATCCCACCTTCATTCAATGAATACTCACGTCTCATGTGTAAGGAGCTTGTGGATGCTCTAGAGCTCATGGAAGTAGACAGAAGTCATCTCTATTCACATGGTGTTTACAGTCTAAAAGGAGTCAGGTAATTAACAAATAAACATTCAGATGAATACACAACTTCAAATAGTACAAGGAAAAGGAAACAATTTGTTGTGAGAGAGAATAAATGGTGTTGGAACCCGCAAGAGATCAGAGGCGAGGAGGAAGCGACACTCTCTAAGGGACTGGTATTTAAGTTGAGAGCTGTAGGAAGGACTGATTAACATAGAAGAAGGGGAAGGGGGAGGGAACAGCATGTGCAAAGGCCCTGAGGAGGGATTGCTTGGCAAGTTAAAGAAAAGTGACTGGAGGCCGGTGTGGCTGGATGTGGCAGGTGTGGGCAAGAGTGGTAGCAGATGTGAGGTTGGAATGGCAGAAGAGCGTTGTGCAGGGCCCTGCAGCCACAGCAAGGAATTTGGAACTTATTCCAGATGTGATGATCTCATGGGTTGACTTCTCCAAAAGCAGAGCCTGAGACAGGATTTGGGTGCAGGTGGTTGATTTGGAAGTTGATTTCTGGAAGCAGGAACAAGGAAAGGAAAAGATTTAGGAGACAAACCAATATACATGTCCATCATCAAGGTCACCACTGAGAACAACAGAAGCTCTGTGCTGCAAGGACCTCGCGAAAAGCATGCAGGAAGCCTCCTGGAATTTTCTACCTGAAGGAGGGATAGTGGCACATTTATCTTGATGATCGCCTCCCGGGCTGTTAACTCAGTACTTCTGGGCTAGACTTTTGCACAGACTAAGCAGGTTTCAACAGCATCCAAGAAGACCTGAAGGCAGAAAGCAGAAAGACTCAAGGCACACTCTTGAGGTGGAGTGAGAAGTTACTATCAGCGGCCGGGCGCAGTGGCTCATGCCTGTAATCCCAGCACTTTGGGAGACTAAAATGGGTGGATCACCTGAGGTTAGGAGTTCGAGACAAGCCTGGCCAACATGGTGAAATCCTGTCTCTACTAAAAATACAAAAATTAGCCTGGTATGGTGGCACATGCCTGTAATCCCAGCTACTCAGGAGGCTGAGGCAGGAGAATCGCTTGAACCTGGAACGCAGAGGTTGCAATGAGCCGAAATCATGCCATTGCACTCCAGCCTGGGTGGCAAGAGTGAAACTCCATCTCCATCTCAAAAAAAAAAAAAAAAAAAAAAGAGGAAGAAGAAGTTAATATCAACACAGAGGAGGAGCATGGGGGCAAGACATAGGCATGGGGTGCCTCTGCCACCAATGGGGAGCCTAAGACAGTCTTTAAGTGGGAGAGGGCCATCTGATTGCACCTTAGATGCTGTCTGCCCTGTTGTGCACACAAAGGGAACAAGAACCTTGAATGTGTCAAGTACCTACTCCATGCACCAATACTGGGAGCTTTATACACAGTATCTTTAATTATTCACAGTAGGAGTGATTATCTCCAACCGTCATGATCAGGGGTTTCAGGTGGTCCTAGTTGACAAGTTTCCCCAGGGGTAACTTCTCTCCTTCCATTTGATCCATGCCAAAGATGAGTCTTAGCACATAAGTCTGATGCTTAAGGAGCTTATTCTGGCATCTTCTTATGAGACAGACAGTGGGAGCAGGAGGCTGGTGGCATGGCCAGACACAGCCAGGGGTCAGATGACGGACTGACCGGGAGGGTGTCCATCCAGAGACCATTATCAAAGTTTGAGGGATCCTTCCCCCTTCCTTCTATCCATATTCAGTCCAGGTCCCTTACCAGGTGTTTCTTACATAAAAGGAGTTTAAGCTATTCTTGTGAGGATAAGCTTTATTTTAAGATTTATGAAAGTTATATCTGTGCCGATTTAACTTTGTCTCCTGGAAATCCCGGGGCCAGGCTGCATCATACTAAGTGACAGGTAGTGTCAGCCCCGCAAGATGCTCGGATGGGTTTTATGGCTACCATTAATCTTATAGCCACCAGATGTCTTTTATCGTATACTACACCAGCTTACAGATGTGGAAACTGAGGCTCAGAGGACTGCACTAATTTGCAGGTCTCACAGGGAGTAATGGAGCCAGGAGCTCCTACCAGCCCTTAATGCTCTTGTCTGCAGCTGCAGCAAGATCGGGGGCGGGGGGCCACTGTGTTCTTATCTGGGATTCTTCACTCAGCATGGGTCTTCTCTGGCTCAGGTGGTGCCAAGAAGCAGTTCTGGAGAGACCTGGGCCCCTGCATTTTGACTTTCTGCCCCTGCAGGTGTTCGCCTCCCCCACATGCAGAACTGTGCCGCCATGAAGGCTAATTATAAGTGCCGGGTATTTATAGTGAGTTTCTCCACCCAGTGCTTCCAGCACCTCGAGGGAACTATTTACAGAATCCTCCCAGCACCTCGGAGAGAAAGGCAGAGCCGAGCAGGGGAAACTGAGGTGAAGCGACGGGGCGACATCTCCCTTGTTAAGGACCCTCAGCCAAGGAAGGCTTGCAGGGCGTCCTCACAGCAAGCACTGGGATTTGATTAGACAGCTGTCAGAGAGAGTAAGAGGAAACCCATGAACGCACACTTCCCAGATGTCTGGCAGCCACAGACTGGGCCATTTCCAAGCACCAGCTCATTTCATCTCTGTGCCTCGATTTTCCAATCTGCAAAATGGGGCTGTGAGGCTATGCCTCATAGACTTGTGAGATTTAAATGAGTTTAAACAGGTCAAGGAGAGAGCCTGGAAGGAGTAAGCTTCAAAAAATGCTATTAACTATTTATTATTTTTTTTATCGCCTTTACATCTAATCTAATAAAGTAGGCAAACATTATCCATTGGGCTTGTTGAAAAATGAAAATAATAATTACATTTTTAATCATTTCCTCTATAGTGCATAGTTAGGCTGCAAGACTATGTCAGAACCAAATTTATTTTTTGCTACACTGATGTGTTGCACTGTGCTAAAGTCAGGGCCTTCAGTACGTCCATCACTGGAGCCACACGCATTATACCCACCAGGCAACCACCTATTGCCTGCGCACCTGACCTCCTCCACACCTCCAAGTCTCCACCGTCCATCACCCCACACTCTGCTTCCATGTGTACATATTATTTAGCCCCTGCTTACAAGTGAGAACATACAAGCATTTGTCTTTCTGTGTCTGAGATGTTTCATTTATGATCATGGCCTCCAGTTCCATCCGTGTTGCTACAAAAAAATTTTCATTCATGTTTACGGCTGAATAGTATTCCATTGCGTGTGTATTTATATAGGTATATATACTACATTTTATTTATCCTGTCCTCCATTGATGGCCTCTCAGGTTGATTCCATATCTTTGCTGTTCTGAATAGTGCTGTGGTTAAACATATGGGTGCAGGTATCTTTTTGTATAATGATTCAGGAAACAAAATGAAAAAGGGAAAGGCAGGTGGGTTGTCTCCACCCAGATCAGAGGGAAAAGGGGAGAAAGGGAACGGGAGGGAAGGGGAAGGAAATGCAAGGGGAAGGAAAGGAAAGGGAAAGAAAGGGGAAGAAAAGGGAAGGAAGGAGATGCGAGATCAGGGGAAGGTAAGCAGGGGCACATATCACCTTGTTTCTGGTTCTCTGCTCCTGGTCAAAGTTCAGCGATCCACAGAGCAAGCCATAAGTGAAAACAGGAAATTATGATAAGATCTTTAGGGCTGCTGCACACACACACACTGCCCACCTCCTAACAGGGGCCAAGCCAAGTGCTAACCACAGGTCATCCAAGTTTTCTGCGTTCAGCAAGATTCCAGTGCCTAAACCATAGAATCCTGGAGATCCTCCCCAAAAAAGCGCAAAATGGAACAATAATTTCTCACCTTGGAGAGACACAGTGAGGATAGCATGAACAAGTGTGTACAGAGTTCCTAGCACATGAAAGGGCCTCAATAAAATAGTCACTATTATTAGAATCCTGGGTTTTCTTTATTATTTATTTTTTAACCAGTGTATGAGTCCATTCTCACATTGCTATAAAGAACTACCTTAGACTGGGTAATTTATAAGGAAAAGAGGTTTGATTGGCTCACAGTTCTGCAGGCTATACAAGAAGTATGGCTGGGGAGGCCTCAGGAAACTTACAATCATAGCAGAAGGTGAAGAGGAAGGAGGCATGGCTTACACGGCCAGAGAAGAAGGAAGAGAGAAGGGGGTAGGTGCCACACACTTTTAAATAAGCAGATCTTATGAGAACTCACTCACTATCCTGAGAACAGCAAGGAGGAAATCTACCCCCATGATCCAGTCACCTCCCACCAAGCCCCTCCTCCAACGCTGGGGATTACAATTTGACATGAGATTTGAGCAGGGACACAGAGCCAAACCATATCAACCAGTCCTTAATATTTTTTATGTGTTAAAATTACAACATGCTTGACATTAAAAACAATTCAAACTTTAAGGAAGAATAAAGACAGGGGAAAAGCCTCTTCCTCTCTCCTGTCTCTCCACCCAAATTGTTGTTGTTGCTATTGTTTTTATTTTCTTGGTAGGAGCAAAAGTCCTCAATCCAGAAAGTCAAGAGACCTGAATCCTCTCCCAGGATGGCCAGCAACCCTCTGTGTGACCCTGGCCAAGTCATTTTCACTCCCTGTGAAGTTTCCTCTTCTGGGAGGATAGACCAGACGAGCTGTTCTCAAACTCTACTGCACATTAAAATCATCCAGGAGATCTAAAAAACTCCAGCACCCAGCTGGCACCCCCAGGCCAATGAATCTTCGGTAGGACCCAGGCTTCAATATATTTTCAAAGCTCTCTGTGGTTTCAACGAACAGCCATGGTGGCAGGAAACTACCCCCTCTCCTCCCAGGTCCTTCTCAAACTTCACTGTAGGCACAGATCATCCTGGTCTGTGCTAAGATGTAGACCCTGGCTCAGGCAGAGATTGGACATTTCTAGCAAGCTGCCAGGTTCTCTTGCTGCTGGTCCAGGAAAAGGGACTAGACCATTGGTTGAAAAGCTTTTGTTAGCTTTGCAATACTTTCTACAAAGGAAATATTGCATGGAAACAGATACTTAACAAAACTGCTCTGATTAAAGTCAGGGTTCAGAAAGGATGGGACAACCGGAGTCTCAGACTCAGATTCACCCCGAAATCCGTGAATTGGGCAGAATTACAACTCCATCAGAGACATCGTGTCCTGATCCCACAACCTTGTGAACATGTTCCGTTACCTGGCAAAGGGGAATTATGTCTTCAGAGGAAATTAAGGCTGTTAATCAGCTAACCTTAAAATAAGATTATCTGGGTGGGCTTAATCTAATCAGAAGAGGTTGTTAAAAGTGGAAGAGAGTGGCTTAGTATTCCCTATCCACTTTCCCTACATTTTCTCCTCCATAGAACTCATCTTCTAATATATTTTATAATATGTACACTTAAGTTTTGTTTTTTAGTTTTTTAGAGGCAGTGTCTCACTGTGTTGCCCAGGCTGGAGTGCAGTGGCTATTCACAGGCGTGATCCCACTGCTGATCAGCATGGGAGTTTTGACCTGCTCCATTTCCAACCTGGACCAGTTCACCTCTCCTTAGGCAACCTGGTGGTCCCCTGCTCCCAGGAGGTCACCATACTGATGCCGAACTTAGTGCGGACACCCAATAGACACAGTGCATTGCAGCTCAGAACTCCTGGGCTCTAGCAGTCCTCCGGCCTCAGTATCCCCAGTAGCTGTGACCACAGGCACATGCCATGGTGCCCGGCAACATATCGACATATGGCTTGTTTCTATTGTCCTCTTCCCTGGAAAATACTCCATAAAAGTTGGGATTTTGTCTGTTTCACTCATGCTGGATCCAAAGTGCCTACAACAGTGCCTGACGCCACGTAGATGTCTAACAAATATTTATGGAATGAGAAGTTAACAGAAAAAAAAAAGTGGAAGCGGGAGGCAGAAGAGTGATGTAATGTGAGAAAACCTCACACCACTGTTGCTAGAATTGCAGATGGAAGAAGGGGCCCCGAGCCAAGGATACAGGCAGCCTGTAAAAGCTGAAGAGGACAAGAAAATGGATTCTCCTTCAAAGTCTCCAGAAAAGAATTCCTTGGTTTCAGCCCACTAAGACCTGTGCCGGACTCCTGATCCCCAGAACTGGAAGATAATAAATCTGTGTTGTTTTTACCCACTCAGTTTGTGGTCCTTTGTTACAACAGCTGGAGGAAAATAATGCACCCTCTGAAGCATCTCCAGTAAAGCCCTACATCACTGAAGCACAGCTGGGCTAGACAAGCTTCATCACTGTGGATCGTGAAGGGGCTGAGAGTCACTAGGTCTGTCCTCTACCCCTTTTCTTGCACAGCTGGTGGCAGACACTCAGTACTCCGGGACTTGGTGACACAGCCCAGACTGGTGGTATCAGCTTCCCTGGGATTCCAGGGCCCCTACTTCCCCTCCTCCTGGCAGGAGGGGAATCCCAGGTAGCCTCCTCAGCAATGCCGAAGTTATTTTCAGCTTAGCAGCTGAACATTTCAGCAAAGAGCAGCTTGGAAGTGTCTCCTGGACCCCCAGAGGAGACCTTGTTCCTCTCCTTGTGCTGTACCCTGCCAGATGTAGCCTTGCACCTGCCTACTCCAACTGGTGCGGTACCCAGAGCATCTCTGGTCCAACAAACTAGCTCAGGACAGGACAGAGGGTCAAGGGAGACCCCAAGTCCATCCCAGTCTGGTCTCCCCTATGCCAGAGGTGGAGGTTGGACTATTCTGCAGGAGAACAGATGGGCAGGAATCTCAGGGGGTCCTGAAACAGATGAGGTCTCAACAAGAGCCCTAGAACAGTGGTTCTCAGCCCAGCTAGCACCTGGATCCACCCAGGGAATTTTTCAAACTCATGATCAGGCCAAGCACAGTGACTCATGCCTGTGATTCGAGCACTTTGGGAGGTCAAGATGGGAGCATCACTTAAGCCCAGGAGTTCAAGACCAGCCTGGGCAACATAGCAAGACCCCATCTCTATTTTTAAAATGAAAATTTTTTTGCCTGGACATGGTGGCTCACGTCTGTAATCCCATACTTTGGGACGCCAAGGCGGGTAGATCACCTGAGGTCAGGAGTTCAAGACCAACCTGACCAACATGGCAAAACCCCGTCTCTATTAAAAATACAAAAATTAGCTGGGCGTGGTGGCGTGCACCTGTAATCCCAGCTACTCGGGAGGCTGAGGCAGGAGAATTGCTTGAACCCGGGAAGTAGAAGTTGCGGTGAACCAAGATCATGCCACTGCACTCCAGCCTGAGCAACAGAGCGAGACTCTGTCTCAAAAAAAAAAAAAAAAAAAAAAAATGAAAAAGAAAGAAAGAAAAAAGAAAAAGAAAAGAATTTTTTTTAAAACAAACTTCATGATGCCCAGGCTGCTGCAATTCAATCAGATTTCTGGAGGTGCAGCCAAGGTGGCAGTTTTTAAAAGATCCTCAGTGATTTCAATGCAGTCAGGGGCGTGACCCTCTAGATGAATAGTTCTCAGAGTGTGGGTGACAGGTGGACAGCATCGGCATCGCCTGGGAGCTTGTTGGAACTGCAGAATCTCAGGCTCCACCTCAGACCTAACGAATCAGAATCTGCATTTGTACAAGGTCCCAGGAGACTCCTGGGCACTTTCAGTTTGAGGTGCACAACAGTGGAGCATAATAGTTAAGACTGTCAGCCCTCGGTCAGAGTTCGCGGGGTGTCTCCACCACTTCTTTTTTTTTTTTTTTTTTGAGACAGAGTCTTGCTCTTTCACCCAGGCTGGAGTGCGGTGGCGCGATCTCATCTCACTGCAAGCTCCGCCTCCCGGGTTCATGCCATCCTCCTGCCTCAGCCTCCGGAGTAGCTGGGACTACAGGCGCCCGCCACCGCAACTGGCTAATTTTTTGTATTTTTAGTAGAAACGGGGTTTCACCGTATGAGCCAGGATGGTCTCGATCTCCTGACCCTGTGATCCGCCCGCCTCAGCCTTCCGAAGTGCTGGGATTACAGGCGTGAGCCACCGCGCCAGGCCTCCACCACTTCTTATCCACAAAGCCTTGGGCAAATGACACCCTCGGAGCTCTCATTTTCTCCTTTCAGCTTCCTCCCACAACCCACAGGTGGGGCTGGGCAGGAAACTCCAGAAATCCACAGTAGTCCAGGGGACTTGGTGGGGACACCCAGGAAAATTCACAGCCTGTCTTGGAGGAAGAGGTTTGGGAGGACCCTGAAGCTGAAACAGTCTGGAGGACCTCCTGCAGTAACAGAACACGAAATTCCGTGTAAATGTGAAAACAGCTATATTAGGGAAAGGATCCAATTTAAAATATTCTGCCCCTCTATCTCTTTAAATGAGTATCCCGGTCATATGTACTGACCTTCTAGTCTCAAAAATACTCTGTGTGTGTGTGTGTGTGTGTGTGCGCGTGTGGGTGTGTGCACGCACATGTGTGTGTTTGTGTGTGCATTTACCATCTTGGCCTCATGAAAAATTGACAACCCATTCATGGTAGCTGAAGAATGATAGAAGCTTCAAGGTGTTCAAGAGAAGTGTTACAGGAAGTCAGCACTTATTTGAAGCTCCTCCATTGATGAGATCAGAAATCTGGAAACAACACTGGAAAAAAACAGGGCCTTAGAGGGAAAACCAGGCAGCTCTCTGAAGAATTTTAAAAACAGGAACAAGGATTTCTCCATTTGCAGGGCTCTCTGGAAGCGGGCCCTTTCGGATGAAGGCGGCAGGCTATAGTTAGAAAGAGATCCATGGTGAAGAGCATTCTGTTACTATAAATTCACTTCCAAAAGCCAAACATATGTGTGTGCACACACACATAAATATCATATCTATGGAGGAGATAAATCAGCGTATGACATTTAGCCCTTCCTAAATTTGGAAAAATATAAAATTACTACTTTTTTTTTTTTTTTTTTTTTTTTTTTTTTGCTAGCGTGAGAATAAGAAGGAAGGCATCTCACTCTAATAAGATCGATCTGGGAGAGCGTTATCTACATTCCTGAGTGCAGCTCATTCAGTCATTCACTCATTCAGTCTCCAAATAGTTGCCGGTGTCCACATGCCAATAAGAAACAAGACTAAGGCCTAGTGCGGTGGCTCATGCCTGTGGTCCCAGCACTTTGGGAGAGCGAGGTGGGAGGATCACGGGGTCAGGAGTTCGAGACTAGCCCGACCAACATGCAGAAATCCCATCTCTACTAAAAATTAAAAAAAAAAAAAAAAAATTAGCCGCGCATGGTGGTGCATGCCTGTAATCCCAGCTACTCAGGAGGCTGAGGCAGGATAATCACTTGGACCCAGGAGGCGGAGGTTGCAGTGAACTGAGCCGAGATCTCACCACTGCACTCCAGCCTGGGTGACAGAATGAGACTCTGTCTCAAAAAGAAAAAAAAAAAAAAGAAACAAGACTGATATCATTCCAGTCTTTACGAAGCTGGCTGGCTAATGCCTACCTTTCAGAGTATGGTCCCGGACTAGCAGCACTGGCCTCTTCTTGGCACGTGTCAAAATGCAGATTTGTGGGTCCCACCTTAGACCAACTGAATCATAATCTCACCCAGGGGTTCACATTCAGGTTTCAGAAGCACTGACCTAGTACAATCTAATTTCTAAAGGTTTGCCACGAAGAAGGGCGGTCTGGAATTTCAATTTCACCCATGACCTACAGACAGAATCATTAAATAGAAAGATTAATAAAGTTAGCTATTTACAACCCAAACATCCCCACCTCACCAATGGAGATTATCAATCCAAGACATTGCTGATCTGTCTGATTGCAAAAGACTGTGGAAACCAGCAACTAACTCCACAATAGCGCTAAGGGAATCTGGGAGGTATTATACAACCATTTCATGATTCATCAGTATCCAGGGACCCTCCCAGGAAGGAAGAGATGGGTTCAAGTTGCAGGGTGAGGGTTTGGAGGAAAAGTTTGCTCGTCTTGGTACAGAAACTGAAAAGTCTCAGATTCCAACTCCAACACTCAAGCCCACTAATGGATGGATTGGCTCCAAGATCGGCAGGGTAACAGATGGAAGTAGAAGAAAAAAATATCATTTTCCCCAAACTTGCTGAGTCTGATGAAGATGTCGGAAGATTTGGATGCAGCCAGCATGATTAATCTTACCAACTTTACCTTGAGTTTCACTTTTGGCGGGGGAATGGCATCAGCTTAAAAGTTAATTACCAGCAAGAAACAAATCATGCAGCTGATGTGCACATTATAAACAAATTAAGTTCTTAAAATAGGCAACACACCACTTGGAACAATGGTTTACAAGCCCAAGGGTGCATGAAAATAATTGCGGAAGGTGAGGAAACTAATAGCTAAAATATGTGAATTAAATGAGGGCAAATTGCAGATATTAATGAAAAAGCAAAGGGAAACATGGTCAACCTCTCGTTTTGTAAACAGCAAGCCAAGCAGAACGATCCAGCATGCAGCCCCCTGTGGAATGAGGAGGGAGGCCCCTGATGGAGACAGGGCTCCCCAGAGATATAGAAGCAGCTGGAGTGTAAAGAATCAGGGCAAGAGGAGGGGGTGCCCAGCTGGGGAGGCTCAGATCAAAGCTGACAGCAGCAGAGCTCCACCACAAGAGGGTAAATTCAGAGGTGTGTGGGAGGCGAAGTTTCTTTCCATTGTAGAAAGTTGGAAATTAAGTCCAAAGTCTTCCATTGTATTTCCATTGCAGAAAATTAGAAATTCAGTCCAAAGTCTTCATTGTACAATTGAAGAGACCAAGCACAGAGAGGGAGGTAACTCTCCCAAAGTCACACAGTAAGTGTCAGAGCCAGCAGTTGAACTTTGGCGTCCTGACTGCAGGTCACACTTCCTTCCCATTCATCAGAGGTTCCAAACTCCTATGCCTACAGGGTCAGGCAGGGAGCAGAAATGCAAGAAGCTGGCTTGATGTGAAGACTATGAGCCACTAGGGTCCAACAGAAATCCAATGTGAACCTCATAAGAATTTTCTAATAGAAGGAGAAAAATACCTCCCAGATTCCCTTATCCCTAATAGCCACCTCAATTTGGACTAGCCACATTTCAAGACTCAATAGCCCCATATGGCTAGTGGTTACCTTATTGAACAGTACAGCTATACGCAGTGATGGGGAATGTTGAAAACCGGAGAAAGGGTGACCCATCTAAAATGGGATGGCAGCCACAATCCCAGCCAGGAGGGAAGGTGAAACCAGATGTTCAGTTTTCAAGAGAAGCCAGAAATCCAGATAGTCGTATGAAATCATTCAATGGTGAAACATCTGTGAAATGAAAAAATATTACTGTGCTACCAAGAACACATCTGATAACTGGAATTGGCATGTGGGCCCACGGTTTGCAGTCTCTCTCTCAAAGAAGCAAAGAGCAACTGCATTAAATAATCATCTTAAGCATCCTTAGGAACCTAGTCAATATCAACCACTTTTAGGGACAAATTCAAGTCCCAATTCTTACTCCTCCACTAGATGAAACTTAATGAGTTCATTCCCCTGAGCCCCAGTTTTCTCATCTCCAAAAACATGAACATGTTTTAAGGGCCCCATGGGAAAATTAAATGTAAAAGCAACTTGTCAATGTCAAAACACTGCACAAACATCATGATTGCTACTGGGACATGCTCAGAGAATAGGACATGGCTAACCATCACAATGACCTCTGGGACCCCACCAGGGTCTTGTCCCAGGGGTATTGTCCCAGAAACAGTAAGCTATCATCCCTGGGAATCCAAGCCCTGCTTGTCTGCATCCTGATCCTGAAGCTTAGAAGAGCTTTCTACAGGAAGAGTTTTCTGACTTTCTAGTCTCTTCACACTCACTGTAATCCATAATAGGCCGTATGTAGCCTTGGACACTAAATTCACCGATTCATTCAACAAACACCATTGAGCACACACCTTGCATCAGTCGTTCTGGGAACTGGGGATATTTACTGGAGAGGATAAGGTGGGCTCTGCACTATTCTGGCGAGTTCTTTGTGCCCAACTCTGTACACCTGCTGCCTTTCTCTGAAGACTGACTTTGGGCTATGGAAGCTCCGCCACTCATATCTGGGAATTTACATCACTGCCAGGGTAGTCTTTAACCACTGACTCATAGAGGCGGGATGGAAAGCCCAGCTTCTCCTGGACTCAAGGTGGCACAAACTCTAAGGTGTCAGGTACCCACCCCCCTCCCAGAGCATCCTGCAGAATCAGGCTGAGGCTGAACTTGATCTGAAATCTCACCCTTGCTTGGCTACTGCCCATTCTGATCTTTTTGTCAGTTTCTCTTGGAAGCACTTTCCTAATAAATCACTTGCCGATGAACCGTCATCTCAGGGCCTGATTCTGGAAAAACTTGACCTGGGGCACAGACATTGTTATTATCCATACACAGCCCTGCCCTCGGGGAGCTCTCCAGCTATCTGGAGAGGCTGATGTGCCACAAATCAGATAATGCTTCATTTGCCAGATAAACAAATACAGTCCTTTTGGGGAAAGTGCTGTATTTGTTTGGAAGGATGTTTTAACAAGTTCAGTGAGGACAAAATTGATTCCCTAAGGGCATGAATGCTGCTGGTGCCAAGACTTCAAGGAAAAAGGAGGAAACTGCTCTGTGTGTGAAAATGAGAGGGCTTTGTTTGTTCCCCAGAGCAGAACAGGAAGGGGAGTGCCAGGACCTGGAGGGGAGGCCACGACATGTGTGGTGTGATGTGAAACCTCTCATCTTCAGTGAGGTGGTGAACAGCATGCAGGCACAGGGGCTGGAGATGGAAGACACGGTTAGGAACTGTCCTCTTGAGAAATCTTAAGGAGGGATTTGGACTATGTCAAGCCATAGAGAATCAGGGGCATTTGAGGCCAGTTTGCAAGCTGCCACCCACGCCCACCAGGAAGACTACAGCAGCCTCCTACATGGTGTCCTGCTTCTATGCCTGCCCCCTCCCACACTACGGACTCCCCACCAGCAGCCAGAGTGAGCCTTTAAAATGCAACTAGGTCTTGACACCTAAATGTATTCAGTTCTTGAGGCCAGGTCATTTTGTGCCTCTAAAATCCTCCAATAGCTTCAAAGCCAGGCGTGGTGGCTCACGCCCGTAATCCCAGCACTTTGGGAGGCCAAGGAGGGTGGATCACCTGAGGTCAGGAGTTTGAGACCAGCCTGGCCAACACGGTGAAACCCCGTCTCTATAAAAAATACAAAATTAGCCAGGCATGGTGGTGCACACCTGTAATCTCAGCTAGTTGGAAGGCTAAGGCAAGAGAATCGCTTCAACCAGGGAGGTGGAGGCAGTGAGCCGAGATCGCGCCATTGCACTCCAGCCTGGGTGACAAGAGCAAAACTCTGTCTCAAAATAAATAAATAAAATAAAATAAAATAAAATCCTCCAATAGCTTCCCATTGCATTTAGAACAAAATCCAGAGTTCTTACCCCACCTTCATGGACTCTGTAAGATCTGTCTTTCTGATCTTCTGAACACACCCATCTTTTTCTGACCCCAGGGCCTTTGCACTGGCTGTTTGCTCTGCTTAGACCACTCTCTCACCCCCACCACAATATTCACAGGGTGGGGTCCTTCTCATTATGCAGCTCAAATATCATCTCCTCACTCGAGTCTTTCCTTACCACTGTGAATTTTAGCACCTGCCTCGATTTATTTATTTATTTATTTTTGAGACAGAGTCTTGCTCTGTCACCTAGGCAGGAGGACAGTGGCATGATCTCAGCTCACTGCAACCTCCACCTCCCATGTTCAAGCAATACTCATGCCTCAGCCTCCCGAGTAGCTGGGGTTACAGGCGTGTGCCACCATGCTTGGCTAACTTTTCTATTTTCAGTAGAGATAGGGTTTCGCCATGTTGGCCAGGCTGGTCTCAAACTCCTGGCCTCAAGTGATCTGCCTGCCTCAGCCTCCCAAAATGCTGGGATTATAGGCATGAGCCACTACACCGAGTCCCTGCCTCAATTTATATCACACGATCCTGCATCAGTTTCTTCATAACACTTATCATCCCCTGAACTTGAACTGTTGATTCATGCATTCAGGTGTTTTTTGTCTCCCTGCTTCAAGAACATAAGCCCCATGAAGGTGGGAGCCTTATTCTACTTACCAAAGTGTCTACAGAATCTGGCATATAGTTGGTACTCAACAAACATTTCTAGAGTGACCCGATGAGCCCCTGAGAGACAAGGGATCTCCAACAGGTATTTGGATGACACAAACAAGTGATGTTGACATAAGTATGCATCAGGCAAGGGTGTACCAAAGGCTGTGAGAGCCCAGAGGTGGCAGAGAAGGTTCCACAGAAGAGAGGATATTTGAGCTGAGCCTTGACAGGGTGGCCTTCCTCTTGTTTAGGGTGCCTTTACTGTTTCTCAACAGCTCTAGGCTCCTTATGACTCTGGATGCTCTGATTTTGTAGATGATGTTTCCTCTCTCTCTCTCTCTCTCTCTCTCTCTGTAAAACACTTCATTCTTCACCTGGCTCATTTCTGCCCACACTTCAGTTTTCAGCTTAAATGCCACTTACTCAGGTCAAGCATTCCCAGACCCACTGTCATTCAAATAATATTCTCCTTGCTGATCTCTCTGTAAGCATCCTATGTTAGTCATTCTTAGCACCCACTCTTTGGGTTTCCCCCACTAGCCTGTAAGCTCCATGAGGGCAGGGACTATGTCTGTCCTCTTCACCACTGTATCCTCTGCGCCTAGTGTGGGTGCCTAACACTCAGTAGGGGCTCAGTAAATATTTGTTGGTGAATAAATCTGTGGACAGATTTATTCATGGAAGAAACAGAAGACAGAGGAGAAGGGCATGCCTCAGCCTCCTCAGTAGCTAGGATTACAGGCATGCGCCACCACACCCAGCTAATTTTCATATTTTTAGTAGAGACAGGGTTTCGCCATGTTGGCCAGGCTGGTCTCAAACTCCTGACCTCAAGTGATCCACCTGCCTCCGCCTTCCAAACAATGCATTTTTGCACAGTTCTGGAGACTGGCAGTCCAAGATCAAGGTGCAGCATGGCTGGGTTCTGACAAGGGCCCCCTTCCTGGTTTATAGATAACCACTTTCTCACCAGGGGGACCTCACACGGCAGAGAGGGAGCAAGCTCTCAATGTTTTTTTTTTTTTTTTTTTTTGACAGTTTCGCTCTTGTTGCCCAGGCTGGAGTGCAACGGCCCGATCTTGGCTCACCACAACCTCCACCTCCCAGGTTCAAGTGATTCTCCTGAGTCAGCCTCCCAAGTAGCTGGGATTATAGGATTGTGCCACCACGCCTGGCTAATTTTATATTTTTAGTAGAGACAGGGTTTCAACATGTTGATCAGACTGGTCTCAAACTCCTGACCTCAAGTGATCCGCCTGCCATGGTCTCCCAAAGTGCTGGGATTACAGGCATGAGACACCTCACCTGGCCACATGTCTCTCCTTATAAGGGCACTAATCTCATCATGGGGGCCCCACCCTCATGACCTCATCTAACTCAAATTGACTCCCAAAGGCCCTGTCTCCCAGCAGAGTTCAAGGCAGAAAATACTGGTGCCCTTGGAAAGTCACAAATTGTTTGGTATGCTAAGAGAACAATGTGCATGGACAGAAAAGGCATGAGATGAGTAGGAGAGGCAAGGAGATGGGACACTTGGATGCAGCTTTCCATTATCCCTGTTTTCCCTGCCAACTTGACAGGTCCCCACAACTCTCCTCTGCACCTGCATTCCTTGAGTGATGAAGGAAGGAGTAGGTTTGCTTTTTCCAGGGTTTCCTGAGATAAGAGAAGAATAATCTCTGTAGCTGCCCAAGGGAAGAAACCTCCCACATGCCAAGAAGGCAAAAGATAAAGAAAGAGTGAACAATTGTTTCCTATGATGAGTTGAGGACTGGCTGGGCGCGGTGGCTCACGCCTGTAATCCCAGCACTTTGGGAGGCCGAGGCGGGCGGATCACGAGGTCAGGAGATTGAGACCATCCTGGCTAACATGGTGAAACCGTGTCTCTACTAAAAATACAACAAAAATTAGCCAGGTGTGGTGGTGGGCACCTGCAGTCCCAGCTACTGGGGAGGCTGAGGCAGGAGAATGGTGTGAACCTGGGAGGCAGAGCTTGTAGTGAGCCGAGATTGTGCCACTGCACTCCAGCCTGGGTGACAGAGCAAGAACCTGTCACAAAAAAAAAAAAAAAAAAAAAAAAAAAAAAGAGTTCAGGACCACTGTGGGTCTGGACCAGCAGACCAGGAAGCATGCTCACCCCAAAAGAGATCCAAAAAGAAAACCAAATGAGTTAGGTGAAGCTGTCTTGCTTGAGACTACCTAGTTTGTTCCCATGATAATGGCTTTCTGGAGAAGGATGATTGGATGAAGGATGCTTAAAATTCAGGAGACTCTGGGCAGGAAGACCCTGGGAGAGGTTTATTAGTCAGCTCGGGCTGCCCTGACAAAATACCATAGCCTGGGCAGCTTAAACAACATAAACCTGTTTTCTTGCAGTTCTGGAGGCTGGAAGTCCAAGATCAAGGTGCAGCATGGTTGGTTTCCAGTGAGGGCCTGCTTCCTGGTTTATAGATAACCACCTTCTCACTGGGACCTCACATGGCAGAGAGGGAGTAAGCTTTCACATGTCTGTTCTTACAAGGGCACTAATCTCATCATAGGGGCCCCACCCTCATGACCTCATCCAACCCTAATTAACTCCCAAAGGCCCTATCTCCCATCACACTGTGAGTTGGAGCATCAAGATATGAATTAGCAGGGTACACATTCAGTCCATACAGGAGGCATTTGTGATCATTCCAGTGGGAGAAGATTTGAGTCCCAAAGATACATACCACGGTAATCACCAGCACTGCTTACCAATATTTTCAGTTTTCTAGGCTCATGATGGGATACCATTCCCTGGGCCCTGTGCAGTTAAGTGGGGCCATGTGACTAGTTCTGTTCAGTGAGCTGTGAGCAGAGTGATCCGTGTCACTCCTGCCTGCAGCATCTATGTGGCAGTGCAAGACCCTCCAGAGCTCTGCATAGCATGGTCTTTCTCCAGGAGGCACTGATGTTTCTGCTCAACTCCCTTTTCCCTCCTTTCTCTCCTTTCCCCTCAATCTAGGGAAAAGCCTCACTCTTCTCAAACTGTAATTCTAATTCTAAACATTATGGAATTCCGAATCTTTTTAATTCTTCTAAGGACTTAGACTTTGGGACACTAAAGACATGCACTTGCAGACTTTATTCTGTTTTTTGTTTTTTTTTGTATAGTCCCATCTCCTCCCTCATGCAATGAGCCCAGCCAAATGCTTAGATTGGGACTAAAGGGAGCATGGAGAAAAAAAAGGAAAATAAGGAGAAAGTACATCAATGAATATTTCAAAAAATACTATTGACATCTTCAAATTCATGATTCATTCCTTTGTCATCTTTATTCTGCAATCAACCCCCTCCAGTGAATGTTTCATTTTAGACATCGTATGTTCTAGACCTAGAAGTTCCCATTGTTTCTTTCTTATTGTTCTATTTGAGGCTGAAATTTCTTATCTTTTCATTTATTGTGAGCAGAGTTGCCTTTACATCACTGAACATTGTTAGAATAGCTGCTTTAAAAATTCTTGCCTAGGCAAGGTGTAGTGGCTCATGCCTCTAATTCCAGCATTTTGGGAGGCTGAGGCAGGTGGATCACCTGAGGTCAGGAGTTGGAGACAAGCCTAGCCAATGTGGCAAAACCCCATCTCTACTAAAAACTTAAAAATTAGCTAGGCATGGTGGCAGGTGCCTATAATTCCAGCTACTCAGGAGGCTGAGGGAGGAGAATCGCTTGAACCCAGGAGGTGGAGGTTGCAGTGAGCCAAGATCACACCACTGCACTCCAGCCTGGGCAAAAGAGCGAAACTCTATCTCAAAAAAAAAAACAAAAAAAAAAAACAAAAAAAAACGTCTGGGTCACCTTGGAGTCAGCTTCCATTCATTGTCTTTTTGCTCAAGAATGGGCCAAAATTTCCCATTTGTTTGCATTTAGAGTAGATTGTATCCTAGATATTGTGAATATTACATTGTAGAGACTCCAGATTCTGTGCTATTTCTCCCAAGAGTGTTGATTTTTTAATTTGTTTTTGGAGGCAATTAACTTGGTTGGACTCAAACTGCAACTCTACCAGTGGGGCAGCAGCTTAGTTCTCAGACCATCTCTTTTAGCTTTATCTGGGCTGCTTACGGTTTGCCTGGTGCACAGATACTTCAGAGGTCACCCAGAGATTGGGGCAGACTTTATACACAGAGTTAAACCTTGCCATCTCCAGTTCCCTTTCCCATGAGAACAGATGTCTGCAACTATGTCCTCTGGCTGTTCAGCCAGATGGAGTGCAGGTTTTCTGTTGGAGTTTTAGCCACCACCACCCATCCTTTAGGTAACTGAGTTTTTTTTATTTTTTTGTTCAGGGATTATATTTGTTATCTGAGGGAAGGTCACCCCAATAGGCACCTACTTGGCCATTATCAGAAGCAAAATTCCACACTTCTCTTTAAAAGGGTGTTTAGCTCTTAGGAAAAGTCAAACCTGTGTCATAGTACAGAACAAGACTTTACAGACAAACGTCTCTCCATTCATAGTAGCCTACATCATTGTTTTTCACAGCCCCATGAAAATTCCATCTGGGATATGCAAGAGTCAAAAAACCCGTTCGGAAATGACTGGGTTTGCTAGATAATTTGCCAGTTTAAATCATAGCTTTGCTCCCATTTTACTGATAACGAACCCTGTGCTCAGAGAAAATATGGGGATTGGTAAAGTCTCAAGGTTACAAAGGAATGGATCTAGAGTTTGCTCTGAGGTGACTGGGATGTTTAACAGAGGCAGGAACTGTCCATAGAGATCTCCCGGGCCATACTCCTTAACTTTAAAAATCAGATTGTGTCTACCTTCTCTAAACAGCACTACTCAAGCTTTAGCCAGAAATCACACAGCTAGAAGTGACTGGGCAGGTCAAGAACATTGGGGTTGACTGGGCACGGTGGCTGATGTCTATAATCCCAGCACTTTGGGAGGCTGAGGCGGGCAAATCACGAGGTCAGGAGTTCAAGACCAGGCTGGCCAACATGGTGAAACCCCATTTCTACTAAAAATACAAAAATTTGCCAGGCATGTTGGTTCACACCTGTAATCCCAGCTACTCAGGAAGCTGAGGCAGGATAATCTCTTGAACCCGGGAGGAGGAGGTTGCAGTGAGCCAAAATCATGCCACTGCACTCCAGCCTGGGCAAAAGAGCAAGACTTTGTCTCGAGGAAAAAAAAAAAAAAGAACGCTGGGGTCCTACGATTCATTTCAGGGTCACCCCTCAATGTCACATTTAAAGGAGTTCACATGGTTCCAAGTTGATGGTCCTGTGTAAACCACAAACTTAGAGACCCCAGTCCCAATCTATCCACTTTAAAGTGTCCCCAATGTGCCTTTTAAAATTATAAATACCAGACTCTTTCTTACTCTGCTGGCAGGGTGATAAATTGCCTTGGTTTTTTTTTGGCAATACCTTATTAAAATTGTTTGAACCCTTTCACCAAGGAATTTCACTTCTAGGAACACAGCTTAAGGGAACAATCACAGAAGCACACTGAGATTCATGTACAAAGATGAACATTGTAGCATCATTTGTAATGGTGAAAAATTGCAAAGAATTTAAATGTCCAAAAGTAGGAAATGCTTAAATAAAATATGATACAGCCATACCATAGAATATTAATATGAAGCTGCTAAGAATCACGTTCCTGGAGAAATTTAAGGACGTAGGGAAATGCTGATGTCTGTAATGTTGAGCTAAGTAAAATAATGCAGAATGCAGCTTTCTATAAAATATGATCCCATTTATAGATGTGTGAATGTTTGTATATGCATGTACAGGTATGTATCTATCTTGGTTTATATCAGAAAAAATATGCAGCAAAATGTTAACAGTGATTATGTCTGGGGGTCGATATTATACATAATTTTTAAATTTTCTTGTTTTTCCATATCACTTTCTAAAATGAGTATGTAATGGCCTTAAAAGCCCAAAAAGAAATATTTAACCTGTAAATGTCATCAAGAGAAACCAGAGTGTGAAAGGGCAGACACAAGGTAATACAAACCATTACATACCGCAGTTTCAATTCTCCAGGAGAACGATGACATTTCAAATCAAATTAACAGCCATGTACCAGTTAACCTCTGCTACATAACAACTACAAAATCTCAGTTGATGAAAGAAAAAGCTCATGTGTCTGTAATTGACTGGAGCTGGCTAATCTAGGCTGAGCTCTCACTGGCATATCTCTGGCTAGGCTGGGACTAGGTGAGTTGGGCTGGGTGGTGTAGTGTCTTGTTCCACTTGCTTCCCATCCTCTTCTGGGACCAGTGGGCAGGTGCCCATCCAAGTTCTTCTCATGGTGATGAGAGAGGCACAAGACAGCAAGCCCCATCATGCAAGTGCTTTTCAAGCTTTTGGTGGCATCAAACCTGCTGCCGTCCCATAGGCAAAAGTGAATCTCATGATCAAACCCAAAATTAAGGGGCAATCCTGCCTCTCCAATGGCAGAAGCTGCAAGGGGACAAGTCAAAGATCATGGATACAGAGAAGAATGAAAAACTGAGCCATGCACTCAATTTGCCAGAGGTCACTATCCTAGTGGAAAGACGCTTGCATGTAGTGAGTTGGAAATCATGACTTCATAGGCCTCTTATTCAGTTAGAGACAGATTCCTCCAACTCCACCTTCAAAACCACCCACCCAAGACCTTTTTTTTTTTTTTTTTTTTTTTTGAGATGGAGTCTCACTCTGTTGCCCAGGCTGGAGTGCAATGGCGCGATCTTGGCTTACTGCAACCTCTGCCTCCCAGATTCTCCCTGCTCAGCCTCCCAAGTAGCTGGGATTACAGGCGCTCACCACCATTCCTGGCTAATTTTTGTAATTTTTAGTAGAGACGGGGTTTCACCATGTTGGACAGGCTGGTCTTGTACTCCTGACCTTAGGTGATCCGTTCACCTCAGCCTACAAAAGTACTGGGATTACAGGTGTGAGCCATTGCACCCAGCCCAGCCAAGACTTTTTGTTCCATGGATATCAAGCCAACTTTCTCACTGACTGGTCATTTGAGTTGTTTATTGTTTGGTTTGTTGGTTGGTTGGTTTTGTCTTTTTCACATCATTCAAACCATTAATTATCTCTGAGATGCCTGCTAATTTGTTCTGTTTCATGTTTCACTGTAGCAGAGTCTCAAAGACACATAGAAAAATAACAGTGTTCTGGAAGGCAAGCGATTTGCCCAAGGAGCATATAGGTCAATGCCACAGTGCGCAGCCACACTGACAGGGCACTGCAAGACTCCAGGGCTGTGCTGTCCAAATGGTAGCCACTAGGCACAGGCAGCTATTTATCTTTAAACTTTAATTAGTTAAAAATAAATGAAATTTTAAAATTCTGTTCCTCAGTCACACTAGCTACATTTCAAGTACTTAATTCCCACGTGTGGCCAGTGGCTATTGTAACGAACAGCACAAACAGAACAGGTCTGTCTTTGCAAAAAGGGGTAGTGGACAGCATGGGTCCACAGAGTGCCACTGACCCAAACTGGATGGTGCTCCCTGGAGCTGTGCAATCCAGCAATCCTGACACAGCGAGCCAGATCACTCATGCCCAGGTCTCCTGGAGCTCACGACAACTCTATCTGTGCTGAGTTTTTTGGTCAACAATTCTAAGGGCATTTGCTTTTTTCGCTCTTTCAACTTAATAAACGCATACCTGCTATTCGTCTACTTTAACCAGGTCCTGCCAACGCAATCCATCCTGGATATTTTTTCGCAAAGCAATGGGTTTCTTTGATGTTCTAGTTCCTATGCTTTGTAGCCTTTGTGATCCGGTCTTGAAGCACCTCTTGGTTTTCATCTCCCAATTCTTGCCTCACACTCTTGGCTGCAGTCATTTGTGGATCACCACACGTATATTGTGGTGCTCTATGGCTCTGGACTTTGGGAGGTTTGTTTTTTTAATTGATGAGGTATTGCTCTGTCGCCCAGGCTAGAGTGCAGTGGCATGAACACAGCTCACTGCGCCTCGAACCCTTGGGCTCAAGTGATCCTCCAACCTCAGCCTTCCTAGTAGCTGGGATTATGGGCGTGCACCACCGTAGCCAGCCAACTTTGGGACCTTTGGATATCTGGTCCCTGCAGCCAGAATGCTACTGTCCCACCTGTCACCTGCACTTTTAAAGCTGAGTTCCCAGCCTGCCCTCTGAAAGATGCTTTCCCTGACGACACTGACGCAGATGCTTCTCCTCCACTCTCGGGCCCCACAGTTCACCTGGCTTACGTTTATCCTCACCCCTCTGCTACCATCCTCTGGCTTCTCTTCCAGGCTATGGGCTCCCTAAGAGCAGAACATCTTGTCCAATTCAGATCATTAAAGTGGCCCCGGAGCCAGACCCACCCGGGTGTGAACTTCTGTTCCTCCACTTGCTGTCTGTGTACTCATAGACAAAGTGCTTTACCTTTTCTGTACCTCATTTTTCTCATTTGTAAAACGGGGATAATATTATGTAGGCGTTTTGGCCAGGTGCAGTGGCTGACGCCTGTAATCCCAGCACTTTCGGAGGCCGAGGAGAGAGGATCACTTAAGGCCAGGAGTTTGAGACCAGCCTGGGCAACATAGTGAGACCCTGTCTCTACAAAATACTTTAAAATTGCCAGGCATGGTGATGTGCACTTTTAGTCCCAGCTACTCAGGAGGCTCATGTGAGAGGATTGCTTGTGGCCCAGGAATTTAAGGTTGCAGTGAACTGCGCTCACATCACTGCACTCTAGCCTGGATGACAGAGTGAGACCCTGTCTCTAAAGAGAAAAAGAAAATCGGGATGTTTTGTGACTATATTAATAAGGGTTCTCCAGAGAAAGAGAACCATAGGTTAAATGTAAAAAAGGGGGCTGGGCGAGGTGGCTCATGCCTGTAATCCCAGGACTTTGGAAGCCCGAAGTGGGCAGATCACTTGAGGTCAGGAGTTTGAGACCAGCCTGGCCAACATGGTGAAACCCCATCTCTACTAAAAATACAAAAATTCACCGGGTATGGTGGTGGGCACCAGCTATTCCAGAGGCAGAAGCAGGACAATCGCTTGAATCCGGGAGATGGACGTTGCAGTGAGCTGAGATCGCGCCACTGCACTCCAGCCTGGGCGGCAGAGCGAGACTCCACCTCAAAAAAAAAAAAAAAAAAAAGTAAAAAAGGAGATGCACTAGAAGAAATTGGCTCGTGTAATTCAGAGGCTGATAAGTCCCACTCCCGGCCATCCGCAGGCTGGAGGCTCAGAAAAGCCTGTGCTGTAATTCAGTCCAAACTGGACGACCTGAGAACCAGAGGAGCAGAGTGAATGCCAGCCGGAGGCAGGAGAAGATGGGAATGAGAAGGGGCAAATTCCTCCTCCCTCCACCTTTGGTTCTATTTGAGCTCTCAACAGATCGGATGCTGCCCACTCACACTGGGGAAGGCGGATCTTCTTCACTCAGGCTACTGATTCAAATGCTAATCTCTTCCGGAAACACTCTCAGTCAGAAATAATGTTCTACCACATATCTGGACACTCCTGATCCACTCAAGTCGACATGTAAAACTATCACAGAGGCTGAACCGAGATGACACAGCTAGAAACTTAGAACAGAGCCCGGCACCCTTTAAAGGCCTGCTAAGTGTTAGCTATTGATCATATTGATCTTTTTTTTTTTTTTTTTTTTTGAGACAGAGTCTTGCTCTGTCACCCAGGCTGGAGTGCAATGGCATGGTCTTGGCTCACTACAACCTCTGCCTCCCAGGTTCAAGCAATCCTCCTGCCTCAGCCTCCCAAGCTGGGACTACAGGCACATACCACCTTGCCTGGATAATTTTTGTATTTTTAGTAGAGACGGGGTTTTGCCATGTTGGCCAGGCTGGTCTCAAACTCCTGACCTCAGGTAATCCGCCTGCCTCGGCCTCCCAATGTGCTGGGATTACAGGTGTGAGCCACCGCGCCCAGCCTCTGTTGATCTTTATATTGCGAGATCTGGCATACAAGAGGTGCTCAGTTATTGCTGCCTGGATTAATAAAATGATAGGAAACTCGAACTAGTTTTTAAAAAGACCTCATGACTTGTCATGGTGCTGCAGAAGCCCCAGGCACTTTTAAGTGGTCCCTGCTAAAGGAACTGGGAACAAAACTGCTTATTATCACCAAGGAGGAAGTATAGGTCTGTGTCTGGGATGGTTTTCCCTTCAGACAATCGTAGCCAGGGAACGACTCCAGATTCCCTTAAGAGGCTGCCCTCCTAGCTTTGAGCATGGTTAAAGACTTCCGCAAAGTACTTCCATCATCAGACCAGTTTTGAGGCAGCTTAAGGTCCTGTCAGAATAATAATCCTAAAATGCCTAACCTGGATTGGGTACTTACTATGTGTCATTGATTCTCAAAGGGAGGCAATCCCCCCACACATACGCCCTGTGGACGTTTATCACATTTTTGTGTATCACACTGGGGGGAAGGGGGCAGGCTGCTACTGTCATCTAGCAGCCAGAGGCCAGATTGCTGCTAAACATCCCACACTGGCCAGGACAGCCCCCACGATAAGGCATTATGTCACCCAAAATGTCAATGTCAAGGCTGAGAAACTCTGTTGCATTCCAAGGCATTGAGCATTGTGTTATCTCATTTAATCTCCATACTGATGTTATGAGTGAGGCACTATTATTACCACCATTGCCCTGTTTTCCAAAAGAGGATGCTAAAGCTCAGGTATGCAAACTGCCCAAGGTCATACAGCAAGAAAGTACCAGACAGGCCAGGTGCAGTGGCTCATGACTGTAATCACAGCATCTTGGGAAGCTGAGGAGGGAAGAACGCTTGAGGTCAGGAGTTTGAGACCAGCCTGAGCAACATGATGAAACCCTATTTTTACAAAAGATACAAAAATTAGCTGAGTATGGTGGTATACACCAGTAGTTCCGCTACCCAGTAGGCTGAGGTGGGAGGATCACTTGAGCCAGGGAGGTGGAGGCTGCAGTGAGCCATGATGACTCAGCACAACAGAGCGAGACCCTGTCTCCAAAAAAAAAAAAAGAAGAGTGGCAGAGACTTGATTCACACACAGGTGGCGTGCTCTCAATGGCTACCATCTATTGGGACCAACACACCCTTTAAAGCCACGTGGTGTAGCAGTGAGAACCCTGGTTCTGTCATCAATAGACCTGGGGTTGGAACCCTCGCTTGGTTTCTCAGTGGCCATGGATATTAGTCTGTTTTTATACTGCTAATAAAGACATACTGAGACTGGGTAATTTATAAAGGAAAGGGGTTTTGATGGACTCACACTTCCATGTGGCTGGGGAGGCCTCACAATCATGGCAGAAGAGGAGGGAAGAACAAAGGGACCTCTTCCACGGCAGCGGGCAAGAGAGAGTGTGCCGGGGAACTCCCATTTATAAAACCGTCAGTTTTATAAACCTCTCATGAGACTTATTCAATACCATGAGAACGGTATGGGGGAAACTGCCCTCATAATTCAATTATCTCCACCTGGCCTCGCCCTTGACACGTGGGGATTATTACAATTCAGGGTGAGATTTGGGTAGGGACCCAGCCAAACCATAGCACTGTGTGATCTTGGGCACAGTGTCCTGAAGCTCTCTAAGCTTCTGTCTCCCTATCTGTAAAATGGGGGGATGACATCCACCTTGTAGGGCTGTTACAGGTAAAATCTGACAATGAACACAAAGCCCACGACAGATTGTCTGACACTCACTAAATGGTAGCTGCTGCTGTTATTGTTGTCATCATCCACATAACTATTATTATTCCCATTGCCTTGGTGCTGGAGGCCCAGATTCCCTCCCACCTGATCCTAAGGAAACAAGAACTCAGTTTTGTAGCTGGTCCCAGGGAGCCAGCTGGCACTCAGAAACCAGTGAGATGCTGCCTTCCCAATGCCAGATTTCTCCCTTACAGAAGGCAGCCGATGCTTTGGGAAGCTGCAGCAGTTCCCAGGGGAAGACATGTGTTGCTCAGGGCCTCACTGCTAGGAGCCAGAGGCAAGAACATGACCTGCAGCAGGCGGCTGGGCCACACAGGCTGTTTCCTCTCTCCCTGGGGAGCCATTCCCCCTGGTTCCTCCATTGAGAAGCACCAGGGTCCTTCACTGCAGAAACCAGTCATCCACTGGACCCACCCCGGATTCATGCTGCCCTCAGAGACTCTGTTACCCAACACGGGAGGAAAGCCAAAGGAAGAACAGAATTCTTTAAAGAGAAAAATAATTTCTCTCTCCTAACTCTCTAGGACTGCCTATCTTTTGGAAGGTGCCAAGAGAATGCAATGCCAAAGTGGAGAGAACATGCTAGAAAAGTTTCCAAAACATGGGAGCTGCTGCTGATGAGGGCAGGGCTTTCATGAGGCCTCTCAGACCCCCAAGACCACCATCAATCACTTCATGTCCCTACTAATAACAGTAATAATAATAAGACCCAGCACTTGTAGCCCACTGTGTGTCACACACTGTTATAATTGCATTCCATGCGTCCTCTCCAATCCCTGTCATCAGTGTGCCCATTCAGAGGCCTGCGCATCAAGACATAAAAGACGTTTCATAGGGGATAAATAGGAATACGTAAGCACTGGCCACCACCATCATCCGTTATTACTACAACTATCACTATGACTGCCATCCTGCAAGAGAAGTGTTTATCTTCGTAGAATAGTAGGGCAAACGCAGGCTCCAAGAGGGGGATTTTCCCAAAATCACAGAAGAGGTGGGATAGTCCAGTGGCTAAACCAACAGGCTTCAGCGCCAGTGGCCACTGTTCAAGTTTTGATGTGACTGTTTAGTAACCACATGCCAACTTGGGGAAGTTCCTTCCCCTTCTGAGCTTTCAGTTTTTTCTCCTGCAAAATGAAGAAGTAGATTCAAATACAGGTTAGGTCAGGCTCAGTGGCTGACACCTGTAATCCCAGCACTTTGGGAGGCTGAGGCAGGAGGATCGCTTGAGCCCAAAAGTTCGAGACCAGCCTGGGAAATACAGCGAGGTCTCGTCTCTACAAAAAATACAAAAATTAGCCAAGCGTGGTGGTGCCTGCCTGTAGTCCCAGCCACCTGGAAGGCTGAGGTGGGAGGATCACCTGAGCCTGGGAGGTCGAGGCTGCAGTGAGCCATGTTCACACCCCTGTGACAGAATGAGACCCTGACTAAGAATAATAATAATAATAAAATTTTAAAAAACAGGTTAAAGTAATGATTCAACCTGATTTTTTTTTTTTTAGTTAAAAACTCAGCTCTAAAGTTCAGGAAGTAGAAGTTAGATGTTCTGTGTTTTCTGAAGATAGAATCCTCCCTGCCCTTAAGAAAAGAGGAAAGAACTGGCCGGGCGCAGTGGCTCATGCCTGGAATCCCATCACTTTGGGAGGCCGAGGTGGGTGGGTCACCTGAAGTCGGGAGTTTGAGACCAGCCTGACCAACATGGAGAAACCCCATCTCCACTAAAAACACCAAAAATTAGCCGGGCATGATGGCACATGCCTATAATCCCAGCTATTCGGGAGGCTGAGGTAGGAGGATCGCTTGAACCCAGGAGGCGGAGGTTGTGGTGAGCTGAGATTGCACCATTGCACTCCAGCCTGGGCAACAAGAGCGAAACTCCATTTCGAGAAAAAAAAAAAGAGAGAGAAAAAGAAAAGAGGAAAGAACTTTCTATTGCTAACAATATGTTAGTTAGCTCTGTTGTTAATGGTCAGTGAGGATCCTCTTGATCTGCCATAAAGGCTACTACGAGAGACAAGACATTAGCAAGACTGGGGTGTAGAGGGAGAAAAAACTAGGGTGGAAAGGAGAGGCTGGAGAGGAGACAGAGGAAATTCAACACCAGACGCCTTGAGCCGAGTGTAGATCTCAAATGAGACCAATGCCCAGGAAATGCCAGGTGAGAGGTCAAGAGAGCGCAGACAGGAACTCCTGGCATGCCCCGGGTCTCTGCTACACCAAAGGCTCTCCTGGTGAAAACCACTCCTTCTCAATTGAGGGAAGAGGCTCTACCCCATGGTCAAGGTCTGCATTCCCACCATTGTACGGATGCTCCAAGAGCACATAACCTCCCTCAACAACAACACGCCTCCCACCCCAGACAACCATAAGACCCAAGACAACCTCTGAACACCAAGTAGGGCAGTGAGGAAGATGCCCACCCCTATATAGGGGGGTAAAGGGGTTCCTACGCAGGCATCCTGAGCTAGGACAGTGAGAGAAGGAGATGCTACTATTCTATTAGCTATCACTGTTGTCATTATCTCTTTCTTATTTTATTTATTTTATTTTTTGAGACAAGGTCTCACTCTGTCTGTCACCCAGGCTGAAATGCAGTGGCACTATCATGGGTCACTGCAGCTTTGACCTCCCAGGCTCAAGTGATCCTCCCACCTCAGCCTCCCATGTAGCTGGGACCACAGATGTCCGCCACCGCACCTGGCTAATTTTGTTTCTTTTTTGTAGAGACAGGGTCTCACTATGTTGCCCAGGCTGGTCTCGAACTCTTGGGCTCAAGCGAGCCTCCTGCCTCAGCCTCCCAAAGTGCTGGGATTACAGGCACGAGCCAACATGCCCAGCCGTCATTATCATTTTCATCATCATCTCAGGCTGGGCTGCAGACTGGTGAAGGATCCTCTGAACTCTGCTCTCAAGTCCCTCCAAAGCTGCTGGCCCTCCAGCAGTGACCACTTTCCCCTGCCCAGCCAGACACCTGGAAGGAAAGCCATTGTTGCTGTTTACCACCCCGCCAACCATGCGGCTGGTCGGCAAAGACTCCACTGACCGGCAGGAAACGAGGAGTGCAGGCGGTAGCCAGGTCCCTGCTTGCTCTGCCTCTGAGGCAAGGGGGTGGTGCTGGGGGAGGACAAGGCTTTTATACACAAAGCAGATGCACCATAAACTCATGCTCCCTGGGCACAGACACTCCGGGGGAAATGCTGCCGATTTTACCCACTCATTCCTCTGAAAATAACTGCACACACTATCTGCCAAGTTTCCGGAACAGAACAAGCGCTGAGGAATAGGGAACTGATGGAGAGAAGGAGTTTAGGATAGTAGGAAGGAAACCACATTGCTCTGCCTGAGAACAGGTCTCTGAAAGGGAAAAAAGTATCTGCAATGGACTTTATCTTGTCCAGTGCTTTTAATAATAGCAATGCTAGTTGCTATCATTTTTAAAGCAGCTACTCTGTCTTGGCTCTGTGCTTCATATACATAAAATTCCATTCAATTCTTCTGGTACTATTAGTGTCTCCATTTTTATGGATGAGTAAAGTGAGGCTCAGATAGGTTCAGTAACTTCCCCCCAAGGTCACACAAGATAAAATAGCAGAATCATGATTCAAAACCAGGCCCCTCTGACATCTGAATTCTTCCACTATACTCAGCTCCCTGCCAAACAATTTGTTCACCTGTACCTCTCAATAATAGATGGATTGGGCCAGGTGCATTGGCTCACACCTGTAATCCCAGCAATTTGGGAGGCCGAAGTGGGCGGATCACCTGAGGTCAGGAGTTCGAGACCAACCTGGCCAACATGGTGAAACCCCGTCTCTACTAAAAATACAAAAATTAGCTGGGTGTGGTGGCACATGCCTGTAGTCCCAGCTACTCAGGAAGCTGAGGCAGGAGAATTGCTTGAACCCGGAAGGTGAAGGTTGCAGTGAGCCGAGATCACACCATTGCACTACAGCCTGAGCGACAAGAGCAAAACACCATCCCAAAAAAAAAAAAAATGATAATAGACAGATGGATGGATGGAGATGGAAATGGAGAGAGAGAGAGAGAGAGAGAGAGAGGATGAGGTGAAAATATCTATGAAGAATATAAAACATATCTCTACCATTCACTTTCGTAGATGAGCTGAAGTTCCCAGAAATTAAATAAAAATTGCTCTAAGTCACTCAGTTATTTGGAATCAGAATTATCAGCCTCTCTCCTTTTTTTTTTTTTTTTTAAGACAGGACACCACAGCTGCCTAACACCTTTCAGACTCACTTTGGAGTTCCAGCCTCCAGAACTGTGGGCCAATGAACTTGTGCTGTTTTAAGCCACTAAGTTTGTGCTAATTTGTCACAGCAACAAAAGGAAAATAACGCAATGGGCTTCTTAGCCTAAGATAAAACTGTACTTCACAAAATAGCGAATAAAAAGATATTTTGGGTCTGTGTTACATTCATGCAAGAGGAGATGTAGGCCAGCCACAGTGGCTCACGCCCGTAATCTCAGCACTTTGGGAGGCCGAGGCGGGTGGATCACCTGAGGTCAGGAGTTTGAGACCAGCCTGGCCAATATGGTAAAACCCTGTCTCTACTAAAAATACGAAAAATTAGCTGGGCGTGGTGGTGGGTGCCTGTAGTCCCAGCTACTCGGGAGGCTGAGGTAGGAGAATCACTTGAACCCGGGAGGTGGAGGTTGCAGTGAGGCAAGATTGTACCACTGCACTCCAGCCTGTGTGACAGAGCTAGACTCTGTCTCAAAAAACAAAAAGAGGAGATGTGAAAAAAGAAGCAATGCGAAAGGAGAGACAGAGAAACAGATATAAATATAAACAGGAACAACAGAAGACAACAGATAGCTTCTGTTATGAGCACTGAATTGTGTACGCTGCCCCACCTCCATTCGAAAGGCATGTGGGATGTGGTGGCTCATGACTATAATCCCAGAACTTAGGGAGGCCAAGGCAGGAGGATCACTGGAGGCCAGGAGTTCAAGAACAGCCTGGGCAACAGAGCAAGACCCTCCCACCTCAGCCTCCTGAGTAGCTAGAACTATAGACACACATCACCATGCCTGGCTATTTATTTTTAATTTAATCTAATTTTTCTAAAAAAGATATATGGAAGTCCTAACCCCCAATACCTCTGAATGTGACCTTATTTGGAAACTATGGTCACTGCAAATATAATTAGTTAATATGAGGTCATAGTGGCGTAAGTTGCATCCCTAATCTGGTATGACTAGTGTTATTATAAGGGGCAGCCACTTGAAGGAGGAGACACACAGGGAGAACGTCCTGAGGCTGAGACTGGAGTTCTGCAGCTGCAAGCCAAAGAACACCAAAGATTGCTGCAGAAACCACTGGAAGCTAGAAAGAGGCAAGGGAGGATTCAGAGGAGGCATGGCCCTGCAAACACCTTGATCTTCTGGCCTCCAGAACTGTGAGACCATACATTTCTGTTGTTTTAAGCCTCCAAGCTCATCACACCTTGTTACCATAGCCCTAGGAAACCAATACACCTGCTTTCACAAGGTCCCAGCTACTGTACTTTTGGGGATACTGCTGCTAATCATGTTGCATTTTTGCAGGTCTAGGCATATATTTCAGCCCCTTACCTCCAAATCAAAGTTTACCATATTTTCCTGTTTCTGAAATTTCCTACCTCAGGTATATACATTTCATATAATCTGACTTCCTTTCTTTTTTTTTTTTTATTTTAAGAAACATGGTCTCACCCTGTCACCCAGGCTGCAGTGCAGTGGTGTGATTATTCCCATGTCAGGTTCCCGAGTAGCTGGGACCACAGGTGCATACCACCATATCCAGCTAATTTTTAAATTTTTTGTAGAGACAGGTTCTCACTATATCGCCCAGTCTGGTTTCAAATTCCTGAGCTCAAGCAATCCTCCCACCTCAGCCTCCCAAAGTGCTAGGATTACCGGCATGAGCCACCATGATAAGCCCCTTCCTTTTTCATAACCACCAAAGGCCATGTTTAAATTATTGGTGCATCTTATCATCAAGAGCATTTTTTTTTTCTTTGAGACAGAGTCTCACTCTGTCACCCAGGCTGGAGTGCGTTGGCGTGATCTCAGCTTACTGCAACCTCCGCCTCCCGGGTTCAAGCAATTCTTCTGCCTCAGCCACACAAGTAGCTGGGATCACAGGCATGCACAGCCATGCCCAGCTAATTTTTGTATTTTCTAGTAGACACAGGGCCATGTTGGCCAGGTTGGTCTCAAACTCCTGGCCTCAAGCAATCCTCCCACTCCAGCCTCCCAAGTAGGTGGGATTATAGATGCATGCCACCATGCCTGGCTATTTTTTTAATTTTTCGTAGAGATGGGGGCCTCGCTATGTTGCTCAGGCTGGTTCAAACTCCTGGCCTCAAGTGATTCTCCTGCCTCATCCTCCTAAAGTGTTGGGATTTCAGGCATGAGCCAATGTGCCCAATGTTTGATTTTTTTTTTAAGTGTGTGGCAGGGGAGAGGTAGAAAGATAAAATAGGGATGAATGGGTGGATGGAAGGATGGATAGATAGATAGGTAGATGACAGATAGATATTTGATTGATTGATAGACAGAAACACAGGTAACTCCAATGCCATCAGTCACCAGTTTACAACAAGGACAGAGAAACTTCCAGCTCAAGCCATCTCACACTTTACTTTGAGGACCAAGCACATCCCCAGTAGAGTTACACAGTTGTTTTTTTTGTTTGTTTGTTTGTTTGTTTGTTTGTTTTTGAGATGGAGTTTCACTCTGTCGCCCAGGCTGGAGTGCAGTGGCTCAATCTCGGCTCTCTACAACCTCTGCCTCCTGGGTTCAAGCAACTCTCCTGCCTCAGCCTCCCAAGTACCTGGGATTACAGGCGCACACCACCACACCCAGCTAATTTTTGTATTTTTAGTAGAGATGGGGTTTCACCATGTAGGCCAGGCTGGTCTCGAGCTCCTGACCTCAGGTGACCCTCCCACCTCAGACTCCCAAAGTGCTGGGATTACAGGCCTGAGCCACCGCACCTGGCTGAGTTACACAATCTTGCAGGAGAAAAATGTGATTACTTACCAGGCATAAGAGCTGCTGGGGAGTGGCTCTGTGGTTAAGTCACTCTGTGGTCTTATTTCCATTTGTCTCTGTTACATGTCTAAAGAAAGTAAGGTCGACCAGCCGCGGTGGCTCACGCCTGTAATCCCAGCACTTTGGGAGGCCAAGGCAGGTGGATCACCTGAGGTCAGGGGTTCGAGACCAGCTGGCCAACAGAGTGAAACCCCGTCTTTACTAAAAATACAAAAATTAGCTGGGTGTGGTAGCACATGCCTGTAATCCCAGCTACTCGAGAGGCTGAGATGGGAGAATCGATCGAGCCCAGGAGGTGGAGGCTGTAGTGAGCCAAGATCACGCCATTGCACTCCAGCCTGGGTGACAGAGGGAGACTCCAATTCAGAAAAAGGAAGTAGGGTCAACGAGATGCCCAGAAAAGAGTGGGGATGGAGGCGCACTCCCTGAAGACTCCCAACGGGGAGGAGGGGGAGACGGGGATTACATACACCCCACCCTTCTGCATAGCACTTGTCCCAACTGTAATTCAGTAACAATTGGTATCATCATCCAAGGATTATCTCCCTCCACGGACCATAGATTCCATGCCAGCTGCCCCCTGCATGTCCTGCCCACTGCAGCATCTCCAACAATGAGCTGGGGTGCTCATTACTTGTTTGTTGAATGAATAAATGACTGTAGGTAATAACTGCACTGTCTGAACCAGGATCCCAACAAATGAGGCTGTGACACATGAGATGCCCAGAGGACAGCTGAAATCAAAGCTGCCTTTAAATATCTGGGCTACATCATCACCTTCTGTGGGGTCAGCTTTTCTTCTGTCGGCTTAGCTTCATCATCTCGTGCCTCAATGCTAAGGGGTCCGCTTTGTCTCTCTCGGTCCCGGCCATCTCCAACCCAGGAAGGAATGTGGAAAATGGGGCTTGAGAAAGCAAGTCAGGGTGCTCCGGGCCATGTGGAATCAGGGTCTGAAAGAACACCAGAGCCACTCAGACAAACGTGTAGACCTGTTTGGCATCTTTATTTTCCTTCTAAGTACCAATTACTCATCCTGGGCCCAAATGGTGGCAGGTTTCCTTCCCCAAGGGGATAGATTGCAGAAACCAGAAGAGAGAGGTGGGTAGGGGGGAAGCTGAGAAGGGCAGGAGGGGAAGCCTGCACAGCACCTTCGCTGCTAACTAGGCGAGGGGGAGCATTGGAGAGCTGCTACCTCCAGGGCAGCTGCAGCCTCCTGCAAGGTTATCTGTGGCGGGCACAGGCTCAAAAGCAACGGGGCAATAAAAGTGAGTCATTGTCACCCAGCATGAGCCAACTCAGCCACTCGGGGCTCGGTGAAACATGTCCCCAGATGCAAAGTTACTCAAATTCTGGAATGAGTTTTGCCTGAATAAAGGACATTAAAATGTCCGTGCCCATAAAGACCGGCTGCTGTGCAGTGCCAGCATGGCTGATGGAGCCAGGGTGATCAGCTGACAAGCACCACCTGAAACGAGCTTCGGGCTGGAGACAGACAGTGCCATACCCTCTAGAGACATCTGTCCTCAGGCTCCTAACCCAGCTCTGTGGCTGCCTGGCTGTGTGCCCTTGGGCAGGGACATCACCTCTCTGATCTTCGCTCCTCTAAATGATCTCTAAGGGCCCTCATACACGGAAATTCCATGTAACAGCAACAAAGAGCCTGTGTGTTACTCTTCCCAGGGTTGGTGTTTGCATTTTAACAAAAAGTGTCTGCACTCTCCAGCAGCCTACTGATGAAGTGTACAGGTTCCTGAATCCAGTTGTTCAGGTTCAAATCCCGGTCCCGTCATTTATTAGCTCTGTGACTTCAGGCAGGTTGCTTAACCTCTTTGAGCCTCTGTTTCTTCACACCAAGGATAACACAACCAACAGAAAGGCAGGGAGTCTTATTCCAAATACGCAGGTATCCACCTTTTGATTGGGTTCCCCAGTGATTCCAGGCATCTTTTGGCTAAGGTTTCTGGAACCTTCTGTTTGGAGCAGAAATTGGAGCATCATACTGGCTACTGCCATTTGCTGTGCGGATAAGTTTGCAGAGGCCCTCAGCCATCATGCTCGCTCTCTCTCATTACACTGCATTTTCTCCTTTGTAACATCTACTATGATCCAGAATTACCTAGTAAATTTATTTACTCATTTATTATCCATATCTCTCCCCTGGATTTAAGCTCCATGAAATCACAGACCCCATCTAGCTCATGACTATCGATTCCCATAGCATAGCATCAGGCACACAGCAGGTGCTCAATACACCTGTGGCTAAACGAACAAATGAACGGATGAACGAATGAATTGCCCTTATCTAGATGCTTCTCACCTCAGCCTTCCCAAAGTTTCTCCGTATCCCTGCTTTGCAAAAAAGGAAACTGAACCCTCTGGGGTGGAAATGACCCAAAGTCACAGGGCAGTGGCTGGTACACAGGTCTGACTAACTCAAAACCCCACGTGTCACCCCCTTCCAGGAAGGTGTAGACAGAAGCACCAAAAAGGGGTTAGGGGCAGGAGCTTTGGGTCTGTCCAGCCCAAGTTCCATTCTAGCACTCCTTGGGCAAGTCACTTAACCTGAGGCTCGGTGTCCTCATCCACAACATGATGATGATACCATTAACATGTTCTTCATCAGAGTGAGAGTCTCAGGACGATTAAGCCTACTTTGCACAGCGCTGGGCACAGAGCAGGCCCTCAATAAATGGCAGCTGTTGTTCATTACTACTTCTACTGCAAGCTTTTCATTTTTTTTTTTTTTTTTAATTTTTAGTAGAGACAAGGTCTCACAATGTTGCCCAGGCTGGCCTCGAACTCCAGAGCTCAAGCGATCCTCCCGCTTACGCCTCCCAAAGCACTGGGATCACAGGCGTGCACCACCATGCCAGGCCTACTATGTCCTTTCCAAAAACCACACGGGGCTGGCCTCTTTGCCCAGCTCACCATTTTCTCTCTCATTTCACTCCCTCCTTCTCTCTGCCACCTCCACAGAGAAGCATCCCAGCACCCAAGCAAACCCCTTCCGCTCTGTTTCACTCCCCCCAGGCGGAGCCCACGCGTGGGGTCTTGTGCGCGTGGTCCCGCGGCAGCCCACAGCCCTCTGCTCTCCGTTTCAGGCTGTGCACCCCGGCTGTCCGCACTCCCGGGCCTCAGTCCTCCCCAGCCGCCCCCTCCACCCACCTGCATGCCTGTGGCACGAGTGGGCACACGTGTTCCCGTCGCATGTGGAGCCCGCACCTGTGGGAGGAGAGCCAGCCCGGGCTGCCGCCGCGGCGGCTGAATCAGGACAGCAAATCTCGCCACCCCCTCACTCCTTAATCCGTTGCAATCTGGCTTCCTCCCTACGCTGCCCGAAGCTGCCCTAGCCGGGGTCGCTGATGATTCCCACGCACCAAGTCCAGCATCTTCTCTACGGTCTGGTCCGGGTGTGTCGCTTGGGAACGTCTGATTTTCATGACCACCACCCCACCAGCACTCCCTCCGCTAACTCCCTCCTCCTCGGACCCTGCCTGCTCCCCTCGGTGCCTTCCCCACTCCATTGTGGGCCCTTCCTGTCCAGATTCTCTCACTCCCACACCTTTCCGCCCAAAGAGCATTTATGGAGCTCTTGCCCTGTGCAGAACGTTGCTGGCCTTGAAGGGGAGCAGGCGGACCCTGAAGGAGGCGGTGAGCTCCTACAGTGGGGGCTCAGACTGCAGCTTCGGTGGCCTGCAATCCGTTCCCAGCTCCTGGCCAGGTGCAGTGGCTCAGCCTATAATCTCAGCACTTTAGGAAGTTGAGGCAGGATTGCTTGAGCCCAAGAGTTCGACACCAACCTTTAAATTGTTTGCCTTTAAATTTCATTAAATTAAATTTCTTTTAAATACAAAAAATCCTGGGCTTAAGCAATCCAGGAGGCCAATTGGCCCTGCTAATTTCATTTAAATTTTTCGTTGAGATGGGTCTTGCTGCGAGACCCTAACCCTAACCTAACCCTAACCCTAACTATCTCTGCGAGACCCCATCTCTACAAAACATTAAAATGAAATTAGCCGGGCATGGTGACAGCCGTGGTCCTAACTACTTGGGAGGCTGAGGCAGGAGGATCACTTGAGCCCAGGAGTTTGATACGAGCCTGGGAACATAGCGAGACCCCTGTGTCTATGAAAAAATGTAAATGAAATTAGCACGGCATGGTGGCCTCGCCTGTAGTCCTGGCTTCTCAGGAGGCTGAGGTGGAAGGATGGTTTGAGCCCAGGAATTCAAGGCTGCAGTGAGCTATGGTCCCACCACTGCACTTCAGCCTGGGTGACAGAGTGAGATCCTGTCTCTAAAAATGAATTTTTTTTTTTTTTAATCCTAGTTCTGCTGCCTTGTTAGCTGTGTGTCTTTGGGCAGATAGCTTACCCTCGCTGGGTCTCAGTTACCCCTTGGAAAACGAGGATCACCGTGGGATTTGCGTGAATGCCTGTGAAGTGTTTAGCACTGTGGTTTGCATGACTGCCTCACCCTACTCTATTTTCTGCACAGCAGCCAGAATGATCTTGAAACATAAATTAGATCTCGGCAGCTGCTCGCCTAAAACCTCTTCAAAGGTTTCTCGTTGCCCTTAGCATAAAATCCAGGCTCTGCACGATGTTTACAAGTCCCTGGCGATGCTCTGATCTCATGTTGGGTTACGCTTCCCTTGGTTCAGAAATCCCAGCCACCCTGGCTTTCTTTAATATTAAATTTCATTTTAAATAATTAAAATATAAAGAGTAAATTATTTAATGTACTAAATTAAATAATTTCATTTAAAATTTAATGTCTAATACCTAAATTAAATAATTTCCTTTAAAATGTAATGTCTAATACCTAAATAATTTCATTTAAAATTTAATATCGAATACATCAAGCTTGCTTCCACATCAGGACTAGTGCGGTGCCACCCCCTCCACTTGGAATGCAGAGCACTGCCTTCTGTCCATCAACCACGTGCCTCAGGTTTTCTCTCCTTCCCATCCTTCAGGTCTCAGCTTCAATGCCACCTCCTCAGGCCTTCCCTTACCACAAGGGAGGAGATACTGTCAATGTCCCACTCAGATCCTTGTCACCAGGCCAGTGGACCCACCCCCAACTGCTGTAGGTATCAGCTACTTAGGGCTCATACCTGAAACCTTCTCTAAAGGATTAACTACCTGGCTTCTCTGACTTTCCTTTCACTGAGAGCAGCCCCTCAAAAAATCACTGGCACAACAGTTGCCATCTCAGACTGCCTCTAGGGAACGGAACTTAAGATACATTTTTTTTCTTTATCTTGGTTTCTTTCAGAGCAATTATTATTATTATTATTATTATTATTGTTTTAAGACAGGGTCTTGCCAGGTGTGGTGGCTCACTCCTGTAATCCCAGCTCACTCCTGTAATCCCAGCACTTTGGGAGGTCAAAGTAGGAGGATCACTTGAAGTCAGGAGTTTGAGACCAGACTGGCCAACATGGTGAAACCCCATCTGTACTAAAAATACAAAAATTAGCCAGGCATGATGGCAGGTGCCTGTGATCCCAGCTACTCGGAAGGCTAGGGCAGGAGAATCTCTCAAACCCAGGAGGCAGAGGTTGCAGTGAGCCAAGATCGTGCCACTGCACTGCAGCCTAGGTGACAGACTGAGACTCTGTCTCAAAAAAGAAATAGGATCTCGCTATGTCACCCAGGCTCGAGTGCAGTGGCACAATCATGGCTCACTGCAGCCTCGAACCCCTGGGCTCAAGGGATTTTCCCACCTCAGGAGACTCATGACTACAGGTGCATGACACCACACCTGGCTAACATTTTATTTTATTTATTTATTTTTGACACAGAGTCTCGCTTACCCAGGCTGGAGTGCAGTGGCACAATCTCGGCTCACTGCAACCTCTGCCTCCTGGATTCAAGCAATCCTCCCACCTTAGCCTGCAGACACAGACCACCATGCCTGGCTTTTTTTTTTTTTTTTTTTTTGAGACGGAGTCTCGCTCTGTCACCCAGGCTAGAGTACAGCAATGCAATCTCAGCTCACTGCAACCTCCGCCTCCCGGGTTCAAGCAATTCTCCTGCCTCAGCCTCCCAAGTAGCTGGGACTACAGGCGCACGCCGCCAAGCCCGGCTAATTTTTTGTATTTTAGTAGAGGTGGGGTTTCACCATGTTGCCCAGGTTGGTCTTGAACTCCTGAGCTCAGGCAATCCGCCTGCCTCACCCTCCCAAAGTGCTAGGATTACAGGCATGAGCCACCACGCCCGGCCAATATTTTTTATTGTTAGCGAGGTCTATGTTGCCCAGGCTGGTCTCAAACTCCTGGCCTCAAGTAATCCTCCCACCTCCGCCTTCCAAAGTGCTGGGATTACAGGTGTGAGCCACTGCGCCCAGCCATTATTAATTTTGGAAAATATTTGGTACATTTCTTTCCTCTCTCTCCCTCACTACAGGGGAAGTTCCATGAGGGCAAGAATCACACCCGTTTAATCCATCACTTCACCCGCACACTTGGCGTGGGGGCCTGCACGTAGGAGATGCCGGAAGAGCTATTTCTTGAACTCAGGAAATGAGGCATCGTGTGTTTCCAGGGATTCCTCTCTAGTTTCCCCTCTTTTGACCTTCCTCTCAGTCCACTCTTAGATGATCCTCTTAGGATCTCAAACTCAGTGGGTCCCAGTGTTGATCCATCATCTACCCTCAGGAGAGGAGCTCTCCCCTGCCTTTTCTACCTCTGGCAGTAGCACCAGCCTTCTGGTGCCAAGGCTAGAACTCTGAGTGCCATGTCTGACTCATTCATCACAGCCATCCCCATAGCTAATCAGTGCCTGGACCTGTCTAAGACGTGTTGACATTGTCCCCTTCTCTCCTCTCCCCGAAGCTCCATGCTCACAGCCTTCAAGCCAGCCCAAGCCCCGGTTTCCTCATTCCCAAGTTGCTACAAGAACTCTTAGTAGGAACTCCCCACATCTAGCCCTCACCTCTCCTGCACCCATCTTGCACCAACCTGCTGGACTAACACTGCCAACACTCACCAGGAATCACCTCCCTCCCTCTGGTAAAAACCCTAAGAAGCCCACAGAGCCATGTCCCGTTGTCTTGCCTAACCTGGCATTCAAAGCCTCCAGTGATAAATCCTCGAGCCACCTCTTCCAACCTTGTCATTAATACTACAAAAGGTCAGGGAACACTTCTTTTAGGAGGTGACATTTCAGCCAGATCTGAACAAGGAAGAGCAACAATACAGAGCTGTTTTCAGATGTTAGGGTACTTCAGAACCCCCTGGGAATGTAAAAATATACGCAAATGCCTGTAGTGATGGAGATCGTTTGCTTGCTTGTTTCTTTCTTTGTTTTTAGCAATCCCTCCAGGACATTTTGTAGTCAGGCTTAGAAGCCACAGGTGGAGGGACAGACACACAGATGGACGAACAAAGAGACATAAATTAGTAAGTTATAACCTAACCATAAATCCCAGGCCTGAAAGCACAAAAGACCCTGCCATTCACTTTTTCTGGGAGAATCAGAAAGATGTCCAGGAGGAGAGGGTCTTTAAGCATCGTCTGAAGGGGTGAGCAGGGTTTGCAAAGCAGAAGAAAAATGGTCCTCATTAACATAGTGGAGAGTTTAAAAAAAAAAAGTGTACCCAGTGCAAAAGCTGGGAAAAAAAAAAAAGAATGGAGAAACTCACAGGCAGAGAGGGCAGCTCCTGTGAGAGGTCCCGGGCTGCGGCCAGTAGGTGACCACCAACGGGAGGCAGTGACTATATCAGGATGCCGAGGGGCCCCAGGGAGATGCGGCTGAGGTTGGAGTTGGGGCAGGTGAAGGGGAAGGACTTTGTGGGGTATCTGAGGAAGATGGAGTTTCTCCTGAGGCCACCAGGAGGCGCCAGACGTCAAGCGGGGCGGGGGGCGGGGACGGGCTCGGTAACTTTCCTCTGCTGAAAACAGCCCTGAGCAGGGTTAGCAAGGATTAGCCGTGGCAATAAAGGGCTTATAAGGAAATTAAAAGGTCTAATGAGGGCCATAAGGATGATTTATACCCTTTCTGTAGCATGCCTCTTCCTTGTACTAGAATTCATGTATGCCTTTGTCCTGTCTCCCTAATGAATTGTGGGGTACTCATAGAACTAAAACCCGTGTAATGATTAGCTGAAGCAGGGTTTCTCAACCTTGGAACTGTTGACATTTGGGGCTGGTAATTCTGTGTTGTGGGAGGTTGTTCTGTGCATGTTAGGGTGTTTAGCAGCGTCCTTGGTTTCTACTCACAAGATGCCAATGCACCTCCATCTCAACTAGTGACAAGCAAAAATGTCTCCTGACATTGCCAGCTGACCCGTGGGAGCAAAATCACCCTCAGTGGCAAACCATTGGGTTAAAGGGGTTCTGCAGGCTCTAGCAGGATCCAAATCTGGGCTCTGCCACTTCCCAAGTAGGTGATCTTGGGCAGACTACGTCACTCCTCTATGCCTCCATTTTCTCATGTATCAAGAAGGGATTTTTAAAAAGTATTGACATCAGCATCAGTGTAAGAATGAAACACAGTGATCCAGCCAGGCACAGTGATGCACGCCTGTAATCCCAGCCCTTTGGGAGGCTGAGGCAGGAGGACTGTGTGAGCCCAGGAGTTTTAGACCAGCCTGAGCTACATAGCAAGACCCTATCTCTACAGAAAACAACAACAAAAAAAATTAGCCAAGTGTGGTGGTGCACCTGTAATCCCAGCTACACAGGAGACTGAGGCGGGAGGATCGCCTGAGCCAGGAGCTCAAGGTTACAGTGAGCTATGATCATTCACTGCACTCTAGCCCGGGCAACAGAGGAAGCCCTTGTCTCTAAAAATAGAAATAATAAATTAATAAATAATAAAAATAAATACAAGGCTGGGCCCGGTGGCTCATGCCTGTAATCCCAGCACTTTGAGAGGCTGAGGCGGGAGGATCACCTGAGGTCAGGAGTTTGAGACCAGCCTGGCCAACGTGTTGAAACCCTGTCTCTACTAAAAATTTAAAAATTAGCTGGGCATGGTGGCGGGTCCCTGTAATCCTAGCTACTCAGGAGGCTGAGGCACAAGAATTGCTTGAACCCAGGAGATGGATGTTGCAGTGAGCCGAAATCGTGCTACTACAGTCCAGCCTGGGTGACAGAGCAAGATTCCATCTCAAAATATAAAAATAAATAATAAATACAATGACAAATGCGAAGGCCACAAGGTAAACACTCAATGAACACCAGGCCTCTGAGGACACAAGGGATAGTAATGGTTATGGTAACCTCAGTGTTAGCAACTACAGCCTAACTCAAGAATTCCCCGAAGATGTGTTCCAAGGAATAATGAACTCAAAAAGTAGTTTTATTTAAAAAGGTTTTCAGGCCAGAAAATGCAGGACACCCAATTCCTTTTTGAGCAAATTAGGTATACTCAGTTAATTAAGACTCCAAGAAGGCCTGCAGTCATCATTACTCGATTTGAAGCTCTGGGAAATGAGGAGTGAAGTCTAACTCACTACAGTATCCCCCTTCCTAGCATAATGCTGAGGAACACTCAATAAGAACGTGATAAATTGTGGGCAGAGGATTACCCAGGTGCCGAGGCAAGAGACTGAAGGCACAAACTGTTTCAGTATAATGAAGAAAATAGTTACAATTAGAATAGTTATAATAGAAATTAGATATAGAGATGATCATGGACATTATCAATCATTAGTATAACCATTATTAATCATTAGCCTTTAATATTACTGTTTGTTTAATTACTGATATAACAAAGGAATAACCAGCGGGGATAGGGTCAGGTGCTGAAGAGACATTGTGAGAAGTGACCAAGAAGGCAAGAGGTGAGCCCTCTGTCACGCCTGCATAAGGGCCGCTTGAGGGCTCCTTGGTCAAGCGGTAATGCCAGTGCCTGGGAAAGCACCCGTGACTTAGCAGACCATGAAAGGGAGTCTCGCTTTACTTGGAGGACTCAGGGAACACTCTGCTCCACCACCTTCTTGTGGGAGGTTGGATATTATCCAGGCCTGCCCACAGTCATCTGGAGGCCTAAACCCCTCCCTGTGGTGCTGTGCTTCAGTGGTCATGCTCCCTGTCCACTTTCATGTTCCTCCTGTACTCCTGGTTCCTCTTTGAAGTTCTTAGAAGATAGCAGTAGAAGAAACAGTGAAAGTCTTAAAGTCTTTGATCTTTCTGATAAGTGCATAGAAGAAAATGCAGATGTATGCTGCCTTCTCTCTCTGCTTCAGCTACCTAAAAGGGAAGGGCCCCCTGTCCCATGATCATGTGACTTGCTTGACCTTATCAATCACTCGGACAACTCACCCTCCTTACCCTGCCCCTTGTCTTATATAGAATAAATATCAGCCCGCCCAGCCATTTGGAGCCACTACTGGTCTCTGCGTCTTGGTGGTAGTGGTCCCCCAGGCCCAGCTGTTTTTCTCTTTACTTCTTTGTCTGGTGTCTTTATTTCTTATCATCTCTCGTCTCCACACACGGGGAGAACACCCAATAAGCCCCGTAGGACTGGACCCTACAATAAATGAATAAATTAACTGAATATTTACATGAGTAAACTTGTTAATTACAGAAGTCAGCTTAGCTGAGTTTCACCCAGTGTTTTCCAAGCTCTATGGACCACTGCACTACACAGATCCCTAGGACTAGAGCCCTACAGATGTGCTTTAGAAAAAAAGTAAAGAGACAAAAATAAAAAATAAAAAAATTTTAAAAATATACAAATATACTTTGGAAAATGTAGCCCTTTCCCAGAATGGTAAAGCAAAAGTGAGTGACTCAGAAGGCAAGGACGATGACAGGACACATTTCTGGGATCTGAGTTTCACGGGGGCTTCATTAATTTAAAACATTTTTTTTTTAAATCAGAGTCTTGCTCTGTTGCCCAGGGTGGAGTGCAGTGGCTCGATCTTGGCCCACTGCAACCCCTGCCTCCCAGGTTCAAGCAATTCTCTTGCCTCAGCCTTCCCGGTAGCTGGGATTACAGGCATATGCCAACACGCCTGGCTAATTTTTGTATTTTTAGTAGAGACAAGGTTTCACCATGTTGGCCAGGCTGGTCTTGAACTCCTGACCTCAAGTGATCTGCCCTCCTCAGCCTCCCAAAGTGCTAGGATTGCAGGCGTGAGCCACCATGCCTGACCTCATTTAAAACATTTAATTCAGCTCCAAAATGAGCCCTAAGAGATGAAAAAGCAAAAGCATTCTTGACCAAGTAGACTCTATTTTTTAAAAAGAAATATAGCAATCTCTGGTGCCATTTTGTGTGCAGTAAAGCGGTGAAGCAAACATCCTCCATAGAGGTGACTGTCACACGCGTCCGTGTGAAGAGAGTCCATCAAACAGGCTTTGTGTGAGCAACAAGGCTGTTTATTTCACCTGGGTGCAGGTGGGCTGAGTCCAAAATGGAGTCAGCAAAGGCTGGTGGGATTATAACTAGTTCTTTAGGTTTAGGATAGGCGTACAAAGTATATTCTTAAGGGCGGGGAGAATATTACAAAGTACCTTCTTAAGGGCGGGGGAGAATATGTGTATCAGTTAGGGTGGGGCAGGAACAAATCACAATGGTGGAATGTCATCAGTTAAGGCTATTTTCACTTCTTTTGTGGCTCTTCAGTTGCTTCAGGCCATCTGGATATATACGTGCAGGTCACAGGGGATACGATGGCTTAGCTTGGGCTCAGGGACCTGACCGTGGTATCAATCTCACTCCTCACATCCAAAGAAATGTCTAAGGTTGTAGCTCCCACACCCCAAAAGATTAAATTTCTCTCAAGTCATGATTCTATTCCGTAACGATTCTATCCGATGGTGCTTATGGCAAAAGTCAAGAAAATTGCCTATTGCAAACTCAGTTCCAGTTTCTGATTTTTGAGGGATGTGTTTAGACTACTGCCCCCCTTGTTTGCGTCTAAAATTTCCATCCAGATGAACAGTAAGCAAAATAAGTGATCGTGGAAAAACATACTCAAGAGGCACAAAAGACTTTTCGATAGCAATGGGAAAAGCCTTAGCCAAAATGAGGGCTTACATTTGCAACGTGCCCATTCCATGTCAGATACTCTTCTAGGTACTTCTCACATGCAAACTCATCTAATTAGGGGGTGGATCTTATTATGATTCCTGTCTTACAGATGAGCACATTGCAGCTCAGAGAGGTAGAGTGACTGGACCCTTGACACACAGCCAGTAAGGGTGGGAGCTGGCATTGGATCATAGTCTTAATGTCGTAACCGAGTGAGTTATAGAGAAACGCCACACTCTGAGACTAATTCAGGAGTCCTTTACTGCCGGCGACCGAGAGACGGCTAGAGCTCAAAAACTCTGTCGGCCTCGAAGAAGGGGCTAGATTTCCTTTTATATCTTGGTTTAAAAAGGGGAGGGGGAGCCTAGCTGAAGCAATTTCACAGAAGCAGAACAGGCAAAAAGTTAAAAGATAAATGGTTACAGAAACAGTTACAGAAAAATAAACAGTTCCAGGTGCAGGGGCTTAAACTATCACAAAGAGATAAATGCAGGGGCTTTGGGTACCATCAACCGAGCGAGTTCCCAGGAGCTGCTGGTACAGCTTGCCTCAGTATCTTATCAGTAAGTGCATTCCTGGATGCCTGGATGTGCTTGGAGTCAGCTTGTACCAGTTATGTCCTTAAGGGAGGAGGATAAGGGGCTGCAAGTGAAGAAACGAAAACGGAGTCTGTCTGGCTCTCTCAGCTAAGTGACAGTCAATCAGGCTAAAACAAGGTAGGGTATCACATTAACGCTACACTCCACAGCGTCAATAATTTGCAGTAATCACCAATGCTACTTTTAAGAAGTTTTAATATGCACTTTGGTTATCCATTTATAACTTTAATACTAAAGTTAATTATCACGAGGCCAGTCATGGTGGCTCATGCCTGTAGTTAATACAAAAATTAGCCAGGCATGGTGGCATGCACCTGTAGTCCTGGCTACTTGAGAGGCTCAGGTAGGAAAATTGCTTGAACCAAAAAGGTGGAAGTTGCTGTGAGCCGAGATCGCACCACTGCACTCCAGCCTGGGCGACAGAGTGAGACTCAGTCTCAAAAATAAATAAATAAAAAGTAAAAACATAAAGTGAATTATCTGGTAGAAGTATAGGAGGTATGGAGGGAGAAAGTATCTACACCCAAGACACATTAGAGTCCTTCCTGAGGCACTTAAGTCCCAGACCCTGGGACACTAAACGACATGAAAGGCAAGAAATAGCTACCATTTTGCAATTCCGTATTATTCCAAATATACCTCTTACTGCCTTTTTTCATGCTCCTTGTATTTGCTGAAGAGGTTTAAAACAAAGAGTAAACTGCAATGCCAGCTCAACTTGCATAATTCTAATGAATCGATTCCAAACAACATTCAAAGCAGTAATATCCTCACCCTCACTTCCTCCAGGCCCACCCCTAAATCAAAAATAAAAAATGGCTTGATCCCTTTACAAACACTAGACTAGGAACTTCACTTATAATATCTCATTTAATCCCTAGCTTAAACTGACAAGCAAATATTAGTTCTCATTTTACAAATGAGGAGACTGAGGTTCATAGTGGTTCAGTGTCTTGCCCAAGGTCACACACCTAGTAAAGGACATGAAGAGGGTTCTGAACCACGTCTGTTTTCAAAATCTCCAGGTTCTGCTGCCTTCTGTATTTCAAGGTGGTTTCACCAGAGAAATCCCCCAAGCCCCAGAAGGAAAAACAAACAAAAAAACAGTTATATTCCAATGTCCTCACAAGAACTGGAGGCCGGAGGCCATGGCTCATTCTTGTAATCCCAGTACTTCGGGAGGCCAAAGCAGGAGGACTGCTTGATCTCAGGAGTTCAAGACCAGCATGGGCAACATGCCGAAACCCTGTCTCTACCAAAAATACAAAAATTACCTTGGTATGGTGGTGCATGCCTGTAGTCCCAGCTATTTGGGAGGCTGAGATGGGAGGACGGCTTGAGCCCAGGAGACAGATGCTGTAGTGAGCTGAGATCGTGCCACTGCATTCCAGCCTGAACAACACAGCAAGACTCTGTCTCAAAAAAAAATTCATTTTAATTTTAAAAAAAGAACTGGAGATAGTATAAATGTTATTAAACTTGAGTGGTGCTAGTTGAGAACTGTGACCAATTAAATAGCTACTTCCTCTGTTCTGAACTGCATCCAGCCTGTTGATGAGATTGGCAGATCAGCGCTTTGAGCCGTAATGTGAAGAATCTCAGGAGAAGAAAAGAGCAGATAATGGCACTTCACTATGGGTGGGGCTCAGTGGAGAGGCCAACACTTGTAAGAATTGTGTTAATAGCAATGTTTCTGGGATCCCTGCAGTCAACCAGAATGTGACATGTAAAAAGAAGTTTATTATTTTTTCCATATTAATACTGATCAAGTGCAGACATAAAACCTCTCTGCAGGTTTCATTTCTTTTGGATACAGGCACATTTTGCCATTTTCAAACACAAAATCTCTGTGACCAATGCTTGCTCATGAAAGGCTAATAATAATGCATTGACTGCTACAAGCTATTTTTTGTTCTGGCTGAAACTTTGTGACACTCCCTAGGTGAAGCTTTTCTTCCAGGGTTTTTACAAGGTCACTGCTGTTTTCTAGGGCACTCGTCCCAAACTGTGGAGGTGAGAGTAGTGCTGGACATGTGTCGATGCCAGAACGTTCATCTCGATATTTGAGTCAGAGTTTAAAATTCTTTTTTTGTTTTTTTCTTTTCTGACACGGAGTCTCGCTCCGTCGCCCAGGCTAGAGTGCAGTGGCGCAATCTCAGCTTACTGCAACCTCTGCCTCCTGGGTTCAAGCAATTCTCCTGCCTCAGCCTCCTGAGTAGCTGGGACTACAGGTGTGCGCCACCACGCCAGGCTAATTTTTGTATTTTTAGAAGACATGGGGTTTCACCATGTTGGTCAGGCTGGTCTCAAGCTCCTGACCTCGTGATCCACCCGCCTCAGCCTCCCAAAGTGTTGGGATTACAGGCGTGAACCACTGTGCCTGGCACAATGAACTGGTTTTGAACAACTTTTTTGTCTCAAACACTGCCCTTGACACTGGAGCTAGACCAGGGAAAAAGGACCAAGTTGGCCTCCATGGAGCTTATATCCTAGTGGGGCAGGAAAAAAGATTTTTAAAAGATAAATTAAATAAACGAATTAACATTTGGAATGGGTAGAATTGTGTCCCCCAAAAAGATATGCTCAAGTCCTAACCCCCAGTGACCTTATTGGAAAATAAAGTCTTTATAGATATAATCAAGGTAAGATGAGGTTATACGGGATTCGGTGGGCCTTAAATTCACTGACTGATGAATCCCTTTATAAAAGGAGGAGGCCGGGTGCGGTGGCTCATGCCTGTAATCTCAGCACTTTGGGAGGCTGAGGTGGGAGGACCACTTGAGCCCAACAGTTCGAGGCCAGCCTGGGCAACATGGTAAAACCCTGTCTCTACAAAAAATTAAAAAATTAGCTGGGTGTGGTGGCATGTACCTGTGGTCCCAGCTACTTGGGAGGCTGAGGTGGGAGGATAGCTTGAGCCTGTGAGGTTGAGGCTGCAGTGAGCCATGATAGCACCCCTGCACTCCAGCCTGGGCAAAAGAACAAGACCCTGTCTGAAAAAATAAATAAATAAATATGAAAAAAAACCATATACATATGTGAGGGTAATTTGGACACAGACAGACATGGGAGGAGAAGCCCATGTGCAGGCGGAGGCCCAGATGGGACTGACCCATCTACAAATGGAGGAACCCCGAGGAGTGCTGGGGCCACCAGAAGCTGGGAGAGGCAAGGAGACATTCTCCCCTAGAGCCTCACGGGAGAGTGCAGTCATTCCTAACTTCGATCTCAGACTTCTGGCCTCCAGAACTGTGACGGAATAAATTTCTGTTGTTTAAACCTCCCAGTGCCTGGTACCGTGTTACGGCAGCTTCAGGAAACAAATATAGCAGCTAATAGGATTCTCAGACAGTGATAAATGGCATGAAGAAAATGAAGCAGGGGTCCGGGCGCGGTGGCTCATGCCTATAATCCCAGCACTTTGGGAAGCTGAGGTGGGCAGATCACTTGAGGTCAGGAGTTGGAGACCAGCTGGGCCAACATGGCAAACCCCATCTCTACTAAAAATACAAAAATTAGCCAGGCATGGTGGCAGGTGCCTCTAATTCCAGCTACTTGGGAGACTGAGGCAGGAGAATCACTTGAACCCAGGAGGCGGAGGTTGCAGTGAGCCAAGATTGCACCATTGCACTCCAGCCTGGACAATAAGAGGCCTCTTGTTCAAAAATTATTAAGAATTTCAACATGGGCCAGGTGCAGTGGCTCACACCTGTAATCCCAGCACTTTGGGAGGCTGAAGCGAGCGGGTCACTTGGGCTCAGGAGTTCAAGACCAGCCTGGCCAACATGGTGAAACCCCATCTCTACCAAAAATACAAAATTTAGCCAGGCGTGGTGACGCGTACCTGCAATTCCATCTACTCACGATGCTGAGGCACAGGAATTGCTTGAACCCAGGAGGTGGAGGTTGCAGTGAGCCAAGGTTGCACCACTGCACTCCAGCCTGTGTGACAGCAAGACCCTGTCTCAAAACAAACAAACAAACAAACAAAAAAGAATTTCAAGATGGTCCGGGTGCAGTGGCCCATGCCTGTAATCCCAGCACTTTGGAAGGTGGAGACGGGAGGATCGCTTGAGCCCAGGAATCCAAGACCAGCCTGAGCAACACAGCCACAGCAACATCTCGTTTCTATTTAATACAGAAAGAAAAAGAATCTCAAGATCGTGAACTCAGAACACTAAACCAAGTGAGGGGCCTTTTTGAGCATGGGCCCTGTGTAGCTGATAGAGACCCTACCTTATCTTTCTGCATTAAACTGTTCAGCACTTTCGTGTTTGCCTGGGTAAGAGATCTTTCACTTTTCACCTGGAACACGGAGCCCTGTTCTTTGGTGTCTGTGTCCCCGATGGTGCCCTCACACTTTGCACTTGAATAAACTCTTTCAACTAGATCCTGAGCCTTTGATCATTTTAGGTTGACAAAAACCTAACACAGCCTGACCTCTATGGTTTGAAGAGCTCAGAGTATGTGTGAGTGGATAAAAAAACTCTTTATTTTGTTTGAGACAGTGTCTCATTTCATCACCCAGGCTGAAGTGCAGTGGCGCAATCTCAGCTCACTGCAACCTCTCTCTCCCGGGTTAAAGCAATTCTTGTGCCTTAGCCTACTAACTAGCTGGGATTACAGGTGTGCACCACCACACCCAGCTAATTTTTTTGGTGTGATCATGGTTCACTGCAGCCTTGAACTCCTGGGCACAAGTGATCTTCCTGCCTTAGCCTCCCAAGTAGCTGAGACTACATGTGCATGCTGCCACACGTAGCTAATTTTTTAATTATTTGCAGAGATGGGGTCTCACTCTGCTGCCCAGGGTGGTCTTGAACTCCTGATCTCAAGTGATTCTCCTACCTCGGCCTCTCAAACTTCTGGGGTTACAGGAATAAACCACAATGCCCAGCCTTGCTTGTAATTTTTAATCATTGGTTAGGTTTAGTGTTAGATTAGATGCATGATTCACAAATCTAATTTGACATGTCAATTCTTTGTGTCAACACAGTTTTCTTTAAAAAATTTTCCCCCAAATGAGAACTACTTGAAATTTTGAAAGTAAAAGAAATCTTTCTGAAATTAATTGAATATTTGAAAGTAAAATAAAATAGGTATTCATCCTTAAAATTCTGATTCATATTGTCAAACTATCCTCCCTTCAGAGACATTTTCACTTTCAATCATACACACAGAGCATGAGTGTGCCGCCTTCACACCTACCAGACACCAAGCTAGGCTCTGTATCATCCTTACCACCACGATCAGTGGAAAATAAAAGCACTCATTTCTGTAGCAATGGTAATTACGTAGTCTGGGGTAGAGCAATCAGTCAAGTCCCCCCAAACTAGGACGCCGTTTGCTAGGAGGGGGTTGGAAGAATGCATCAACTGTCTATCAGCCATTTCTCTACCTCTGCCTTCCCAATGATTTATCTGTAGGCACCTGCTGATCACCCATCTCATCATGCCTGGCAACAACTTTGGAGAAACCAGACTGTCAACAAGAGTGGAAGCTTCAGCCTGGGCAACAGGCTGAAGACCCCATGTCTATAAAAATAAAAAAAATTATCCCAGCTCAGTGGTGCATGTCTGTGGTCCCAGCTACTTGGGAGGCTGAGGTGGGAAGATGGCTTGGGCCCAGGAGTTCAAGGCTGCAGTGGGCTGTGATTGTGCCACTGCACTCCAGCCTGGACAACAAGACCCTGTCTCAGAAAAAAAAAAAAGAAGGCTGGGCACAGTGGCTGATGTCTGTAATCCCAGCACTTTGGGAAGCTGAGGAGGATGGATCATTTGAGGTCAGGAGTCCCAGACCAGCCTGGCCAATATGGTAAACTCTGTCTCTACGACAAATACAAAACATAGGCCGGGCGCAGTGGCTCGGGCCTGTAATCCCAGCACTTTGGGACACCAAGGCGAGTGGATCGCTTGAGGCCAGGAGTTCGAGACCAGCCTGGGCAACATGGTAAAACCTCGTCTGTACTAAAAATACAAAAATTAGCTGGGTGTCATGGGGCGTGCCTGTAATTCCAGCTGCTCAAGAGTCTGAGGCATGAGAATTGCTTGAACCCGGGAGGCAGAGGTTGCACTGAGCGGAGATTGTGCCAGTGCACTCCAGCCTGGGCAACAGAGCAAGACTCCGTCTAAAAAAAAAAAAAAAAAAAAAAAAAAGAGCCAGGTGTGGTGGCGCATGCCTGTAGTCCCAGCTACTTGGGAGGCTGAGGCATGAGAATCCCTTGAATCCAGGAGGCAGAGGTTACAGTGGGCAAGGATCACACCACTGCACTCCAACCTGGGTGACAGAGTGAGACCCTGTCTCAAAAAAAAGGAAGAAAGACTTTAGGGCCAAGTGGAAGAGTTCTGTGTGCTATAGATGCAAGAACACCAGAGTAGGGGTCAGGAGCCCTGGCATTTGCTCTCTCAGGCATGCCAATTTCCTTTTCTGGGATATACAATACCCAGGACTGTAGGTCAGAAATGAAGGCATTTCTGTCTAGGCACAGTAGCTCATGCCTATAATCCCAGCACTTTGGGAGACTGAGGGGGAGGATCGCTTGAGGCCGGGAGTTTGAGACCAGCCTGGGCCACACAGCGAGAACTCGTAGCAATATTTTTAAAAAAGAAAGAAAGAAGGCCAGGTATGGTGGCTCATGCTTGTAATCCCAGCACTTTGTGAGGCCAACACGGGTGGATCACTTGAGGTCAGGAGTTTGAAAGCCTTTCAGAGATAACAGCCAGCTCTCCTATTTATTTATTTATTTATTTATTTTAAGACAGAGTCTCGGCCGGGCACGGTGGCTCACGCCTGTAATCCCAGCACTTTGGGAGGCCGAGGTGGGTGGATCATGTGAGGTCAGGAGTTCGACATCAACCTGGCAAATGTGCTAAAACCCCATTTCTACTACAAATACAAAAAATAAGCTAGGCATGGTGGTGCACCCCTGTAATCCCAGCTACTCGGGAGGCTGAGGCAGGAGAATTGCCTGAACTAGGGAGGCAGAGGTTGCAGTGAGCCAAGATCGCGCCACTGCACTCCAGTTTGGGCAACGAGAGCAAAACTCCGTCTCATAAAAAAAAAACAAGAGTCTGGGTGACAAATCACCCAGAGCTAGGAGGATTAAGCTAATGTGGGATGAAGGACCATTTGGACACTCTAATGGCGCTTCTTCTCAAAAAAAAAAAAAATTAAATAATTGCATATGCATATACGTGCACATGCCCACGTATAAATATAATTCAGCCTATAAATTCTGGTAGATTCACTGACACCTGAAGCCCACCCTCAGATCCCCAATTTAAACATTTTTCACTAATAGAAAACATACTGTCATTGCACTAAGCCATTTTGTTTTGAATCCTTACACCAACCCTTCAAGTAGAAATTAATAGTTTCATTTTATAGAGTAAGAAAGCAACACGCCAACACACAGAGTTAACAAAACATGCTCAGATCACATTGCAAGCCAGCATCACACTAGTTAGGTTCTTTGAGTGCAAGTAACAGAAATTTGTTCCAGCAAACATGTGAAGAAAAGGGATGAATGGCAAGGATATCAGGTAACTTGAAGAATCAAAAAAAAATGGCTGTGGCTAGGCACAGTGGCTCATGCCTGTAATCCCAGCACCCTGGGAGGTCAAGGCGGGAGGATCACTTGAGCCCAGAGTTCAAGCCCAATCTTGGCAACATAGTGAGACATTGTCTCTACTAAAAATTAAAAAAGTTAGCCGGGCATGGTGGCACATACCTGTAGTCCCAGCTACCCAGCACAGAGGCGGGAGGTAGGGGCTGAGGTAGGAGGATGGCTTGAGCCTTGGAGGTTGAGGTTGCAGTGAGCTGTGATCACACCACTGCACTCCAGCCTAGGTAACAGCGCAAGATCCTGTCTCAAAAAAAAAAAAAAAAAAAAAAAAAGGCTGTGAAGTTGGGCTCGAAACAGTAGAAATCAGAGCAGCTCTACAGCCCTATTTTTATTTCAAACTTTATATTACCATCCTCAGAATGTATTGCCCTGAGCTGTTGACAAAGATTCTCTCCTTGACCAAACTTTACTCAGGCTCCTCTGAACCCTCTTCCTAACTTGGCCTTGACCTTTGGACTTCCTTGTTTGTCTTTGCATCTCCCAGTTTTAGCAAATTTTCTGTCATGTTGATTTAGCCAGAATCCCCACATGCTATAGCTGACAATCCTCAAATACTTAATCAAAGTCTTCTTCCCCACAACCCCCAGGTGATGTCTGACCACCCTAGCTTGGCTTTAGCAAGAATCCTGTTAGGTCATTTTTAGCAAGAATTCCTCTATCCTCTAATTAATAGTACTTTTCCATCCACTAATCCTTCCCACCACAACCCTGCCCTTTGGCTATAAACCCCCATTTTTCCTTGTTGTATTTGAAAGTGATCCCAATCTCGTTCTCCTACTGCAAAACCCCATTGCAGTGGTTTCTTGGACAAAGACTTTTGCACTGTTCTTTAACAAGGGTCAGAATATCTTCTCCTGGGGAATTGCTTTAACCTGGGTGGCGGAGGTTCAAGTGAGCCAAGATTGCGCCACTGCACTCCAGCCTGGGCATCAGAGTGAAACTCCGTCTCAAAAAAAAAAAAAAAGAAAAAATATTTTCTCTTGGGGTGAGTCATATGTCCACACATGGCCAAGGAAACTGCCAAAAAGGCTGTGTACTATGGGTATGATCCCTAGAGGGAAAGTGGGATGCAATGACTGAAAACAAAGTAGGGAGGTGAGAAACACCAACACATCTACAGTAAAAATGGCATCCGTAGAATGATGGTTTGGGAGTGAATCCAACCAGGATATCCCTACCCTCCTTTCCACGCTCTGATTTGAAGAGAAGTTGGGCTTACTGGTAATTAATCAACTTATTTAATCAATACTTGTCTCTACTATGAATTTGTAATTTAGTTTTCCTAATGATGTGTCAGCAATTTTGAGTCATGTCTGACCTATGAGTGCTCAGAAAGTACACTGAAAGTCAAATGGATGGTTAGGCTTTCACCCAGGCCTTGGATGAGTTTTATGAGTGTTAAGATGTCATGGAAGGATGTAGTTTTGCCTTTCCAGAACACATCCTTCTTCTGCTAACAGCATCCTGATTTCCCCTTGCTCTGTCTCTAAGAATGAACATAAGATCCAGTCTTGGCCAACCAGAAATAATTCACATTAGTCCCAGGTTTGAAATTATTCATGAAATTATTGGGAAATACATATGTTTTTCTAGGTTTCCCAGCCTGGAACACGAAGACTAAGGCTGATAGTACATTTTTACATTTCCTAAGCACCGAGATCCAGCCTTGCCTGAAGCTTCATAAACATTTTGGTTAGAAGCCAGGTGCAGTGGCTCACGCCTGTAATCCCAGCACTTTGGGAGGCTGAGGTGAACAGATCACCTGAGGTCAGGAGTTCAAGACCAGTCTGGCCAATGTGGTGAAACCCTGTCTCTACTAAAAATACAAAAATTAGCCAGGCGTGGTGGCACATGCCTGTAATCCCAGGTACTTGGGAGGCTGAGGCATGATAATCACTTGAACCCAGGAGGCGGAGGTTGCAGTGAGCCGAAATCATGCTACCGTGCTCCAGCCTGGGTGACAGAGCGAGACTCCATCTCAAAAAAAGTTTTTTTTGGTTAGGTTAGTCAGTGCTAGTCTTTTTTATTTATTTATTTATTTTTTTGAGATGGAGTCTTGCTTTGTCTCCCAGGCTGGAGTACAGTGGCATGATCTCGGCTCACTGCAACCTCCACCTCCCAGGTTCAAGTGATTCTCCTGCCTCAGCCTCCTGAGTAGCTGGGATTACAGATGCACGCCACCATGCCCTGCTAATTTTTGTATTTTTAGTAGAGATGGGGTTTCACCATGTTTGTCAGGCTGGTCTTGAACTCCTGACCTCGTGATCCACCTGCCCCGGCCTCCCAAAGTGTTGGGATTACAGGCATGAGCCACTGCGCCCGGCCAGTCAGTGCTATTTTTATGTAGGCCTTTTTTTTTTTATTTATTTATTGAGGAGGTGTATTGGGCCTGTACCCATGCTGGAGTGTAGTGGCTCAATCACAGCTCACTGCAGCCCCTACCTCCCAGGCTCAAGCAATTCTCCCACCTCAGCCTCCCAAGTGGCTGGGACCACAGGCATGAACCACCATGCCCAAATAATTTTTTTTTCTTTCTGTTTTTGAGCTAGAGTCTCCCTCTGTCACCCAGGCTGGAGTGCAATGGCTCTGTCTCAGCTCACTGCAACCTCCACCTCCCAGGTTCAAGTGATTCTCCTGTCTCAGCCTCCCAATTAGCTAGCAATACAGGCATGCACCACCTTGCCTGGCTAATTTTTTGTATTTTTAGTAGAGATGCAGTTTCACCATGTTGGCCAGGCTGGTCTTTGCTGAGACCAGCTTGGTCGGGGAGACCCTAACCCAGCAGTGCCAGAGGGATTAAAGACACATACACAGAAATATAGAGGTGTGAAGTGGGAAATCAGGGGTCTCACAGCCTTCAGAGCTGAGAGCCCGGAGCAGAGATTTACCCACATATTTATTAACAGCAAACCAGTCATTAGCATTGTTTCTATAGATACTAAATTAACTAAAAGTATCCCTTATCGGAAACGAAGGGATGGGCTGAATTAAAGGAATAGGTTGGGCTAGTTAACTGCAGCAGGAACACGCCCTTAAGACACAGCTCACTGATGCTATTGCTTGTGGCTTAAGAATGCCTTTAAGCAGTTTTCTGCCCTGGGCAGGCCAGGTGTTCCTTGCCCTCATTTCCATAAACCCACAACCTTCCAGCTTGGGCGTTAGGGCCTTTATGAACATGTTACAGTGCTGCACAGATTTTGTTTATGGCCAGTTTTGGGGCCAGTTTATGGCCAGATTTTGGGGGGCTTGCTCCCAACAGGTCTTGAACTCCCGACCTCAAGTGATCCATCTGCCTCTGCCTCCCAAAGTGCTGGGCTTACAGGCATGAGCCACTGTGCCTGGCAAATTTTTTTTTCTTTTGGTAGAGACCGGGTCTCACTATGTTGCCCAGGCTGGTCTCAAACTTCTGGGTTCAAGTTATCCTCCTGTTTTGGGCTCAAGTTATCCTCCTGTTTTGGCCTCCCAAAGAGCTGGGACTACAGGCATGAGCTGCCATGCCTGGCCTATGTGTCTTTTTAATATTGGATTTGTGCTACTTGCAACTTAGAAACATATGACTAATACAAAGGTGTCCTACCATGTCTAATCATGTAGTGAGACCAATGACTTTTGGTAAGATAGTAAACGTGTTGTTGGTTTTTTACTTACTTAACCACATGCTATAACATAGACAGAGACAGAGAGTAGGAGAAAAAACAAAAGACACCAAAATAACAAAGGCACATACATTTGTACTCCAGCCAACTCTTTCCCTGTTTTGTCTCTCTCTACTTTCAGGCTCCTTTTTTATAGATACCTAATATTATCAGGATGCTGGGTTATCTAAATCCATTTACAGCTTTGCACCATGAAAATAAATCACCTATTTTAAATAAACTAACAAAATTAAATATCTAAGTACCCAGGACCTGAATATAGTTCTGTCACTGAGGTGGTTTGTATTTTAAGAGGCCTCTTGAAAGAATGCAATGTTTAACCAAATGGAATAAACGAATAGTGGTAGAATTCCGGGCATTCCTCTAGTAAAGACTTTTTTTTTTTTTTTGAGACAGAGTCTCACTCTGTCACCCAGGCTGGAGTGCAGTAGTGCAATCTTGGCTCACTGCAACCTCCGCCCTGTGGAGTCAAGCAATTCTCCTACCTCAGCCTCCTAAGTGGTTGGGATGACAGGTACGTGCCACTGCAGCTGGCTAATTTTATTTATTTATTTTTTATTTTTGGGGGGATGGAGTCTCACTGTTGCCCGGGCTGGAGTGCAGAGGCACAATCTCAGCTCACCACAACCTCCGCCTCCTGGGTTCAAGCGATTCTCCTGCCTCAGCCTCCAGAGTAGCTGGGACTACAGGCACATGCCACCATGCCAGGCCAATTTTTGTATTTTTAGTAGAGATGGGGTTTCACGATGTTGGCCAGGCTGGTCTCGAACTCCTGACCTCGTGATCCACCCACTTCAGCCTCCCAAAGTGCTGGGATGGCAGGCATGAGCCACCGCGCTTGGCCTTTTTGTATTTTTAGTAGAGATAGGGTTTCACCATGTTGGCCAGGCTGGTCTTGAACTCCTAGCGTCAAGTGATCCACCCATCTCAGCTTCCTAAAGTACTGGGATTACAGGCGTGAGCCACCGCACCTGGCCTCTAAGAAAGATTTATGGAGCATCTGCCATGTATCTGACAAGGTGTTATGATACAAGGGTGTACGAATGCTGTCCTCAAAAAAAAAAAAATGTGCAGATATGCCAGGCACGGTGGCTCACATCTTTAATCCCAGTACTTTGGAAGACTGAGACAGGATGATTGCTTGTAGAGACTTCATCTCTACAAAAAAATTAAAAATTAAAAAATTAAAAAGAAATGTTTTAATGTGCAGATAACTTTGGGGAATGGATAAGGAACTAGTTACACAGCAGAATAAGAGCATGCTGTGAAAACATCCTGGACTTTTAACCTCCGGGTGAAGGAGAAAGTCACCTAGGGAGGGTTCCTTTCAGCCCAGCCATTATTTCTACCCCAGCAACAGCATCTCACACACTGTGGTTGCTCTGTAAATATTTACCACGCAATGTAAGAAGCCAGTAGTAGGTGACTGGGCGCAGTGGCTCATCCCCATAATGGCAGCACTTTGGGAGGCCGAGGCAGGTGGATCACCTGAGGTCAAGAGTTCGAGACCAGCCTGGCCAACATGGTGAAACCCCCATCTCTATGAAATCGCCCCACTGTACTCCAGCTTGGGCAACAGAGCAAGATTCTGTCTCAAAACAAACAAACAAACAAACAAACAAACAAACAAACAAAAAAACAGAAGTCTGTAGGTTGCCTGATCCTTAAAAGACTATGGACCTGCCCCTGCTGCTCTCTCCAAAGGACTCAAAGGGCACTCAATCAAACACTGAGGAAATCACTGTTTTCCCCAGCCTGAAAGCGGCCTCCAGTCTGCTGGGTTGTTTATTCTGCTGTGGTGTCTCCTCCAGTCATTAACATTCTATTTTCAGGCTAGTAGTCTTTCAGTTCCCAGCAATTAGAGCATTTTGCACAGGATAAACAAACAGGGGATTGCTTTCTGGCCAAATTCAGTTGCTGGATATTACAGCACGCAGTTTTGAAGACTTGAAGGGTAAAGGTTGGATGAGTTGGTTTGTACTCTGGGCCTGGTTGCAGCTACCCTTAGAACAATTCCAAAGAAAGGCGAGGCTGAGGTGGGAGGATCACTTAAGGCTGGGGTTCAAGACCAGCCTGGGCAACATAAAGAGATCCCATCTCTAAAAAAAATTTAAAATTAGCCGGGTGAGGCCAGGTGCGGTGGCTCACACCTGTAATCCTAGCATTTTGGGAGGCTGAGGCGGGTAGATGACTTGAGGTCAAGAGTTTGAGACCAGCCTGGCCAACATGGTGAAACCCTGGCTCTACTAAAAATACAAAAATTAGCCGGGTGTTGTGGCAGGCGCCTGTAATCCCAGCTACTCGGGAGGCTGAGGTGGGAGAATCGCTTGAACCTAGTGAGCTGAGATCGCATCACTGCACTCCAGCCTGGGAGACAGAGCGAGACTCCATCTCAAAAAAAGGAAACCAGGCCAGGCGTGGTTGCTCATGCTTGTAATCCCAGCAGTTTGGGAGGCCAAGGCAGCCAGATCACCTGAGATCGGGAGTTGGAGACCAGCCTGACCGACATGGAAAAAAAACTCCATCTCTACTAAAAATACAAAATTAGCCGGGCGTGGTGGCACATGCCTGTAAGCCCAGCTACTTGGGAGGCTGTGGCAGGAGAATCGCTTGAACCCAGGAGGCAGAGGTTGCACTGAGCCATTGCACTCCAGCCTGGGTAACAAGAGTGAAACTCTATCTCAAAAAAAAAAAACACAAAACAAAACTGATACCCCAAAATGTGGCACTCTGACATGGTGAACAGAAGAAGCAGCTGTGAGGGCCCTCTGACTTCCTCCCTCCCACTTCCTGTCTCTCATTTCTCTGTGCCTCCCAAAGCACAGGATGAAGCCGTTCAGTGAAGTTCCTTTAGTTACCTAAAGTCCAGACCTGCCAAAGAAGATACAATGACCTCTGGTCCCCTCCCTGAGCTTTAATGAACTGAACTCTTATCACAGGAAGAAAGACTGAAGTATATAAAGTGTATCAACATTCCTGGACAGAATTTTGTCACAAGCCCATCATCTGATCTGCAGGCCCAGTACACTTTGTCCCAGGCCATTGCATGTTCTGCAAGCCCCTTGAATGCATTTACTACCACTATCCCCTAAAATCATCCACTCATCTCCATCTCCCTTTGCCCTAAGAAGTGTATATAACCACCTGTACCTCACTGCATGGCAGGGTCATTGCTCTGTGATTCTCTCCTGTGCACATTAATAAATGTATACACCTTTTCTCCTATTCATCTGCCTTTTTATTTTTTTGAGATGGAGGCTTACCCTATTGCCCAGGCTCGAGTGCAGTGGCACGATCTCAGCTCACTGCAAGATTCGCCTCCTGGGTTCATGCCATTCTCCTGCCTCAGCCTCCCGAGTAGCTGGGACTACAGGCACCCGCCACCATACCCAGCTAATTTTTTGTATTTTTAGTAGAGACGGGGTTTTACCGTGTTAGCCAGGATGGTCTCGATCTCCTGACCTCATGAACCGCCTGCCTCAGCCTCCCAAAGTGCTGGGATTACAGGTGTGAGCCACCGTGCCCAGCCTCATCTGCCTTTCATCAGTTGATTTTCAATGAACCTTCAGAGGGTGAAGAGGAAGTTTTCCCTGACCCCTTATAATTAAGAAGGTCCTAGTTTTTCGTTTATCTTCCAATGCTGCTCATTACATCAAAGAGAAAGTTGGTGGTATTCCATCTACAAAACTTCTCAAATCCTGGGTAATGCCCCTTTGTAACAATAGGAATAGGACCAAGGTCTTCAGATAACCATATCTGGCAATTATTTGGTAGCACCATTTTTATTTCCATGGCATTTGTTTGCAAAGTTGTCTTCCAATTACAGAGTAATCGCAAGTTTTCCATTTATCAGTGATATGAGATTTCTTTCTAAAAGAATTATCTAGGCCGGAGGCAGTGGCGTTTGCCTGTAATCTCAGCTACTCAAGAGGTTAAGGTGGGAAGATCGCTTGAGCCCAGGAATTTGAGACCAGCCTGAGACAGTGAGATCCTATCTCAAAAAAGATTTCAGAATTGTCTACATAAATAAAAGGGCAAGTCCATTAAAAATAACATTATGAAAGTAATTATGTAGATTATAGGTAGATATGGTAAAAATAAAAATCAAGGTGGTACTCAAATGGCTGGCATTTGGGAAACTTTTTTTTTTTTTTTTTGAGATGGAGGCTCACTCTGTTGCCCAGGCTGGAGTGCAATGGTGCAATCTCGGCTCACTGCAACATCCACCTCCTGGGTTCAAGCAGTTCTCCTGCCTCAGCCTCCTAAATAGCTGGGATTACAGGCGTGTGCCACAATACCCAGCTAATTGCTGTATTTTTAATAGAGATAGTGTTTTGCCATGTTACCCAGGCTGGTCTTGAACTCCTGACCTCAGGTGATCTGCCCGCCTTGGCCTCCCAAAGTGCTGGGATTACAGGCATGAGCCACCTTGTCCAGCCAGGAAACATTTTTCTATGCAAAGGTAAAACCTGATGTATTGTCCTACATCTCTCATTCTCCCTCTCACCAATTGTTCCAGAACAATTGCAGGCCCTGGAGAGAAAGCAGGGCCTTCTAGAAAGAGAAATATAGCATTGACTAAAGATTACAGGAAGAGGAAGATTTGCCCTCCTACTTCCCCCTCTTCTTCTGTCTAGTATGATCACAGTGATTGGACTCTGGTGAAGGCTCCAAGATGGCCATCGGTAACCATCTTGGCTACCCTGACTCAGCATTCCCGGATTCGCCGGTTCCCACCATCCCAGCGGCCATCTTGGCCACCCTGACTTGGCATTTTCGCTTATTCCCGCCGTTTATTCCCGCCATCCCAACAGCCACCTCCGATACCCTGACTCAGCATTTCTGGGTTCACCTTTCCTGTTCCCGCCACCCGGACCAACTCGCATGCCCACTAGGGCGTGTCACACTCAGAAGCGCGAAACTCAACCGACCCCACCCCTACCCCACCCACTCCTCACCCAGCATCCATATAAGTCACGCTGCACCTTTGGCACAGCGTAACTTCCCTGGCCCTCCCCCTGCGGACAAATGAACCTCGCCCCAGAGCTCAATAAAGAAGATTTTTGCCCTCTTTGTCTCGCCTCTCAGCCTTATTGATCCACGGTGCCCTTCCATTGCCTTTCACACAGCATCAAGGACTGTGAGGGATCTCAGATTTTGCCCTACTTGCATGTTAACAAATTAGCCTGCCCTACTGGGTAGACTATGGATGTCGGTAAAAAGACATGAGCCTCCTGGGTCAGAGACAAAAGACAGTTTGTTACTCACAGCAATAGCAGTAGCCAGCACTTTTTGTGCCAGTTCCCCAAGCCCCAGTTTCCAAAGACTAACACCAAAAGGGTCCAGTGATTGCTGTACACATGCTAGGTTGCAATATAGGAGAGGAACCCTGGGCTTAGGGATCCTGAGTCTTTTATAATAGGCAGTAAGCAAGCCTACACTTTGCTCTGGAGGAAGATACTGTCTCTGTTTTTCTTTTTCTTTCTTTTTTTTCTTTTTTTTTTTTTGAGATGGAGTCTCGCTCTGTCACCCAGGCTGGAGTGCAGTGGCGTGATCTCGGCTCACTGCAAGCTCCACCTCCCAGGTTCATGCCATTCTAGTGCCTCAGCCTCCCAAGTAGCTGGGACTACAGTCACCCGCCACCACGCCCAGCTACTTTTTTGTACTTTTAGTAGAGACGGGGTTTCACCGTGTTAGTCAGGATGGTCTCGATCTCCTGACCTCATGATCTGCCCACCTCAGCCTCCCAAAGTGTTGGGATTACAGGTGTGAGCCACTGTGCCTGGCCCTGTCTCTGTTTTTCAAAGTTATTCATTACACAAACATCCTTGAAAAGTTCAGAGCTTGGCCAGATGCAGGGACTCATCCCTATAATCCCAGCAATCTGGGAGGCCAAAGTGGGAGAATTACTGAGTCTAGGAGTTCAAGACCAGCCTGGGCAACATAGCAAGACCCCCATCTCTACAAAAAATTTATCAGTTACCCAGGTGTGGTGGCACACACCCGTAGTCCTAGCTATTCAGAAGGCTGAATTGGGAGGATTGCTTGAGCCCAGGAGGTTGACACTGCAGTGAGCTGTGATCACACCACTGCACTCGGCCTGGGTGCCAGAGTGAGACCCTCTCTCATAAAAGAAAAAGTTCAGAACTCTTCTGAAAAGGAAGCCAGTACTTTTTCATAAAAGAGGCCCGTGGAGAACTGTCTCCTAACAGACAGCAGCTTATACTGCAGCTTGAACTCTAAGGCTGGCCCCATGTAGTCATATTAAGTAGCTTATAGCCCAGTAAGCATAGTTAACATTTACTGAAAACTTCCCAGGCCCTTCAAATGCATTTTCTCACTGTAATATCTTATTGAGGTAGGTTTTATTCCCATTTTATAGATAAAGAAACTAAGGCTCAGGTAAGTTGAATACATTGTCTGATATCACCCAGCTAGAAGTAGGAGGGCCAGAGTTTGAACTCAGGCTGGTCTTACTTCAGATAATTGGTATCCCATTCTATCCAAACACCTGCTATGCAAATAAAGTTAGATAGGGAGGAATACTTGTACTTGCTTTTGGAGCGAGACTCCATCACAAAAAAAAAAAAAAAAAAAATGTGTTTTCAAGTCTCAAAGAATGCAAAGTAGCTACTTTTTTCTAGAGGACCCAGTTGTGCTGTGCAAATCAGACAAGGGAAGGTGACGAGAGTCCCTTCTCTGCCTTTTTCTGCGCTCTCAGTGAATGGATTCAAATCCAGCCTCTGTCATTCACTCACCTTGAGATCTAGACCCAGAGGCTCCCTCTCTCTGGCCTGGCTTCTTGGTCCTGGATGACCCACCTCAGTGTATCCAGCAGTCTTTCCTCTGCCCGCTCTGCTCCCCAGACCTACCTGTGACCATATGTTCTCAGCCTTAGGCCAGTTTTCACTGCTTTCATGGCATCTGGCTACCCGGATAGATGTGGAGGGGAGTTGGGACCCCTCGGACCGTGAAGAAAAGAAGCCTCCATCCCATTTCCTGGGAAAGCATCTGAACAACAGTGAGACCTTTCAGGAGGCCAGATGTGGGCACCTCCCAACACCCGGGCTTCATTATGCTGAATGTGTCGCCTCCTTTTCTACTCCTCGAGTTGCCTTAGAAAAGATTTCCTATGACTGGCTCTGCAGGTGGAGACCCGAGAAACCTGGAGAGGGTTGGAGGTGGGAATGGGGGTGGGGAGAGCTCTACACTTTATTGTGTCTCGCACAATTCCTGGCACATATGAGCGTGGCTGCTATGAAAACAAATCAGAAATGGAGATGATTATGTCAGAGATCTCTACAAAGGAGCCAGGAGGGCAGGGGAAGCTGGCCCCTAGTCATGCATCACGCACACGACCAGATGGGATTTAACCTGTTTGAACTGGGCCAAATCGCAACCGTCCTGGAGAAGCAGCTGCATTGGATTTGAGCTGCTCACACCGGGCGGATCACGAAGCTCCCAAGGAGACAGCTGTACCAAATTAAGCTGATCATGGCCTGGAGACTTTCTAAGCTGTCAACCAGCTATTATCAATCCTGGGCTGTGCTAAAATCTTCCACTTGTGTAAACTTGCAGTAAACCTTTACAAACCCCTGCCTACCTCACCTGGACCAAACACAATTTAGCTACTTGCTAGATTTGTGTCTCCTGAATTGCAGTTTAAAAACCCTGATTAAAACATTGTCTGTTTTATTTGTGGCTCCACAGTATTGGTTCTATTTCTCACTAGTTGACAGTGCATTTTTTTTTTTTTTTTGAGACACAGTTTCACTCTTGTTGCCAGGCTAGAGTGCAGTGGCAACTTCCACTTGGCTCTCTGCAACTTCCACCTCCTGGGTTCAAGCAATTCTCCTGTCTCAGCCTCCAAAGTAGCTGGGATTACAGGTGCCTGCCACCACGCCTGGCTAATTTTGTATTTTTAGTTGAGACAGGGTTTTACCATGTCGGCCAGGCTGGTCTCAAACTCCTGACCTCAGGTGATCTGCCTGCCTCAGCCTCCCAAAGTGCTGGGATGACAAGCGTGAGCCACCATGCCCTGCCTAACTTCCTTTAATCTGCAACTAAAGTCTCAGTCCTTAAGACCTTCCTCTGGATCCTTAGCAAATTTACTTAATCTAAATGGGTCCAGGTCCTGGGGTGATTACCCTTTTCTTGTCTCCTGCTAAATCACAGAGGTTTGGGGACTTCCTTCAGACCCCCAATAAACTTATTTGTGGAGGCTTCTTCAGATCCATAGTAAAACTTCTTTAATCCTAAATGGGTCCTGTTAAGAATTCCTTTGTTATATTTTTTATTTTTATTTATTTATCTATTTATTATTTTAGACAGTCTCACTCTGTTGCACAGGCTGGAGTACAGTGGCATGATCTCAGCTCACTGCAACCTCCGCCTCCCGGGTTCAAGCAATTCTACTGCCTAGGCTTCTGAGTAGCTGGGACTACAGGCACATGCCACCAGGCCAGGCTAATTTTTGTATTTTTAGTAGAGATAGGGTTTCACCACGTTGGCCAGGCTGTCCTTCGTTATTTTGTCATGCTTTAAGGCCCAGGAAGACCCAGGCAAAACTCTTTGGGCTTTTGTTACATTCCAGCCTTTGCATAAGGGCACTGGCTTTTAATATTTTGAGACAGAGTTTCGCTCCTGTCGCCCAGGCTGGAGTGCAGTGGTGCGACCTCGGCTCACTACAAACTCTGCCTCCCAGGTTCGAGTGATTCTCCTGCCTCAGCCTCCTCAGTAGCTGGGATTACAGGTGCCCACCATCACGCCCGGCTAATTTTTGTATTTTTAGTAGAGACGGGGTTTCGCCACGTTGGGCAAGCTGGTCTCAAACTCCTGACCTCAGGTGATCTGCCTGCCTTGGCCTCCCAAAGTGCTGGGATTACAGGCGTGAACCACTGTGCCCAGCCTATTGTTATTTATTTCTTTTGCCAATTTGTGGTTTTTATTACAAAGACCACTAACCTGAGGAAAGAGATGTTGGGGCTTAGAAAATGATACCCTAAAATGAAGGCCCTACAAACAGCCGCAGAAAAAAAGTCTCTCTCTGCCCTTCTTCTGCCCTCCTGTCTCTCTCCCCTCATTTTCCCCCATAGAAACTGGATTCCCGGTCAGGCGCGGTGGCTTATGTCTGTAATCCCAGCACTTTGGGAGGCTGAGGTGGATGGATCACGAGGTCAGGAGATCAAGACCATCCTGGCCAACATGGTGAAAAACACGCCTCTATTACAATTTAAAAAAGAAAAAAAAAAAAAGAAACTGGATTCCCTTTTCCCCAAGGCAGGTCACAGAAACCAGAACCCCTTCTTTCTAAAGCCAGCCATAAAACCTATAGGTATTACTCTACGTCTCCCGACTCCACTTCCATGTAAGAACTGCCCATAAAGAAATTGTCTGACCTACCTTGCTTGATTGTAGGTCATCTGAAAGTTGGCTGTACAAACTGGGTCATTCTTGTCATACTCAACTAAATCAGAGTCAATGGGCGAGGGATAAAAAGCACTCAGGGTACCTAACATTTCTCTAGAAATGCTATTCTCTGCAAGTCCAGTGGCTGAAACTGCCTGTTGTAACTTGAAACCAGTTTTATCTATAGCTGCTGAGATAACCTACTGCAACTCTAGGACTAATTTTGCCCGTAGGATTCACCTACCAATTGGTGCTTGTCAGCTCCCTATAGCTTTACTAATGCCAATGAACTTTCTTTCAGGACCATACATAACATTCCTCTTTGATTTTTTTAAATCTTTTTTAAAATTGATTGATTGATTGATTGAGACAGAGTCTCGCTTTGTTGCCCAGGCTAGAGTGCAGTGGTGTGATCTTGGCTCGCTGCAACCTCTATCTCCTGGATTTAAGTGATTCTCCTGCCTCAGCCTCCCGAGTAGCTGGGATTATAGGCATGTACCATCATGCCCAGCTAATTTTTGTATTTTTATTAGAGCCGGGGTTTCACCATGTTGGTCAGTCTTGTCTCGAACTCCTGACCTCAAATGATCCACCTGCCTCAGACTCCCAAAGTGCTGGGATTACAGGTGTGAGCCACCACACCTGGCCACCTTTTCTCCTATTAATCTGCATTTTGTCAGTTGATTTTCAGTGAATCTTCAGAGGGTCAAATGGAAGTTTTTCCTCACCCCTACCTGTCAGGCCTCTGAGCCCAAGCTAAGCCATCATATCCCCTGTGGCCTGCACATACACATCCAGATGGCCGGTTCCTGCCTTAACTGATGACATTCCACCACAAAAGAAGTGAAAATGGCCTGTTCCTGCCTTAACTGATGACATTACCTTGTGAAATTCCTTCTTCTGGCTCATCCTGGCTCAAAAGCTCCCCTGCTGAGCACCTTGTGACCCCCTGCCCCTGCCAGCCAGAGAACAACCCCCTTTGACTGTAATTTTCCTTTACCCAAACCCTATAAAACAGCCCCACCCCTATCTTCGGACTCAGCCCGCCTGCACCCAGGTGAAATAAACAGCCTTGTTGATCACACAAAGCCTGTTTGATGGTCTCTTCACACTGACGTGAGTGAAATTTTGGTGCCGTGACTCGGATCTGGGGAGTCACAATCCGAGATCAATCCCCTGTCCTCCTGCTCTTTGCTCCACCTACGACCTCGGGTCCTCAGACCAACCAGCCCAAGGAACATCTCACCAGTTTTAAATCCGGTAAGTGGCCTCTTTTTACTCTTTTCTCCAACCTCTCTCACTATCCCTCAACCTCTTTCTCCTTACAATCTTGGCGCCACACTTCAATCTCGCCCTTCTCTTAATTTCAGTTCCTTTCCTTTTCTGGTAGAGACAAAGCAGACACGTTTTATTTGTGGACCCAAAACTCCGGCGCCAGTCACGGACTCGGGAAGACAGTCTTCCCTTGGTGTTTAATCATGCGGGGACGCTTGCCTGATTATTCACCCACATTTCACTGGTGGCAAGTCAATTGCGGGGATGCCTGCTTTGGCTGCTCACCCACATTGCAGCCCAGGGCTGCTCACCTGCTCACCCACCCCTTCTCTCCGTGTCTCTACCCACCCCTTCTCCACTTTCCTGAGGAGCAAGCACCCCCCACCCCTCCTCGCCATTTCTCCACCCCTTCTCCGCTTTCCTGGGGGGCAAGCACCCCCCACCCCTTCTCACTTTCCTGGGGGGCAAGCATCCCCCACCCCTTCTCCCCATGTCTCCACCCCTTCTCCATTTTCCCGGGAGGCAAGCACCCCCCACCCCTTCTTTCCATGTCTCTGCCCCTTTTCCACTTTCGTCGGGGGGAAGCACCCCCCATCCCTTCTCACTTTCCTGAGGGGGAAGCACCCCCCACCCCTTCTGTCTGTGTCTCTACCCTCTCTTTTCTCCGGACTTGCCTCCTTCACTATAGGCAACCTTCCATCCTCCATTCCTCCTTCTCCCTTAGCCTGTGTTCTCAAGAACTTAAAACCTCTTCAACTCTCGCCTGACCTAAAACCTAAACGCCTTATTTTCTTCTGCAATGCTGCTTCACCCCAATACAAACTCGACAATGGCTCTAAATGGCCAGAAAATGGCACTTCAGGTTTCTCCATCCTACAAGACCTAAATAATTCTTGTCGTAAAATGGGCAAACGGTCTGAGGTGCCTGACGTCCAGGCATTCTTTTACACATCGGTCCCTCCCTAGTCTCTGTTCCTAATGCAACTCATCCCAAATCTTCCTTCTTTCCCTCCCGCCTGTCCCCTCAGTCCCAACCCCAAGTGTTGCTGAGTCTTTTGAATCTTCCTTTTCTGTGGACCCATCTGACCTCTCCCCTCCTCCCCAGGCTGCTCCTCGGCAGGACAAGCTAGGTCCCAATTCTTCCTCAGCCTCTGCTCCTCCACCCTATAATCTTTTTATCACCTCCCCTCCTCACACCTGGTCCGGCTTACAGTTTCGTTCTGTGACTAGCCCTCCCCCACCTGCCCAGCAATTTACTCTTAAAAAGGTGGCTGGAGCTAAAGGCATAGTCAAGGTTAATGCTCCTTTTTCTTTATCGCAAATCAGATAGCATTTAGGCTCTTTTTCATCAAATATAAAAACCCAGCCCAGTCCACGGCCTGTTTGGCAACAACCCTTAGATGCTTTACCGCCCTAGACCCAGAAGAGCCAGAAGGCCATCTTATTCTCAATATGCATTTTATCACCCAATCAGCTCCTGACATTAGAAAAAAACTTCAAAAATTAGAATCTGGCCCTCAAACCCCACAACAGGAATTAATCAACCTCACCTTCAAGGTGTACAATAATAGAGAGGAGGCAGCCAGATGGCAACGCATTTCTGAGTTACAATTACTTGCCTCTGCTGTCAGAGAAACCCCAGCCACATCTCCAGCACACAAGAACTTAAACACCTGAACCACAGCTGCCAGGGTTTCCTCCACGACCTCCTCCCCCAGGAGCTTGCTTCAAGTGCTGGAAATCTGGCCACAGGGCCAAGGAATGCCCACAGCCTGGGATTCCTCCTAAGCTGTGTCCCATCTGTGCAGGACCCCACTGAAAATCGTACTGTCCAACTCACCTGGCAGCCACTTCCAGAGTCCCTGGAACTCTGGCCCAAGGCTCTGTGACTGACTCCTTCCCAGATCTTCTCAGCTTAGCAGCTGAAGACTGACGCTGCCCAATCGCCTCAGAAGCCCCCTGGACCATCACAGACGCCAAGCTTCAGGTAACTCTCACAGTGGAGGGTAAGTCCATACCCTTCTTAATCAATATGGAGACTACCCACTCCACCTTACCTTATTTTCAAGGGCCTGTTTCCCTTGCCTCCATAACTGTTGTGGGTATTGACGGCCAGGCTTCTAAACCTCTTAAAACTCCCCAACGCTGGTGCCAGCTTGGACAACATACTTTTAAGCACTCCTTTTTAGTTATCCCCACCTGCCCAGCTCCCTTTTTTGGTTGAGATATTTTAACTAAATTATCTGCTTTTCTGACTATTCCTGGGCTACAGCCACACCTCATTGCCACCTTTTCTCCCAGTTCAAAGCCTCCTTCACATCCTCTCCTTGTATCTCCCCACCTTAATCCACAAGTATAGGATACCTCTACTCCCTCCTTGGCAACAAATGATGCACCCCTTATCATCCCATTAAAACCTAATCACCTTTACCCCACTCAACACCAATGTCCCATCCCACAGCATGCTTTAAAAGGATTAAAGCCAGTTATCACTCACCTGTTACAGCATGGCCTTTTAAAGCCTATAAGCTCCCCTTACAATTCCCCCATTTTACCTGTCCTAAAACCAGACAAGCCTTACAAGTTAGTTCAGGATCCGTGCCTTATCAACCAAATTGTTTTTGCCTATCCACCCCGTGGTGCCAAACCCATACACTCCTATCCTCAATAACTCTCTCCACAACCCATTATTCTGTTCTGGATCTCAAACATGCTTTCTTTACTATTCCTTTACACCCTTCATCCCAGCCTCTCTTTGCTTTCACTTGGACTGACCCTGACACCCATCAGGCTCAGCAAATTACCTGGGCTGTACTGCCGCAAGGCTTCACAGACAGCCCCCATTACTTCAGTCAAGCCCAAATTTCTTCTTCCTCTGTTACCTATCTCAGCATAATTCTCATGAAAACACACGTGCTCTCCCTGCTGATCGTGTCCGCTAATCTCCCAAATCCCAATCCCTTCTACAAAACAACAACTCCTTTCCTTCCTAGGCATGGTTAATGTGGTCAGAATTCTTTTTTTTTTTTATTACTATTATTATACTTTAAGTTTTAGGATACATGTGCACAACATCCAGGTTTGTTACATATGTATACATGTGCCATGTTGGTGTGCTGCACCCATTAACTTGCCATTTAGCATTAGGAATATCTCCTAATGCTATCCCTCCCCACTACCCCCACCCTACAACAGTCCCCAGTGTGTGATGTTCCCCTTCCTGTGTCCGTGTGTTCTCATTGTTCACTTCCTACCTATGAGTGAGAATATTCGGTGTTTGGTTTTTTGTCCTTGCGATAGTTTGCTGAGAATGATAGTTTTCAGCTTCATCCATGTCCCTACAAAGGACATGAACTCATCATTTTTTATGGCTGCATAGTATTCCACGGTGTATATGTGCCACATTTTCTTAATCCAGTCTATCGTTGTTGGACATTTGGGTTTGTTCCAAGTCTTTGCTATTGTGAATAGTGCCTCAATAAACATACGTGTGTATGTGTCTTTATAGCAGCATGATTTATAATCCTTTGGGTATATACCCAGTAATGGGATGGCTGGGTCAAATGGTATTTGTAGTTCTAGATCCCTGAGGAATCGCCACACTGACTTCCACAATGGTTGACCTAGTTTACAGTCCCACCAACAGTGTAATAGTGTTCCTAATTCTCCACATCCTCTCCAGCACCTGTTGTTTCCTGACTTTTTAATGATTGCCATTCTAACTGGTGTGAGATGCTATCTCATTGTAGTTTTGATTTGCATTTCTCTGATGGCCAGTGATGATGAGCATTTTTTCATGTGTTTTTTGGCTGAATAAATGTCTTCTTTTGAGAAGTGTCTGTTCATATACTTTGCCCACTTTTTGATGGGGTTGTTTGTTTTTTTCTTATAAACTTGTTTGAGTTCATTGTAGATTCTGGATATTAGCCCTTTGTTAGATGAGTAGGTTGCAAAAATTTTCTCCCATTCTGTAGGTTGCCTGTTCACTCTGATGGTGGTTTCTTTTGCTGTGCAGAAGCTCTTTAGTTTAATTAGATCCCATTTGTCAATTTTGGCTTTCGTTGCCATTGCTTTTGGTGTTTTAGACATGAAGTCCTTGCCCATGCCTATGTCCTGAATGGCATTGCCTAGGTTTTCCTCTAGGGATTTTATGGTTTTAGGTCTAACATGTAAGTCTTTAATCCATCTTGAATTAATTTTTGTATAAGGGGTAAAGAAGGGACCCAGTTTCAGCTTTCTACATATGGCTAGCCAGTTTTCCCAGCACCATTTATTAAATAGGGAATCCTTTCCACATTGCTTGTTTTTGTCAGGTTGGTCAAAGATCAGATAGTTGTAGATACACGGCATTATTTCTGAGGGCTCTGTTCTGTTCCATTGGTCTATATCTCTGTTTTTGTACCAGTACCATGCTGTTTTGGTTACTGTAGCCTTGTAGTATAGTTTGAAGTCAGGTAGTGTGATGCCTCCAGCTTTGTTCTTTTGGCTTAGGATTGACTTGGTGATGTGGGCTCTTTTTTGGTTCCATATGAACTTTAAAGTAGTTTTTTCCAATTCTGTGAAGAAAGTCATTGGTAGCTTGATGGGGATGGCATTGAATCTGTAAATTACCTTGGGCAGTATGGCCATTTTCACGATATTGATTCTTCCTACCCATGAGCATGGAATGTTCTTCCATTTGTTTGTATCCTCTTTTATTTCATTGAGCAGTGGTTTGTAGTTCTCCTTGAAGAGGTCCTTCACGTCCCTTGTAAGTTAGATTCCTAGGTATTTTATTCTCTTTGAAGCAATTGTGAATGGGAGTTCACTCATGATTTGGCTCTCTGTTTGTCTGTTATTGGTGTATAAGAATGCTTGTGATTTTTGCACACTGATTTTGTATCCTGAGACTTTGCTGAATTTGCTCATCAGCTTAAGGGGATTTTGGGCTGAGACAATGGGGTTTTCTAGATATACGATCATATCATCTGCAAACAAGGACAATTTGACTTCCTCTTTTCCTAATTGAATGCCCTTTGTTTCCTTCTCCTGCCTAATTGCCCTGACCAGAACTTCCAGCACTATGTTGAATAGGAGTGGTGAGAGAGGGCATCCCTGTCTTGTGCCAGTTTTCAAAGGGAATGCTTCCAGTTTTTGCCCATTCAGTATGATATTGGCTGTGGATTTGTCATAGATAGCTCTTATTATTTTGAGATACATCAATACCTAATTTATTGAGAGTTTTTAGCATGAAGCGTTGTTGAATTTTGTCAAAGGTCTTTTCTGCATCTATTGAGATAATCATGTGGTTTTTGTCTTTGGTTCTGTTTATATGCTGGATTACGTTTATTGATTTTCGTATGTTGAACCAGCCTTGCATCCCAGGGATGAAGCCCACTTGATCATGGTGGATAAGCTTTTTGATGTGTTACTGGATTCAGTTTGCCAGTATTTTATTGAGGATTTTTGCATCAATGTTCATCAAGGATATTGGTCTAAAATTCTCTTTTTTGGTTGTGTCTCTGCCAGGCTTTGGTATCAGGATGATGCTGGCCTCATAAAATGAGTTAGGGAGGATTCCCTCTTTTTCTATTGTTTGGAATAGTTTCAGAAGGAATGGTACCAGCTCCTCCTTGTACCTCTGGTAGAATTCGGCTGTGAATCCATCTGGTCCTGGACTTTTTTTGGTTGGTAAGCTATTAATTATTGCCTCAATTTCAGATCCTGTTATTGGTCTATTCAGAGATTCAACTTCTGGTTTAGTCTTGGGAAAATGTATGTGTCGAGGAATTTATCCATTTCTTCTAGATTTTCTAGTTTATTTGCGTAGAGGTGTTTATAGTATTCTCTGATGGTAGTTTGTATTTCTGTGGGATCGGTGGTGATATCCCCTTTGTCATTTTTTATTACATCTATTTGATTCTTCTCTCTTTTCTTCTTTATTAGTCTTGCTAACGGTCTATCAATTTTGTTGATCTTTTCAAAAAACAAGCTCCTGGATTCATGGATTTTTTGAAGGGTTTTTTGTGTGTCTATTTCCTTCAGTTCTGTTCTGATCTTAGTTATTTCTTGCCTTCTGCTAGCTTTTGAATGTGTTTGCTCTTGCTTCTCTAGTTCTTTTAATTGTGATGTTAGGGTGTCAATTTTAGATCTTTCCTGCTTTCTTTTGTGGGCATTTAGTGCTATAAATTTCCCTCTACACACTGCTTTGAATGTGTCCCAGAGATTCTGGTATGTTGTGTCTTTGTTCTTGTTGGTTTCAAAGAACATCTTTATTTCTGCCTTCATTTCATTATGTACCCAGTAGTCATTCAGGAGCAGGTTGTTCAGTTTCCATGTAGTGGAGCGGTTTTGAGTGAGTTTCTTAATCCTGAGTTCTAGTTTGATTGCACTGTGGTCTGAGAGACAGTTTGTTATAACTTCTGTTCTTTTACATTTGCTGAGGAGCGCTTTATTTCCAACTAAGTGGTCAATTTTGGAATAGGTGTGGTGTGGTACTGAAAAGAATTTATATTCTGTTGATTTGGGGTGGAGAGTTCTGTAGATGTCTATTAGGTCCACTTGGTGCAGAGCTGAGTTCAATTCCTGGATATCCTTGTTAACTTTCTGTATCGTTGATCTGTCTAATGTTGATAGTGGGGTGTTAAAGTCTCCTATTATTATTGTGTGGGAGTCTAAGTCTCTTTGCAGGGCACTAAGGACTTGCTTTATGAATCTGGGTGCTTCTGTATTGGGTGCATATATATTTAGGATAGTTAGTTCTTCTTGTTGAATTGATCCCTTTACCATTATGTAATGGCCTTCTTTGTCTCTTTTGATGTTTGTTGGTTTAAAGTCTGTTTTATCCGAGACTAAGATTGCAACCCCTGCCTTTTTTTGTTTTCCATTTGTTTGGTGGATCTTCTTCCATCCCTTTATTTTGAGCCTATGTGTGTCTCTGCATATGAGAATACAGCACACTGATGGGTCTTGACTCTTTATCCAATTTGCCAGTCTGTGCCTTTTAATTGGAGTATTTAGCCCATTTACATTTAAGGTTAGTATTGTTATGTGTGAATTTGATCCTGTCATTATGATGTTAGCTGGTTATTTTGCTCATTAGTTGATGCAGTTTCCTCCTAGCCTTGATGGTCTTTACAATTTGGTATGTTTTTGCAGTGGCTGGTACTGGTTGTTCCTTTCCATGTTTAGTGCTTCCTTCAGGAGCTCTTTTAGGGAAGGCCTAGTGGTGACAAAATCTCTCAGCATTTGCTTGTCTGTAAAGTATTTTATTTCTCCTTCACTTATGAAACTTAGTTTGGCTGGATATGAAATTCTGGGTTGAAAATTCTTTTCTTTAAGAATGTTGAATATTGGCCCCCACTCTCTTCTGGCTTGTAGAGTTTCTGCCGAAAGATCAGCTGTTAGTCTGATGGGCTTCCCTTTGTGGGTAACCCGACCTTTCTCTCTGGCTTCCCTTAACATTTTTTCCTTCATTTCAACTTTGGTGAATCTGAAAATTATGTGACTTGGAGTTGCTCTTCTCGAGGAGTATCTTTGTGGCGTTCTCTATATTTCCTGAATTTGAATGTTTGCCTGCCTTGCTATATTGGGGAAGTTCTCCTGGATAATATCCTGCAGAGTGTTTTCCAACTTGGTCCCATTCTCCCTGTCACTTTCAGGTACACCAATTAGATGTAGATTTGGTCTTTTCACATAGTCCCATATTTCTTGGAGGCTTTGTTCATTTCTTTTCTTTTTTCTCTAAACTTCTCTTCATGCTTCATTTCATTCATTTCATCTTCCATCGCTGATACCCTTTCTTCCAGTTGATCACATCAGTGACTGAGGCTTGCGCATTCGTCACATATTTCTCATGCCGTGCTTTTCAGCTCCATCAGGTTTTTTAAGGACTTCTCTGCATTGGTTATTCTAGTTATCCATTCGTTTAATTTTTTTTCAAAGTTTTTAACTTCTTTGCCGTTGGTTCAAACTTCCTCCTTTAGCTTGGAGTAGTTTGATCTTCTGAAGCCTTCTTCTCTCAACTCGTCAAAGTCATTCTCCATCCAGCTTTGTTCCGTTGCTGGTGAGGAGCTGCATTCCTTTGGAGGAGGAGAGGCGCTCTGATTTTTAGAGTTTCCGGTTTTTCTGCTCTGTTTTTTTCCCCATCTTTGTGGTTTTATCTACCTGTTGTCTTTGATGATGGTGACCTACAGATGGGTTTTTGGTGTGGATGTCCTTTCTGTTTGTTAGTTTTCCTTCTAACAGTCAGGACCCTCAGCTGCAGGTCTGTTGGAGCTTACTGGAGGTCCACTTCAGACCCTGTTTGCCTGGGTATGAGCAGCAGTGGCTGCAGAACAGCGGATATTGGTGAACCGCAAATGCTGCTGCCTGATCGTTCCTCTGGAAGTTTTGTCTCAGAGGAGTACTCGGCTGTGTGAGGTGTCAGTCTGCCCTTACTGAGGGGTGCCTCCCAGTTAGGCTACTCTAGGGTTAGGGACCCACTTGAGGAGGCAGTCTGCCTGTTCTCAGATCTCAAGCTGCATGCTGGGAGAACCACTACTGTCTTCAAAACTATCAGACAGGGACATTTAAGTCTGCAGAGGTTATTGCTGTCTTTTGTTTGTCTGTGCCCTACCCCTAGAGGTGGAGCCTACAGAGGCAGGCAGTCCTCCTTGAGCTGTGGTGGGCTCCACCCAGTTCCACCTTCCTGGCTGCTTTGTTTACCTGCTCAAGCCTAGGCAATGGCGGGCTCCCCGCCCCCAGCCTCACTGCTGCCTTGCAGTTTGATCTCAGACTGGCGTTCTAGCAATGAGCGAGGCTCTGTGGGCGTAGGACCCTCTGAGCCCAGTGCGGGATATAATCTCCTGGTGTGCCGTTTGTTAAGCCTGTTGGAAGTGCGCAGTATTTGGGTGGGAGTGGCCCGATTTTCCAGGTGCTGTCTTTCACCCCTTTCTTTGACTAGGAAAGGGAATTACCTGACCCCTCGTGCTTCCCGCGTGAGGTGATGACTCGCCCTGCTTTGGCTTACGCACGGTGCGCTGTACCCACTGTCCTGCACCCACTGTCTGGCACTCCCAAGTGAGATGAACCTGGTACCTCAGTTGGAAATGCAGAAATCACCCATCTTCTGCGTCGCTCACGCTGGGAGCTATAGACTGGAGCTGTTCCTATTCGGCCATCTTGGCTCCACCATGTGGTCAGAATTCTTACACAAGAGCTGGGACTGCACCGTGTAGCCTTTCTGTCGAAACAACTTGACCTTACTGTTTTAGCATAGCCTTCCTATCTGCATGCAGTGGCTCCTACTGCCTTAATACTTTTTAGAGGCCCTCAAAATCACAAACTATGCTCAACTCACGCTCTACAGTTCTCGTAACTTCCAAAATATATTTTCTTCCTCACACCTGATGCATATACTTTCTTGCCCCCCTTCACTACCTCTCAGAAAGCCAAACTCATTGCCTTAACTTGAGCCCTCACTCTTGCAAAAGGACTACACGTCAATATTTATACTGACGCTAAATATGCCTTCCATACCCTGCACCAGCATGCTGTTATATAGGCAAAAAGAGGTTTCCTCACTACTCAAGGGTCCTCCATCATTAATGCCTCTTTAATAAAAATGCTTCTCAAAGCCGCTTTACTTCCAAAGGAAGCTGGAGTCACTTACTGTGAAGGCCATCAAAGGGCATCAGATCCCATCACTCAGGACAATGCTTATGCTGATAAGTTAGCTAAAAAAGCAGCTAGCATTCCAACTTCTATCCCTCATGGCAGTTTTTCTTCTTCTCATCTGGCCACTCTCACCTACTCCCCCGCTGAAACTTCAACCTATCAATCTCTTCCCACACAAGGCAAATGGTTCTTGACCCAAGGAAAATGTCTCCTTCCAGCCTCACAGGCCCATTCTATTCTGTTGTCATTTCATAACCTCTTTCATGTAGGTTACAAGCCGCTAGCCCGCCTCATAGGACCTCTCATTTCCTTTCAATCATGGAAATCTATCCTCAAGGAAATCACTTCTCAGTGTTCCATCTGCTATTCTACTACCCCTCAGGGATTTCTCAGGCCCCCTCCCTTCCCTACACATCAAGCTCGGGGATTTGCCCCAACCCAGGACTGGCAAATTGACTTTACTCACGTGCCTCGAGTCAGGAAACTAAAATACCTCTTGGTCTAGGTAGACACTTTCAATGGATGGGTAGAGGCCTTTCCCACAGGGTCTGAGAAGGCCACCATGGTCATTTCTTCCCTTCTGTCATAAATAATTCCTCAGTTTGGCCTTTCCACCTCTATATAGTCCGATAACAGACTGGCCTTTATTAGTTAAATCACCCAAGCAGTTTCTCAGGATCTTGGTATTCAGTGAACTAATGGTCTTTTAAAAATACACCTCACCAAGCTCAGCCACCAACTTGAAAAGGACTGGACAATACTTTTACCACTTTCCCTTCTCAGAACTTGGGCCTGTCCTTGGAATGCTACAGGGTACAGCCCATTTCAGCTCCTGTATGGGCGCTCCTTTTTATTAGGCCCCAGTCTCATTCCAGACACCAGACCAACTTGGACTGTGCCCCAGAAAACTTGTCATCCCTACTATCTTCTGTCTAGTCATTCTCCTATTCACCATTCTCAACTACTCATAAATGCCCTGCTCTTGTTTACACTGCCGGTTTACACTGTTTCTCCAAGCCATCATAGCTGATATCTGCTGGTGCTATCCCCAAACCTCCACTCTTAACTCCCTCTTAAAGTAAATAAGTAATCTTTGCTGGCAAGGCTATGCTGAACCCCCTTGAGCACTGTCTAATTGGATGTCCTGGGTCCTCCCAATTCTAAGTCATTTAATATCTGTTTTTCTTCTTCTCTTAATTCGGACCTTGTGTCTTCCATTTAGTTTCTCAATTCATACAAAACCACATCCAGGCCATCACCAATCATTCTATATGACGAATGCTCCTTTTAACAACCCCACAATATCACCCCTTACCACAAAATCTTCCTTCAGCTTAATCTCTCCCACTCTAAGTTCCCACACCGCCCCTAATCCTGCTCAAAGCAGCCTGAGAAACATTGCCCATTATCTCTCCATACCACTCCCAAAATTTTCGCCACCCAACACTTTACCACTATTTCATTTTATTTTTCTTATTAATATAAGAAGACAGGAATGTCAGGCCTCTGAGCCCAAGCTAAGCCATCATATCCCCTATGACCTGCACATACACCTCCAGATGGCTGGTTTCTGCCTTAACTGATGACATTCCACCACAAAAGAAGTGAAAATGGCTTGTTCCTGCCTTAACTGATGACATTACCTTGTGAAATTCCTTCTCCTGGCTCATCCTGGCTCAAAAGCTCCCCCACTGAGCACTTTGTGACCCCCGCCCCTACCGGCCAGAGAACAACCCCCTTTGACTGTAATTTTCTTTACCTACCCAAATCCTATAAAATGGCCCCACCCCTATCTCCCTTCACTGACTCTCTTTTCGGACTCAGCCCGCCTGCACCCAGGTGAAATAAACAGCCTTGTTGCTCACACAAAGCCTGTTTGGTGGTCTCTTCACACGGACCAAGTGAAACCACCGAGTCAAGAAATTTAGCAACTGTCGTTTTTTTGTATTTCTCCTAAATTGGATTTTCCAGAAACACAATGAATATTTATAATGGCATTAATGAGCTCACTTATCACCAAGTGCTGGTTTGCAGACGTGATCTGAATGATGCCACCTTTCACTCTTTCTTTTTGAGTCTTTTGGCCAAGAATTACCATGTAAGGTTTTGCACAAGAAAGGAAATCTGCCATCTATTTGGTGCAATGGCCTTATTTGTGTATTCAAAAAGACATGATCCGGAGTGGGAGGTTTCATTAAAGTGGTTGCAACCCTCCAAGGCATTCTTCTTGCACTATTTGTCTGTGGAGCTTTGGGGTAGAAATTAATCAAATTTTTGGCAGAGATTTGTAGGATATTAATGTTGGTTGGGGATTTGATCCACTGTTTTCTTGAAGTGGGAAGAAAAGATCCCAGGAACACTGCCCAGCTAAGGGTGAGTGAATGTGATGGTAATTTACATGGAAAGGATTAACCAATTCTTCCTGAAGGATGAAACTGATCACCTTTGAGAGGTAGTGTGCCTCAGGGTCTGTTCCCACCCTTCCTCAGTGGCTGGGCTGAAACTACTGCCCCTGGTTCTCAGTTAAACCTTAGGATTCTCAAGTGCAGGGTTTCTCTATCTTTGCCTGAAAGATTGAAACTTTGAGACTGGGCGTGGTGGCTCACACCTATCATTCCAGCACTTTGGGAGGACAAAGTGGGTGGATCACTTGAAGCCAGGAGTTGGAGACCAGGCTGGGCAACATGACAAAACCCCATCTCTACAAAAAATACAAAAATTAGCTGGGCATGGTGGCATGCACCTCTGGCCCCAGCAACTCAGGAGGCTGAGGTGGGAGGATCGCTTGGTCCTGGGAGGTGGAGGTTGCAGTGAGCTAAGATCATGCCACTGCACTCCAGCCCAGGCAACAGAGTGAGACTCTGTCTCCAAAAAAAAAAAAAAAAAAAAATTCAACCTCTAGAAGCAAAGTAGAGAATCTCATTCCTATCCAGCTGGCACTGACTATGTGGGAGTTTGACATTATGTTTAGGGGCTAAAGTTTTTTTATTCCAATAGATCATGTACGAGTTAAGGGATATTATCCATTCGAATAAAACCTTCGCCCTCTGAAAGTTCCCTGAAAATCAACTGACAAAATGTAAATGATAGAAGAAAAGGCATACACGTTTATTAGCATGTGCTGGGGAGGATCGCAGAGTGATGGCCTAATATCCCAAAGGGATACAGATTCTTCTATATCCGACTTCTTAGGGGAGAGGATCATGGAAAAGTGTGAATGATTTTAGGAGAATAGCAAAGGATTTTTATTTTTATTATCATTATTATTTTGAGACAGAGTTTTGCTCTTGTCGCCCAGGCTGGAGTGCACTGGCGCAATCTCCACCTACTACAACCTCCGCCTCCTGGGTTCAAGCAATTCTCCTGCCTCAGCCTCCCGAATAGCTGAGATTACAGGTGCCCACCACCATGCCCAGCTAATTTTTGTATTTTTAGTAGAGACGGGGTTATGCCGTGTTGGGCAGGCTGGTCTCCAACTCCTGACCTCAGGTGATCCACCCGCCTCGGCCTCCCAAAGTGCTGGGATTACAGGCGTGAGCCACAGCTCCCAGCCACAAAGGATTTTTAGGGGAATTCAATGGGCTTAGAGAACACACAGTGGCTCAGAACAAAGTCTGTTGGGTCTGCAGAGCAGAAAATGATTTGTGACAAGTCTGTTCAGGTGTGTTGGCAGACTTCAGTCAGTCTTCCTGCGATGTGAGTTCAGCTAATGAAAACTCAGGGACCGGGGTCATTGTTTTCTTCTTTTTCAGGTCCGGGCTTTAGGTAGATAAGGGAACTTCAGAGAACAACTTCATCCTGTGTTTTGGGAGACACGGAGGACTGAGCGATGAGAAGTAGGTGGGTGAGGTCAGAGAGACCTTAGGTCTTCCTCAGTTCGGCCCATCAGAGTGCCCTATTTTGGGGTATCGGTTTCTGACTCCCAACAATGGTGAAAAAATTGGGCTTGAAGTGGACTGGAAAGTTAGTAAAATTTCTTTAACTGTAGCAGGAGGAGTCATAGACACAACCTCTCAGACACCGGATTGTGGAAGGAAAGAGCTTTATTCTTCTGGGAGCATCGGCAGACTCAAGTCCTAGAAACTGAGCTCCCTGAATAAGTAATTCCTGTCCCTTTTAAGGGCTCACACCTCTAAAGGGACTGCATGAAGAGGGGGTCGTGACCGATTGGGCAAGCGAGGGGTAGGTGACTGACGGCTGCATGCACCAGTAATCACAACGAAACAGAACAGAACAGGGAGTTTCACAACGCTTCCTCATACAGTGTCTAGAATCTATAGATAACTCAAGCAGTGAGGTCAGGGGTTGAATTTTAACTACCAGGCCCGAAATGTGACGCTGGGCTGTCTGACTATGAATTTCACTTCTGCTTATTCTTTTAACTTCTACCTTTTCAGCAAACAAGAAATTAAGTATAAGACAACATGAGGAGTGGTCTCCTTTCTCATGACCACCTCCGCTAGTTCAGAGAAAGGCGCCCACAGTGACTGGGTGACCAAGATATAGTTGCCTCAGACATTTGCATTTCAAAGGGGATAAATCCAAGACCTTTGAAAAAAATGTTTCTGGGTTGTAAATCTGGCAAGAGGCTTACTTGCCTCTGAAGAGATTTATAGACACACCAAAAGATTAAAGTAAGAATTTACGACCACTAGGTTTCTCTCAGGAATACTCTAAGAGGAGGAGGATATGGTCTCTTTTCTTTTGTGGTAACAGGGGAAATTCTTTTTTTTGTTTTTTCTTTTTTCTTTTTTTTTTTCTTCAATTGGTGATACTCAATTGTCCCAAAACTCTTAGAGTGATTAGAACAGAAAAAGTTAAATATATCATTGATTTATTTTTTCGGTCTATTTTTTTCAAAATGCCATTATAAGGGTAACACAATTTTATTGTGAGGAAACTGGGGAAGTAAAGAAAATCATGAGGAAACTCAAAGCCAGCTTTTGAAGTTCATTCTAAAAGGATGAACTCAATTTGGGTCTGCTTGGTAATTATGTAAATGTCCTGTTATAATTGATAATTAACTATTTTGTGTTTTGCATCATCAAAGCCAGCTCGGTATAGTTGAATAAAAGGTACACCAAATGAAATCTCATATCTAGACTAATTTCAAGAGAACCAAAGGAAATTATTATAATTATCATGAACTTTCTAATCACTAGAACAGCATAAAACCTTTCTTTATGTAGCAAAGTACCAATGAGTGGCAGGTGCAAGATAGAGGCTGTCACAAAAGAAAGGGCAGCCTAAGAATGAGAAGTTATAGCTTCTCTTTTCTATTTCTCCTCCCAGAGGTTGAGTTCTGCATGCCCTCCGTCCCCACAATTCTACTTGACATTGCCACTGCCTTCCTCTAACCTGTCTCTGTTTCTTCCTTACATTGCTGGTGGAATGACCATTCCGTCTGACATATCAGATTATTCACTATTTCTTCCTTCTCTGTTACTCATTTGTTGAACAAGTTTACTGAGCATCTATGTGCCAGCCACTAGCCAAAATGCTGTGGCAAGACCTGGCACAGTGGTTCATGCCTATAATCCCAGCATTTTGGAAAGCTGAGGCATGGCCAATTGCTTGAGACCAAGAGTTCACAACCAGTCTGGGCAACATGGCGAAACTCTGTCTCTACAAAAAAATAAACCAGCAAACAAAAAAAGTTAGCCAGGAGTGGTGGCACACACCTGTGGTCCCAGCTACTTGAGAGGCTGGGGTGGGAGGATCACCTGAGACTGGGAGGTCGAGGCTGCAGTGAGCTGAGATCGCACCAGTGCACTCCAGCCTGGGTGACAGAGAAAGACCCTATCTCAAAAACAAAACAAAACAAAGTGCTGGGGCTATAACCATGAAAGTGATAGGAGAGAGCGCTGGTAACAGTACTCTCTTCTTCATTCTCTTCCTCCTGGCCTATCTCCTTCTTCCTCCTTTCCCTAGTTTCACTACTTGGGGCTCCAATATGAAGACCTTTTTGGATGTATTGCATCTTCGTATCTCCAGGGCCCAGCACAATGGCTGTATTTTCGTACATGCTTCTCCAGCATGTATGAAATGAATGAATTCTCTATTGAAATTATTGGCCAGGCGCAGTGGCTCACGCCTGTAATCCCAGCACTTTGGGAGGCCGAGGCAGGCAGATCACCTGAGGTCAGGAGTTCAAGAACAGCCTGGCCATCATGATGAAACCCCATCTCTACTAAAAATACAAAAAAAGTTAGCTGGGTATGGTGGCAGGCACCTGTAATCCCAGCTATTCTGGAGGCTGAGGCAGAAGAATCGCTTATACCTGGGAGGCAGAGGTTGCAGTAAGCCGAGATCGTACCATTGCACTCCAGCCTGGGCAACAAGAGCAAAACTCCATCTCAAAAAAAAAATAAAGAAAGAAAGAAAAATTATTTATTCAGAGTCTGGGTGCTAGAGCTGTTACAGAAGGAATTAAAACACTACTTGGAATCTTTCCATTTTTATCTACATTGTTTTTTCTGCTTATTAAAATATGAGTCAATATCATAATAAAATCATTACAGAAATAAATAAAATAGAAAGTGCAACTCCTCCGCATTTCTAAATTCAAGAGATAACTGCAATTTACAATTTGATGTGTGCTTCTCTAATTTGTTTCTCTTTTTACGTAGCTCTATCTTTCTATATGCACACCTACATAGGTATATTTATATCCTATACATAATTTTAAAACCCAAACAGTATCATAGTAGTCAAATGAATCTTCAACTGCTTTTTTTTCTTTTTTCTATTTGATGATATATCTTGGCTTGGATTGTGCTGAATTTCTTCTAAATATCTCTCCAACTGTAATTGTATGCTTTTGTATCAAGGCCAGAAGCTCACTTATTTTTATTAACTAGTTCTCATTATTATAAAAGAAATACAAAGCTGGGCACGCCTGCTGACTCCTGTAATCCCAGCACTTTGGGAGGCCCAAGTGGGCTGATTACTAGAGGCCGGAAGCTCGAGACCAGCCTGGCAAACATGGCAAAACCTCATCTCTACTAAAAAAATACAAAAATTAGCCGGGCATCGTGGTGCACGCCTTTAGTCCCAGCTACTCTGGAGACTGAGGCATGAGAATCACTCGCATCCAGGAGGCGGACGTTGCAGCGAGCCGAAATGGCGCCACTGCACACTAGCCTGGGCTATAGAGCGAGACTCTGTCTCAAAAAAATAAACAAAAAAACAAAAATTATTTTACAGAAGCTTCTGCATAATCAATAAAATCATCGGGTCTGGAAACTGTGAAATACTTGGTTACCTAACCATAGCGCAAACTGCTTGCCATTCTCTAAAAGCTAGTCTTTTTTTTTTTTTTTTTTTTTTTTGAGACAGTCTGACTATGTTACCCAGGCTAGAGTGCAGTAGTGCAATCTCAGATCCCTGCAACCTCCGCCTCCCAGGTTCATGCAGTTCTCCCGCCTCAGCCTCTCGAGTAGCTGGGATTACAGGCACACACCACCACACCTGGCTAATTTTTGTATTTTTAGTAGAGATGGGGTTTCGCCATGTAGGCTAGGCTGGTCTCAAACTCCTGACCTCAAGTGATCTGCCCACCTCGGCCTCCCAAAGTGCTGGGATTACAGGTGTGAGCCATGCACCAGCTGTTCTTTTCGAAAATCAGAAACCAACCGGTTTCTTATTATAGACGACTTCCCAGAATGAAAACTACATTACCCACCCTCCTTTGTAATAAGGTGTGTCTGGGTGACCACATTTTGTCCAATGGGCTATGAGAAGAGCCATGGACAACTTCCCAGTTCAGTGATGCCTTACAGTATGGTGTGTTCCTTCCTTGTGTCTTTTTCCCCTGTGTAAAGGTTGGAATGTGGACCTTGGACCATGAGAACCAGCCCAGCACCTTAGAGATGAAGACACAATGAGATGAAAGGATCTTAGGCTCCTGACAGATTTGCAAAGTAGGACTTTGAAAAGTAGTTGGACTTCTTTAGGAGAGAGAAATATACTTGCATCTTTGCTCTTGTAAGCCACTGCTATTTGGGGTCTGTGCTATGCACAGGTGAATGCCTGCCTTTATGAGGAATGTGAGCCCCTTTATTTTATTATTTTATTTTTTAAAATTTGAGACAGAGTCTCGCTCTGTCACCTAGGCTGGAGTACAGTGGTGCGATCTCAGCTCACTGCAACCTCTGCCTCCCAGGTTCGAGATATGCTCCTGCCTCAGCCTCTCAAGTAACTGGGATTACAGGCACATACCACCACACCCAGCTAATTTTTGTATTTAGTAGATATGAGGTTTCACCATGTTAGCCAGGCTGGTCTCGAACTCCTGAACTCAAGTGATCCACCTGCCTTGGCCTCCCAAAGTGCTGGGATCACAGTGTGAGCCACCACGCCCAGCCATTTTTTTTTTTTTTTTTTTTTTGAGATGGAGTCTTGCTGTGTCACCCAGGCTGGAGTGCAGTGGCGCAATCTCAGCTCACTGCAACCTCCACCGGTTTCATGCAATTCTCCTGCCTCAGCCTCCCGAATAGCTGGGACTACAGGTGTGAGTCACTTGCCCAGCGGTAAGCCTGGTTTTGAGCACTGGGTCTAAACACTTCTTAGCTCTGTGATCAGGAGCATGTCACTTTAAAAAAATTTTTTAATTTAATTTAGTTTTTTTTTGTTCTTTTTCCCTCTCACCGCAGCTTTTCCCAACTACTGGGAGAACCAGGAAGGCCAAGGAGCCTGTCTCTTAACCGCTTGGAGCCTTACTTGTCTCATCCATGAAATGGGAATAAAAATAAAACCAATCTTATAGTGTAACCGGGACAACCAACATTTCTTCGCAAGATTGTTGCCAGAAAGAGGTCCCAATCCAGACCCCGAGAGAAGTCTTTGATTTTGCCCAAGAAACAATTTGGGGCCCAGTGCGGTTCGAGACTAGCCTGACTAACATGGTGAAACCCCGGCTCTACTAAAAATACCAAAATTAGCCAGGCGTGGTGGTGCATGCCTGTAATCCCAACTACTCTGGAGGCTGAGGCAGGAGAATCACCTGGACCTGGGAGGCGGAGGTTGTAGTGAGAGGAGATCGGGCCATTGCAGCTCTCCCTTATAAATGATTATTATGGAGGCCTATTTAACAGGAAGAAATTATTCTTCTCTTTTAATTGATTAATTCATTCATTCATTCATTTTATTTATTTATTTGTTTATTTTAAGAGTCAGGGTCTCGCTCTGTCACCCTGGAGGCTGGAGTACAGTGGTGCAATCATAGCTCACTGCAGCCTTGACCACCCAGGCTCAAGCAATCCGCCCACCATGGCCTCCCAAAGCACTGAGATAACAGGCATGAGCTACTGTGCTTAGCCCAAAAACAAAGTATTATTATTCCTTGTTCTTTCTCTTCTTGAGAGAATTAGAACCACCACTTCCTTCCATATGAATTTATCATCTTCATACAAGATGAGCCAACCATAATATCATACTGTTTGGCCACAGAGATTGGTCAAAAGATGGACATGTGGCCCTTGCTAAACCAATCAGAGTCCTTCCTTAGAACTTTATGATTTGGGGTTGGGCGTGGTGGCTCATACCTGTAATCCCAGCACTTTGGGAGGCCAAGGCAGGCAGATACCTGAGGTCAGGAGTTCGAGACCAGCCTGACCAACATGGAGAAACCACTTCTGTACTAAAAATACAAAATTAGCTGTGTGTGGTAGCACATGCCTGTAATCCCAGCTACTTGGGAGGCTGAGGCAGGAGAATCACTTGAACCCGGGAGGCAGAGGTTGCACTGAGCCAAGATCTTACCATTGCACTGCAGCCTGGACAACAAGAGCAAAACTCCATCTCAAAAAAAAAAAACAAAAAAAAACTTTATGATTTGGAACCGGGGGGAAAGAACAGTAAGAATCACTGTGTAAATGTATGCAAGTTGAGTTGTGCACTGAGTAACTTGCATGGCTATACATGGTAGCCTATGAAACGTAGCGCCTGGAAGTTACTGGTGGTTGGGTGGAGGGCACATCCCAGCTTCCCAGAGATGGCTAATCTGTATGCAAATAGAGTAAAATTGATATATATAGGGAGAAGAAGATATCTGAGATAGGAAATGAGAATCCTGACTGTTAGCATTAAAATCCCAGACATCCTACCTGGGAACAGGTTTGAATCCAACATTGTGACCTGGAGGATATTTTGGCCCCTAGTGTATCCTTCTCTTTCTATCTCTCTTCAGTCCCTCATTTCAACATAGTCCCATTTCTTTTTTTTTTTTTTTTTTTTTTGAGATGGAGTCTCCTCTGTCACCCAGGCTGGAGTGCAATGACGCGATCTCGGCCCACTGCAAACTCCTTCTCCTGGGTTCAAGCTATTTTCCTATCTCAGCCTCCCAAGTAGCTGGAACTATGGGCATGTGCCACCACACCCAGCTAATTTTTGTATTTTTAGTAGAGACGGGGTTTCACGATGTTGGCCAGGCTGGTCTTGAACTCCTGACCTCAGGTGATCTGCCCACCATGGCCTTCCAAAGTGCTAGGATTACAGGCGTGAGCCACTGCGCCTGGCCAACATAGTTCCATTTCCATCCTCTCTGGCTTCCACTTGACCTCCACATCTCTCTCTCTTCCCTCTTTCTTTCTTTCCTTCTCTCCACTCTCCTCTTCCCACTCCTTCCCCATTTTTCCCCATTTCTATCTCTCCTAGTCTCTCCACCTAACAAAACACCTTACAATTTTCTCATCAAGTAACTAAGAAATAAATGCAAACTATCATTCTTTGATTCAAATAATAATGAATACTACAGCTATAAATTATCAATACAAATTAACACCAAAAACAACTAAACATCTCAGAAGGTCAAATTTGCTTCTAGCTAAAAATCGACAAAACATTCTAATTTTCTGCACTAAATGTGTATCTTTGATAATTTATCCCAGGAAAATAGGACTTAGCTGAAATAATGGTCTCACAATGAAACCAGTTGTAAATTATAATTAGTATGTGCAATATGGGAAAAAAGTAGATTACATAAAGAAAAGCAATTGATTCCATGCCACCAATTTCAGTAAATTAAAATTTTAAAAAGTTTGGGGAAAATTAGAATAGTTTAATGGATCCACGTAGATAATTGATCACAAAATTAAACTGGCTTAGTAGAGTTTACTTTGGATAATGCTTTCTCATTGATAATTCAGCCATGTTTTATTTATTTATGTATGTATTTATTTATTTATTTATTGAGAAGCAGTTTCGCGCTTTTTTTTTTTTTTTTTTTTTTTGAGACGGAGTCTCCCTCTATCGCCCAGGCTGGAGTGCAGTGGCGCAATCTCGGCTCACTGCAAGCTCCACCTCCCAGGTTCACGCCATTCTCCTGCCTCAGCCTCCCGAGAAGCTGGAACTAAGGCGCCCACCACCACGCCCGGCTAATTTTTTGTATTTTTTTTTTTTGGTAGAGAAGGAGTTTCACTGTGTCAGCCAGGATGGTCTCAATCTCCTGACCTCGGGATCTGCCCACCTCGGCCTCCCAAAGTGCTGGGATCACAGGTGTGAACCACCACGCCCGGCTGGAGTTTCGATCTTGTTGCCGAGGCTGGAGTGCAATGGCACGATCTTGGCTCACCACAACCTCCGCCTCCTGGGTTCAAGTGATTCTCCTGTCTCAGCCTCCCGAGTAGCTGGGATTACAGGCATGTGCCAACACGCCCAGCTAATTTTGTATTTTTAGTAGAGACGGGGATTTCTCCATGCTGGTCAGGCTGGTCTCGAACTCCCAACCTCAGGTGATCTGCCCGCCTCGGCCTCCCAAAGTGCTGGGATTACAGGCATGAGCCACCAGGCCCGGCCAGCCATGTTGATATAATTCTGATCTAAACATTTGTATTCAAAATGTCCTGGCCAGGTGCGGTGGCTCACACCTGTAATTGCAACATTTTTAGGAGGCTGAGGTGGGATGCTGCTTCAGCCCAGCGGTTTCAGATCAGCCTGGGAAACACAGTGAGACCCTGTGTGTGTAAAATTAAAAATTAGCCAGGTGTGGTAGCACATGCCTATAGTCTCAGCTACTCAAGAGGCTGAGGAGGGAGAATCGCTTGAGCCTGGGAGGTAGAGGTTGCAGTGAGTTATAATCATGCCACTGCACTCCAGCCTAGGCAACAGAACAAGACCTTGTCTACTTTTTAAAAATTATTATTATTATTTGAGACAGAGTTTCGCCCTTGTTCCCCAGGCTGGAGTGCAATGGTGCGATCTTGGCTCACTGCAGCCTCCGTCTACTGCGTTCAAGCAATTCTCCTTCCTCAGCCTCCCGAGTAGCTGGAATTACAGGCACCTGCCACTATGCCTGGCTAATTTTTATATTTTTAGTAGAGATGGGGTTTCACCATGTTGGCCTGGCTCATCTTGAACTCCTGACCTGAGGTGATTTGCCCACCTCGGCTTCCCAAAGTGCTGGGATTACAGGCGTGAGCCACCACACCCGACCTAAATTATTATTTTTTATAGACGGGGTCTTGCTGTGTTGCCCTAGCTTGTCTGGAACTCTTGAGCTCAAGCAATCCTCCAGCCTTAGCCTCTCGAGTGGCCGGGACCACAGGCGTGCACCGTGATGCCCAGCAATTTTTTTTACGTTTTTTGTAGAAACAGGATCTAGCTTCGTTGCCCAGGCTGGTCTCAACCTCCTGGATTCAGGCAACCCTCCCACTGCAGCCTCTCAAAGTGCTGAGATTATGGGTGTGAGCCCCCGTTCTTGGCCAGTTTTATTTATTTTATTGATTTATTTATTTATTTTTGAGGCAGGGTGTTACTCTGTCACCCAGGCTGAAGTGCAGTGGCACAGTCATGGCTCACTACAGCCTTGCCCTCTTGGGCTCAGTCAATCCTCCCACCTCACCCTCTCAAGTGGCTGAGAATGCAGTCATGTGCCACTGCACCCAGCTAATTTTTGTATTTTTTTGTGGAGACACGGTGCTTTTATTTTTTTATTAAAAAATGTTTTATTTCATATTTGTTTATGACTTCATCATCATCAACAATGTAATAAGGTCAAGGGTTGGCAAACTTTTTCTATAAAGGGCCAGACAGTAAATATTTCGCCTTTATGAACCACACAGTCTACGTGACAGCTATTCAACTCTGCCCTTGTAGTATAAAAGTTGCCTGTACTGTTGTTGTATGTATTGAAAATATGTAAGCAGGCCTGTCATCCTAGCACTTTGGGAGGCTGAGGTGGGCAGGTGGCTTCAGTTCAGGAGTCTGAGACCAGCCTGGGCAATCTAGGGAAACCCCATCACTACAAAAAACACAAAAATTAGCCCGGCGTGTGGGTGCCTGCCTATAGTTTCAGCTACTTGGTAGGGTGAGGTAGGAGGATCACTTGAGCCCAGGAGGTCAAGGCTACTGTGAGCTGTAATCAGGCCACTGCACTCCAGCCTGTGAGACAAAATGAGACCCAGTCTCAAACAAACAAACAAAAAAACATAGGCGGGTCATTTGAGGTCAGGACTTTGAGACCAGCCAGACAGTGAAATACTGTCCCTACTAAAATACAAAAAAAGATTAGCCAGGCATGGTGGCGAGCACCTGTAATCTCAGCTACTTTGGAGGATGAGGTAGGAGAATCGCTTGAACCCAGGAGGCGGAGGTTGCAATGAGCCGAGGTCGCGCCACTGTACTCCAGCCTGGGTGACAGAGCAAGACTCCGTTTCAAAAAAAAAAAAAAAAGGACATAACTCAGGAATGGCCAGCTAGAAGAGATGCATGGGACAGGTATTGGGTGATGGGGGCGCGTGCATGAAGCTTTCTTGCACTCCCTGGGCTCATCAGCCTCCCAGCACTTCAGTGTGTTCACCCATCTAGAAGCTTCCCAGACCTCATTGTTCAAGAGTTTTTCTCAAGCTCAATGTCTGTTGTTAAAAGGCGGGAGGATCACGAGGTCAGGAGATCGAGACCATCCTAGCTAACACGGTGAAACCCCGTCTCTACTAAAAATACAAAAAAAAATTAGCCGGGCGTGGTGGTGGGCGCCTGTAGTCCCAGCTACTTGGGAGGCTGAGGCAGGAGAATGGCGTGAACCCGGGAGGCAGAGCTTGCGGTGAGCCGAGATCGTGCCACTGCACTCCAGCCTGGGCGACAGAGCGAGACTCTTATCTAAAAAAAAAAAAAAAAAATTTCAACACTCCAACCACTTGGTCTTTTTTTTTCTTCTTCTTCTTTTTGAGTCAAAGTCTTGTTCAGTTGCCCAGGCTGGAATGCAATGGCACAATTACAGCTCACTGCAGCCTTGAACTATTGGGCTTAAATGATCCTCCCTCCTCAGCCTCTTGAGTATCCGGGACTACGGATGTGCATCACCATGCCTAGCTAATTTTTTAGTTTCTGTAGAGATACGGTCTCCCTATGTTGCCCACGCTGGTTTGGAACTTCTGGACCCAAGTAATCCTCCCACCTGAGCCACCCAAAGTACTGGGATCACAGGTGTAAGCCCCTGCAGTTGGCCTTCCTTGGTCTTCTGATGACCAACCCCATCCTGAAGCTATATAGGGGAACTACTCTAAGTCACCTTATTGGCATGAACTCAGGTGTGATGGAAAAGGGCTCCTTATGGATAACAAAAGACACTCCAGGCCAAGCACAGTGGCTCATACCTATAATCCCAACCCTTTGGGAGGCCAAGGCAGGAAGATTGCTTGAGTCCAGGAGTTCAAGACCAGCTTGGGCTTGGTAGGCAGAGTTTGCAGTGAACTGAAATCACACCAGTGCACTGCAACCTGGGCAACAGAGTGAGACCCTGTCTCAAAAAAAAAAAAAAAAAAAAAAAAGGCACTCCCATCACTCAGAAAACTCTAAGCGTTTTAGGAGCTCAGTACCAGGAACTGGGGACAAAAACCAAATATTTCTTTTTTTTTCAAGATGGAGTTTCTTGTCACCCACGCTGGAGTGCAATGGCACAATCTCAGCTCACTGCAACCTCCACCACCCGGGTTCAAGTGATTCTCCTGCCCCAGCCTCCCAAAGTAGCTGGAATTACAGGCGCGCACCACCACACCCAGCTAATGTTTGTGTTGTTAGTAGAGACGGGGTTTCGCCATGTTGGCCAGGCTGGTCTCGAACTCCTGACTTCAGGTGATCCTCCCACCTCAGTCTCCCAAAGTGCTGGGATTATAGGCATAAGCCACCATGCCTGGCCAAAAACCAATTTTTTTTTTATTAGACCACAACTTGTCTGTGTCTCTTCCCCTCTAGATTTCGAGCAGCCAAGGGATGTGTCTAGGCACTTTTCATTTCTACTGCCCAGCACATAGTTGTTATTCCAAGCTGCACCATGTTGTAAACCCCTGCCATTTCGCAACCCTAGTCAGAGTGGAAAATTCCAGTGGGTCTCGGCTGTGAGAAACACCCTACCAGACAAGTTCAGGCCTAACCGCCTGAACCCAGGAAATTCCCTCCTTAGCAGCTAGCCACATTGCCTGTCCCTTTTTGCAGCAAGCAAAGACCTGTCCCGTCCTGACCTGTAATTACCCAAGTCTGTAAGCGGGAGTGGGTTCCGGCACTAGCTGGTGTCCCCCTCTGCAGGGCTTTGATCTGTGTTGCTGTAGAGCCACCTCCATCCATTCCTTCTTCTTTTCGCGCTCTAACAATAGTAACACTTAAAACATACATAGCTGCTGGTGTCATTAATCTTGCCATTGGTGTTGTTGCTTGATTATTGGTGTAATGTCTACCTCATAGAGTAATCTAGCTCATTCAGTGACATGAGTCATTTACAGATGATTTAATGAATATTTTTCATTATCACCTCCCCCTAGGTCCAGAAAAGGCTGCTAACTTTCCCAAGACCTTTTAATTCTTTTTTCTTTTTTCTTTTTTCTTTTTTTTTTTTTTTTTGAGACAGAGTCTCTGTCGCCAGGCTGGAGGGCAGTGGCACGATCTCAGCTCACTGCAACCTCTGCCTCCCTCCTGGGTTCACGCAATTCTTCTCTCTCAGCCTCCTGAGTAGCTGGGACTGCAGGCACCCACCACCACACCTAGCTCATTTTTGTGTCTGTAGTAGATACAGGGTTTCACCATATTGGTCAAGCTGGTCTCCAACTCCTGACCGCAGGTGATCCACCCACGTCAGCCTCCCAAAGTGCTGGGATTACAGACATGAGCCACCGCGCCCTGCTGACCTCTTAACTCTTTAGAACAGAGTTCTAAACTTCCTGACTCTGAAGTTATCTTTCCATTTCATCCTCAAAGATACCCAAAGGACCTTTTAGCATACTGGTGATTGAGACAAAAGAATTTCCAAACCTGGAGACAAATCCCAACTCTTGCTTCCTGATTCTCTTTTCTATACTGTCTTCTCAGGTCATCCTTTCCCCATGGCTGCATAAAATAGATTGAATCAAATGGAGCCCATCATGCTGGCTGCTTCTCTCCGCTGGGGCCAGGAGCAGCCTGACTGCAGAGTCAGCTGAAGACAGACAGCAGTCAGAGTGCTGGCCTTCTCCTTCCAAAAACACAGCCGTTCAAGTTCACAGAGACTGAAGAATACGATAAACACAGATAAACGTGCTTGACGGTGAGTAATTTTTGTCTGGGTACGGAAAGAAGAATAACAGGAGAAAAGGCACCATTTTCTTGGCCTGAACCGCCTCCTCTGGTTTCTTTTTTTCTTTTTCTCTTTTCTTTTTTTTTTGAAACAGGGTCTCACTCTGTCACTCAGGCTGGAGTGCAGTGGTACAATCACAGCTCTCACTGCAGCCTCGACCTCCTGGGCTCAAGCGATCCTCCTACCCCAGCCTCCAAAGTAGCTGGGACTATAGGCACGCACCACCATGCCCAGCTAATTTTTTAATTTTTTGTAGCAATGGGGTTTCGCCATGCTACTTAGGCTGGTCTCAAACTCCTAAACTCAAGTAATCTGCCTGCCTCGGCCTCCCAAAGTGGGGGGATTACAGGCACCTCGCACAGCCCTGCCTCTGTTTTAAGAGACAAGAATTCAGATTTCCATCAAACCTCTCTTCTTAGAGCAAGTTGACCTCTAGGTGCAGGAAACCCTGACAGAGACTGGCCACAGGGCCCTGCGCCTCTCCCCAGCCCAGCACAAATAGAAGAGGCCAAAAAAGCAGATGTGATGGTTATGGTTCTACTGAACACTGGAAGATACTTACTGCAAGCTTTATACACAAATGCATCACCACACCTTTGTGAGGTGGGTCATATCGTCGCTGTCCCATCTATTTGTTGGTGGAGGAAACTGATGGTTGCAAGAGTGAGATTAACTTGCCCTAGGTTCACTCAGCTCATTATTGCCCAATAGATTTGTGGAATAATCAAGATTTAAATCCAGAATGAGATTCCAATCAATGGTATCCAGAGAAAAAAATAAAAAATAAAAATAAATCCAGGCCGGGCATGGTGGCTCACACCTGTAATCCCAACACTTTGGGAGGCCGAAGCAGGTGGATCACCTGAAGTCAGGAGTTTGAGTCCAGCCTGGCCAACATGGCAAAGCCCTGTCTCTACTAAATATACGAAAATTAGCCAGGTGTGGTGGTACAGGCCTGTAATCCCAGCTACTCAGGAAGCTAAGGCAGAAGAACCACTCGAACCCAGGAGGTGGAGGTTACAGTGAGCCAAGATCATGCCACTGCACTCCAGCCTGGGTAACAGAGCGAGACTCCCTCTCAAAAAAATAAATAAATAAAAATAAATCCAGTGTAGGCTGGCTTCAAGGCCTATGGTCTTTGATAGTGTTGTTGCTATGATTTTCCTTTGTTTTTAACTTTTTAAACTTTGAAATTATTTTAGATTTATCAGAAAGTTGCAAAGATAGCACCGATCATTCCTGTGTACTCTCACCTAGGTTTCTCTGATGTTAAGGTCTTACAATCATCAAAACCAAGAAATTAGCACTAGGACAATTCACTGCAGACCTTATTCATTTTTCACCGGTTTTTCCACTAATGTCCTTTGCCGCCTTCTGGGAGGAAAAATATTTCCTCTGCTCCCTTATTTTCACTGACAGGGTCCATACATTAAACTGACACAAGTCAGACTAGCAAGAGAAAAGACGTTTTATTTCCATATGTATGTATGCACATGGGAGTTCACAGAAAAGAAAATGTGACTCAAAGGAGTGGTTAGAATTTGGGGCTTATAGCCGGACGTGGTGGCTCATGCCTGTAATCCCAGCACTTTGGGAGGCTAAGGCCGGTGGATCGCTTGAGACCAGGAGTTCGAGACCAGCCTGGCCTACTTGGTGAAACCCCATCTTCACTAAAAATACAAAACATTAGCCGAGCATGGTGGCAGGTGTCTGTAACCCCAGCTACTCAGGAGTCTGAGGCAGGAGAATTGCCTGAATCCACGAGGCAGAGGTTGCAGTGAGCCGAGAATGCACCACTGCACTCTACTCCGGGCAAAGCGAGACTCTGTCTCAAAAAAAAAAAAAAAAATAGAATTTGGGGCTTATAATCCATCTTAATAGGTGAAGGATCACAGTACTTTAGGAGGCTGAGGCAGGAGGATCACTTGAGCCCAGGGGTTCAAGACCAGCTTGGGCAACAAAGTGAGAACTTGTCTCTACAAAAAAAAAAAAAAAAAAAAATTAGCTGGGCATGGTGATGCATAGCTGTAGTCCCAGCTACTTGGGAGACTGAGGTTGGAGGATTGCTTGAGCCTGGTAGGTCGAGGTTTCAATGAGTTATGATCGTACCACTGCACTCCAGCCCGGGCAACAGAGGGAGACCCTGTCTCGAAAAAAAAAGACAGGAAACGAAAAAGACAAAATAGATGAAGGAGAAGGGAAGAAAGAGCACTTGTGGAAAAACAAACGAGGTTTTGGAAAGATAAATGAGCCCTTAGGAGACTAGATGGGGGATATGACAGATTTTGTGACTGTCTGCTTTGGTGTGTGGCTGACTTCTGTCTCAGAGAAGATTGGAGTTGTTCCCAGGGATAAGATTTATGACAATAGAGTTCTTTTTTATTCTTTTGGGAGGCTCTGCTCTTAGGCAGATAAGAGATTTCAGAAAGTCAGAAGCCCTCGGCTCAAAACAATTTTTATGCCACACTGGCTTATTCTGGGGCCCTTCCCCATTTCAGAATCCAATTGGGGCCGGGCATGGTGGCTCATGCCTGTAATCCTAACACTCTGGGAGGCCGAGGCAGGTGAATCACTTGAGGCCAGGAGTTTGAGACCAGTCTGGCCAACATGGTGAAACCCCATCTCCACTAAAAATCCAAAAATAAAAGTAGCTGGGCGTGGTGGTGGGCACCTGTAATCCCAGCTACTCAGGAGGCTGGGGCAGGAGAATCACTTGATCCCAGGAAGCAGAGGTTGCAGTGAGCCAAGATCGCGCCACTGCACTTCAGCCCAGGCAACAGAGTGAGACCCTTTCTAAAAAAAAAAAAAAAAAAAAAAAATCCAATTGGGACCCCACCTTACATTTAGTTATGTCTTCTTGGTCTCCTCCAATGTGTGACAGTTTCTCCGTCTTCCTTTATTCCTCACCACTTTGACACTTTTGAGAAATATTGATCTTTTATTTTGTAGACTGTCCCTTAACTTGGTGTTTCCTCATGACTAGACTGAGGTTGTTAAACATTTACTAGCACACCACAGGCCGTTGGTTTGCATGAGAATGAAACAACAACTAGGGTTTCTCTTTATATATATTTTATATTTGATGCTCCCAAAGTGCTAGGATCAGCCAGGCGCGATGGCTCATCCCTGTAATCCCAGTGCTTTGGGAGGCCAAGGTGGAAAGATCACCCAAGCCCAGAAGTTCAAGGCCAGCCTGGGCAATTTAGTGAGATTCCATCTCTTCAAAAAATTTAAATATTAGCCTGCAGGGTGTGAACCTGTAGTCCCAGCTACTCAGGAGGCTGAGGAAAGAAGATCCCTTGAGTCCAGGAGGCCAAGGCTGCAGTGAGCTATGATCGCACCACTGCACTCCAGCCTGGGCAACAGAGTGAAACCTTGATTCTAAAAATAAACACAAAAAGGGAGGTGGAGCATAACTCATCATGCTTTAAGTGTGGACTGCACAGAGTGACTTCCTTACAAAGAGCACAAAGGGAGGGAAAGAGCAACTGTACAGTGAGAAACTTGATAAACACTACCTCAACCAGGTGATCAAGGCCAACATCAACCATGATAAGTCATGTCAACAGTATGCGCTGGTATCACTTGATAAAAATGGCATTTTACCACTATCATCTTTCTTCCAAAAATCCATAACCTCAGCTAATCATGAAAAAAAAACATCAGACAAATCTCAGTAGAGGGCCGTGCTGCAAATTGCCTGACCAGTACTTCTCAGAACTGTCATCAAAAACAAATTCTGAGAAACTGTCACAGCGAAGAGGACCCTAAAGAGACATGACAACTAAATGTAATTGGTATCCTTGATGGGATCCTGGAACAGGAAATCTGTCACAAGGTAAAAACTAAGGCAGTCCGAATAAAGTATGGGCTTTAGTTAATGCATCAATATTAGATCGTTGATTGTAACAAATGCACCACACTAATGTAAGCTAACAGGGGAAACTGAGTCAGGATGTATGAGGACACTGTACTACCTTCACAATTTTTGTAAAATGTAAAACTATTCTTTTTTTTTTTTTTTGAGATGGAGTTTTACTCTTGTTGCCTGGGCTAGAGTACAGTGGCGCAATCTCAGCTCACTGCAACCTCCACCTCCCGGGTTCAAATGATTCTCCTGCCTCAGCCTCCCAAGTAGCTAGGATTACAGGGAGCTACCACCATGCCTGGCTAATTTTTGTACTTTTAGTAGAGACAGGGTTTCACCATGTTGGCCAGGCTGGTCTCAAACTCCTGCCGTCAGGTGATCCACCTGCCTTGGCCTCCCAAAGTGTTGAGATTACAGGTGTGAACCACTGTGCCCAGCTAAAACTATTCTTAAAAAATTTAGTTTGTTTAAAAAAAAAAAAAAAAAGGAAAAAGTGACCATTTTTTAATCTCTCAAAAATATACCATTAACCTAAACCCTTAAAATATTTACATTCAGGCTGGACACAGTGCCTCACACCTGTAATCCCCGCACTTTGGGAGGCTAAAGAGGGAGGATCATTTGAGCCCAGGAGCCTAGGCAACATGGCAAAACCCCACCTCTACAAAAAATACGAAAATGAGCCAGGGGTAATGGCATGTCTGTAGTCCCAGTTACTCAGGAGGCTGAGATGGGAGGATCACTTGAGCCCAGGAGGTTGAGGCTGCAGTAAGCTGATTATGCCACTGCACTCCAGCCTGGGCAACAGAGCAAGATCCTGTCTCAAAATAAAATAAAATAAAATAAAATATTTGCATTCAAAAGGAGCTTCAGAATAGACCATATGAATAAAATATAGCAAGAGCTGCAGATAAATAGATTTCTCTAGAGAATATGAAAATAATACCCGGTACCTATTCAATGATACGAGGAACATGCAGAGGGGAGGGGAATTATTCCAATCAGTCTCCTGCTGCAGAAACCATAAACATAAAAATAGAAGTAGGCTATGAATCTCCCCTCAAGAATGGGAAGGTGATCAATAGCTTCCATCTAGCATCCATGCCCCACTGAGATGACATTCTTTCCAGAGGGGGAAAAATGAGCTGCCAATGAGAAATTGTTGAGATGACTAAGAAAGACACCATCTCAGGAACTTCCAAATTGAGTTTGACTGTTAGTCAATGTGTTGAGTAGTTGTTATATATCATTCCTTCTCCAGAAGATGGAGCTTTAGTCTAAAATAATGATGTAAGACAAGCCGGCAAGCTGGGCCCAGAATAATAGAATTCAAAGAAAATGCATAAATCGTGGTTACTATCAAGAGGGTTTGAAAAGCATTTTAAATCTCCTTGGAGACGGGTTCATTTGACCCGATTCTCTTACTCATTATGAGAATCCATTGCTTCAACTGTTTTCATCCAGGCAAAAAAGAAAATTTCAGTGGGAGTCATAAAAATGATTATGTATCATCTTATTTTTATTTGGTATTTCTCTTCCCAAAAGTCTAAAGGCTCACTATTATCTTGTAGTGCAGTTCATATGTTGATGGAAGTGACATTATTTATTTGTTTATTTATTTATTTTGAGATGGAGTTTCGCTCTTGTTGCCCAGGCTGGAGTGCAATGGTGTGATCTCAGCTCACCGCAACCTCCGCCTCCCAGGTTCAAGTGATTCTCCTGCCTCAGCCTCCTGAGTAGCTGGGATTACAGGCATGCACCACCATGCCTGGCTAATTTTGTATTTTTAGTATAGACGGGGTTTCACCATGTTGGTCAGGCTGGTCTTGAACTCCCAACCTCAGATGACCCACCCACCTCGGCCTCCCAAAGTGCTGAGATTACAGGCGTGAGCCACCGCACCCGGCCAAGGTGACATTTAAGTTCACTGTGGCAGTGAATTTATTATGCAGATAGGAGTTGCATGAATTTTCTCCAAAATATTCAGATATAAAATTCATTTTTGTCTAAAACAAATCAATCTGACTTAGCCCCCATGTCAGCCATAATTTTTCTCACATCTCGCCTCCATATGTAAAACTCTAGAGAGGAACTGATTAGCGTGAAAGGAAAATAAATCTTGGGACCCCAAAATCACTAAGCCAAAGGGAAAGTCAAGCTGAGAACTGCATAGGGCAAACCTGCCTCCCACTGTTTTCCTCAAAAAGATAAAAGCTACATACCGGCCAAGCATGGTGGCTGGCACCTGTAATCCCAGCACTTTTTGAGGCCCAGAACGTTGGGAGGCCGAGGCGGGTGGATCACGAAGTCAGGAGATCAAGACCATCCTGGCTAACACGTTGAAACCCCATCTCTACTAGAAATACAAAAAATTAGCTGGGCATGGTGGCACGAGTCTGTAGTCCCAGCTACTCGGGAGGCTGACGCAGGAGAATCGCTTGAACCCGGGAGGCAGAGGTTGCAGTGAGCTGAGATCTCACCACTGCATTCCAGCCTGGGTGACAGAGCGAGACTCCTAAAAAAAAAAAAAAAAAAAAAAAAAAAAAAAGGCTACATACCTCCCTCAAAAGGAATTTCCTTGTGGACAAAAGACAGAATTCAAAGTCATCCCCCTGCTCACTGAGATAAATGTATGTCCGATTGCCACCTTTGGAGAGGCTAAACAGAAACTCAAAAGAATGCAACCATTTGTCTCTTATCTACCTATGTATGACCTGGAAGCCCCCTCCCTGCTTCAAGTTGTTCCACCTTTCTGGATGGAACCAATATATATCTTACATTCATTGATTGATGTCTCACGTCTCCCTAAAATTTATTAAACCAAGCTTTGCCCTGACCACCTTGGCACATGTCATCAGGACCTCCTGAGGCTGGGTTACAGGCGCACATCCTTAACTTTGGCAAAATAAACTTTCTGAGTTGACTGAGACCTGCCTCAGATATGTGGGGTTCACACTGGCATACCTCAATTCACATGCTCATCTTTGAGCTTATCATAGTCACCTAGATGGTGGTCCCATGGGAAGCCAAGCTGGACCATGTGCCCATACCTATGTGTAGCCCGCAATGTGGGGCAATATAATTAGCCACTACCTACCTGCCCTAAGGTCAAATACTCTCAACAGAATTGAATTCTGCTGAGCATGGTGGCTCACACCTGTACTCCCAGCACTTTTTGAAGCCAAGGAAGGAGGATTACTTGAGGCCAGGAGTTCAAGAACAGCCTGGCCAATACAGGGAGACCCTCGTCTCTACAGAAAATTTTTAAGCCGGACGTGGTGCCTCACACCTGTAATCCCAGCACTTCGGGAGGCCCAGGCGGGTGGATCACAAGGTCAGGAATTCAAGACCCGCCTGGCCAACACAGTGAAACCCCATCTCTACTAAAAATACAAAAAAATTAGCTGGGCGTGGTGGCGGGTGCCTGTAATCCCAGCTACTTGGGAGGCTGAGGCAGGAGAATTGCTTGAACCTGGGAGGTGGAGGTTGCAGTGAGCCAAGATTGTGCCACTGCACTCCAGCCCAGGTGACAATGCGAGATTCCATCTCAAAAAAATAAATAAATAAATAAATAAATAAATAAATAAATAAACAAACATTTTTAAAAACTAGCTAGGCATGGTGGCACACACTTGTAGTCCCAGCTACTTGGGAGGCTGAGGTGGGAGGATCCCTTGAGCCTTGGAGGTCGAGGCTGCAGTAAGATGTGATCACACCACTGCACTCTAGCCTTAGCAATGGAGGAGGACCCTATCTCAAAAAAAAAAAAGATTGAATTCTGTTAGCTGAGAAGAGAGGGAAATGGATGTTTTTAGATAATAAACAGTGTCCGCTGTATGTATCAGTTAGCTATTGCTGCATAACCAATGACTCCAAAACTTGACCATAGTGAGCTATGATTGGGCTGAAGTGATCCTCCTGCCTCAACTTCCCAAGTAGCTGGGATGACACATGGGTGCCACCACACCCTGCTAATTTTTTAATTTTTCTAGAGCTTAGTTGCGCAAGCTGGTCTTGAACTGGTGGCCTCAAGTGATCCTTCTGCCTTGGCCTCCCAAAGTGTCAGATTACAGCTATGAGCCACCACATTTAGCCTTGAAGCAAATCTTGATGAGCAACCTATTTTAGCTATTTCACAGTCTCACCTGCTAAGGCAAGGATTTCCTGGAATGGGCAGCTAAGAGTTTTATGCTTGCTCCCTATATTATTTAATATAAGGATATTGAAAAGTATTCCTGATCTCAGTATGGCTTAATTCAGGAATAAAAAATTATGTCTGTTGGGCCAGGCATGGTGGCTCACACCTGTAATCCCAGCACTTTGGGAGGCCAAGGTGGGCAGATTGCTTGAGCTCACAAGTTTGAGACCAGCCTGAGCAACACGGTAAAACCCCGTCTCTACAAAAAATACAAAAATTGGCCAGGCATGGTGGTGCATGGCTGTAGTTCCAGCTACTCAGGAGGTTGAGGTGGGAGGATCGCTTGAGCCTGGGAGGCAGAGGTTACAGTGAACTGAGATTGTGCCACTGCACCCAGTCTGGGCGATAAAGCCAGGCTTTGTCTCAAAAAAAAAATTACATCTGTTTCTGTTCTCATATATAGTCAATGTGTTTTATTTAGTCACTGCTTTTCTCTAACTCTGGCTATCTCTGGGTGAGATACTCCATGACCTTACTTATAAGCACAAGATGATTTTGAACTGCAAACAAATGGGTTTTAATCGAGGCAAAACAGTTAACATTGAAAAAGCTAGCTAAATTCTAAGTTGAGAATTAGTTGAAAGGCCTGATTTCACTATTTCTGCAACCAGGACACAGACTCCCACACAACCTCTTTTTAAAAATTGCTTTATCTCCAGAAAAGCCAGTTTTCTCAACCAAAGTTCAGTACATTTTTACAGTAACACTGTAAAAAACACTGACACCAACAGATTCCAAAGAAAATGAAGCAAGATATAAAACTTAGATTACTACTCATTGAACATATGGCTAGACACTTTATTTAAAGGAAAGGACAAGGAATTCAGAAGGGCTATAATTAGAAAGAGTCTTCACGCACTGCTCACAAGAATAAGAAGCTTTCCCAGGGCCTTGCACAGATAAGACAATGGCCCCTGACATTTTAAGAAAATGGCCACATTGTACCAGGTCAATCAATGTGAAAAGGTCCACTCCATGAACAGAAAATTGTGTAATGTGACCTGTTTCTTTGTTGTCTATTGACACAGGTAAGATAATGGGCTGTGTTTTCTTTGTGGCTATGACGATCGTTTCCCTCTGTAGGACAGACAACCGGGCAGTGATCTGCTGGGTTCAGCCAATGTGATGAGCAGAAGTGGGAAGAAATCAGTCTCCTGTGCGGATAGAATCAGGAAACCCGTCTAATCCCACTCTTCTCCATTCCATTCTCCATACCGAAACCAGTGTCATCTTCAATGAGATAAAGCATATCTATATCACACCCCTGTTTACAAAAAACCATCACTACTGTCTCCGCTGCATTTGTCTTAATCGCATAATCCGGCTCCTAGTTCTTGGGCCAGTTTTACCATGTGCCAGTTCCCCCGAACCAGTTTCTCCCATTGGAAGGTTTTGTCTCTCTGCACAGCTCTGACCTCTGCCTGTGTTGCTCTTTCCCCAGAGCCTTGCCTGGCTGACTTCTACTCCTCCCTCATGTGGCAGGAAATCTCACCTTTGCAGAAAGACCTTCCATGCCAACCTACACAGCAAAGGTCTTCTCCCAGGCCATGCCCCTTTCAACTCTCAGCTCCTCACTTGTTTTCATCATAACAATTACCCCAAATGATAATGATGGTTTTTTTTTTTTTTTTTTTGAAACAGAGTCTTGTTCTGTTGCCCAGGCTGGAATGCTGTGGCGTTATCTTGGCTCACTGCAACCTCCCACTTCCTGGGTTCAAGCAATTCTCGTGACTCAGCCACCTGAGTAGCTGGGATTACAGGTGTGTACCACCATGCTCAGATAATTTTTGTATTTTTAGTAGAGTTGGGGTTTCATCATGTTGGCTAGGCAATTACAGGCGTGAGCCACTGCGCCCAGTTACAATGGATCTTATGTATCTGACCACTTACCCGTTTTGTCCTTCCTTCCTAGTAGAATTGGACTCCCATGCAAGTGGAGACCCAGTCAGTCTTGTTCACTGCAATCTCCCCAGGGCCTGCCACATCTAAAAGACATATTTTCTGATAAATGAATCATAACAGTTGTTTCTTTTTTTTTTTTTTTTTTTTTTTTTTGAGACAGAGTCTTGCTCTGTCACCCAGACTGGAGTGCAGTGGTGCCATCTCGGCCCACTGCAACCTCTGCCTCCCGGATTCAAGTGATTCTCCTGCTTCAGCCTCCCAAGTAGCTGGGAGTACAGGCGTGTGCCACCACGCCCAGCTAATTTTTTGTATTTTTAGTAGAGACGAGGTTTCACCGTGTTACCCAGGATGGTCTCCATCTCCTGACCTTGTGATCCGCCTGCCTCAGCCTCCCAAAGTGCTGGGATTACAGGCGTGAGCCACCGCGCCCGGCCAAGGTCAGGAGTTCTAAACCAGCCTGGCCAACATGGTGAAACTCCCTGTCTAATTAAAAAAAAAAAAAAAAAGCCGGGCATGGTGGCATATGCCTGTCATTCCAGCTACTCAGGAGGCTGAGGCAGGAGAATCACTTGAACCCAGGAGGCCGAGGTTGCAGTGAGCCAAGATCACACCACTATACTCCAGCCTGGGCAACAAAGCAAGATACCATCTCAAAAAAACAAGAAAAGAAAAATCACTTTATATATATATATTTATATATATTTATATATATTTATATATATATTTATATATATTTATATATATTTATATATATTTATATATATTTATATATATATTTATATATATTTATATATATATAATTTTTATATATTTATATATATAATTTTTATATATATTTATATATATTATTTATATATATAATTTATATATATTTATATCTATAATTTATATATATATTTATATCTATAATTTATATATATATTTATATATATAATTTTTATATATATTTATATATATTTATATATTTTATATATATATTTGTGTATATTTTTATATATTTTTTATATATATTTATGTATATATTTATATATATATTTATATATATTTATATTTATATATATATATTTATATATATTTATATATATATTTATATATATATTTATTTATATATATTTATATATATTTATATATATTTATATATATTTATATATATATTTATATATATTTATATATATTTATATATATTTATATATATTTATATATATATTTATATATATTTATATATATTTATATATATTTATATATATTTATATATATTTATATATATATTTATATATATTTATATATTTATATATATTTATATATATTTATATATTTATATATTTATATATATTTATATATATTTATATATTTATATATATTTATATATATGTATATATATGTATATATATTTATATATATGTATATATATTTATATATATGTATATATATTTATATATATATTTATATATATATTTATATATATTTACATATATTTATTTACATATATTTATATATATTTACATATATTTACATATATTTTTATATATTTACATATATTTATATATATTTACATATATTTACATATATATTTACATATATTTTTATATATTTTATATATATTTATATATATATTTTTATATATTTTTATATATATATTTTTATATTTTTATATATATATATATATATATATGTATGTATGTATATTTGAGACAGGGTCTCGCTCTATTGCCCAGGCTGGAGTGCAGAGTGGCATGAGCTTGACTAAGTGCAGCCTCACCCTCCTGGGCTCAAGTGATCCTCTCACCTTAGCCTCCTGAGTAGCTGGGACTGTAGGCAACGCACCATCATGCCTGGCTAATTTTGTTCATTTTTTGTAGAGACAGGGTCTCACTATGTTGCCTAGGCTGGTCTCAAATTCCTGGCCCCAAGTGATCCTCCCACCTTGGCCTCCCAAAGTTCTGGGATTGCAAGACTGAGCCACTACGCTCAGCCTTAGCTTTGTTATTAATTTGGAAGGCTTTTACATCTGTTTCCCAACTGATGGGAGTAAAGACATGCCCTTGCTATGTAGGTCTAAGAAGCAGCTGCAGACATGGCTTACATACCCCCAGCCCCCATTCCTTCCTCTCTCAGTTGCTCTTCCTTGAACCATACCTGCCCCCCCCCTCCAACGTCCTCTTCTCTCTGCCCAAGGGCTGGCGTCTTGGTTGTTTTCTCTTTTAAGCCAGGCTCTAAGTGTTTACTTCTCTTGTTCTATAATGATTTCTCCCTTTCCCAGAGACATGTGACATTTTTCAGCTCCTTATTCTTTTTTCCAAGGGCCTTTATCTGCTCCACTCCCATCTCACCAAGGCCAACCACATTTGTTATCCTCAGAGGCATGCTTTTTATCCATTTTACCCTGTGCACAGCAGCTGGCCCCTACATAAATGAGCTACATTCTCAGCAGCTTTAAGGAAAGAAACTTGAAAGAAGGGGGAACCAAGAAGATATAAAGTTGGGCACCCCTTCTAATAAGGCTTCGAAAGCAGGGGTCACATGGAAAGGCAAGGACTTTCTTTTTTTTTTCTGAGATGGAGTCTCACTCTGTCACCAGAACGCAATGGCCTGATCTCAGCTGACTGCAACCTCCGCCTCCCAGGTTCAAGCAATTCTCCTGCCTCAGCCTCCCAAGTAGCTGGGACTATAGGCACGCACTACCACACCGAGCTAATTTTTGTATTTTTAGTAGACATGGGTTTTCGCCATGTTGGCCAGGCTGGTCTCAAACTCCTGACCTCAAGTGGTCCACCCGCCTCGGCCTCCCAAAGTGCTGGGATTATAGGCATAAGCCACCACTCCCAGCCGACTCTGTCTTTAAAAAAAAAAAAAAATCCGTATTCCTTTTCGTGTTTTTATGGGTCATGGGGTTGTCAGAAAAAGGAAAATTCAAAAGAAACTGTTAACAGTGACCCACAATAGCTACAGTTAGGCACATGGTTTATAAACCTATGACTATATGGCCGGGTGCAGTGGCTCATGCCTGTCATCCCAGCACTTTGGGAGGCCAAGGTGGGTGCATCACTTGAGGTCAGGAGTTCAAGACCAACGTGCCCAACATGGTGAAACCCCGTCTCTACTGAAAAATAGAAAAATTAGCTGGGTGAGGTAATGGGTGCCTGTAATCCCAGCTACTGCAACAGCTGAAGCAGGAGAATTGCCTGAACCTGGGAGAAGGAGGTTGCAGTAAGCCGAGATCATGCCACTGCATTGCAGCCTGGGCAACCAAGCGAGACTCCGTCACAAAACAACAACAACAAAAAAAACCCTATGCCTATAAACTAAAGCTGACCTCTTGCCTGTGTGCCTGTGTAACTGGAGCTTGTTAAACATTTCACTGACAGGTACTGGGTATAAACTTGTTTATCTGAGGTAGAACAAAGACAGGCTGGAATCAGCCACCCTCCACCAGGCCCTAAGATGCCTAACCTTTCTCCTGACCCGCTCAACTGCTCTTTTACCTTATCTTATGTATACAGTCACGGAGCACCAATGAGAATCACAAAAATGTAACCCTTGCTTCTCTCCCCTCTTCTCCTACCTTCTGTGCCACACACATCCTCCTGTTTGAAAATGTGTATATACTGTGCCTTGCACAACCTACATTGGGACAGATTCTTGGTCTATATTGAGTATGTGTTCCCAGGCTTCAGTCCTCCAACTTGACTCAGAGTAAATCTAACCGTGATTTCTCTAAGTGCTAGCACTTGTAATTTCACTTTTTGGTTGGCAGGGTCACAGATTTTTTTCTCTCCTCCCTAAAGCTCTTCCCCTGGTCCACCCATCTTTTTTTACCTGCAGGTATATTTGCACAGAGAAACCAGAACTAACAAAAATCTACAGTTATGACCATTATCAATACCCAGTTTCGGAAAGTTTCTGTGGAAACTCCCTATGATCAGACAAAAATATTGGCCTGTGCATAGGAATTCAGTAGTGGCCATTTCAAAAGCAAAGTCTATAGAAAGATGTTAAAATGAAAATAAATACACTAGCCAAAAAAAAAAAAAAAAAAAAAAACCCCAGCTCAGCCAGGCGAGGTGGCTCATGCCTGTAATCCCAGCAATTCGGAAGGCTGAGGCAAGAGGATCACCTGAAGTCAGGAGTTCGAGACCAGCCTAGCCAACATGGTGAAATCCCGTCTCTACTAAAAATACAAAAATTAGCCAGGCATGGTGGTGTGTGCCTGTAATCCCAGCTACTTGGGAGGCTGAGGCAGAAGAATTGCTTGAACCCAGGAGGTGGAGCTTGCAATGAGCCAAGATCGTGCCATTTGCACTCCAGCCTGGCAACAAGAATGAAACTCCATCTCAAAAAAAAGAAAGAAAAGAAAAAGAAAGAAAAGAAAAAAAAAATAGGCTGAATTGCAAATACAACAAAGACAAGTGGAAATTTATAGCCCAGAAACAGGGTAGGGATCCATGAGTGGAAAATTAGCTAAAGGAAACATTAGTGGTAAGAGAAGAGGATTCTGGCTAAATGGACCTAACAGGACTCTTGCTGCAGGTAAGCCAGGGTGATCTGGAATGTGATCAGATATCCAGGGTTGAGGATTCTGGCTAAACTGACTTAGCAGGATTCTTGCTAAAATTGGGCGATACAAAAAAAAAAAAAACACCATGGAAGTCCAAGAGTTGAGACCTAACTGGGAAGAGGATTTCGATGAATCTCCCTAAAGCTTGGTCAAGGGGAGGCTCTTTGTCAATCCTTAAGACAACTACTCTAGCCAACCACAGTGGCTCATGCCTGTAATCTCAGCACTTAAGGAGGTCGAGGCGGGTGGATCATTTGAGGTCAGTGGTTTGAGAACAGCCTGGCCAACATGGTGAAACCCCATCTCCACTAAAAATACAGAAGTTAGCTGGATATAAAAGTGTTATTCTCTTTTATAAATGAGAACATTGAGGGGTACAGAGGGCTACTAGCTGTGGCATTCAGTATACCATGCTTAGCCAGGAGATTTTATGGAGGGAATGGTGGGTGTAGGTCAATCTGCCATACATGCAGCCACTTCTTCTCAATCAGTGGTCACTTAATCCTCTCCTTGTACCTCAACTTCATTTAGAGGATAATTAACTACCGTAGGAGTGAAAAGGTAATAAGTTATCCTCACCCATTACAAGGGTCATTGCCAACACTCCTACAACAAAAGACAGATTAATAAGAGAAAAACATAACAAATGAATTTAACAAAATTTTGCATGACACGAGAGCCTTCAGAAACAAAGACCCAGAGGAAACTGTATTTTTATGCTGAGATTCACTGGAAAATGAACAGTTGTGTACAAAGATGATTTGACAAGAAGAGTATGATCTACTGTTAATAAACTGGGGGTGGTGCAGGGCCTCTGGGCATAGAGCAGGATCTCTCTGGAATTGTCACCAGAAAGGGGTTCCTTTCCAGACCCCAAGAGAGGGTTCTTGGATTTCACTCAAGAAAGAATTTAGGGCGAGTCCATAGAGTAAAGTGAAAGCAAGTTTACTGGAAAATTTAAAAAAATAAACAAATGGTCCAGGCATGGTGGTTCATGCCTGTAATCCCAGCACTTTGGGAGGCTAAGGCAGGTGGATCACCTGAGGCTGGGAGTTGGAGACCAGCCTGACCCACATGGAGAAACCCCGTCTCTACTAAAAATACAAAAATTAGCCAGGTGTGGCTCTGGGTGCCTGTAATCCCAGCTACTCAGGAGGCTGAGGCAGGAGAATCACTTGAACCCAGGAGGCGGAGGTTGTGGTGAGCCGAGATCACGCCATTGTATTCCAGCCTAGGCGACAGAGTGAGACTCCATCTCAAAAAATAAAAAAAATAAATAAAAGAATAGCTATTATTCCATAAGCAGAGCAGCCCCAAGGGCTGCTGGTTGCCCATTTTTGTGGTTATTTCTTGATGATATGCTAAACAAGGGGTGGATTATTCATGCTTCCTCTTTTTAGACCATATAGGGTAACTTCCTGACGTTGCCATGGCATTTGTAAACTGTCATGGTGCCGGTGGGAGCATAGCGATGAGGACACCCAGAGGTCACTCTCATCGCCATCTCGGTTTTGGGTTTTAGCCAGCTTCTTTACTGGAAGCTATTTTATCAGCAAGGTCTTTATGACCTGTATCTGGTGCCAACCTCCTATCTCATCCTGTGACTAAGAATGCCTTAGCCTCCTGCAAAAGCCGCCCAGTAAGTCTCAGCCTCATTTTACCCAGTTCCTATTTAAGATGGAGTTGCTCTGGTTCAAGTGCCTCTGACAGAATGAGGATCTTAGGTCCTACTTTCAGGCAAGGTAATGTAACTGTGTAACAGATTCTCCTTGCCCACTGCCTCGACAGAGCCAATTTAAACTGATGCATTAAGACAGGGGAATTGCAATAAAGAAAGAGTTTAATTCACACTGAGCCAGCTGTACGAGAGACCAGAGTTTTAATATTACTCAAATCAGGCTGCCCAGAAACTCAGGGATTGGGGTTTTTAAGGATAATTGGATGGGTGGACATTTGGAAGGTGGAGAGTGCTGATTGGTTAGGTCAGAGATGAAGTCATAGGGAGTGGAAGCTGTCCTTTTGCGCTGAGTCAGTTACTGGGTAGGGGCCACTAGACCAGATGAGCCAGTCTATCGATCTGGGTGGTACCAGCTGATCCATCAGGTACAAGGTCTGCAAAATATATCAAACACTGATCTTACGTTTTATGATAGTGATGTTACCCCCAGGAGCAATTTGGAGAGGTTCAGAATCTTGCACCCTCTAGCTACATGACCCCTAAACCATAATTTCTAATCTTGTGGCTAGTTTGTTGGTCCTGCAAAGGCAGTCTAGTCCCCAGGCCGGAAGGGGGTTTGTTTTGGGAAAAGGCTGTTATCATCTTTGTTTCTAAGTTAAACTATAAATTAAGTTTCTCCCATAGTTTAGCCTATGCCCAGGAATGAACAAGGACAGCTTGGAGGAGAGAACCAAGATGGAGTCGGTTGGGTCAGATCTCTTTCACTGTTATAATTTTCTCAGTTATAATTTTTGCAAAGGCACTTGCAATCAGCCAGAGAATTCCTTTATGGCCGGCTCTCACACTGAAAGGTAGGGGAGGGTCAGAGCCGCTTTCTTGCTTCTGAGGCTATTTCAGTTGCCAAGATGCCACATATCGGAGTATCATGTTCTGAGAACCAACAGGAGTAACCTTCAAGGCCTCTCAAGGTGAAACTCACATATTCTTTGTTTTGTTTTGAAACAGGGTCTCGCTCTGTCACCCAGGCTGGAGTGCAGTTGCATGATTATAGCTCACTGCAGCCTCCAACTCCTGGGCTCAATCGATCCTCCCGTCTCAGCCTCCCAAGTAGCTGAAACTACAGGCATGTGCCACCACACCCAGCTAATTTTTTTTATCTTTATTTTTATTTTTTGAGATAGAATTTCACTCTGTCACTCAGGCTAGAGTGCAGTGGTGCAATATTGGCTCACTGCAGCCTCTGCCTCCCGCGTTCAAGTGGTTCTCCTGCCTCAGCCTCCCAAGTAGCTGGGACTACAGGCGTGCACCACCTCACCCAGCTGATTTTTTTATTTTTAGGAGGGACAGGGTTTCACCATGTAGGCCAGGCTGGTCTCAAACTCCTGACCTCGAGTGATCCACCTGCTTCAGCCTCCCAACGTGCTGGGATTACAGGCATGAGCCACCACACCCGGCCACCCAGCTAATTTTTAATTTTTTTGTAGACAACGCCTTGCTGTGTTGCCCAGGGTAGTCTCAAATTCCTGGGCTTAAGGATCCTCCTGCCTTGCCCTCCCAAAGTGCTAGGATTGTAGGTGTGAACCACCATGCCCAGCCAGAACCCACATATTCTTCTTTGCCTGTATTCCAAGTGAAGAGCATCAGGACATGCTACCCTAAAATATGCCACTTTGACATAAGAATTATTTTGAGCTGAAGGCATTTCATTTTCTAAAACCCCTAAAATAAGTCAAAGAAACTCAATTGTCATAAATCCCCTTCCCAGGAACAATTCTACTCTTCTCAGAGAGGAGTCGCCAGCACACCCAAGCACTCATTGTCACAAGACCATCATATCTCCTATCTGTTCTCATAAGGGCCCATTCATCCTTCCAAAAAGTCATTTGCTTTTCCATAAATGCCCTTTCACTGCCCCCTCCCACCTGTCCTCTGCTAAGTTAGGTATTATAGAGCCCCCAATTTTTATGTATTAGTTATTATTATTATTATTATATTTTTGAGATGAAGTTTCACTCTTGTTTCCCAGGCTGGAGTGCAATGGTGTGATCTCAGCTTTTTGCAACCTCTGCCTCCTGAGTTCAAGCGATTCTCTTGCCTCAGCCTCCCGAGTAGCTGGGATTACAGGCGCCCGCCACTAGGCCCTGCTAATTTTTGTATTTGTAGTAGAGACGGGGTTTCACCATGTTGGCCAGGCTGGTCTCAAACTCCTGACCTCAGGTGATCCACCCTCCTCGGCCTCCCAAAGTGCTAGGATTACAGGCATGAGCCACCATGCCCGGCCTATTATTATTTTTTTGAGACAGGGTCTCATTCTGTCACCCAGGGTAGAGTGCAGTGGTGCAATCATGACTCACTGCAGCTTCAACCTGGCCTAGAGCCCAGATTCTAACCACTGCTTTTGTCAGAGGCCTTAAAACCAGCATGCCTCCATCTTGAGTGAGGGCTAGGAAAATGAGGCTGGGACTTACGGGGCTGCATTCCCAGAAAGGTATTCCTAGCCTCTAGATGTTTACAGTTAAGGGAACAGATTGATAGTGTTTACCGAACAGACTCAGACTTGGGAGTGTCCAGATATCCCGATATCTGGAGAGCAAAGGCATCCCTAATTTTGGTTTAAAGATAATAGGCCTGGCATGGTGGCTCACACCTGTAATCCCAGCACTTTGGGAGGCTGAGGTGGGCAGATCACCTGAGGTCAGGAGTTCCAGACCAGCCTGGCCAACATGGCGAAACCCCGTCTCTACTGAAAATACAAAAATTAGCTGGGCATGGTGGTAAACACCTGTACTCCTGGTTACTCGGGAGGCTGAGGCAGGGGAATCGCTTGAATCTGGGAGGCAGAGATTGCAGGGAGCTGAGATAGCACCACTGCAATCCAGCTTGGGTGACAGAGCAAGATTCTTTTTTTTTTTTTTTTTTTGAGACAGAGTCTCACTCTGTTGCCCAAGCTGGAGTGCAGTGGCCCCATCTCGGCTCCACCTCCCGGGTTCATGCCATTCTCCTGCCTCAGCCTCCCGAGTAGCTGGGACTACAGGTGCCCACCACCACGCCCAGCTAATTTTTTTAGTAGAAACGGGGTTTCACCACGTTAGCCAGGATGATCTCGATCTCCTGACCTCGTGATCCTCCTGCCTCGGCCTCCCAAAGTGCTGGGATTACAGGCATGAGCCACTGCGCCCGGCTGCAAGACTCTTATCTCAAAAAGAAAATAATAAAAATAGGCCGGGCATGGTGGCTCACGCCTGTAATCCCAGCACTTTCGGAGGCCAAGCTGGGCAGATAACCTGAGGCCTGGAGTTTGAGACCAGCCTGACCAACATGGAGAAACCCCATCTCTACTAAAAATACAAAATTAGCCAGGCATGGTGGTGCATGCCTGTAATCCCAGCTACTCGGGAGGCTGAGGCAGGAGAATCGCTTGAACCTGGGAGGTGGAGGTTGCAGTGAACCGAGATTGCACCATTGCACTCCAACCTGGGCGACAGAGTGGAACTCCGTTCAAAGAATAAAAAAAAAAAAAAAAAAAAAAGCCCCAGAACTTGTGACATTAACCTGTGCTTGCAGATGTGCTTGCTTACAGAAATGAAGGCCGGATGTCAGTAACCACAAACGAGCCACAGGATAAGAACTGTGGCTCCCAAGTCTGAGTCTGTATAGTAAACACTACCATCCTGCTACCCGGACCTGAATCCTTGCTTTTTCGCTGTATGAAAATATTCACCTGGGATGGGGAGAAATGTGCTTTGCTAGGCATATATAGTGCCAGTGGAAAAGAAAGAAGGAGACTGTGCATGCTCCAGTTCTCCCTGGAAGGTCCCACCTTTTTCCATAAATCACCACCCCCCAGTCTCCACCTACATGTTCTAAGAGACCTTAAAAACCCCCCTTCACCATACCCTCAGGGAGAAGGTGCTTTGAGCATGTGCTCTACTTCTCCATTTCTTTTCTTTTCTTTTCTTTTCTTTTCTTTTTTTTTTTTTTGAGACAGAGTTTTGCTCTGTCGCCCAGGCTGGAGTGCACTGGTGCAATCTCGCCTCACTGCAACCTCCGTCTTGCGGGTTCAAGCAATTCTCCTGCCTCAGCCTCCCAAGTAGCTGGGATTACAGGCACCCACCACCATGCCCAGCTAATTTTTTTTATTTTCTGTACAGATGGGATTTCACCATGTTGGCCAGGCTGGTCTCGAACTCCTGACTTCAGGTGATCCACCTGCCTCAACTTCCCAAAGTACTGGGATTACAGGTGTGAGCCACCACGCCCGGCCTGAAATTTTTTTTTTTTATCAACACGGAACTCCAAAAGTTGAAACCTACTGGACAAAGAGTTTAGGAGAACCTGAGTAGAGTTTGGTGAAGAAGAGAATCTCTGTCACAGGTCATTTGAGTGTTTGAATAGAGCATTGTTCTACGCTTGACATCGGGGACTCTATCTTGGGCTACTGACCCCAGACTGAACTAATGATGAACTTTTTTTTTTTTTTTTTTTTTGAGACAGAGTCTCTGTCTCCCACGCTGGAGTGCAGTGGCACGACTATGGCTCAGTGGCTCACTGCAGCCTCAACCTCCCAGGCTTATGCAATCCTCCTGTCTCAAACTCCTGAGTAGCTGGAACGACAGGTGTGCACCACCACACCCAGCTAATATTTTTGTATTTTTTGTAGAGACAGAGTTTCACCATGTTGCCCAGGCTGGTCTTGAACTCCTGGGCTAATCTGCCTGCCTCAGCCTCCCAAAGTACTAGGATTTTAGGTGTGAGCCACTGTGCCTAGATTGGGTGGTGGACTTTGAGACCCACAAAGAACTGTGAAAAACAGTTCTCTCACAAACAACCATGCTCTCGACAATATACAATACAAGGAATCTGGTCCTAATCTTTAGGGACAGTCTGTGTAGTTTTTTCCTAACTGACCCAAATGTACCCTTCCACTAATGACTAACAACTTCTTTGCTTAATCCATCAATAAAATAATCTGGTAATTTATGTCATCTGAAAAATTTCCTATAAGCCTTTCTTGTCCCTCTTGGGTGGTGGTCTCTGGGGCCTGGTTGCAACCCCCATTCCTGAATAAATGCTTATTTGCCTCTGACCTGTTGATTCCTTTTTTTTTCTTTCTTTCTTTTCTTTCTTTCTTTCTTTTTTTTCTGATAGTCTGGACAAAATCTGAACAGAATTTACAGAAAAGTAGAAGAGAGAATAATTGAAGCATCTCTTATTGGGTCAGGTGCAGTGGCTCACTCCTGTACTCCCAGAACTTTAGGAGACTGAGGCGAGAGTATCACTTGAACCCAGGAGTTCAAGACCAGCCTGGACAACAGAGCAACACCCCGTCTCTACAAAAAGTAAACAATAAATTAGCTAGGCTTGTTGTGCGCGTCTATAACCCAGCTACTCAGGAAGCTGAGGCAGAAGGAGCACTTGAGCCCAGGAGCCTGAGGCTGCAGTAAGCTATGATGGAATGACTGCACTACAGCCTGGGCAACAGAGTGAGACTTGTCTCCAAAAAAATAAAAATTTAAAAGAAAATCTTATCTCTGGATTGCCTCCTGTACTCCTCCTTCTATGTCAGCCTTGGAGGTGCGTGTTTACAGTTCCAAGGATCAGAAAGCCCATAATTTTTTTTTTTTTTTTTGAGACGGAGTCTCGCTCTGTGTCGCCCAGGCTGGAGGGCAGTGGTGTGATCTCGGCTCACTGCAACCTCCACCTCCCGGGTTCAAGCGATTCTCCTGCCTCAGCCTCCTGAGTAGCTGAGATTACAGGTGCGTGCCACCATGCCCAGCTAATTTTTGTATTTTTAATAGAGACAGGGTTTCACCATGTTGGTCAGGCTGGTCTCAAACTCCTGACCTTATGATCACCGGTCTCCTCAGCCTCCCAAAGTGCTGGGATTACAGGCATGAGCCACTGTGCCTGGCCTCAGAAAGCCCATGATTTTGTGCTATGAAATCAAAAGGCTGGACCTTGTAAAGGAGCCAGTGGTCACCTCCAGCTCCCCTTTAGCTCCTATGTGGGCTCTTTGGCTGGATCTAGACACCAAATTGACACCATGCAGATTAACAAAAGTATATACATTTTATTAGTTTTACCTGTACATGGGGGTCTTCATAATAGCGTGAAGTTCAAACAAGTGGCTAAAGATAGATGCTTGTATACTATTTGTACACTATTTAGATTACATTTGAGAAGAAATGACAGGAAAACCTGGCTAGGGCAATAAATTTTCTAGGGGAGTTGCTAGGAGATATATGGGGGTGTCAAACAGTGGAAGATAAAGATTGTTTCATTAAGTATGTTTATTCAGGTCCATCACAGTCCCCAATTCCCAGTCTCTGGTGATAAGGGCTATTTTCTCACCCTGGTATGTGACAGCCCTCCTCCCAGAGGAATTTTTATGGCCTGCTGCATGCACAAAGAGAGAGGTCAGTTAGCCCTTTTTAATTTTTTTTTTTAGAGCAAGGTCTTGCTCTTGCTCTGTCACCAGGCTGGAGTGCAGTGGCATGATCATAGCTCACTACAGCCTCAAACTCCTGGGCTCAAACCATCCTCTTGCCTCAGCCACTCAAGTAGCTGTGATTACAGGCATGCTCCACCAAGCCCAGATAATTATTTCACTTTTCTTTTTATAGAGATAGGGTCTTGCTATGTTGCCTAGCTGGTCTCAAACTCTTGGGCCCAACCAATCTTCCTGCTCGTGAAGAATCACATTCTTGGGCCCGAGCACGGTGACTGACACCTGTAATCCCAGCACTATGGGAGGCCAAGGCAGGCACATCACTTGGGCTCAGGACTTCAAGACCAGCCTGGCCAACATGATGAAACCCCTTCTGTACTAAAAACACAAAAATTAGCTGGACGTAGTGGTGTGTGCCTGTAATCCCAGCTACTCAGGAGGCTCAGACAGGAGAACTGCTTGAATCTAGGAGGCGGAAGTTGCAGTGAGCTGAGATCACGCCACTACGCTCCAGCCTGGGCAATAGAGCAAGATTCCATCTAAAAAAAAGAATCATTTTTTTGTTTCTTGTGAAGATCCCCATGTACATGTAAAACTAATAAAATGTGGGCCGGATGGGGTGGCTCATGCCTGTAATTCCAGCACTTTGGGAGGCTGAGGTGGGCAGATCACAAGGTCAAGAGATCGAGATCATCCTGGCCAACATGGTGAAACCCCGTCTCTACTAAAAATACAAAAATTAGCTGGGCGTGATGGCGCATACCTGTAGTCCCAGCTGCTTGGGAGGCTAAGGTAGGAGAATCGCTTGAACCCGGGAGGCGGAGGTTGCAGTGAGCCGAGATCGCACCACTGCCCTCCAGCCTGGGTGACACAGAGAGAGACTCCGTCTCAAAAAAAAAAAAAAGTGTATATTTCCTCTTGAGTGGGTGTGGTGATGCACACCTACAGACCCAGCTACTCAGGAAGCTGAAGTAGGACAAATGCTTGGGCCCAGGAGGTGAAGGCTGCAGTGAGCTGTGATTGCGCCATTGCACTCCAGCCTGGGCAACAAAATGAGACTCTATCTCAAAATAAATAAAACAAGCAAACATACCAACCACAATTTCATCAATGTTTTCAACTCGAAATAATCAATATGCCAATCTAGCATATTTTGGGTTGGCACGTTCTTCACTCCTTCAACTTTTTGTGGGGCCTGTTATGTTTTTAAGGAGACACCCTGGGAGGAAGGAGGAGAAGGCCATCGCCTCCCCCCTCATTATTAAACAAAAAAAAGGTTGCTCCCCTTGTCCCTCCTCTGTCCCACTGGTGCCTCTTCTGTCAATTCTGCCAAGATTCCACCCTCAACTCCAAATCAAGAAATGCATCTGAGGCCACTATATGTGTAAAAAACCTTCCTGAAGGGCAGGAGAACTCAGGAGGCATTATACATTTCATCCATGCACTATCAACCAACACTGGGGAGCCACAAACAAAGGGAGGGACTTTTATTTTATTTTATTTTTATTTTTTTGACACAGAGTCTCGCTTTGTCATCCAGGGTAGAGTCCAGTGGCACGATCTCAGCTTACTGAAAGCTCTGCCTCCAGGGGTTCAAGTGATTCTCCTGCCTCAGCCTCCCGAGTAGCTTGGATTACAGACATGCGCCACCACACCCGGCTCATTTTGTATTTTTAGTGGAGACGGGGCTTCACCATGTTGGCCAGGCTGGTCTCGAACTCCTGACCCTGTGATCTGCCCATGTCGGCTTCCCAAAGTGCTGGGATGACAAGCGTGAGCCACCGTGCCCCGCCCATTTTATTTTTGAGACAGAGTCTCGATCTGTCACCCAGGCTGGAGTGCAGTGGAGTGATCTCAGCTCCATGCAATCTCCACCTCCCAGATTCAAATGATTCTCCCACCTCAGCCTCCTGAGTAGCTGGGACTACAGGCATCCGCCATCATGCCCGGCTAATTTTTGTATTTTTGTAGAGATGGGGTTTCCCCATGTTGGCCAGGCTGGTCTGGCATTCCTGACCTCAGGTGATCCACCATCCTTGGCCTCCCAAAGTGCTGGAATTACAGGCGTGAGTCACTGCACCTGGCCCAGGAAGGCATTTTAATCAGGGTTTTTATGCATTGCAATTTGGGAGAAACAAATCTAGCAAGTAGCTAAAACGTGTTTCAGCCAGGCAAGACTCTAGGCAGGGGTTTCTAAAGGTTTACTGCAAGTTTACCTAAGCGGAAGACAGTAGCACAGTCTGTGATTGACACATGACCTGTCAACCTCAAAGGGAGAAGCTGAGACAATATTAATATAAAGTTTATTTGGGTCAAGGTTGAGGGCAGCAGTCCAGGACACACTTCCAACTTGCTGTGGGGCGTGCTCCAGAGGACATTAGAGAGGCTGAAGTTTTTAAAGAAAAAATAACCAATGAGGAGAGAGGGTGATTACAAACATTGTTAGGAATTCTCATGGGTTTACAGAAATAACATTGGCTAGTGATTGGCTATATATTGGTGAACTGTAGGGCATTTGGTATTTTAGGGGTACGTGGCCTTAGTTAAGTGTAGAAGCCACACAGCAAGTGGCTTCAAGAGGTGATTATTATTTGGCTGGGTGCAGTGACTCAAGCCTGTAATCCCAGCACTTTGGGAGGTTGAAGTGGGAGGATGACTTGAGCCCAGGAGTGTGAGACCAGCCTGGGCAACATAGGGCGACTATATCTCTGCTGAAAACTTTTTAAAAATTTAGCCGGACATGGTGGTGCACACCTGTAGCCCCAGCTACTCAGGGGTGAAAGCCAGAGGATTGCTTGGGCCTAAGAGTTTGAGACCAGCCTAGACAACACAGTGAGACCCTGTCTCTACAAAAAATTTAAAAATTAGCCATGCATGCTGGTGTGTGCTTGCAGTCCCAGCTACTCAGGAGGCTGAGATGGGAGGATCACTTGAGCCCAGGAGGGGGAGGCTGCAGTGAGCTGTGACGGTGCCACTGCAGTCCAGCCTGGGCCACAGAGGCGGACCCTGTCTCTGAAAAAAAAAAATAAAAAATAAGGTGATTATTAATTCAAAGGGAAGTAACCTAACTGCTGTTTCATTTCAATGCCTCTTTGGCCTGATGGCTTAAAGGGGCCTGTATTCCTTGAATAAAACATTTCTTCTTGTTTTTTTCATTTGTTTGTTTTTTCCTCCCCCTATAGGCCAGCTGACAGCTTAGAAAGACTCTAGGCCATGATCAGCTTAAAATTCAGCACAGCTGTGTCTTCAGGAGGTTCGTGATCTGCCCCAGTGTGAGCAGTTCAAACCCAATGAAGCTGCTTCTCCAGAACGTTTGCGATCTGGCCCAGTTCAAACAGGTCAGATCCCTCTGGATCCATATATGACTGAGGGCCAACTTTTGCCCTCCTGGCTCCTTGACAGAGACCTCCGACAAATCATCTCCACGTTGGCTTTCTTTCTTTTTTTTTTTTTTTGAGACGGAGTTTTGCTCGTTTCCCAGACTGGAGTGCAATGGCGCAATCTCGGCTCACCGCAACCTCCGCCTCCTAGGTTCAAGCGATTCTCCTGCCTCAGCCTCCTTAGTAGCTGGGATTACAGGCATGTGCCACAATGCCCAGCTAATTTTGTATTTTTAATAGAGACAGGGTTTCTCCATGTTGGCCAGGCTGGTCTCGAGCTCCCGACCTCAGGTGATCCGCCCACCTCGGCCTCCCAAAGTGCTGGGATTGCAGGCGTGAGCCACCACGCCTGGCCTCCATGTTGGATTTCTTTTCACAGCACTGTGTCAAAATATAGCAGGAATTATTGCAACAGCAACTGTTATTAATCACACCGTAGAGCAAATCATAAGAAAACTGCAAGAACATCTTTTTTTTTTTTTTTTTTTTTTTGAGACAGGGTCTCACTTTGTCTCCCAGGCTGCAGTGCAGTGGCATGATCAGGGTTCCCTGCAGCCTTGACCTCCCAGGCTCAAGTGATTCTTCCACCTTAGCCTCCTGAGTAGCCGGGACTACAGGTGAGCGCCACCAGGTCCTGCGAATTTTTGTAGTTTTCATAGACACAAGATTTTGCCATGTTGTTCAGGCTGGTCTCAAACTCCTGGGCTCAAGCTAACCTCACAAAGTGCTGAGATTAGAAGTGTGAGCCACCATGCCTGGCACCAGAAGATCTTATATGCCATACGTCTTTATATATTCACAGTAGCAATGGGTAAGTATATTCCGGTAACATTTTTCAAAACTTCCCCACCCACAGCCAACCCTCCACCCTTGCTATTCTTTTTTTTTTTTTTTTTTTTTTTTTGAGATGGCATCTCTCTCTGTCACCCAGGGTGGAGTGCAGTGGCGCGATCTTGGCTCGCTGCAACCTCCGCCTCCTGGGTTCACGCCATCCTCCTGCCTCAGCCTCTCCAAGTAGCTGGGACTACAGGCGCCCTCCACCACGCCTGGCTAATCTTATTTTTTTGTGTGTATTTTTAGTAGAGACAGGGTTTCACCGTGGTCTCGATCTCCTGACCTCGTGATCCGCCCGCCTCAGCCTCACAAAGTGCTGGGATTACAAGCATGAGCCACTGCGCCCAGCACTTTTTTTTTTTTTTTTTGAGGCAGAGTCTTGTTCTGTCATCTGGGCCAGAGTGCAGTGGCATGATCTAGGCTCACTGCAACCTCTGCCTCCTGGGTCCCAGTGATTCTCCTGCCTCGGCCTCCCCAGTAGCTGGGATTACAGGCATGCACCACCACACCCAGCTAACTTTTTATATTTTTGGTAGAGATGGGGTTTCACCGCATTGGCCACGCTGGTCTCAAACTCCTGACCTCAAGTGATCCGCCCACCTCAGCCTCCCAAAGGGCTGGGATTACAGGTGTGAGCCACTGCACCTGACCCAAGTTCTTTAAGTGCACTTCCTCTTAAGTGCACTTCCAAAATTCACATCCAAAATAGTTTTAAAACTAAATTGATTTTTTTCCCCAGTGAACTCATTTGGTAGCAAAGCCTGACTTGTGACTATTTATGGTGTGGAGGAGGAAAAACTTTTCCTCTACCCTTTTAGGTTCTTTTGGGTGGTGGGGGGTGTGGCGGACTGCGAATTAAGGTGAAGAAAGCTAGATTAACACGAGAAAAACGGCTTATATGTATGCAATACAGGAGCCAACAAAAGAAGTAGCTTGCAGGCCGGGCGCGGTGGCTCACGCCTGTAATCCCAGCAATTTGGGAGGCTGAGGTGGGTGAATCACCTGAGGTCAGGAGTTCAAGGCCAGCCTGGCCAACATGGCGAAACCCCATCTCCACTAAAAATACAAAAATTAGCTGGGTGTAGTGGCACACACCTGTAATCCCAGCTACTTGGGAGGCCGTGGCAGGAAGACTGCTGCAACCCAGGAGGCAGAGGTTGCAGTGAGCCAGGATCACGCCACTGCACTCCAGCCTAGGCAACAGAGTGAGATTCCGTCAAAAAAAAAAAAAAAAGAAGTAGCTTGCTGACCAGGTGCAGTGGCTCAAGCCTACAATCTAGAAATTTGGGAGGCTGAAGCGGGGAATTGCTTGAGCTCAGAAGTTTGAGACCAGCCCAGGCAATATGGTGAGACCCCATCTTTACAAAAAAAAAAAAAATTAGCTGGCTGTGGTGGCATACACCTGCATCAACTACTGGGGAGGCTGAGGGGTGAAAGGATTGCTTGAGCCTGGGAGGTCGAGGCTGCAGTGAGCCATGATCATGCCACTGCACTCCAGTCTGGATGACAGAGTGAGAATGTCTCAAAAAAAAAAAAGTGGCTTGTACATTAAATGATTAGAGTTAAAGGCTTATACACCTAAGGGAAAAGGGAGGGGAGAGAAAAGGCTCTTATGAGAAGAACAAATAGGTTTCTTTAGGAAAGATAAATAGGATTTTAGGAGAAAAAATGAGAAGTAAAGTCTGCGGTAATGTTTGTTTATGCAGGTGCAAGTGTCTTTCTTGTTCTTGGCTATGATGCTCTCAAAGAGAGAGGGTTTATGGTAGCCTTATTTCCCAGAAGATGCTGCTTTTAGTCAAATGAAGGCAGCTCCCAGAAGGCTTCTTTCCACATCTGTTGAATCTCAAATGTCTTCAGCTTAAAATAATAAGCAAGCTAGGGCTGGCTGTCAGCTGGGAACCCAGCCAGGTCTGGGAGGGAGGGGTTCAGTTCCTTTCCACACCAGCTCTCTGCAGGCTATACGGGCTTCCTCACAGCATGGTGGCTGGGTTCCTAGACCAAGGGACAAGAAGCAAAAGCTGCCCCTGTCTAAAGGTGGGCCCAGAAGCTAGCACAGCATCAATTCTACTTCATTCTAGTGGTTGAGTCATTAAATATGAGTATCCACAGGCCTGGCGGGGTGGCTCACGCCTATAATCCCAACACTTTGGGAGGCCGAGGTGGGCAGATCACGAGGTCAAGAAATCGAGACCATCTGGCCAACATGGTGAAACCCCATCTCTACCAAAAATACAAAAATTAGCTGGGCATGGTGGCATGCACCTGTAGTCCCAGATACTCGGGAGGCTGAGGCAGGAGAATTGCTTGAACCTGGGAGGCGGAGGTTGCGATGAGCTGAGATTGTACCACTGTACTCCAGCCTGGGTGACAGACCGAGAGTCCGTCTCAAAAAAAAAAAAAAAAAAAAAAAAGATCACCAGTCACAGATCTTGATGGGGGCAGGGCCATGGAATTTCAGGATCTGGTTTTAAATTGCCATACGGCCCTATTCATTCTTCAAGTAGAAGTTCCAATACCATCCCTTCCAAGAAGTTTCCTACACTCTTGAAAGAGTGCATGGGACTGGGCACAGTGGCTCATAACTGTAATTGCAGCACTTAGGGAGGCTGAGGTAGGAGGATTGCTTGAGGCTGGCAGTTTGACACCAGCCTAGGGAACATGGCGAGAGCCTGTCTCTACAAAAAATGAAAAGTGAAAATTAGGCTAATTTTGTACACCTGTAGTCCTAGCTACTCAGGAGGCTGAAGTGAGAGGATTGCTTGAGCCCAGGAGTTTGAGGCTGCAGTGTGGTATGATCATACTCCAGCCTGGGTGGTAGAGTGAGACCTTGTCTCTTAAAAAAAAAAAAATCTTCTAAAAAAGTGCAAAGTGCTCCTCCTTTGTGTTTACCTGCAGTGCATAGTGTTACACACATCTTTATAAGGGAACACCTGAGTAGGATTAGTGTGAGCAACAAGGCTGTTTACTTGGGTGCAAGTCGGCTGAGTCTGAGAAAGGAGTCAATGAAGGGTGGTGGGAGTGGAACTGGTTTTATAGGTTTGGGGTAGGAAGAGGAAAGTTACATTTAGGGGCAGTTTTTTTGGGCAGGGGAAGAATGTCATAAGATGCATAGTCATGAGGTAGGGGGAGGTCACAAGGCACCGTATCACAAGGTCGATTGATTAGTTAGGGTAGGGCAGGAACATATGACAATGGTGGAATGTTGCAAATTTGGTTAATCAGTTAAGGCAGGAACTAGCTGTTTCTTCTTCTTTAGTGGTTCTCTTGTTGCTCCAGGCTTTGTGACTCCAGGAGGCCTGTATGTGTGGGTCACAGGGGTCACAATGGCTTGACCATGGTGTAGCCCATTCAGAGGACCTTACATGTAGAGAACCTTACTTTTTTAAGAATTAACTTTAAGGTGGTATTGAAGCAGAAGACATAAAAAGAAAAACAAGTTTTCCTGTACTAGGCTGACTCACTCAAAGGCCCAGCAATGGGCAGGGCTCTGTTGGGACTTTGATAGCACTATCTACAGAGGCAGGGCCCAGAAGGGATGGGATCCAGAGCCTCTCCCTCCCATCCCAGAGCAGGGATGAAGAAAACAAGTTTTTCTTTCAGCTTCCCCCTTCAGATTCTTCCCCCTTACCGTTGTTCCTTGTTCTGTTCTCATAATTATTTTTGCAAGTTTTGTAAGTTCCTGTTTTTCCCTTCTGTGCAGCACGGCAAGGTCACAAGATAAGTTTGAGTTCTAAAACCTATCACTGTTTGACAAACTGCCTTTGTTCTGCTTCTGTAAGCTCGCTTGCCTGCTCTACAGGTTTCGCGCCATCAAACCGGCCAACCCCATTTCAGATGCATGTATAAAAGTCAAGCCCTGTCTTTGCTCAGGGCTCAGCCTTTGGATGTTAATCCACTGGGCTGGTGCTCACCTAATAAAATCCTCATGTCCCACCCATTGGTCTCTCCTGTCCCTTGATTCCTGCAACAGTGTAACTTATAATAAAATTCCCCTATTTTGGCTGGGCACAGTGGCTCATGCCTGTAATCCCAGCACTTTGGGAGGCTGAGGTGAGTAGGTCACCTGGGGTCAGGAGTTTGAAACCAGCCTGGCCAACATGGTGAAACCCCATCTCTGCTAACATACAAAAATTAGCCAAGTGTGGTGGCAGGCACCTGTAATCCCAGCTACTTGGGAGGCTGAGGCACAAGAATGGTTTGAACCTGGGAGGCGGAGGTTACAGTGAGCCAAGATAATGCCACTACACTCCAGACTGGGCAACCGAGCAACACTCTGTCACAAAAAAAAAAAAAAAAAAAAAAAAAAACCTATTTTAAAAAGTATACAGGTCAGGTGTGGTGGCTTACACCTGGAATCCCAGCACTTTGGGATGCCAAGGCAGGTGGATCACTTGAGGTCAGGAGTTCAAGACCAGACTGGCCCACATGGTAAAACCCCATCTCTACTAAAAATTACCAAAAAAATATTAGCCAGGCATGGTGGTGCATGCTTGTAGTCCCAGCTACTTGGGAGGCTGAGACAGGAGAATTGCTTGAACCTGGGAGGTAGAGGTTTCAGTGAGCTGAGATCACACCACTGCACTCCAGCCTGAGCAACAGAATGACACTCTGTCTCAAAAAAAACAAAAGTGTACCATTTCGTGGGTTTGACAAATGTGTACACCTGTGTAATAGCCACCACAATCAAGATACAGACTATTTCTATTACCCCAGAAAGTTATCTCAGGCCCTATAGGAAATGTCTTATGTCTTTTTTTAAAAATTCTTTTTTTTTCTATTCTTTTTTTCACTCTTGTTGCACTGGCTGGAGTACAATGGCTCAAAGTTGACTCACCGAAACCTCCGCCTCCCGGGTTCAAGTGATCTCCTGCCTCAGCCTCCCAAGTAGCTGGGATTACAGACATGTTCCACCACACCCAGCTAATTATTTTTAGCTCTGTTGCCCAGGCTGGAGTGCAGTGAAGCAATCTCGGCTCACTGCAACCTCTGCCTCCTGGGTTCAAGCGATTCTCCTGTCTCAGCCTCCTGAGTAGCTGGGATTCCAGTCACCCACCACCACACCCAGCTAATATTTGTATTTTTAGTAGCCATGGGGTTTCTCCATGTTGGCCAGGCTGGTCTCAAACTCCTGACCTCAGGTGATCCGCCTAACTTGGCCTCCCAAAGTGCTGGGATTATAGGCATGAGCCACCACACCCAGAGATAACATCACTATTATAGTGCCTAAGATTGTAAATGTTTTTCATACTTTTGCATTCTGACAATCAATTGACCCTACCTGGACCTGTGACTCATGACTCAACCAGTCCTGTGGCCCTCAGCCAGAGGCAGACTGAGTGCAAGAGGACCGTTTTTCATACCGCTATGATTTCATCGCCCACCAATCAACAACACCCATTCCCTAGCCCCGCTGCCCACCAAATTATCCATTAAAACACAACCTCTGAGTTCTCAGGAAGGCTGATTTGACTCATAATCTCTGGGCTGCATTCCCAGATGGTTAAGGCATTCTAAGTCACAGGATGAGACAGGAGCTCAACACAAAATACAGGTCATAAAAACTTTGCTGATAAAACAGTTTGCAGTAAAGGAGCTGGCCAAAACCCAGCAAAACCAAAATGGTGATGAGAGTGACCTCTGGTCATCCTCACTGCTACACTCCCACTAGCGCCATGACAGTTTACAAATGTCATGGTAATGTCAGGAAGTTGCCCTATATGGTCTAAAAAGGGGAGGCATGAATAATCCACCCCTTGTGTAGCATATTATCAAGCAATAACCATAAAAATGGACAACCAGCAGCTTTCACAGCTGGTCTGTCTACAGAGTAGCCATTCTTTTATTCCTTTACTTTCTTAATAAATTTGCTTTTACTTTGCTGTGCGGACTCTCCCTGAATTCCTTCTTGCGTGAGATCCAAGAACCCTCTCTTGGGGTCTGAATCGGGACCCCTGTGCTGTAATGCCCCACTGCCACACAGCCTCTTCCATAGAAACTGAAGTTCCTCCATCTGCCTAAGATCTAGACCCCCCACAGAGAACAATTGGTTTTTCTTTCTCTCCCTTTAAGGCTAATAATTTAACCACACCTGAACAGTATAATGACTGTCTGCAAGGATCATTTAAATCATAAAGAGAATTGTTTAGAAGTTAATCTATGCTCCACTCATTCTTCCTAGTAACCACTCCACCAAATTCCTCCTATCCTCCCTCCCATCACCTGTTTTACCAGGATCCAAGCTCATATTCTCTCTGTAACCTCAAGATGAAATAGAAGCCTTTTTACTTCACTGGGATGTCAGATCTTCATTTTGAAAGCTCTCATGTAAGGCTGAAGCAGGAGATATAAAAAGAAAACATGAATTTTTGCTTTAGGCAGCTCCCCACCCACTCCCTGCTATTGCACCCTGTTCTGTAAGTTCTGTAGGCTTGTAAATTCCTGTGTTCCGCAGCTGGTTTCTGTAAGTACCTGGTCTCCATCAAGGCAGCACAGCGAAGGTCACAAGATAAGCTTGAGCAAGCCTAGATTGCAGCCATCTGGGCACCACAGTGAAGGTCCCAAGATAAGCCTGAGCAAACCTAAATTACAGCCATATGGGCCATACAGCAAGGGTCAGATGACATGCCTAAGTGAGCCTGACTTGCAAGCCTGTTACTGTTGATAAACGGTCCCTGTTCTGTTTCTGTAAACTTGCTTTCACACCACTGCATTTTGCGCCACTGTAAGCTTGTTTCAAACTAGCCAACCACCCTTCAGATGCATGTACAAAAGTCAAGCCGTCTTTGTTCGCAGCTCAGTCTTTTGGATGCAAATCCACTGAGCTGGTGCGCACCTTAATAAAATCCTTCCGTCCCACCCATTGGTCTCTCTGGTCTCCTGATTCCTGCAACAAGGCTAGGCAAGGTGGCTCTTGCCTGTAATCCCAGCACTTTGGGAGGCCAAGGCAGGTGGATCAGCTGAGGCCAGGAGTTCGAGACCAGCCTGGACAACATGGTGAAACCCTGTCTCTACTAAAAATACAAAACTTAGACCAGTATGGTGGTGCGCACCTGTAATTCCAACTACTCAGGAGGCTGAGGCAGGACAATCACTTGAACCCAGGAGATGCAGGTTGCAGTGTGCTGAGATTGTACCATTGCACTCCAACCTGAGTAACAAGAGTGAAACTTCATAAAAAAAAAACAAGAAGGCTCCTTGGTATATGTGTTAAATAAATGTGTATGCCTTTTCTCCCACTTCTCAAACTACCTCATGTCAGAGATTTTTCAGCAAGCCTTTAAGGGACAAAGTGCCTTGGCCTTGGAGTGATACAGCTGCAGATCAAGGAATGCCAAGGAACACCTGGAGCCACCTTTCTAGAAGAGGTGAGGAAGGATCCTCCCCTGAGGCCTTCAGAGCAAGCATGGCCCGACCAACACCTTGAATGCAGACTCCAAGCCTTCTAAACTGTAAGAGAATACATTTTTGTTTTTTCAGGTCACCCCATTTGTAGTAATTTGTTATGGTTGCCCTAGGAAATGAATATGTTACCAGAAAGAGGTCCCAATCCAGACCCCAAGAGAGGCTTCATGGAATTTAAGCAAGAAAGAATTTGGGGTGAGTCCACAGAGTAAAGTGAAAGTAAGGGAATAGGCCCAGCACGGTGGTTCATGCTGTAATCCCAGCATTTTGGGAGGCCGAGGCAGGTGGATTGCTTGAGCTCAGGAGTTTGAGACCAGCCTGGCCAACATGGTGAAACCCTATCTCTACTAAAACACAAAAATTAGCCAGGCATGGTAGCAGGAGCCTGTAATCCCAGCCACTCTGGTGGCTGAGGCAGGAGAATCACTTGAACTCGGGTGGCAGAGGTCGCAGTGAACTAAAATTGTGCCACTGCACTCCAGCGTGGGTGATCGAGTGAGACCTTGTCTCAAAAAAAAAAAAAAAAAAAAAAAGTAAAGGAATATAAGGATAACTACTGCCTAGACAGAACAGGGTGTTCCCAAAAGCAAGAGAAGGAAGGTGCCCACCTTAGGTACAATGCCTGTTTATATATAAGACAAGCCAAAAAATCAAGGGGGAGATTTTCTCTAATGCAAGCTCTTGTGACAAAGAATTGTTAACCTTTGTGTAACTACAGACTTTTGCAATAATCTATTTATTTATTTATTTATTTATTTATTTATTTATTTATTTAAGACACATTCTTGCTTTGTCACCCAGGCTGGAGTGCAGTGGTGCAATCTTAGTTCACTGCAACTTTCACCTCCCAAGTTCAAGTGATTCTCATGTCTCAGCCTCCCCAGTAGCTGGGACTACAGGCGAGCACCACCACACCTGGCTAATTTTTGTGTTTTTAGTAGAGTCAGGGTTTCACTGTGTTGGCCAGGCTGGTCTCGAATTCCCGAGCTCAAGTGATCTGCCTGCCGTGGCTTCCCGAAGTGCTGGGATAACAGGCATGAGCCACTGTGCCCAGACTGAAATCTTATCTTTAAAATGAAACTTATTCTCGAAAAGAATGCTTTTGTCTTTAAGATATCAGGGCATTGGGACATTTCTTGGGTTTGTTAAGTCCTGGATATGTTTAGTAAACTTTTTTTTTTTTTTTTTTTTTTGAGATGGAGTCTCGCTCTGTCACCCAGGCTGGAGTGCAGTGGCGCAATCTCGGCTTACTGCAACCTCCGCCTCCCAGGTTCAAAGGATTCAACTGCTTCAGCCTCTCGTGTAGCTGGGACTACAGGCATGTGCCACCACACCCGGCTAATTTTTTATATTTTTAGTAGAGACAGGGTTTCATCATGTTAGCCAGGATGGTCTCAATCTCGTGACCTGGTGATCTGCTGGCCTCAGCCTCCGAAAGTGCTGGGGTTACAGGTGCAAACCACCACACCTGGCCTATGTAATGTCTTTGAGATTCATCTGTGTTTTTGTATTGCTCCTTTTCATTGCTCAGTAGGATTCCATTCAAGAATGTGCGTAAATTTGTCCAATTTTGTGTTGTGGATATTAAAATTGTTTCCAGAATAAATCTGCTAATGATATTCATCTCAAACATTTTTTGTGACTGTAGCTCTCTGGGATAGATACCTAGATATGAAAATGCTGAGTATGCAGCCATAAAGAAGAACAAAATCATGTTCTTTGCAGCAACATGGATGCAGTTGGAGGCAATTATCCCAAGGGAATTAATGCAGGAACAGAAAACCAAATACCGCGTGTTCTGACTTTTGAGTGGGAGCTGAACACTGGTTACTCATGGACATAAAGGTGCCAACAGTAGACACTGGAGACTCCTAGAAAGGGGAGGCAGGAGAGGAGGCAAGGGCTGAAAAACTCTCTATTGTGTATTATGCTCAGTACCTGGGTGATGGAATCAATTGGACCCCAAATCTCAACATCACACAATATGCCCAGGTAACAAACTTGGTCGTGTACCCCTGAATCTAAAACAAAAGTTGAAAGTATTTTAAAAAGAAAGAAAAAAAGAAATGGCTGAGTGGTATGGTAAATTTATGTTTAATTTTATTTAAAAACAAAACAGAAAAGCTGCCAAACTGTTTTCCAAAGTGGTTGCACCATTTTATGTTTCCACCAGCAGTGCGTGAGAATCCGGCTGCTGTACATCTTCCCCAACACTTGGTACTGCCAGTCGTTTTAATTGTTGCCTTTCTAGAGGATGTATAATGTCATCATATCATGGTTTTATATGGGATTTCTCTGATGACTGTGAGGACTGTGTTGAGCACCTTTTCATGTCATTATAAGTCATTCCTAGGTAAAGTGGAATAAGTTAACTTAAATACAAAGGCAAAAAACAACTTTATTAGTCTGTTCTTGCATTGCTATAAAGCACTACCTGAGACTGGATAACTCATAAAGAAAAGAGATTTAATTGGCTCATGGTTCTGCAGGCTGTACAAGAAACACGGCTGGGGAGGCCTCAGGAAACTTACAGTCACGGCAGAAGGCAAAGGGGAAGCAGGTACATCTTACATGGCTGGAGAATGAGGAAGAGAGAGAAGGAAGAGGTGCCACCCACTTTTAAACAACCGGATCTTGTGAGAACTCACTCACTATCATGAGAACACCAAAGGGGGAGTTTGCCCCCATGATCCAATCACCTCCCACCATACCCCTCCTCCAACATTGGGAATTACAATTTGACATGATATTTGGGCAGGGACACAAATCCAAACCATGTCAGTAACCAAATTTTGAAAAGCTCACAAGCTTCCAACTTGTGCCCCAGAATCTCTAGGCAATGGATTAAAGGATGCATGCCTCTACTGGATAGTGTTGTCTACTTCCTGATGTCCAGAGGTGTGGTGAAGCCTCTCCTAGCATCCTCAGTTTGTAGAAAAGACTATGCAGGCTGGGCACGGTGGCTCATGCCTGTAATCCCAGCACTTTGGGAGGCCAAGGCAGGTGGATCAAAAGGTCAGGAGTTCGAGACCAGCCTGGCCAACATAGTGAAACCCCGTCTCTACTGAAAATACAAAAATTAGCTGGGCGTGGTGGTAGGCCCCTGTTGTCCCAGCTACTCAGGAGGCTGAGGCAGGAGAATTGCTTGAACCCGGGAGGCAGAGGTTGCAGCGAGCCAAGATTGTGCCACTCCACTCCAGCCTGGGAGACAGGGTGAGACTCCACCTCAAAAAAGAAAAAGAAAAAATCCATCCATGTACTTTTAGACATTTAAGTTTTCTCTGTATATCAGCTATTGTGAATGATGCTCCCAAGAAACATGAGAGTGCAGACATCTATTTGGCATACTGTTATCATTTCTTTTGGGTATATATCCAGCAGTAAGATGGCTGGATCATATGGTAATTCTAGCTGTAGTTTTTGGAGGCACCTCCATCCTGTTTTCCAGAATGGCTTTACTGATTTACAATACCACCAATAGTGTATATTGGTTTCCTTTTCTCCACATTCTTGACAAAACTTGTCTTTTATCTTTTTAACAATAGCCAATCTAACAGGTGTGAGGTGATATCTCATTGTGTTCTTAATTTGCATTTCTCTGGTGATTAGAGATGTTGAGCATTTTTTTCATATATCTATTGGCCATTATATATATATGTGTGTACATATGTGTGTGTATATATGTGTGTGTGCATATATATGTGTGTGAATGTGTATCTATTTATATTATATATGTATGTGTATATATGTGTGGGTGTGTGTGTATATATATACATATATATATTTTGAAACAGGGTCTTGCTATGTTGTCCAGGCTGGAGTGCCATGGTGAGATCTCGGCTCACTGCAACCTCTAACTCCTGGGCTCAAGTGATCCTCTACCTCAGTCTCCTGAGTAGCTGGGGCCACAAGTGCACGCCACCATGCCTGGCTAATTTTTTGTATTTTTGGTTGAGACAGGGTTTTTGCCATGTTGCCCAGGCTATTCTTGAACACCTGACCTGAAGTGATCTGCCCGCCTCGACCTTCCAAAGTGCTGGGATTACAGGCACAAGCCACCACGCCCAGCCTCTGTATTTCTTCTTTTGAGAAATGTCTATTCAAGTCCTTCGCCTATTTTTAAATTGGATTTCTTGTTTTCTTGTTATTGAGTAGTTTGAGTTCCTTGTATATTTTATATGTGAGTCCCTTGTCCAATATATGACATGCACATATTTTCTCTTAGAAACAGATTGATTACTTTTTTAATTTACTTTTTTATTTGAGACAGTCTTATTCCATTGTCCAGTTTGGAGTGCAGTGGCACAATCGCAATTCACTGCAGCCGCTGCGTGCCAGGTTCAAATGATTCTCCTGTCTCAGGTTCCTGAGTAGCTGGGATTACAGGCATGTGCCACCACACCTGGCTAATTTTTTTATTTTTAGTAGTGACAGGGTTTCACCATTCTGGCCAGGCTGGTCTCAAACTCCCAACTTCAGGTGATCCACCCATCCAAGCCTTCCAAAGTGCTGGCATTGCAGGCATGAGCCACCACACCCAGCCAGATTGATTCTTTTTTTTATTTTTTATTTTTTTTTTGAGATAGAGTCTCGCTCTGTCGCCCAGGCTAGAGTGCAGTGGCTGAATCTTGGCTCACTGCAACCTCCACCATAGAGACGGGGTTTCATCTCTGCTAAAAAGGCTGGCCTCGTCTCATACTCCTGACCTCAAGTAATCCACCCGCCTTGGCCTCCCAAAGTGCTGGGATTATAGGCGTGAGCCACTGTGCCCAGCCCAGATTAATTTTTTTTTTCTTTTTTGAGACAGAATTTTGCTCTTGTTGCCCAGGCTGGAGTGCAATGGTACGATCTCGGCTCACCACAATCTCTGCCTCCCGGGTACAAGCGATTCTCCTGCCTCAGCCTTCCAAGTAGCTGGGATTACAGGCATGCGCCACCATTCCTGGCTAATTTTGTATTTTTAGTAGAGACGGGGTTTCTCCATGTTGGTCAGGCTGGTCTCGAACTCCTGACCTCAGGTGATCCACCCGCCTCGGCCTCCCAAAGTGCTGGGATTACAGGCATGAGCCACCGCGCCCAGCCCCAGATTGATTCTTAACAGGAATTCCGTCATCGTGAGGCAATGCAGGTTTTGTACAAACGTGACCCTGAAGCAGAAATCCCTAACACAGAGTGAGTTACGGCATGTGATGAAAACTGTTATGCAGTAGAACTTGATACATGACTGATCTGAATGGATGTTTTAAGATGTATAGTTTGTTCTATCACAGGAATAGCACATGTTAAGTAGGGGCCACTTCGTCAGTCTATGTCCAGCTACATCCAGCAATGGAAAGAAGCATCTGGCAGAAGAGCCATCACTGACCTGCAACTGTTGTGGGTTTCACTGTGTCCCCTAAAAAAGGTACATTCAATTCCTAGTCCCCACTACCTGTGAATGTGACCTTGTTTGAAGATAAGGTATTTGCAGTTATAATTAAGTTAAAATATGAAGTCATACTGGATTAAGGTAGGTTTTAAATCTCATATGACTGGTGACCTTACGAGAAGAGAGAACACATGGAGACACATAGTCAAGAAGGCCAAGAGCCTCCATTGGGAGGCAAAGACTAGAGTGATGTAGGTAAGAACTCCAAAGACTGCGGCAACCAGCAGAAGCTAGCGGAGAGGCAAGGAACAGATCCTTCCTTAGAGCATCCCGAAAGAACCTGCCCTGCTGAAAACTCAATTTCAACTCCTAACCTCCAAAACTGTGAGACAATACAATTCTGTTGTTTTAAGCCTCCCAGTCGGTGGGACTTAAAATAGGCAGGGCTGGGTGTCATGCCTGTAATCCCAGCACTTTGGGAGGCTGAGGCAGGCAGATTGGTTGATTTTAGGAGTTTGAGACGAGCCTGGCCAACATTGCGAAACCCTGTCTCTACCAAAAATACCAAATTTAGCTGGGCATAGTGGCGTGCACCTCTAGTCCTGACATTTGAAGACTGTGCCTGCGTCCCCTTCTTCTTCCACCATAACTGTTAAGTTTCCTGAGGCCTCCCAGACATGTGGAACTGTAAGTCAATTACACTTCTTTTGTTTATAACTTACCCAGTCTCAGGTAGTTCTTTACAGCAGTGTGAAAATGCACTAACACAGTATTATTTTACTACCTCTACTTTTAACACACTTCTTGTACTTTTAAAGATCTAGAGGCTGGGTGAGGTGGCCCACACCTGTAATCCCAGCATTTTGGGAGGTCGAGGCAGGAGGATTGCTTGAGCCCAGGAATTGGAAACCAGCCTGGGCAACACAGTGAGACCCCATCTCCAGAGAAATTTTAAAATTAACCAGGTGTAGTGATATATGCCTGTGGTCCCAGCTACTTGGGAGGCTAAGACAGGAGGATCCCTTGAGACCAGTAGTTTGAGGCTGCAGTGATCTCTGATCAAGCCACTGGGCAACAGAATGACACCCTGTCTCACACAAAAAAAAAAATCTAGAAAGGCTTGATGTTTCAAACAATGGCTTAATTTTGCCTACTATATATACAGTAGTATTAAATCAACTTCACATATAACAATGGTTATATCTGAAAGTGGCTTCTAATCAGGAACAGTCTGGTCTATAATTCATTTCTCCCAATTTTTTCTTTCTGAAACCAATCCAATGAATGAGATGTGTTTTTACAATTTCATTTCCAATAGTCAGTATCAAAAGACAGCCTAAGTACTTTAACGCTAAATGAACAAAATGTGTTAGTCTACTGCCACTATTTTTGTCATTATTGGGGAAACAGAATTAAAAACAAAATCTTCTCCCACAAAAGTAATCTCCCAGAAATCCTCTTCACAAAAGTAGTAGAGAAAGAAAAATAGTTTTATTAGTATTATTATTGAATATGCATTAAGAAAGAACATGATATGTGGCAATCCACAAAGAGATTGCAAAGATAGAAAGAAATCTTTTTGTTTTCGAAATGGAGTCACACTCTGGCCCAGGCTGGAGTGTGGTGGCATGATCTCGGCTCACTGCAACTTCTGCCTCCCGGGTTGAAGTGATTCTCGTGCCTCAGCCTCCGAGTAGCTGGGACTACTGGCACGTGCCACCACGCCAGGCTAATTTATGTATTTTTAGTTGAGATGGGGTTTCACCATGTTGGCGAGGCTTGTCTTGAACTCCTGACCTCAGGTGATCCACCCACCTTGGCTTCCCAACATGCTGGGATTACAACCATGAGCTACCGCGCCCGACCTTTTTTTGTTTTTGTTTTTGTTTTCGTTTTTTGGGGTTTTTTTGTTGTTGCTTTTTTTTTTTTTTTTTTTTTTTTTTTGAGAAAGGGTCTCACTCTGTCACCCAGGCTGGAATGCAGTGGTACAATCACATAGCTCACCGCAGTCTTGACCTCTCAGGCTCAATCCATCCTCCTACCTCAGCCTCCCAAGGAGCTGGGAGTGCAGGGGACATGCCATCACACCCAGCTAATTTTTGTATTTTTTGTAGAGACGGTGGGGGGTCTCACCATATTGCCCAGGCTGGTCTGGAACTCCTGGGCTCAGGTGATCCACCCACCTTTGCCTCCCAAAGTGCTGGGATTACAGGCATGAGCCACCGCACCCAACCAAGAAAGGGATACATTTCACCCTTTTTTCCTGGTATATTTTGTGATGTCAAGCAGATGCAATCTATGACATACATATTCTTATGATAAATGATAACTTGTCCCCAAGTAAGAGGAGTTGACAGCATCATTCATCACATATAGTCCATCTTAAATGTATCTGTTAATTGGGGGTGGTCTTTGTTTGCTAGTTGGCTTTATCCAAAGAAGAAACAGATGTTTCATATCTCTAAGACAGGAGGCAGTTTTGCAGCTTGGAGCAAGATACCCACTGAAGTTAGACTCCTACCCTCCCACAAAAGTAAGAGTTAGGAAAACTATCTCCCTTGAAGATTTTATTTCAAAGAGGTAGCTGCCATGTCCTTGAGAAAAACATTCCTGGCTGTATATACAGTATAGCAAAGTTTAAAGAAGTGCAGCTACTATACCAGGCAACAAGTCATCTGAAATCTTGTAGTACACACTAGCAAAACATCTTTTGCAATTTCTTCCCTCTAATCTCCCTCAACCAAATGAGCAAGTACCAAGGTGGTTTGAACAATTAACAAACAACTTGCAACTATTCCATTGCAAAATAATATTTCCCATCAATTTTTAAAAATGTTATTATGGTAAAATATATTTGACATAAAATTTACTGTTTAACCATTTTAGGTGTACAGTTCAGTGGCATTAAGTACATTCACACTGTTGTGCAATCATCACTCCCAACCAGCTCCAGAATTTTTTATCATCCCAAACTGAAACTCTGTACCCTTGAAGCAATAACTCGCCGTGAGCAGCTCCTCCATCCCCTTGGCCTCTGATAACCACTGTTCTACTTTCTGTCTCTGTGAATTTAACTATTCTAAGTACCTCATATAAGTGGAATCATACAATTGTCACATGAATTTTTTTTTTTTTTTTGAGACAGAGTCTCGCTCTGTCATCCAAGCTGGAGTGTGGTGGTACGATCTTGGTTTACTGCAATCTCCCTTTCCCGGGTTCAAGCGATTCTCCTGCTTCAGCCTCCCCAGTACCTGGGATTACGTGTCCACCAGGACACTGGCTAATTTTTGTATGTTTAGTAGAGATGAGATTTTGCCATGTTGGCCAGGTTGGTCTTGAACTCCTGACCTCAGGTGATCCACCCACCTTGGCCTCCCAAAGTGCTGGGATTACAGGCGTGAGCCACCATGCCCAGCCAGGCCCATCAATTTTTAAAAACTATCTACAAAGTGTTTTACTACTACCTCTAATTTCTTTTTTTTTTGTTTTGTTTTGTTTTTGAGTCGGAGTTTTGCTCTGTTGCCCAGGCTGGAGTGCAGTGGTGCGATCTTGGCTCACTGCAAGCTCCGCCTCCCAGGTTCACGCTATTCTCCTGCCTCAGCCTCCTGAGTAGCTGGTACTACAGGTGCCCGCCACCATGCCCAGCTAATTTTTTATGTTTTTAGTAGAGATGGGGTTTCTCTGTGTTAACCAGGATGGTCTCGATCTCCTGACCTCGTGATCCACCCACCTTGGCCTCCCAAAGTGCTGGGATTACAGGCATGAGCCACCGCGCCCAGCCCTCTAATTTCTTTTTTAAAAAAAATTTAGGGAACTATCAGCCTAACGGATATCTCTAATTTTAGATACATCAAATACTTGAAAATATCCAGAAAGACTAGATGTTTCAAGTAAGAGCTTACTTACCTGTCCACTAGATATATAAAACTGCTAAATAAAACTGCACACACATAGCAATAGTTATAATAAGGTGTCTTCTAAATATGAACATTTTGGCATAGATATTTCAAAAAATACTTATCAATTGTATATACAGGGAGAAATAAAATTCACACAGAGAGCATAGTTATAATATGAAGATGACTTCTAAATATGACCAGACTGGCGTAGAAGCTTCTTCTCTTCCTCCTCAGGCCTTTTTTTTTTTCTTTTTTCCTTGAGACAGTCTTGTGCTGTCGTCCAGGCTAGAGTGCAGTGGTATGATCTCAGCATTTTGCAACCTCCGCCTCTGGGGTTCAAGCGATTATCCTGCCTCAGCCTCCCCAGTAGCTGGGACTATGGGCACGTGCCACCACTCCCAGCTAATTTTTGTATTTTTAGTACAGACGGGCTTTCACCATGTTGGCCAGGCTGGTTTCAAACTCGCAACCTCAGATGATCCACCTGCCTTGGCCTCCCAAACAGGTGGGATTACAGGCATGAGCCACCCTGTCCCATGTCTTCTAAATCATTGAACAAAAATGGACGTGTGTTGCTTCTACTGGTGGTCTAACAATTCCATTTCAAAAAGTTCTTTCCAAAAGACATTTCTTTCCTGCAATTAAAAAAAAAATGGCCATTTACAAGTTATGTGATTTTCCAGGTCTACTTTATCATGTCAGCAACCTTTCTATCTAGAAGGCCTAGATGTAGCAAACGTTTTATTTATTTATATTTTTATAGAGACAGGGATGTCACTTATTGCCCAGGCTGGTCTCAAACTTCTGGCCTTAAGCGATCCTCCCACTTCAGCAAATTTTTTTTTCTATTGTACATCCTCCCACTTCAGCAAATTTTTTTTTCTATTGTACAAAAATTTTACAAATAAAAAAGTTTTAGGCCGAGCACAGTGCCTCACACCTGTAATCCAGCACTTTGGGAGGCCCAGGCCGGGGGATCAACTTAGCTCAGGAGTTCAAGACCAGCCTGGGCAACGCTGTGAAATCCTATCTCTACAAAAAAAATACAAAAATTAGCTGGGCATGGTGGCACGCGCCTGCAGTTCCAGCTACTTAGGAGGCTGAGGTGGGAGGATCACCTGAGCCTGGGAGATCAAGGCTGCAGTGAGCCATGTTCACACCACAGCACTCCAGCCTGAGTAACAAAGTGAGCCCCTGTCAGGGGGAAAAAAAGAAAAAAAGTGTTTTCTTTTAAAAGGTGTGAGAGGCGGCCGTGGTGGATTACTCCTGAATTCCAAGCTATTCTGGGGGCTGAAGCAGGAGGATTGCTTCTGGATAGGAGTTTGAGACCACCCTGGGCAACACAGCAAGACCCTCATCTCTACAAAAAATAAAATATTAATCACACCACTGCACACTAGCCTAGGTGACAGAGTGAGACCATGTCTCTAGAAAAAGATAAATGTAGGCGAGGGTGTGGGGGGTCGAGCCTGTAATCCCAGCACTTTGGGAGGCCAAAGTGGGAGGACTGCTTGAGCCCAGGAGTTGGGAGACCAGCCTGGGAAACACAGGAGGATGCTGTCTCTATCTAAAAAAAAAATAAAAATGCCGGGCGCGGTGGCTCACGGCTGTAATCCCAGCACTTTGGGAGGCTGAGGCAGGTGAATCACGAGGTCAGCAGACTGAGACCATCCTGGCTAACACAGTGAAACCCCGTCTCTACTAAAAATACAAAAAAATTAGCTGGGCGTGGTGGCGGGCACCTGTATTCCCAGCGACTCGGGAGGCTGAGGCAGGAGAATGGCGTGAACGAGGGAGGCGGAGCTTGCAGTGAGCCGAGATCGCGCCACTGCACTCCAGCCTGGGCGACAAAGCGAGACTCCGTCTCAAAAAAAAAAAAAAAAGCCTGGGGTGGTGGGGCGCACTTATTGCCCCACCTAATCGGGAGGCTGAGATGCGAGGATCACTTGAATCTAGGAATTTGAGGCTGCTGTGAACCTCAGCAGTGATTGTACCACTGCACTGCAGCCTGGGTGACAGAGGGAGACCCTGTCTCAAAAAAAGAAAAAAAAAATGTGGGATGTGGAGAGTGGAGATCAATTTGTTCTTATATGCACAGGACTTCTACACTGCCTCCTAAATCTCCCCGAAGGATGCTGGGCACTTCTTTCTCTTGGCCCGGTGCTGTTAAGTTTTTCTACCGTTTCTGGCTTCCACTGCCAGTACCATGCACGGAAGGTTGCTAACGGTTTTAACGGTTCTAACAGTCGCTGGGCCGCTCATTTCCCGGCCTGGAAGGCCTTTGTCATTATTGTTCCATCTCAGGGGCACTGAGCGGCAACTCCAAGTCCCGGATCCGTGCAGCTCGTTGGCCAGTCACTGCTCCACACAGCTTTGCCTTCTGGGCCAGAGGTCTCAATAGGGCCTTCCAGCACCGCCATTTTTGTCGCCCTGCCTTGCCCGCCACCGAAAGATTCCACGTCCTAGGTGGCCTGGCGAGTGTTTGCTGCCGTCCAGCCGATATGAGTCGAAGAGTCCAGACTCGGGGAGGCTACTGGGGCCATCAGGGCGTGGAGCCTGCGGGGTCTGTTGCTTCTAGGCCTGGACTGGGCCAGTGGGTGCAGCCATCCCTGGGCCTCAGCTGATACAGGTTCCTGGGGCACAGGCCTTGCCCACTCTGGAGCTCTATGCAGCAATTTTGTCATTTTTTCTTGTTTTTAATAAACGACAGCAAAAATAACACAATCAGGCTGAAGTTACTAGCATTATATAACCCTGCGTTTCTTTTTATTCTTTTTTTTTCTTTTTTTTGAGACGGAGTCTCGCTCTTTTGCCAGGCTGGAGTGCAGTGGTGCAATCTCGGCTCACTGCAACCTCTGCCTCCGGAATTCAAGCGATTCTCCTGCCTCAGCCTCCCAAGTAGCTGGGACTACAAGCACAAGCCACCATGCCCAGCTAATTTTTGTATTTTAGAGAGAGGGTTTCACCATGTTGGCCAGGATGGTCTCAATCTCTTGACCTCGTGATCCGCCTGCCTTGGTCTCCCAAAGTGCTGGGATTACAGGCAGGAGCCACCATGCCTGGCATAACCCTGTGTTTCTACTCCACATTTTCGAGCCCAGGCTGGAGTGCAGTGGCACAATCTCAGCTCACTGCTGCCTCTGACTCTGGGCTCAAGTGATCCTCCCACTTCAGCCTCTCGAGTACCTGGGACCACAGGTGCGAGTGCGTGCCATCATGCCCAGCTAATTTTTGTATTTTTTGTACAGAGATGCGTTTCACCATGTTACCTAGGCTAGTCTCAACCTCCTAGGCTCAAGTGATCCTCTCACCTAGGCTTCCCAAAGTGCTGGGATTAAAGACATGAGCCACCGTGCCAGCCCCACGTTTTCAATTACTCTGAATCCACAGGATCTTAGTCCCTGCACTGAGGAGGTGACAGGAAATGATACTTCGCAATCACTAACTACAGAAGTAGTATAATTTTTTTTAAATCATTAAGTCGGGTTCTGTCTTAGTGTTAAGAGTCCTCGCCAATGCACCACAGTGTCTCCTTGCAAAGTATCACCTAGAGTCCTTTGTCTCATGACCAAGAGAATTAAGGACCATGGACACAAAAGGGTGAGGTTGGAGCAAAAGTTTAATATGCGAAAGAAGAAAGCTCTCCACAGCAGAGACGGGTGAATGGGTTGCCAAGTATAAAGCTGGGTCCAGGGGTTTTTATGGACTGGGAAGGGAAGAAGTGTGCTGATGGTCTTGGAGAAAGCCCTAGTCAGCTTGCCTGGGACCAATCAGGGGCTGAAGTGATGATTCACAGAGGCTTGGCTCACAGTCCAAAGCATGTCCAAAACAGGAAAGGAAAGTGCCCACCAGAACCCACTGGAGCCCGCCGCGTACATGCCCCCAAAAGGAGAAGACGCTGTTTCCTGGAAGCCTGCTGATTATACAAAGGACAAAGGCATTTCTGTGTTGGGTCTTGTTCCCATATCAGTGTATCTGTGGGCATGTCTTAGACACAAAGGACAAAGGCGTTTCTATGTTGGGCCTTGTTCCTTTATCTGAATGGGCCATAGGTTTGTGCAAGTTTCCTTATCTGTGCCTTTGGCCTGATTTTTCAGGCCGTTTGTCTGTTTAAAGGCGTTTTACCAAGGACCCACCCTAACTGCTTAACTTTTTCTCTCACTAATTCTTAGATCAGTAAATGTATTTTGTTTTTTAAGTATTTTTATAAATGGTACTGGCTAGGCAAGGTGGCTCACACCTGTACTCCCAGCACTTTGAGAGGCTGAGGCAGGAGGATTGCTTTAGCCCAAGAGTTCAAGAACTCATAGGCAGTGCACCCAGAGTCAGCCTAGAGCAGTATATTTAACATATGTAGGCTGTCTCTTTTCCCATGAGATCACAATGTTGTCTCTACTCTGGAAGCAGTTTACCCTCAACCCTGGTGTTTTATTAAGAGTGGAAGGATGTGTCCTGGTAGTGGGATGTCCCATGTTTGTAGTGCAGGACGCTCGACCATCTTCAACTTAACAGGCCCAGTCTGACCAAGGAGGCCCTCTCCTTCTGGAATCTGGGGTTCCAGTTAGTCTAGATGGGTCTCTTGGACAGGGATGTAAATATGGAAGCCTTGAGATTGCAATATTCTATCTATTTTATGGATGGAGAAGGCAAGGAAATTGGACTAGGGAAAGAAGCACAGATGAGAGACAGAGTCTGGATGGCTTATCAGTTCTACATTCCCTTATGCTACCAAAGCCTGGCTGCATTCCTCTATCTTTTAATAAATATCTTTTCCTTTCCTGTGAGCCACTTTGGGTTGTTTTTTCTTACTTGCCAACAGGCTAACTGGTAAAGATTCTGTCCTTTTTCCTGGAACAATTTCTCTTTCAGAGAATTTCCCCCAACTCACCATTTGGCAACTACTGTTAAACTTTAATATACACGTACCCTTTAATGCAGCAGTTTTTTCATTCCAAGGTCTTATAATTTCTATGACTAGAAGGGCAAGACTGAAAAGATTTCACTGCAACAATGTGTACAATAGAAAAAAAGGCAAAATGGTACATCATCTATGCCTGCCTACTGGGAATTGATTAAGTAAATTACTGTGCATCAGCACAATGAAATGTGGTGCAGTTTTTAAGAAGAATGACTTAGCTCTATGCTCACATGGAAAGATCTTCAAGACATGATGGTTTTTTTTTTGGTGGTTGTTTGTTTGTTTGTTTGTTTGTTTGTTTTTGAGATAGAATCTTGCTCTGTTGCCCAGGCTGGAGTACACTGCTGTGAAATCAGCTCACTGCAAACTCTGCCTCCCGGGTTCAAGTGATTCTTCTGCCTCAGCCTCTCGAGTAGCTGGGATTACAGGTGCCCACCATCACCACCAGCTAATTTTTTTGTAGTTTTAGTAGAAATGAGTTTTCACCATGTTGGCCAGGCTGGTCTTGAACTCCTAACCTCAGGTGATCTGCCCGCCTCAGCCTCTCAAAGTGCTGGGATTACAGGTGTGAGCCACCGCGCCCAGTCAAGACATGATGTTTTGATTGATAAGTGGCATAGTAGGACAAGCCCATTCATATAATAATCAAAACCCCAAATCTCTCTCTCTCTCTCTCGTGTGTGTATCTATTTAGGGAAGTCTGTGAAGTTGTGCAAGGAAGGTTGGAGTGGGGGTATGAGTGGGTTTTGTTGTGAAGAGGTCATTTCAATTTCTGCTGTATGGAATATGCCTTTATATTGTTTGAGTTTTATAAGGATGTCTACGGATGGAATATCTTTTAAAAAATCAAAATCATTTAATGAATTTGTGGTGGTTTCAAAATATGCTCACAAATTCTAAGATACTCCTCCATTTAAGTGATAAAACTCAATTCCCCAACCCTTTGAATGTGGGATGTTCCAGGTTAAATTGTGCTTTTCTGTCTGAGACCTGCAATCAACTATTTCTTCAGGAAGCCATGGTTTCGTGGAGTGGGAAATAACATTTTAACTGAACACTGGGGGAGTTCATAGCCATTAGGTTGGTCATTTTTCCTGGGTTTTTCAGCATGGAAAGCTAGGAAATACATATTGCTTTTGCTTTCAAAAGAGTAAATAGATCATGAGTTCAGTGTATGAAAGAGTTATTTGGATAAAGGCGCTTTCCTGATGTAGATGAATGTGAGGTTCCCTATTCTCCTTTTCTCAATTTCCTTTAGAAAGTTTAGTTGTCAACACACCATCCAATGTTTTCTTTTGGTAATGACTTTTCTGTGTTAGTTGAAAAGGGAAAAATAATTACCCTCTCTTTTTCTAATATAGTTGCTTATGTCTGAATTATTCAAACTAAATCGAGCTGTTGCATGACCAAAATTGGTATCTTTTTTGGGTTTAGCTAAGTATTTTTGATACCAAAAAGTAAAAAAGAAGCCAGGCACAGTGGGGAGTGCCTGTAATCCCAGCTACATGGGAGGTTGAGGGAGAATCGCTTGAGCCCCAGAGTTGGAGACTGCAGTGAGCTATGATTGCACCACTGTGCTCTGGATGACAGAGATCCCAACTCTTAAAAAAAAAAGAAAAGAAGTTATGCTGAAGAAAAGAACAATAATTTTAAAATACAGTACTGCATAATCCCACTTAGAATAAATTCTAAAACAAGGCAACTAATACATTTTAATTGAAAGAAGATGAGTTTTATGGGGTTGGTGATCAGTGGTTGGGGGATGATTGCAAAGGGCATAAGGGAATGTGGGGATGGTGATGGAAGTTCATCTTTGGTATGACAATGTCTATACTTCTCCAAACTCATTGTACACTTAAAATATGTGCCTTTTGCTTTATGTAATTTTTACATCCATAAAGTTGACTTCATTAAAAAAGAAAAAAATTTTGGAATGACTCAAACTTGAACTCATATGATGGAAACAAATATCGAAGCAAAGTCTCACTTTAGTAAAATATTTGAAATAATCTAAGCAGAAACGGACCTCAGATACAGAGCCTACTTCTGATGTAAGCATCTTGGAGACTAGCCTTTGATCCCTTCAAGTAAATGGCCAGGAATATGCTGAGTTTGTTTGTGCTGGCTACTAGACTGATGAGCATCAAGTCATGTCAACGTTTCCCATCAACACACTGCAGACGGGAGACTGATAACAAGCATATAGTAAACAGGCAGATAGATAACCTAAGTCTATTCCCTCCAGGGAGGGACCATAAATATGCAAAATCTCTCCGAAATCTGGAGGGGTGATATGGTTTGCCTCTGTGTCCCCACTCAAATCTCTTCTGAAATTGTAATCCCCACGTGTCAAGAGAGGGATCCGGTGGGAGGTGATTGGATTGTGGGGACGGTTTCCCCCATGCCGTTCTTATGATAGAGAATTCTCATGAGATCTGATGCTTTAAAAGTGGCAGTTTCGGCCAGGCGCAGTGGCTCACACCTGTAATCCCAGCACTTTGGGAGGCTAAGGTGGGCAGATCACAAGATCAGGAGATCGAGACCATCCTGGCTAACAAGGTGAAACACCGTCTCTACTAAAAATACAAAAAATTAGCTGGGCACGGTGGCACGTGCCTGTAGTCCCAGCTACTCGGGAAGCTGAGGCAGGAGAATCCTTTGAACCTAGGGGGCGGAGGTTGCAGTGAACCAAGATAGCACCACTGCACTCCAGCCTGGGTGACAGAGCGAGACTCCATCTCAAACAAAACAAACAAACAAAAAATGTGGCAGTTTCCCCTGCACTCGCTCTCTTTCCTGACACCATGTAAGAGGTGCCTTGCTTCCCCTTCACCTTCCGCCATGATTGTACATTTCCCAAACCCTTCCAGACATGCAGAACTATAAGTCAATTAAACCTCCTTTCTTTATAAATTACCCAGTCTCAGGTAGTATATTCATAGCAGTGTGAGAATGGACTAATACAAGGGGGAAAAGCAGTGTTCTCCTGCTGGACTCATCACTCCACTTGGGCCTTATGTTTGGTACTGATACAATTGTCACAGTTTCCTTATTGGACACAGGAGGGTAGGTAAGGCAGAGTAGAGTTTTTTTGTTTTTTTGTTTTTTTGTTTTTTGAGACAGTTTCACTCTTGTCACCCAGGCTGGAGTGCAATGACACGATCTCGGCTCACTGCAACCTCTGCTTCCCGAGTTCAAACGATTCTCCTGCTTCAGCCTTCTGAGTAGCTGGGATTACAGGCACCTGCCACCATGCCCAGCTAATTTTTGTGTTTTTAGTACAGAGAGGGTTTCACCATGTTGGCCAGGCTGGTCTCGAACTACTGACTTCAGGTGATCCACCTGCCTTGGCCTCCCAAATTGCTGGGATTACAGGCATGAGCCACCATGCCTGGCACAGAGTAGAGTTTTATTAAGCAACAGAAAGTTCTCAGTAAAGACAGGGGTCCTGAAAGTGGGTTGCCACCAACAAGGTCAGCCCCAGGGTGTTTTGTTTTGTTTTGTTTTGTTTTTTGAGATGGAGTCTTGCTCTGTTGCCCAGGCTGGAGTGCAATGTCACGATCTCGGCTCATTGCAACCTCCGTCTCCCAGGTTCAAGCGATTATCCTGCCTCAGCCTCCCAAGTAGCTGTGATTACAGACATGCACCACCACGCCTGGCTAATTTTTGTATTTTTGATAGAGACGGGATTTCACCATGTTGGCCAGGCTGGTCTCGAACTCCCGACCTCAAGCAATCTGCCTGCCTCAGCCTCACAAAGTGCTGGAATTACAGGTGTGAGCCACCATGCCCAGCCTTCCCAGGGGCTTGTATCCTTCCTTTCTAGGGGTGTTTTTCTCATTTGCATCGTACACAAACCTCTGCTTCCTGGCTGCTTCCTGGTCCCAGTTGTTAGTGCGCAGGTGCGTTCTTCTCTATAGTTACTCCATGTTAGTTATTAGCCATAAGCACCACAGAAAAGCCCACTGAGGGGGGGTAAAACTGCACTGCAGATGTCATATTAATGATATTATAATGAGCTTGGGTCAGGTTAAGGACATTTAGTTGATTTATTGTGCCTGTGTCTAAGTCGGGACAAACATCCTTTTGAGCAAAAATTCTAGTAAAAGAGGAAGTTCTTAACCACATTTCCATCTGCTAGCTGTATAACAGGGGTGGTTGCGGGTGCATTCCTGTAGGCATTATCTTTCTTCTGAGGTCCTCCGCCTCTTATCTGCCTAACCAGCCCCTGTCTCCTCTCTCACAGTCATGTGGGGAGTCCAGGGAGCTAGGAACATTGTACCTTTACCCATTTGCGTAATTTTCACTCTGTAAATATTTCCATAAACTATGTTATCAAAGACATAGTCTGCAACACCATCTGTGGTGAGGCACCTTTCTTTTTTTTTATTTTCTTTTTTCTGTTTTTGTTTTTTTTTTTTTTTGGGACAGAGTCTCCCTCTGTCACCCAGACTGGAGTGCAATGGCTCGATCTCAGCTCACTGCAACCTCTGCCCCACACCCCAGGTTTAAGCGATTCTCCTGCCTCAGCCTCTCGAGTAGCTGGTATTATAGGCTCCCACCACCATGCCTGACTAATTTTTGTATTTTTAGTAGAGACAGGGTTTCACTACATTGGCCAGGCTGGTCTCAAACTTCTGACCCCAGGTGATCTGCCCACCTCGGCCTCCCAAAGTACTGGGATTACAGTCATGAGCCACTGTGCCCAGCCGAGGCGCCTTTCTTTTAACCACATCACTGTGCCTAGCTCTGATACCCATTGATGTGAATTCCCCAAAAGTAAAGCTTTAACAAGAATGGAGTAATTTTATAGTTCACAGTCTGAATGCATTCTAAGAGTATATAATCTTGTTCTATTTAGTTATGTCAACCTGAAATAATTGAAAGGCTTAAAATCCAGTTTTAAAGAGTTTATTCAAGTGAAAAGCTGGGAATGGCTTTTCACTTGAATAAACCTTTCTCACACAAAGACTTCACAGCTATCACAATGTCTAAGATGGAATGTTAAATATACTCTTTTAAATTGGAAAGGAGGCCAAGTATGGTGGCTCATGCCTGTAATCCCAGCACTTTGGGAGGCCAAGCTGGGTGGATCACCTGAGGTCAGGAGTTCAAGACAAGCTTGACCAATATGGTGAAACCCCGTCTCTACTAAAAATATAAAAATTAGCCAAACGTGGTAGCATGCCCCTGTAATCCCAACTACTTAGGAGGCTGAGGCAGGAGAATTGCTTGAACCCGGAAGGTGGAGGTTGCAGTGAGCCGAGATCCCGCCACTGCACTCTACCCTGGGCGACATCTTGAGGAAAAAAAAAAAAAACATGGAAAGGAAACAGTCCCCCAAAGTCTTACCTCATTCTAGTATTAGCCCAAAAGTGTGACTCCAAAGTCTCATCAGAGACAAGGCAAGTCCCTTCTGCCTAGGAGCCTGTAAAATACAAAGCAAGTTAGTTATTTCCAAGATGCAATGGGGGTACAGGCATTCGTTAATTGTTCCCATTCCAAATGGGAGAAATTGGCCAAAATAAAAGGGCTGCAGGCCCCATGAAAGTCTAAAACCCAAGAGGGCAGTCATTTTCTTGTCTGGAGACATGAGCACTAGAGAAAATGGAATCAGTGTACTCAAGTTAAAAGCTAAGTTCTTGCTCACATACACAGAAAACAAAGGAAATTAACAGGATTATGTTTTCTTTTCTTTTTATTTTTTTTTGAGATGGAGTTTTTTGCTCTTGTCGCCCAGGCTGGAGTGCAAAAGCATGATCTCAGCTCACTGCAACCTTCACCTCCCAGATTCAAGGAGTAGCTGGGATTACAGGTGCCCATGACCATGCCTGACTAATTTTTGTATTTTTAGTAGAGACGGGATTTCACCATGTTGGCCAGGCTGGTCTCGAACTCCTGACCTCATGATCTGCCCGTCTCAGCCTCCCAAAGTGCTGGGATTACAGGAGTGAGCCACCAAGCCTGGTCTGAGGATTATAAAGTTTTCTATACAAGACTAATTTAACAATTTAATCTGTTAGAGATTGTATTCCTTTTTTTTTTTTTTTTTTTTTTTTTTAAGATAGAGTTTCAACCTTGTTGCCCAGGCTAGAGTGCAGTGGCGTGATCTCAGCTCACCGCAACCTCCACCTCCTGGGTTCAAGCAATTCTCCTGCCTCAGCTTCCTGAGCAGCTGGGATCACAGGCGTGTGCCACAACACCCGGCTAATTTTTGTATTTTTAGTAAAGATGGGGTTTCTCCATGTTGGTCAGGCTGGTCTCCCAACTCCTGACCTCAGGTGATCTGCCCGCCTCAGCTTCCCAAAGTGTTGGGATTACAGGCATGAGCCACCGCCCCTGGCCACTACAGTTTGTAATCTTGACCTTAGGGTTTGTTTTCTTACAGCTGGTGTTCATTTCCTTTCCAATTTATTTATTTATTGAGATGGAGTTTCTCTATTGTCACCCAGTCTGGAGTGTGATGGCATGATCTCGGCTCACTGCAAGCTCTGCCTTCCGGGTTCAAGCAATGCTCCTGCCTCAGCCTCCCAAGTAGCTGGGATTACAGGTGCCAACCACCACATCCAGCTAATTTTTGTATTTTTAGTAGAGATGGGATTTCACCATGTTGGCCAGGCTGGTCTCAAACTCCTGACCTCAGGTGATCTGCCTGCCACGGCCTCCCAAAGTGCTGGGATTACAGGCATAAGCCACTGCACCCGACAGCTTGTTTGTTTGTTTATTTATTTAAATTCTTATTTTTTGTTTAGAGATAGGTCTTGCAGGCCAGGCACAGTGTGATCTCAGCACTTTGGGAGGCCAACGTGGGCGAATCACAAGGTCAAGAGTTTGAGACCAGCTTGGCCGACATGGTGAAACCCATCTCTGCTAAAAATACAAAAATTAGCCAGCTGTTGTGGCGTGTGTCTGTGATCCCAGCTTCTCGGGAGGCTGAGGCAGGAGAATTGTTTGAACCTGGTTGGTGGAGGTTGTGGTAAGCTGAGATCATGCCACTGCACTCCAGCCTGGGCAACAGAGCAAGACTATCTCAGGAAAAAAAAAAGGGATGAGTCTTGCTCTGTCACCCAGACTAGAGTACAGTGGCTTGATCATAGCTCACTGCAGCCTCAAACTTCTAGGGTCAAGCGATCCTCCCACCTCAGCCTCCCAAGTATCTAGGACCACAGGCATGTGCCACTATAAGTGTCGAATTAAAAAAAAAAAACATTTTGTAGGACAAGGACAAGGTCTTGCTATGTTGCCAGGCTGATCTTGAACTCCATGCTTCAAGGAATTCTTGCTCTCAACCTCCCAAAATGCTGGGATTACAGGCATGAGCCACCATACCTGGCCCTACATACGTTTGTTTCATGTAAAAAATATTTTATTATGTAAGAGTCAAATTATGTATTTTCTTTTCTGAATTAGTTATCCATTGCTATGCAACAACCCCAAAACTTCAAACAAAAACCACTTAGCGTCTCACAGTTTCTGTGTATCAGGAATGCAGGTACAGCTTAGGTGGGTGCTTCTCAAGATTGTGCAGGGGGTTCCAGTCGAGCTGTCAACTGTAGTCAGCTCAAGACAATTGGCCAGGCACAATGGCTCGCTCCTGTAATCCCAGCACTTTTGGAGGCCAAGGTGGCCATATCACCTGAGGTCAGGAGTTCGAAACCAGCTGGCCAACATGGTGAAACCCTGTCTCTACTAAAAATACAAAAAATTAGCCGGGCGTAGTGGCGGGCGCCTGTAGTCCCAGCTACTTGGGAGGCTGAGGCAGGAGAATGGCGTGAACCCGGGAGGCGGAGCTTGCAGTGAGCCGAGATCCCGCCACTGCACTCCAGCCTGGGCAACAAAGCGAGACTCCGTCTCAAAAAAAAAAAAAAAAAAAAAAAAAAAAAAAAAAATTAGCTGGGCGTGGTGGCACATGCCTGTAATCGCAGCTACTGGGGAGGCTAAGGCAGAAGCATCACTTGAACCCGGGAGGTGGAGGCTGCATTGAGCCATGATTGCGCCACTGCATTCCAACCTGGGTGACAGAGCAAGACTCTGCCTGAAAATAAATAAATAAATAAACAAACAAACAAATAAATAAATAAATAAAAAGACTCTACTGCGCCTGAGGATCCACTTCCAAGCTCACTCACATGGTTGTTGGGCAGCAATTTCTCATGGTGAGCCTTTTTATAGGAAGGCTTACAGGTTTCCAAGAGAACCAGGGAAGGTTCCCAAGACAGAAGTCACAGACTTGCTGTAACCTAATCTCAGAAATGACATCTGATCATTCCTGCCATATTCTATTTGTTAAAAGCAGTTCAAGGCTGGGTGCGGTGGCTCACACCTGTAATCCCAGCCCTTTGGGAGGCCAAGGCAGGCAGATCACCTGAGGTCAGGAGTTTGAGACCAGCCTGACCAATATGGAGAAACCGTCTCTCTGCTAAAAACAAAATGGCCGGCTAATGCCTGTAATCTCAGCTACTCAGGAGGCTAAGGCAGGAGAATCAATTGAACCTTGGAGGCGGAGGTTGCGGTGAGCCGAGATTGCAACATTGCACTCCAGCCTGGGCAACAAGAGCGAAACTCCATCTCAAAAAAAAAAAAAAAAAAAAGGCAGTTCAAGTTCAACCCATACTCAGTAAGAGGGGAATTAAAAAGGTATGACTCCCAAGTGGGGATCACTGGGAGTCATCTTAGAAGCTATGGACGTTACCCCCAAAGTCTTCAAGTAAAGTTAACCTTTCATAAAAATGAAATGTGTTTGTGGTTTGGCTAGGAATTTCCCTTGACCTGGCACTGCATATTACTGCATATTCCTACATATTCCAGTTTGAGAAGCCCAGTTTATGCCACATGAGTAAAAAAGCCATCTCGACATCCAATATTTATTCTGGCAGAGACTAAGAAACTGAGCAATAGGCTGGGAGCGGTGGCTCACGCCTGTAATCCCAGCACTTTGGGAGGCCGAGGCGGGCGGATCACGAGGTCAGGAGATTGAGACCCTCCTGGCTAACATGGTGAAACCCCGTCTCTACTAAAAATACAAAAAATTAGCTGGGCATGGTGGCGGGCGCCTGTAGACCCAGCTACTCAGGAGGCTGAAGCAGGAGAATGGCGTAAACCTGGGAGGCAGAGCTTGCAGTGAGCCGAGATCGTGCCACTGCACTCCAGCTTGGGGGACAAAGCGAGACTCCATCTCAAAAAAAAAAAAGAAAGAAAGAAAGAAACTGAGCAATAGTTCTAAATGCTGGCTGCATATTAGATCTAGCTGAAGAGCTTCTAAAAAAAATGCTGGCTGGTCACTGTAGCTCACGCCTGTAATTCCAACAGTTTGGGAGGCCAAGAAGAGAGGATTACTTGAGGCCAGGAGTTTGAGATCAGCCTAAGCAACATAGCAAGACTCCATCTCTACAAAAAATAAAAATTAGCTGAGGGTGGTGGCATGTGCCTATAGTCCCAGCTACTCATGAAGCTGAGGCCAGAAGATCAGAAGATCACTTCAGCCAAGGAGGTTGAAGCTACAATGAGCTATGATTGCACAACTGCATTCCAGCCTGGGTCACAGAGCAAGGCCCTGTCGCAAACAAACAAAAAAAAAATTAAATTAAAAAATAAATAAAAATCCCAGCTGGGTGCAGTGGCTCATGCTCATAATCCCAGCACCTTAGGAGGCCAAGGAAGGAGGATTGCTTGAGGCCAGGAGTTTAAGACCAGCCTGGACAGTGCCGTGTGACCTCATCTCTAAAAATTCCCAATACGCAGATCCCCACCCGGACCAATAAAATCTGAATATCTAGTATATAGAACAGATTAGGTGATTACAAATAACTGAACAGCTTTGTTGAGGTATAACTGACATACATTAAACTGGATTTGGTGATCTTTTATTTTTGTTTTTGCTTTTCTTGAATTGTGTAATTTTAATCTGCAGTCTGAATAGAAAGCCTCTGATCTTGAAGCAGAAAAAGACAAGTTATCCTATTATTATTATGATTTGTCTTTCATTCCATCCATATGATAACAGAATCCTGGAGAAGTGATAAAAGGTGGAAAGAAGATAAAGGGAAATGGAAACAACAAGGAAAAGAACAAAATCTATTTGAGGTGTAATCATAATATAATAGAGGGAGTTAAACAGTGCTTCTCAAACTATCTTCAGTGAAAGATCAGTTGGGTTTTTTCCCCCAACCCTTTGCAAACACACTACTTTTGTAAAATACAATAACATTTTCTTAGCAATGTTAAATTGCTACTTAGATGCCAAACTCTTATTGTCCCTTTCTGTACTTGTCTCAAAGCAAACCAGTAACAAAGCAAACCAGATTGGTGCAAGTCTGCAGACCTCACACTGACTAACACTATCTATCCAATCACTGGCTCAATTATTACTTGGTCCTTACTTCAGTGTTGACAAAAAGACTCTTAAGATGTGTCTGACACCAGTTTACGTAGCTTAAGGTTACAGGTTAATAGTTATCTCATGAGACATCACAACTTCTCAGGTACAGCTTCTAGGTGATTTTACCATATGGGGAATGTTTAATTGCACGAGATAGGGTTGAAGAAGATGCAGACTTACTTTCAATTCAGGAAGGTTTCCCCCCTTCCATTACTTACTTTTTACCCCTAAAAAGCAGTTTTCATTGAAATATGATATTTTATTGGTTAGCTTTTGCCCCATGTAACAAGCCAGCCCAAAACTTACTGGTTTGAAACTACAAACATGTATTAGCTCAAAGTTAGTCAGGCTAGCAATCTGGGAAGGACTCAGCTATGTTGAGCATGGGCTTAATTATTTATTCTTCGTTGCACATGTTCAAATACCAGGACACTTGACTGGGCAGGGTGAAATGGCTGGGATAATTGAAGCTTCTCTCCGCATGATCTCTCTTTCTCCAGCAAGCTAGCCTGGACTTGTCCACATGGTGGCAGAACTCCCAAGAGTGGCAAGAGAGAACAAGTCCCACTGCAGAAGCATCTTTCAGGGACCTGCTACATTGTTACCACCTGAGTGGGTTCTTGCCCACTGCCCATAGAGCCAACACTGAGACAGCAGTTGTTGCTGTAAAGAAAGAGTTTAATTATTGTGAGACAACTGAGTGGGAGAACAAGAGATATTTCTCAAAGCCACCTCCCTGAGAATTCAGAGGTTAGGATATTTTTGTTTTTTGTTGTTCTTTTTTTTGTTTGTTTGTTTTTGTTTTTGTTTTTGTTTTTTGAGATGGAGTCTTGCTCCTTTGCCCATGCTGGAGTGCAGTGGTACAATCTTGGTTCATTGCAATCTCTGCCTCCTGGATTCAAGTGATTCTCCCACCTCAGCCTCCCAAGTAGCTGGATTACAGGTGCCCATCACCATGCCCAGCTAATTTTGTATTTTTAGTAGAGACAGGATTTCACCATGTGGGCCAGACTGGTCTCAAACTTGTAATCTCAAGTGATCCACCCACCTTGGCCTCCCAAAGTTCTAGGATTACAGGCATGAGCCACTGAACCCAGCCAGTGGCTAGGATTTTTTAAAGGATAGTTTGGTGGGCAGGTGTGTTAGTCCATTTACACACTGCTATAAAGAACTGCTCAAGACTGGGTAATTTATAAAGAAAAGAGGTTTAATTGACTTGCAGTTCCACATGGCTGGGGAGGCCTTAGAACATACAATTATAACAGAAGGAAAAGCAGGCATGTCTTACATGGCAGCAGGCAAGAGAGTATGTAAGAGCACAGGAAAAACAACCATTTATAAAACCATCAGATCTCATGAGAATTCACTCACTAATACGAGAACAGCATGGAGGAACCACCCCCATAATCTAATCACTTCCCTCCCTTGACACGTGGGAATTACAATTCGAGGTGAGATTTGCATGGGAACACAGAGCCAAACCATATCAGCAGGGGTCCAGAGAATGGGTTCTGCTGATTGATTAGGGATGAAATCATAGCAGTGTCTAAGCTGTCTTCATGAGCTGAGTCAGTCCTTGCAAAATAGGGGAGTCACACGACCAGTCAAGTCAGTTCCTTGGCTGGGGACATGGGCCACTGACCCACATGGTGTCAGCTGGTCCTCTTGCAGGTAAAGCCTGAAAAATATCCCAAAGACCAGTCTTAAGTTTTACAGTAGTGTTTGTGACTGCCAGTTACTATGGAAAGCAAGCTGAGAAACAATGGCAGGTTATCATTTAACTATGCCAGTAGCTTAGTAGAAAAGTTTGTGGGAGGTGAGATTTCTGGTGGTCAAAGCCACCTGGCAGCTCCCTTGACAAGTCTAACATCTGGAAGCCATCTAGGAGGTCTGCGTGATTTAAGAATTGTTGTTTAATAAAAAAGAAAGTTCATTAACCTTTTGGTCAGCCTGCCTTGGGGCTAGGACAGGAAGATAATCAATTATTAGTGACTACCACTTATTGAAATGACTATGTGCAGGCAATCATGAATGGAGGAGGAAAAGGTCAGAGAGAAGGGAAAATATCTTTTTCATTTATTTGAGACAGGGTCTTGCTCAAGTCCAGACTGGAGTGCAGTGATGAGATCATAGCTCACTGCAGCCACAACCTCCAAGGTTTCAGTGATTCTCCCGCCTCAGCCTCCTGAGTAGCCGGGACTACAGCCATGTACCACTAATATTTTTTCCCTTTTTTTGTAGAAATGGGGTCTCATTGTTGCCTAGGCTGGTCTCAAAATCCTGGGCTCAAATGACCCTCCCTCCTCAGCCTCCCGAAGTGCCGGCATTACAAGCGTGAGCCACTGTGCCTGACCAAATTTTTAATATATTTTTGTAGAGAGAGAGTCTCACTATGTTGCCCAGGCTGGTCTTCAGTTCTTGGCCTCAAACTATCCTCTTGCCTCAGCCTTCCAAAGTGCTGAAATTACAGGTGTGAGCCACAATGTCTGGCCCATATTCTGGTTATACCCTATTATTGATGGGCATTTGGGACACGTTCAGTTTCGGGTTATTACACATAGTGCTGCTATGCACATTCTGGTATATGTCATTTGGTTATACACACATAGGCATTTCTGTTGTTACAAACTTAGGAGTAGAATGGCTGGGCACAGTGGCTCACGCCCGTAATCCCAACACTTTGGGAGGCCAAGGCGGGCAGATCACAAGGTCAGGAGTTTGAGACCAGCCTGGCCAATATGGTGAAACCCCATCTCTACTAAAAATCCAAAACAAAATTAGCCGGGCATGGTGGCGGGCACCTGTAGTTCCAGCTACTCAAGAGGCTGAAGCAGGAGAATCGCTTGAACCCAGGAGGTTGCAGTGAGCTGAGATCGTGCCACTGCTCTCCAGCCTGGGTGACAGAACGAGACTCCATCTCAAAAACAACAACAACAACAACAACAAAACAAAACAAAACAAAAACTAGGAGTAGAATTGGTGGGGCATGAGGCATTGCTGTATTCAAATTTAGTAGATATTGTCAAAGTTTTGACAATACAAACTGTACAATACACCTGGACTTTGTACAATTGGTACAAAGTCAAATTGTACCAATTGCACTCATATCAGCAGCACATGAGAGTCCTTGGTGTTGCATATTCTCTCCAACACTTGATATTTTTGACCTTGTCATTTTAGCCTATCTAGTAGGTATGTAGTGGATCACACTATGGTTGTAATTTGCATTTTCCTAATTCATATGGTTGAACATTTTTGTATTGTTTATCGGCCATTTGGATATCCTCATTTGTAAAGTGTCTGTTCAAAATATGTGTGCTCATTTTTTTTTTTTTTGGTTGGGTTGCCTATCACTTTTAGTGATTTGTAGGTGTTCTTTATATATTGTGGATATAAATCTACTTTGGGATATATAAATTGCGAATATTTACTCCCCTTCTGTGGACTACTTTTTTATTCTCCCAGTGGAGTATTTTGATAAGCAGAAGTGCTTATTTTCACCAGACACAGTGGCTTATGCCTGTAATCCCAGCACTTTGGGAGTCAAAAGTGGGCAGATCACAGGGTCATGAGTTTGAGACCAGCCTGGCCAACATAGTGAAACACCGTCTCTACTAAACATACAAAAATTAGCCAGGCGTGGTGGTGCATGCCTGTAATCCCAGCTACTTGGGAGGCTGAGGCAGGAGAATCACTTGAACCTGGGAGGTGGAGGTTGCAGTGAGCCGAGATTGCACCACTGCACTCCAGCCTGGGTGACAGAGCAAGGCTCCATCTCAAAAACAAGAAAAGAAAAGGGGCTCCTTTCCCTTCCCTTCCCTTCCCCTCCCCTCCCCTCCCCTCCCCTCCCCTTCCCTTCATCTTTCTTTCTTTCTTTCTTTCTTTCTTTCTTTCTTTCTTTCTTTCTTTCTTTCAGGAGCCTCACTCTGTTGCCCAGGCTGGAGTACAGTGGCATGATTTCAGCTCACTGCAACCTCTGCCTCCCAGGTTCAAGTGATTCTCCTGCCTCAGCCTCTGGAGTAGCTGGGATTACAGGCACACGCCCCCATGCCCAGCTAATTTTTGTATTTTTAGTAAAGATGGGGTTTCATCATGTTGGCCAGGTTGGTCTTGAACTCCTAACCTCGTGATCCGCTGGCCTCTGCCTCCCAAAGTGCTGGGATTATAGGCATGAGCCACCATGCCTGGCCTGCCTGTGCTTATTTTTAAGGTTGTCCAAATTATCCATTTTCCCAGTGAGTGCTTTTTGTGTCCTCTTTAAGAAATGTTTGCCTAATTTGGTTATAAAAATGCTCTTAACATTTTCCTATGAAAAATTTATTATCTTACCTTTAACAGTTGAAGCAAACTGGAATTATCAGGAATTGAGTGTGTGTGTGTGTGTGTGTGCGTGTGTGTGTAACATGAGACAGAGGGCAAAATATGTTTTTTTTTTCAAATGAATGGCCACTTGACCCAGCACCACTTAGTATTAAAAAAAAAAGTTTCCCTATAGGATTGCAATATCACTTATTTATGGATATAGCATGTTATCTACTATCTTCTTTAATATCTCTTAATAATGCTTTGTCATTTTCCGTATGGAAGTATTGCACATTTTTTCCTTAGAGTTACACTTATGTATGATATATTTTCATGCTATTGGAAATAGTACTACTTTAAAGTTTTCATTTATTAATTGTGATATATACAAACACAATTGATTTTTGTATATTGGCTTTGTATCTGGCAATCTTATTAAATTCATTTATTAATAATGTGTCAGTGGATTTTTGGGGGGATTTTAATATACACAATTTTGCCATTTGCAAAAAATCAGGCTTTGTTTCTTTGTTTTGAGACAGGGTCTTGCTCTGTTGCTCAGGCTGGAGTGCACTAGTGAAATGATGGCTCACTGCAGCCTTGACCTCCTGGGCTCAAGTGATCCTACCACTTCCGCCTTTCCAGTATCTGGGACTACAGGCACATATCAGCATGCCCAGCCTTTTTTTTTTTTTTTTGCTAGTTTTGTGGAGGTAGGGTCTCACTATACTGCCCAGGCTGGTCTCAAACTCCTGTTCCTCAAGTGATCCTCCTGCTTTAGCCTCCCAAAGTGCTAGGATTACAGGTGTGGTCTACCATGCCTACCATATGGTATATTACAGACAATATTCCATGTATATGGGAGAATTGTATGTTTTCCTGTTTTCAGGTAGAATGTTCTCCATTTATCTCTTAGGTCTGGTTAGTGTATACTATTGTTCAAGTTTTCTACCTTCTATTTGGTCTTATGCCTAGTGGTTCTATGCATTATTGAAAGTGGGGTATTGAAGTCTCCATGATAATTTTAGAATTGTCTAGTTTTTCCTTCATTTCTGTCAGGTTTTGCATCATACATTTTTGAACTCAGTTGTTAGGTGCATATATGTTTATAATTGCTATATTTTCTTTATGGGTTGACCCTTTTATCAGTATATAATGCCTATCTTTGACTCGTGCAAAATCTACTTTGTCTGATATTAAGATAGCCACTCTGTCTTTTTGTTACTATTTACATAGAATATCTATTTTTATCTTTTCACTTTCAACCTACTTATATCTTTGCATTTAAAGTAAATCTCTTATGGAAGATACATAGTAGGATTGTGTTTATTTTTTAAATCCATTCTGTCAATCCAACTCTGCTTTTAATTGGAGACTTTATTCTATTCACATTTAAAGTAATTGCTGATATGGAAGGACTTACTTGTCACTTTTCTATTTGGTTTTTCTGTCTTTTTTTGTTTTAATTGGAGATGAAGTCTCACTCTGGTGCCCAGACTGGAGTGCAGTGGTGCAATCTGGGTTCACTTCAACCTCCACCTCCCAGGTTCAAGTGATTCTCTAGTCTCGGCCTCCTGAGTAGCTGGGATTACAGGCATCCACCAACATGCCCAGCTAATTTTTGTATTTTTAGTAGAAACAGTGTTTCACTATGTTGGCCATGGTGGCCTCAAACTCCTGACTTCAACTGATCTGCCTGCCTTGGACTCCCAAACTGCTGGGATTACAGGTATGAGCCACCACGCCTGGCCTCTCCATGTCTTTTTTTGATGTTGTTCCTCAATTCTTCCATTACCTTTTTCTTTTGTGTTTAAGTGATTTTTTGTAGCATAGCATTTTTATTTATTTCTCATTTCCTTTTGTGTGAATTTCTTTTTTTTTTTTTTTTTTTTTTTTTTTTTGCGATGGAGTCTCGCTCGGTCACACAGGCTGGAGTGCAATGGCATGATCTTGGCTCACTGCAACCTCCGCCTCCTGGGTTCAAGCGATTCTCCTGCTTCAGCCTCCCAAGTAGCTGGGATTACAGGCACCCACCGCCATACCTAGCTAATTTTTGTATTTTTAGAGAGATGGGGTTTCACCATCTTGGCCAGGCTGGTCTCGAACTCCTGACCTCATGTGATCCACCTGCCTCGGCCTCCCAAAGTGCTGGGATTACAGGTGTGAGCCACCATGCCCAGCATGTTAATTTTTAAAAATTTATTTTCTTAGTGGTTACCTGAAGATTACAACTAGATTCTTAAGGTACCGTATTATTATCACCTAAATTCAATAACATACAGAATTCCTGCTCTTATACAGTTCCTTACCTCCCCATATGTTATTGCTGTCACAATTTTTTGTTTGTTTGTTTTTTGAGACATGGTCTTGCTCTTTTACCCAGGCTGGAGTGCAGTGGCATGATCTTGGCTCACTGCAATTTCTGCCTCCTAGGTTCAAGTGATTCTCCTGCCTTAGCCTCCCAAGTAGCTGAGATTACAGGAGCCTGCCACCACGCCCAGCTAATTTTTGTAGTTTTAGTAGAGACAGGGTTTTGCCATGTTGGCCAGGCTGGTCTCAAAGTCCTGACCTCCGGTGAGCTGCCTGTCTTGTCCTCCCAAAATGCTCGGATTATAGGCATGAGCCACCGCACTCAGCCTTATCACAAATTTTATCTTTATACATTGTGTGTCTATTAACATAGACTTATTTTTGTATGTTTAAAATCACACAGAAATAAAATAAGGGGCAATCAACCAAAAATAAAATAATGCTGGTGTTTGCATCTTTCTTGGTAGTTATTTTTACCAGTGTTTTCTATTTCTTCATGTAGCTTTGTGTTACTGTTCAGTGTCCTTTTATTTTCTTTCAGGATTTCTTGAAGGAGTCTTTTTTTTTTTTTTTTTTTTTTTTGAGATGGAGTCTTGCTCTGTTGCCCAGGCTGGAGTACGGTGGCATGATATTGGCTCACTGCAACCTCCACCTCCCGGGTTCAAGCGATTCTCCTACCTCAGCCTTCCGAGTAGCTAGGACTACAGGCGTCTGCTACCATGCCTGGATAATTTTTGTATTTTTAGTAGAGACAGGGTTTCACCATATTGGCCAGGCTGGTCTTGAACTCCTGACCTCGTGATCCACCCACCTCGGCCTCCCAAAGTGCTGGGATTATAGGTGTGAGCCACTGCACCCAGCCCAAAGGAGTCTTTTTAGCATTTTTTGTAGGGCAGGTTTGCTAGTTACGTATTTCTTCAGCTTTTGTTTATCTGGCAATGTCCTATTTTCTTCTTCATTTTTGAAGGCTAGTTTTGCCAGGTATCGAATTCCTGGTTGACAGTGTGGTTGTTTATTTTTTTTCCTTTGTTTTTGTTTTGTTTTTTCTTTCAGCACTTCAAATTTGTCATCCCACTGTCTTCTGACCTCCTTGGTTTCTGCTGAGAAATTGGCTGTTGATCTTTTGGAGGATCCCCTTTACCTGACAGAGTGCCTCTCTCTTGCTGCTTTCAAGATTCTCTCTGTATCTTTGGTATTTGACAGTTTGATGATATAACATGTTAGTGTGGAGCCCTTTGCATTTACCTTTCTTGGAGCTCTTTGTCTCTGCTTTAGCATTCAGTTCCTTTTTTCTCTAACAATCAGCCAGAGTTAAAATCATAGGGTAGGATCTTCTCAGGTCTTTTATGAATATTAATCATGCTGCGGGCAAGGCCATGGCTTTCAATATTCCCCAGGATTCATTGTTGGTGTTTACTGCCCTAATTATTCGGTGAATCCCAATCATGAGCTTTTCTTCCAAGGCATTTAGTGTATCTTTTTTTTTTTTTTTTTGCTTAAATGTAATATTTTGCCTCATGTGGCAGCAGGTTGTTCATTTGTCTTTCAGTGTTTATAAGGAATGTCTTCCAAATAGCCATGTTTCTGCCCTGAGAGTTGTTTGAGTTGTTTTTTGTTTTTCTTTTTTTAAGATGGAGTCTCGTTCTGTCTCCCAGGCTAGAGTGCAGTGGCATGTTCTTGGCTCACTGCAACCCCTGCTTCCTTGGTTCAAGCGATCCTCCTGCCCCAGCTTTCTGAGTAGCTGGGATTACAAGCGTGCGCCACCATGCCCGGCTCATTTTCATGTTTTTAGTAGAGACGGGGTTTCACCATGTTGGCCAACTGATCTCTAACTCCTGATCTCAAATGATCCGCCTACCTCAGCCTCCCAAAACGCTGGAATTATAGGTGTGGGCCACCGTGCCTGGCCTATTGCTGTAGTCTTGAGTCGGAAATTTGTTGGGCAGGATTGCAAGCTAGAAACTCAGACAGGATTTCTTTGTCTTGCTTTGTTGCCCAGGCTGGAGTACAGCGGTGCTACAATGGCTCACTACAGCTTCAACTTCCTGGGCTCAAGAGATCCTCCCACCTCAGCTTTCCAAGTAGCTGGGACTACAGGTGTAAGCCACCAAGTCCAGATAATTTTTTTATTTTTATTTTTGTAGAGATGGGGTCTCAGTTCAGCCCAGGCTGGTCTCAAACGCCTGGACTCAAGCCATCCTCCTATCTCCTCCTCCCAAAGTATTGAGATTATAGGCATGAGCCATTGTGCCTGGTCTGAGGCAGGATTTCTATGTTAGTTTTGTGGCATAATTCCTTCTCTGGGAAGCCCGTTTTTTCTCTTAACATCTTGGACTAATTGGATTAGGCTCACACACATTATTTAAGGTAATTTACTTAAAGTCAATTGATTATAGATGTCAATCACATCTACAGAATATTTTCACAATGATATCTAGACTTATGTTTCAAACAACTGGGTATCATAGTCTTGCTAAGTTACCACATAAAATTTAACCATCACAGTAATCATACTTTAAGAAATACATTCACGATAACAGTATTTCTATCCTATAATATAATATTGCATTCGTAATCAGCAATTATGTTGCTATCTATAATTTTGCCTTAAATAAATTTCAATTGTTCTATTTCGATGTATGCTTGTCAAAATATTATAAAGATATGTTGAAAAACTACTTCTGAAAGAATTTATTCTCTTTCATTTTATGAGCTTCTTTCATTGAGCATCTATTATATAGTCATATAATGGAAACAAGGAGATAAAATGATAATGAGAGGATGGTGATGATTATACTTGTAATAGTTGTTGTAAACTTTTACTAAGCACTTACTATGGGGCAGGTACTTTTTAAAGTGCTTTACCCATATTATTTTACATATTACCTGAAAGATGAGCCACTACCCTCAAAATGCTCATAAATAGTAAGAAGAGACAAATGAGGAAAGAGAAAAAACAATATAATAAGCATTATGCTGCAGGTAAAGGTGAAGTGATTTGAAGAATGAGTAGACGTAGTTGTCAATGGAAGGATTGGCCTACTATGATCTCTCGAAGTGGTTGTCCCACTTTTCTTTAAAAGACTTTGTGGGCTGGGCACAGTGGCTGATGCCTGTAATCCCAGCACTTTGAGAGGCCAAGGCAGGTGGATCACCAGGTCAGGAGTTCAAGACCAGCCTGGCCAAGATGGTGAAACCCCGTCTCTACTGAAAATACAAAAATTAGCCAGGTGTGGTGGTGGTGGGTGCCTGCAATCCCAGCTACTCAGGAGGCTGAGGCAGGGAATCGCTTGAACCTGGGAGGCAGAGATTGCGGTGACCCAAGATGGCACCACTGCATGCCAGCCTGGGGACACAGCGAGTCTCTATCTCAAAAAAAAAAAAAAAAAAAAAAAAAAAAAAAAAGGCTTTGTGGAACTTATAGTCTCTGTTGCAATTACTCAACCTTGTCACCAAAGGTGAAGAATGAGTAGACATTAGCCATTTGAGGAAGGGGGAAAAGGATTTTCCAAATAGTTGAAGCAGCAAATGCAAATTCCTGAAGTCTTGAAATAATACAGTGTCTTCTAGAGAGGCTGTAGATCAAGAGCCTAGAAATGAGAATTGTAAGGTAGACAAGGGTTACTATTCCATAGTCACCATAAAAGTGTTTTTGCCTACTGTGATGGCTGTATTTCCAGACTTTTTTTTTTTTTTTTTTTTTTTGAGATGGAGTCTCGCTCTGCTGCACAGGCTGGAGTGCACTGGCGCGATCTCGGCTCACTGCAACCTCTGTCTTCTGGGTTCAAGCGATTCTCATGCCTCAGCCTCCCAAGTAGCTGGGATTACAGGCTCCCACCACCATACCCAGCTAATTTGTGTATTTTTAGTATAGACAGGGTTTCACCATCTTGGCCAGGCTGATCTCGAGCTCCTGACCTCAGGTGATCTGCCTGCCTTGGCCTTCCAAAGTGCTGGGATTACAGGCGTGAGCCACCGTGCCTGGCCTCATATGGCTTTTGAAAGAGAATCAATCTGGCCAGGCATGGTGGCTCATGCCTATAATCCATCACTTTGGGAGGCCAAGGCAGGTGGATCACGAGGTGAGAAGATGGAGATCATCCTGGCTAACACGGTGAAACCCCGTCTCTACTAAAAATACAAAAGATTAGCAAGGCATAGTGGCACTCGCCTGTAGTCCCAGCTACTCAGGAGGCTGAGGCAGGAGACTCGCTTGAACCTGGGAGGCGGAGGTCGAGGTGAACCGAGATCGCGCCATTGCATTCCAGCCTGGGCAACAAGAGCAAAACTCCTTCTCAAAAATAAAATAAAATAAAATAAAAAATCCAATAAAGACCAATACATAATAGTCTAACCTCAGAGTTTTTTTTTTATACTTGACAGTCTGAAAACTACATATAATTCTGACTTCTTATGTTATTTTGTGGCTGCTAAAGCCCTCCAATAGATAAAGAGGTGGCAATTGTCTATGAAAAGAGTCACCATCTGTAAAATATGTGAAGAGATTTATTCTGATCCAAATATGAGCGACCATGGCCCATGACACAGCCCTCAGGAGGTCCTGAGAACATGTGCCCAAAGTGGTAGGGGTGCAACTTGGTTTTATACATTTTAGGGAGGTATAAGACATCAATCAAACACGTTGAAGAAAAACATTGGTTTGGTCCGGAAAGGCAGGGGTGATGGGGGCTTCCAGGCTATAGGAAAATTTAAACATTCTGATTGATGATTGGTTGAGTTTGTCTAAAGACCTGGGATCAGGCTGGGTGCAGTGGCTCACGCCTGTAATTCCAGCACTTTTGGAGGCTGAGGCAGGTGGTTCATCTGTGGTCAGGAGTTCGAGACCAGCCTGGCCAACATGGTGAAACCCCGTCTCTACTAAAAATACAAAAAAATTAGCCGGGCATGGTGGTGCACACCTGTAATCTCAGCTACTCTGGAGGCTGAGGCAGGAGAATCACTTGAACCCAGGAGGTGGAGGTTGCAGTGAGCCGAGATCGTGCCACTGCACTCCACCCTGGGCTGTGCAACAAGAGTGAAACTCCACCAAAAAAAAAAAAAAAGACCTGGGATCAAGAAGTGTTCAGATGAAGATAAAAGACTGTGGAGACCAAGGTTCTTTTGAAGTCTTATAGTGGCTGCCCTTAGAGACAACAGATGACACATGTTTCCTATTCATACCTTTAAAGGGTGCTAGACTTTTACTTAATCTCTTCAGGATTGGGAGGGCCTGGAAGAAAAATATCTAGCTGTGTTAATAGAGATTCTTTACAGATGCACATTTTGCTCCACAAAGGACAGCTTTGCAGGATCATTTCAAAATACGTCAAAGAAACATATTTTGGGGTAAAATATTTTGACTTTCTTGTCAGGTTGGAAAGTAAGTCATGATACATGGGTTTTATACCCAACTGATGAGAATTTATGGTTTGTAGGGCGTGACTCCCCAGGTCCCTTAAATAGGAATTTGGCCAACATTTTTAAAAATCAGAGTTTAGTCCTCACAATGCATGTGTGTTTTCTTTTCTTTTCTTTTTCTTTTTCTCTTTTTTTGAGACAGAGGCTCGCTTTGTTGCCCAGGCTGGAGTGCAGTGGCACGGTCTCAGCTCACTTCATCCTCTGCCTCCCAGGTTCAAGTAATTCTCGGGCCTCAGCCTCCCAAGCATCTGGGATTACAGGTGCCTGCCACCTCAACCAGATAATTTTTTGTATTTTTAGTGGAGACAAGGTTTCACCATGTTGGCCAGGCTGGTCTCGAACTCCTGACCTCGTGATCCGCCTGCCTTGGCCTCCTAAAGCACTGGGATTACAGGCGTGAGCCACCGCACCTGGCCCCTTTTCTTTTACTTTCATCTTCTTTTTTTTTGGTCTTGCTCTGTCACCCAGGCTGGAGTGCAGCCTGGAACTCCTGGGCTGAAGTAATCCTCCCACTTCAGCCTCCTGAGTAGCTAGAAATATAGACACACACCACAACACCTGGCTAACCAAAAAACAAAACAAAACAAAAAAAACAAAAAAACTGTAGAGACAGGGTCTCTCTATGTTGCTAAGGCTGGTGTATGTTTGTTTTCAAGCTAGGAATGTTCATGATAGGTTAGAGAAAAGGTAGAATAAACTGGCATTTTGTAGTGCCAATATGGTATCACACTAATAGCCCCTTAGGAAATAAAATACTAACACACGTTTATTGAACACTTACTATTGGTTAAGTACTCTATTGAGCACTTTACATGAATTGGGTCAATGTAATTTAATTCATGTAATAATTCTAAATGGTTACATTTTTACTATGTGTTACATATTGTTAGTAATTTCATTCTATATGTCAGGAAACTCAGGCATGGAGAAGTCTATTAATTAGGGTTCAGTCATGGAAAAATGAAACCACTCCAGATATTTCAAACATAATGGTATTTAGTACAGAGAATTAGATGCTCATAAGTTTGTAAGGGCTGGAGGAGCTACTGTCACATTGGTTTTCTTTCTTTTTTTTTTTTTTTAGACAGAGTTTCACTCTTGTCACCTAGGCTGGAGTGCAATGGTGCGATCTCGGCTCACCGCAACCTCTGCTTCTGGGTTCAAGCAATTATCCTACCTCAGCCTCCTTAGTAGCTGGGATTACAGGTGCCCGCCACCACGCTTAGCTAATTTTTGTATTTTTAGTAGAGACAGGGTTTCATCATGTTGGTCAGGCTGGCCTTGAACTCCTGACCTCAGGTGATCCGCCTGCCTCGGCCTCCCAAAGTGCTGGAATTACAAGCGTGAGCCACCACGCCCAGCCTCACATTGGTTTTCATTTGTGCTGCTGCCTCTGTGGTCCAGAGAATAAGAAGGGTGCTGCTTCTGCTGCCCAAAGGGCAGAAAAGTTCAGAAAACCACTGTTGTCACAGCTGCCTTTAAATAACTGAGACAGGGACTGGTGCGAAAGAGAGCCAAAGCCTAAGGAAAAAACCCACAATAACATGTATCTCTGCCACTTTTCAAATTTCAGGAAGTGCATTACACTGGGTAAAACACAACTGAATCCAGAATACAGGAGGCAAGGGCTCCTGGGAAATGTAGTTCATAGGGTTTCCGCCTTGCCTTAGGGAGTGCTGAGAAGTGTGTGGAATGAATGCTTGCATTTGTTTTCTATTGTTGCCATAAAAAGTTACCACAAACATAATGGCTTAAAACACTACCCACTTATCTCACAGTTCTATATAGAAGTCAGAAGCACAGTGGACTCAGCTGGGAACTCTGCTTAGGGTCTCAATAGGCTGTCAGCCAGCTAAGGCTCTGCAGAAGAATCTGCTTCTGGGTTCATTCAGGTCGTTGGCAGTACTACTTTCATTCTCAAGGTTTACATGTGGTCCCCCTCATCTTCAAGCCAGGAACCATGGGCTGAGTTCTGCCTGTGCTTTGAAAATCTATGACTTTCCTTTCTGCTGCATCTGTGTGACTTGTCTTTTGCCTTTAGGGATTCACGTGATTACACTGTACTCACCAGGGAAATCCCGGTTAAGTTCTCCATCTTAAGGTCAGCTGATTACAACCTTAATCATATTTGCAAAGTCCCTTTTGCCATGTAAGGTGACTTATAACCATAAGACGCACACTAGGAGACAAAGATCATGGGAGTACAAATTCTGCCCGCCACAATCCTCAATGGAAGAAAACTATCAAACAAGAAAGCATTCCAACACAAAAATGTAAAGAATTTACTCAAGATAATTGATATTCTCAGCTTTATTAATTTTAATAATAATAGTTACTATACATCAAGTGTCTACTATAAGTCAGGAAATGTACAAGCAACTGTATCTGTTATTATGTTAAGCATTATTTTAAAAAGTCAAACAGCAAATTGAGAGACTTCATAGTACTTCATATAGCACATTATGTGAATGAATTTATTTATTTATTTATTGAGATGGAGTCTCGCTCTGTCACCAGGCTGGAGTGCAGTGGCGTGATCTTGACTCATTGCAACCTCCTTCTTTCAGGTTCAAGCAATTCTCCTACCTCAGTCTCCCAAGTAGCTGGGACTACAGGTGCGCACCATCATGCCCAGCTAATTTTTGTATTTTTAGTAGAGACAGGGTTTCACCATGTTGGCCAGGATGGTCTTGATCTCAAGTGATCTGCCCACCTTGGCCTCCCAAAGTGCTGGGATTACAGGCATGAGCCACCGCACCCAGCCAACAATAAACTTTATTAACATAATGTCCAGTAAATATCAATTATTATAATTTTTTTATAGAGATGGGGTCTCGCTATATTGCCCAGGCTGGTCTCAAACTCCTGGGCTCAAGCTATCTGTCGGTCTTGGCATCCTAAAATGCTAGGATTACAGGTGTCCACCTGGCCTATTATATTACTATTGTTAAAATGACATACAAGATATCCTAGTACCTTAAATAGACATAACATTTCTAAAGGCTAGTTACTCACTGTTAACTGAATTAAGTCCAAATTCCTTATCTGACTGCAACTTACTACCTCCCACTCCCTCCCACACTATCTCTCTTAGCAACCCTATAATTATTTTCAAAATCATGTTCTAGAACAACAAAAAATGTGCAAAGATTAGGATTGTTTTACATTTTTGCTAATTTCCTTAACGTCTGACTTAATACAGTAAGACTCTCTCTCTCTTTTTTTTTTTTTTTTGGTTTTTGAGACGGAGTCTCACTCTGTTGCCCATGCTGGGGTGCAGTAGTGCGATCTTGGCTTACCACAAACTCCACCTCTCGGGTTCAGTCGATTCTCCTGCTTCAGCCTCCCGAGTAGCTGGGATTACAGGCACGCGCCACCATGCCCGGCTAATTTTTGTATTTTTAGTAGAGATGGGGTTTCACTATGTTGGCCAGGCTGGTCTCGAACTATTGACCTCATGATCCGGCTGCCTCAGCCTCCCAAAGTGCTGGGATTACAGATGTGAGCCACTGCGCTTGGCCTCTCTCTCTCTCTTTTCTAAGACAGTCTCTTGCTCTATCACCCAGGGTGGAGTGCAGTGACACTATCACAGCTCACTGCAGTCCCTAACTCCTAAGCTTAAGCGATCCTCCCGTCCTCTCAGCCTCCCGTGTAGGTGGAAGGATGCAGCTAACTTTTTATTTTTACTTTTCTAGAAAAGTGGGTATCTCACTTTGTTGCCCAGGTTGGTAGTTAGATTCTCATGTCTGCTTCTGTATTCAATCTGTAGCAATATCACCCGTCGATTTTCCAGAGGCTTCTAGAAAATTCCATGTACTCTCCTGACTCAGAGAATGAAAAAAGCAAAATCATCTTTATATTATTATAAAAATAGTATAATTATAAAAATAGGATTGACATTAAAGATTACCCCTAGATCCCTGGAGCATATTTGGGGAACTGGCTGGTTGGAGTATGTTATTCCATTGATGACCCAACCTAGATTGTCCGGACTTGCCTCATTTTTCTCCTAACTGGAAGTGACAAGGCAGGCAGCTCTAGCCTCATGACAAGCGTGGTGGCTCACGCCTGTAATCCCAGCACTTTGGGAGGCCGAAGCAGGTGGATTACCTGAGGTCGGGAGTTCATGACCAGCCTGATCAACATTGAGAAACCCCGTCTCTACTAAAAATAAAAAAAAAACTTAGCCAGGCACTGTGGCGCATGCCTATAATCCCAGCTACTTGTTGGGGGCAGAGGTAGGAGAAGCGCTTGAACCCGGGAGGCGGAGGTTGTGGTGAGCCGAGATCGCGCCATTGCACTCCAGCCTAGGCAACAAGAGCAAAACTCTGTCAAATAAATAAATAAATTAATTAATGAAAAAGAGGGCATTATGGATCTAATCTACTGTTGTATTTCCTGTATTTTCTACACAGTGGGCATTCAGTGACCACCTGTTGAGTGAGTTCATGGCATCCAAGTGCACAGCCACCTAAGGCATCGGGCCTCATGAAATCACAAGCAGCCAAGGCTGGCAGGTTCCTGGGACAATTTAGCAAACTCAAGGCTATGGTGCGGGTGGGTGCAGTGGCTCATGCCTGTAATCCCAACATATGGGGAGGCAGAGGTGGCGGATCACCTGAGGTCCAGGAGTTCAAGACCAGCCTGGCCAACATAGTGAAACCCCATGTCTATTAAAAGTACAAAAATTAGCCGGGCATGGTGGTGCACACCTGTGGTCCCAGCTACTCGGGAGGCTAAGGCAGGAGAATCGCTTGAACCTGGGAGGTGGGAAATGGGGGTACAGTGAGCTGAGATCACGCCACTGAACTCCAGCCTGGGCGACAAGAGCGAAACTCCGTCTCAAAAAAAAAAAAAAAAAAAAAAGACTACGGTGCTAGGACCAATCTCCTGAGTCACAAAATTTAAGGAGTCGTCCAAAAAAGTAAATAAGATAAATATTTTCAAACAATATTAGAAAATTCAAATCGGAAACTACCGACCGGGTGAGGAGTTGTTTTTGTAAATAAGGTCTTATTCCTAATAAGTTTCGAAAGTCTAAATCTTCACACGAGTCACTCAAAAGAAAGGCCCAGCTCAGGAGCCTGCATCTGCGCTATGGCGGGTAAGCCCCGGTGGCTGACCGGAAGAAGCGCCCACGGAGGCGAACCCCAGGCGCCCCTCAGCCTACTTCCATTTCCCCTCGCGACCCTTCGCCCCGCCCACTCTAGCTGGCTGTGCCTGACTGGCTGGGCTGCCGCATATTCGCGCTGCCATTGGTCCATAATCAGCTGGGGGTGGGCGTAGGGAGACCTACTTCAGCAGGTCCTGGCCGGACCAGCATTGTTAACGGCTGCGGTTCGAAGTGGCTGTGGGTATTGCTGCGGCTGGTGCGTCGTCGCTCTAGGTACGTTGGGGCCGGGCGAGTGTCCTGCGAGAGCGGCGATTGGCGGGGTGGCGGCTCTAGGAGCGTCGGTCGCCTCTCTGAGGGCCGGCCCCGGAGGCCTCGGAGCGCCGGGCCTACCGGACGTTTGCGGCGAAGCTGCCCTGACTGAAAAGCGTCCGCGGGGCCGTCTGACAGGTCCGGGAAGAGGCCCCTGAGGGGCGGACGGGCGCGTCTCCACCGTTTTCGCAGAGGGATACTGGTGAAGCGGGAGTGGTGTGCGGCCTCAGGTCCGGGCGGCACTGGGGTTAGGGACTGCGGAGGGAAGTGGTGCGTGTTTTTTGTCCTGAGGGGTAAGTAAAAGCTCGCTCTTGTCCGGAATGCTTTCAGAAATTAACGGATAAATCTCCACCTCCACCAATTTTAGTGTCCCATTGCCAAATTTTCTTGAGTTGTTTTAATCATCTAATGAAGTCAGGTGCCAGAAGGCAACTGGATCTCGCCTGGCGGCCTTGAAGTTTGTTAAAAAGTAGGGACCAGAGCATCAGGAAAAATACAAAATTCTGAGTAAAATGCTGAAATCCCGTACCTCTGAGCTTGCCGGTGTAAGGATGGTAGGATTTAAGGAAGACGATTTCCTTAAGGTAGAAGTTCGTTTTTATGAATATGTTTTTAAGAAAATTCCATCTTATCGCCCTTCTCTAACCAGTTTTCTCCAAGTTTGGCAAGCAAGTTTGAGAAAGAGAGGACGCAATAATTTTTTTTGCCTTATTTTTGTTAAAACCTTACCGCACTTAAGGAAACGGACTTTCTACCTTTCCGTGTTTCTGTGTTGAAAATGAAGTTTCTAACCACGTGTTCCTTCCTTTACGACACAATGGCTTTTTCTGTTCTGAAGACTTGCATATGGTTAATATGTATGGAAGAAGAGGACAGTTGTACTGAATAGTCCACATTAGAAAAATTATGTCATATTCACTTAAATTGTTATTCTAGATTGCGACTTAATACTGTTTTTATTATGATTTTGTCATATTTATTGTAGCCAGTAAATGACCTGCGACATAACTATTTGCAAAACAAATGGGGAAGACCAAGATAAAGATAAGTTATATCACAGGAAAGCAATTGAAAATGCAAAAATGAAGCATCTGAATGAAGGACTAATAACACTGAATTCAGCTTTTGTGAAGTATGCCTTTCTTCTTAGCTCGTTTATTCTGCAATACGTTTGTAGAAGTGTTGACTCCGATCTTAATCAAATTTACTTCACTCTCAGTCTTATCTGCAGATATGTACAGACCACATCCTAAGATTGACTTCTGCCTCAACAGAAATACATGAGCCAGTGCCTTATTGGAAATGATTTGCGTGTTTTAAGAACTGGTGTATATAGGTACATCTTGAATGTTCTGCTTTCCTTGCCTTATGCCTGTACTTCACCTCAGCCTTCAATTCCATTGTGTTTCCTTGCTACTTGGTATCTTGAAATCTGGTACGAAACTATTGCATGATCCCTGCACCTTTGCTTCTGCATATATCATAGCTCTCTTATAGTGAGTGTGCACAATCTATTTCATTTGATGTAATCAAAGTTTAATATATTGGATAGTTAAAAATAAAATACAACTTTAAATGCGCAAGAGTATTAGTTCTCATTGTTGAGCGAGATGATACAAAATACCAAAAAATCTTATTCTCTCATTCTATGTCAGTCTATTTTACTCCCCCCCCCTCCCCCCGCCACCCGGACACACACACACTGCGGTGACTTATCTATCTCGTTTATTTTATTTTATTTTACTTATTTATTTTTCTTTGTGAGGCAGAGATTCGCTCTTTGGCTCAGGCTGGAGTGAAGTGGCGCGATCTCGGCTCACTGCAACCTCCTCCCTCCGGGTTCAAGTGATTCTCCTGCCTCAGCCTTGCAAGTAGCTGGGATTATAGGCGCCCGACTAGTTTTTGTATTTTTAGTAGAGATGGGGTTTCACCGTGTTGGCCAGGCTGGTCTCGAATTCCTGACCTCAGGTGATCAGCCCGCCTCTGCCTCCCAAAGTGCTAGGATGACAGGCGCTAGTCTTAGCGCCCGGCCTATCTCATATTTTTATATCATTTAGATAATTATTCTGCTTTACAGTAGACTAGGATAGTTTTTCATCTTCATTTTTACCAACGATGGGACAGATTGGAGTCAGCCAGTGTCTAGAGAGAAATAACCATGACTTTTTGGAGGAAAGGGAGATAATATATTGGATTTTTTTGAACTTCTGATTAAGCCATGAAATGTTTAGAGAGGTGTTACTGAAGTTAGCCATGAATTATTTAGAGGCATTATATGTGTCTACTAAATGTGGTCATAAGTTTCATTAGTATACCTCTGAGGCTCTAGTGTGTACAGTATGCTGATGTGAAATAGCTTATCAGATAGCCATGGCAAAAGTTGCCAAGGCCTTTTTAGTACTCTTTACTAAGGAGACAGTGACTTTGGGAGGCTTTTCAGTACTTGTTATTAAGGAGAGAATAACTCTGGGTGGCTTTCCAGAGGTTTGTTTTTTAAGTGAATATTCATTAAACAGCATTAAAACTACTGTAAGAAAGGCATGTCACTGAAGATATAAAAAATATTTGTAGGCCGGGCGCGGTGGCTCACACCTGTAATCCCAGCACTTTGGGAGGCTGAGGCAGGTGGATCACGAGGTCAGGAGATTGAGACCATCTTGGTTAACATGGTGAAACCCCGTCTCCACTAAAAAATACAAAAAAATTAGCCGGGCGTGGTGGCCGGCGCCTGTAGTCCCAGCTTCTCGGGAAGCTGAGGCAGGAGAATGGCGTGAAGCCGGGAGGCGGAGCTTGCAGTGAGCCGAGATCGCACCACTGCATTCCATCCTGGGCGACAGAGCAAGACTGTCTCAAAAAAAAAAAAAAATTATAGTGGGAAATTTAGATAAAGAAGTAGTAGTTCTCTCGGGGCTGTTTTTTTGAGGAGGTGATCTTTAAGCTTGATCTTGAAAGAGCATAGACTAGGAGGGAAGGTTGATAATATGACAGTTCTGGTCAATTTGGAAAGTGAAGGTTAGGTTTATAAGAAGGTTCAGTTGATATCTCCAGGAAAAGACAAACTACTGTGAAAGAAAGATAGTGTAGTCATGGTAGTCTATCTGGCTATATAGAGAATATTTATAACAACTTAAATATTGATTTAACTGAAAATACGATGAGCTGTAAGAGACGTGTGAACTACAGAACTGGATCTACGAATGACAGGAGGGCAGACCACAGTGCTTTTCACATCCTCCCCTCCTTCCCTTGGGCATAAGACCTGGCTATAGGAAATCTAGCTAATTACAAGAACGTCTTTATAATTTGGAGGGAAACTCTTGGAACTGTGAGTGCTCCCCGTCCAGTGTTACCATCCCCTACCATCCAATTAAAATGTTTCCAACCCACCTCCAAAAAAAATACATATGTGAGCTAAATCTTCATCTGCAATTACAGGAAATCGACATGGCTAAAATTTGTAACTCAAGAAACAGTATGAAAATATTTTAAAATACTGAGATTTTAAAAACAAGTTGTTAAAATTAAAGTGATTGCCATTAGATATTCGGGAGTGCTGGCAAGCAACTGCTTTATTTCATAATGAGCATTTTATACTATTACATTGATAAAACTTGAAAAAAGTAATGTCAGAATTCTATTAGCATTCAGGTGATGCGGATGCTGCTGGTCTATGAACCACACTTGGCATTACTTCATGGTCATTATGAGATTAACTGCCACCTGGCCTGAGTTTTGTTATTTTGTTAACCACTATATAACTCTTAAAGGGCCCTGTCGCTTCATAATAACTGTTTTGTGTTTGTGATAGACTTCTTCGAGTCTTAAGACCCTCCGTTCAAATATTGGCTGAAGTACCTGACTTTGAACAAGATTAGTTAAATGGGTTTTTTCTAAATTTTTACTTTTTAAAAAGAGTAACAGTAAAAATTCAGTTCAGTAGTTTTTTTTAATTTAATGAGAATTGTTCTTATTAAAGTGTTTATTATGTATTAAGATACTACCTTGGAGAACATCACTGGAGAACAGAGATGTTTTATAATGGAGAAACCCAATGAAGCAGGAAAAAACCCAACTAAATCAGCATGCACCCATAACTTCGAACTATAACAGGAAAAAAGATTAAGCTAACTTTTAACCACAAAGATACAGGAAATATGTTATTGCTTGGAAAGTAACATGCTTGTGAATAATCTACAGGTTAAAAAATTACAATGCATCTTAGAGAATATTGGATAAATATCAAATTATAAGGTAGAGTTTTTCAAAACTTGTGGGCTCAACTAAAGTAGGGCTTAGAGGAAAATTTACAGCTTTAAGTGAGAAATTAGAAAAAAAGGTAATAGGCTGGGCATGCTGACTCATGCCTGTAATCCCACCACTTTGTGAGGCCAAGGTAGAGGATAACTTGAGGTCAGGAGTTTGAGACCCACCTGGGTAACATTACACAGGACCCTGTCTCTACAAAACAATGTTTTGTAAAATTAGCCAGCCATGGAGGGACACACTTGTAGTCCTACCTCCTTGGGAGGCTGAGGCAGTAGGATTACTTGAGCCTAGGATTTTGAGGTTGCAGTGAGCTGTGTTCATGCCACTGCACTCCAGCTGGGTGACAAAGTGTGACTCTAAAAATGAAAAGGAAAAAGAGAGACTGAAAAAATATCTGAGTTTTTACCTGAAGCTGCAACAAGAACAGCAAAGCAAACGCAAAGAAAGCAGAAGGAGGGTAGGGCATTGTAGCTCACATTTGTAATCCCAATGGTTTAGGAGGCCAAGACTGGAGGATTACTTAAGCCTAGGAATTTGAAGCCAGCCTGGGCAGCATAATGAGACCCCATCGCTATGAAAAACAATTAGCTGGGTGCAGTAGCATGCGCCAGTAGTCCTAGCTACTCTGGAGAATGAGATGGGAGAATTGCTGAGCCCAAGAGTTCAAGGTTACAGTGAGCTATGATCGCGCCATTGCATTCCAGCCTGGGCCACAGAGAGAGACCCTGTCTCAAAAAAAAAAAAAAATGTGCTGGGCGTGGGGGCTCACACCTGTAATCCCAGTACTTTGGGAGGCTGAGGTGGGTGGATTGCTGGAGCCCAGAAGTTCAAGACCAGCCTGGGCAATAAAAATTTTAAAAAGACCAGGCGCTGTGGCTCCCAGCTACTCAGGAGGCTGAGATGGGAGAATCACTTGAACCCAGGAGGCAGAGGTTGCGGTGAGCGGAGATCTTGCATTGCACTCCAGCCTGGGCAACAAGAGTGAAACTCTGTGTCAAATAAAAAAAGAAAAGGAATATGGCAGGAAATTATGAAATGGAACACTGTATAATAGGAAGCTAGCAAACTTAAAGTACTTTGACAGCCTCTTTTTGTCTTTTTTGTATTTTTGTTGACTTTGACAATCTTGGTACATGTTTAATAAAAATGATCAAGAAAAAGAGAAAAGCACATCACTAATATCAAGAATGAGGCCGGGTGCAGTGGCTCATGCCTGTAATCCCAGCACTTTAGGAGGCCAGGTCAGGTGGATTACCTGAGGTCAGGAGTTCAAGTCCAGCCTAGCCAACATGGTGAAACACTATCTCTACTAAAATACAAAAATTAGCTGGGCATGGTGGTGCACGCCTGTAGTCCCAGCTGCTGGAGGGCTGAAGCAGGAGAATTGCTTAAACCCGGGAGGTGGAGGTTGCAGTGAGCTGAGATCGTGCCACTGCCTTTCAGCCTGGGTGACAGAGTGAGATTCTGTTTAAAAAAAAAAAAAGAAAAGGAGGGACAGCACTACAGGTATTACACATACAATTAGAGAATACTATAAGAACTTTGTGTTGACAAATTTTAAATTGTGTTGAAATGGAAAAATAGGTAAAATTGACACCAAAAGATATAAAAAGTATGAATGGTTGTATTATCTTTTTTTTTTTTTTTTTGACGGATTTTCACTCTTTTCCCCAGGCTGGAGTGAACGGGCAAGATCTCAGCTCACTGCAACCCCCACCCCCCAGGTTCAAGTGATTCTCTTGCCTCAGCCTCCCAAGTAGCACCCGCCACCATGCCCAGCTAATTTTTGTACTTAGTAGAAATGGGGTTTCGCCATGTTGGTCAGGCTGGTCTTGAACTACTGACCTCAGGTGATCCACATGCCTTGGCCTCCTAAAGTGCCGGGATTATAGTCATGAGCCACTGCGCCTGGCCTTTTTTTTTTTTTTTTAAACTGGAGATGACATCTCCAAGATGGTTTTGAACTCCTGGGCTGTTTGAGCCTTGGCCTCCCAGAGTGCTAGGATTACAGGTGTGAGCCACTGCTCCCAGCTGGTTCTACCTCAATTTTAATGGAAAACCTTTACCACTAAGTTAACCCCAGGCCCAAATGGCATTAGTGGTTAATTATTCTAATATTTAAGGAAAAATAACACCATTCACACAGAAATTGTTCAGAGACTAGAAAGACTTTGTAGTTTGTATGAGGTCAGCAAACCTTTGATATCAACACCCAATAAAATAGACCCATCTCTCATTAACATTGATATAAAAATTATAAACATAATGTTAGCCATTTATAGGCCAGGCACAGGCCCATAAATTGTCTAATGTCAGCACTTTGGGAGGCCAATGCAGGAGGATTTCTTGAGCCCAAGAGTTGAAGACCAGCCTGGGCAACATAGTGAGACTCTGTCTTTAAAAAAAAAAAAAAATTAGCTGGGTGTGATGGGCGCCCCTGATGTCCCTGCTACTTGAAGGGTCAGGTTAGAGTCTTGTTTGAGTCCCGGAGGTTGAGGCTGCAGTAAGCTGTGTTCATGCCCACTGTACTTTAGCCTGAGCAACAACGTGAATCCATGTCTCCAAAAGAAAAGAAAAATGAAGTTTTAAAAATGAAACCATTAGGCCAGGTGCGATGGCTCACACCTGTAATTCCAGCACTTTGGGAGGCTAAGGTGGACGGATCACTTGAGGTCAGAAGTTTGAGACCAGCCTGGCCAACATGGTGAAACCCCCTCTCTACTAAAAATACAAGCATTAGCTGGGCATGGTGGTGGGCACCTGTAATCCCAGCTACTTGGGAGGCTGAGGCAGGAGAATTGCTTGAACCTGGGAGGCGGAGGTTGCAGTGAGCTGAGATTGCCTCAATGCCAGTGCACTCCAGGCTGGGTGACAGAGTGAGACTCTGTCTCAAAAAAAAAAAAAAAAAAAAAAAAAAAGACACCATTGGAAAAATCCTATGGCAGTAAAGGAATAGAACAAAAGGCATGAGACATAAGCCAAAAAGTGAAAGGCAGACATAAATCAAGCTACAGGTGGACCCTGAATTGTGATTTGACATGATTTTTAGTTTATGATGCTACAGAAAGTGATAGGCATTCGGTAGAATATAAAGCCATGAGAAATTCAAGACTTCAGTATAAAATCAACTTTGGGTTAAATTATTTTGCTCAATTGTAGGCTAATATGAGTGTTCTGAACATGTTTAAGGTAGGCTTAGGTTTTGCTATGATGCTCGGTAGGTTAGTTGTACCTGTATTAACTGCATCTTTGACCTAGGATATTTTCAATTTCTGATAGGTTTTTTGGGATGTAATACTACTGCAAGTCACACAGCATCTGTATGTCAATAGTAATATGAAGGCCAGGTACAGTGGCTCATGTCTGGAATCCTAGCACCTTGGTAGGCCGAGGATCATTTGAGGCCAGGAGTTTGAGATGAGCTTGGGCACCATAGTAAGACCTTGTCTCTACAAAAAAATTTTAAAATTAGCTGAGTGTGATGGCACATACGTGTAGTCCCAGCTGCTTGGTAGGCTGATGTGGGAAGATCACTTGAGCCCAGGAGTTCAAGGCTGCAGTGAGCTCTGATCTCAGCACTGTGCATGATAGAGAGACCTATCTCTAAACAAACAAAAACAACCAAGTAATGTCAGGTGTGAAAGGATTAAACAATCCCATGAAATGGCAGAGATTTTCATACTGAAGGGAAAAACAGCCTTGGCCTATAGGCTGTTTACAGGAGACAGACTTTGGATTCAAAGATGCAAATAGGCTGAAAGTAAAAGGATAGATGAAGATACAACATGCAAATAGCAACCATAGTAAAGCTATCGTGCCTATACTGATTTCAGACAAAATATACTGAAACAGTATTGCTGGAGATACATAGGGACATTCTATAATGACAGAAGAGTTGGTGCCTCAGGCATACAAATCATAAACATATATGCACCTACTAAGAGAGCAGCAAAATGTATGAAGCAACTATTGACAGAATTGAAGGAAGAAATGCACAGTTCAGTAATAATTGGAGAATTCAATACAACACTGTCATAATGGATAGAAAACTGAGGAAATCAGTGAGACAAGAGACGACTTGAGCAACACTAAACCAACTAGACTTAAGAGATATCTTTGAACAGTCCACCCAACAACAGCAGAATAGACTTTTGGAGTGTATGTAGAACATCCATCAATATAGTCACACTAGGCCATGAAGCAAACCAACACACTTAAAAGGACTGAAATTATGGGAAAGAACATTATCTGACCAGTGAATAAAATCAGAAATCAGTACTAAAAAGAAACTTGAGAAATTTACAAATATGTTGAAATTAACACTCCTAAATAATGGGTCAAAGAAATCATGAGGTTAATTAGAAAATACTTTGAGGTGAATGAAAATGAAGACAAACATATCAAAGGTTTTGGAGGGTACAATTACAGCAATTCTTAGAAAATTTATAGTGATAAATGCTATATTAAAAAAGACCTCAAATCAGTAACCTAGACCTTTTAAGAAAAACTGGAACTAGAAGAACAAACTGAGCCTGAAGTCAGCAGAATGTAGGAAAAAATTAGTGTGGAAATTAATAGAATAGACAAAAATAGAAAAGGAAACCATAAATCATTTTCTTAAACGATCAAGAAAATTAAACATTCAGCTAAACTGAGCACAAAAAAGGGAGAGAAGACTCAAATTACTAAAATCAGGAATGAATGAGGGGACATTACTTCTGACCTTCCAGTAGTTAAAAAAAAAAATTATAAGGGAATACTATAGAATAATTCCAATTGTATGGTACTCCATTTAATAGATGAAACAGACAAATTCCTAAAAAGACACAAAACTGCCAGAACTGACTGAAGAAGAGGAAAATCTGAACAAACATAAACAAAGCAGTGGAATTAGGACAAAATGAAAAGCCCCAAATCAGATGGTTTTATTAGTAAATTCTACCAAACATTTAAAGGTACAGTTCTTCAATTCTTTCAAGAAATAGAAGAGGACAGAACATTTCTGAAATAATTCTGTAAGGCTAGTATTATTTGGATACCAAAAGCAGACCCCAATACTATAGGAAAAGAAAACTGCAGAACGATGTTTTTTTAATGTATAGAGATGTGAAAATCCTCAACCAAATACTAGTAATTTGAAATTAACATAAAAGGATTATACACCATGACCAAGTGAGATTTATTTCAGGAATGCAAAATAAATTTCTCATGCAAGAATCTTTAATGTTAAGTGCCATATCAAAGAGAACAAAGCTACATGATCTTTTTAAGAGATAGTGAAAAGCATTGATAAGATCCAGTGTCCCTTCATGATAAAAACATTAAACAATAGGGAAAGTTTGGAACTTCCTTAACTTGTTAAAAAGCATCTGTAAAAAAACCCACGGTTAACATCATAGTGGAGGATTGGAGGTTTTCCTGCTAATTCAGGAACAAGATGGACCCCTCCTGGCATTTCTATTCAACATTGTACTGGAGGATCTAGTCAGGAAAATGAAGCCCATTTTTTTTTTTCAAATAATAAAAGCATCGAAATTGGAAAGGGAGAAGTAAAATATACACGGATAACATGATTTAATATGTAGAAAATTCTAAGAGATTCACAAACCATTAAAGATAAAAGCCAGTTCAACAAAGTTGAAGGATGGAAGATCAGTGTACATAAATCTGTTTTATTTCCATATACTTGCAAAGAGGAATCCAAAACTGAGATTGAGGAAAGCATATATAATAGCATCAAAAAGTAGTACAAAACATATACTCTGAAAACTGCAGAATGTTGAGAGAAATTAAATAAGTAAATAGATAATCCCATGTTCATCTAGCCAGAGGACTCATATATTTTGGTTATTAACCCCTGATCAGATGTATGGTTTGCAAATATTTTCTCCCATTTCATACATTGGCTCTTCATTCTGTTGATTGTTCTCTTCCTGTACAGAAGTTTTTAAGTTTCATATATAATTTTAGTGGTCTATTTTTGCCTTCGTTCCCTATGCTGTCGGGGTCATATCTAAAAAAGGTCATCGTGCAGACCAACGTCATGGAGATTTTCCCTGTGTTTCCAGTAGTTTTACAGTTTTGGGTCTTACATATAAGTTTGTTTTCTTTTTTTCGAGATGGAATCTTGCTCTGTGGCCCAGGCTGGAGTGCAGTGGCATGATCTTTGCTCACTGCAGCGTCTGCCTCCTAGATTGAAACAATTGTTGTACCTCAGCCTGTTTTTGTTGTTTGTTTGTTTGTTTTAATTGAGACAGTGTCTCACTGTCTCACAGGATGGAGTGCTTGATCTTGGCTCACTGCAGCCTCCACCTCCTGGGCTCAGGTGATGCTCCTGCTTCAGCTTGTCCCAGTAGCTGGGACAAGAGGCACGTGACACCATGCCTGACTAATTAAAAAAAAAATTTTTTTTTTAAGATTTTTGTAGTGACAAGATTTCCTTGTATTGCCCAGGGTGGTCTCAAACTCCTGGGCTCAAGCAGTCCTCCTGCTTTGACCTCCCAAAGTGTTGGGATTACAGGCATGAGCTACCACGCCCAGCCTACATTTAACTTTGTAGTAATGCATTTAAAGTTGATTTTTGTATATGGTGTGAGATACTGCCTAGTTTCTTCTGCATGTAGATATTCTGTTTACCCAGCACCATTTATCAAAGCAACTATTCTTTCCAAATTGTATGTTTTGCCATTTGGTTGAAAATCAATTTAATATAAATCTGTGGATTTTATTTCTGAGTTCTCTATTCTGTTCCATTGGTTATGTGTCTGTTTTTATCCCAATACTGTACTGTTTTGTTTACTGTAGCTTTGTGGTATATTTTGAAATTGTCTAGTATGATCCCTCCAGCTTTATTCTTTTTGCTTAAGATTGATTTGGCTTTTTGGACTCTTCTGTGGTACCACATACATTATCCATTTTAGGATTGTATTTTTGATTTCTATGAAAAGCGTCATTGGAATTGTTATAGGGATTGCATTGTCTCTATAAAGTGTTCTGGGTAGTATAGTCATTTTAGCAGTATTAATTCTTCCAAAATATATAAGGAACTCAAATAACAAGAAAATAAGCCAATTAAAAAATGAATTCAAGAGTTTGAGGTTACAGTGAGCTGTGATCTTGCAGTGGCATTCCAGCCTGGGCCACAGAGAGACCGTGCCTCAAAAGAAAATGGGCTGGGCGTGGTGGCTCATGCCTACAATCCCAGGACTTTGGGAGGCCAAAGCGGGTGAATCGTTTGAGCTTAGGAGTTTGAGACCAGCCTGGGCAACATGGCAAAACCCTGTCTCTGCAGGAAATTAGGTGCACGCCAGTGGTTTCAGCTACTCAGGAGGCTGAGGTGAGAAGATTGCATGAGCCTGAGAGGTGGAAGTTGTAGTGAACTGAAATCGTGCCACTGCCCTGCAACCTGGGTGACAAGAGTGAGACCTCATTTCAAAAAAAAAAAAAAAAGGCAAAGGACCTGAAGAGATGTTTTTCAAAAGAAGACATACAAATGGCTAAAGTGCACATCACTAATATTCATGGAAATGTCAGTTAAAACCACTATGAAATATCACATCTCACACCTGTTAGGATGACTTATCAAAAATGAAAGATAAGACTGGGCATGGTGGCTCAAGCTTGTAATCCCAGCACTTTGGGAGGCTGAGGCGGGTGGATCATGAGGTCAGGAGTTTTGAGACCAGCCTGGCCAAGATGGCGAAACCCCATCTCTACTAAAAATACAAAAATTAGCTGGGTGCAGTGGTGGACACCTGTAATCCCAGCAACTCGGGAGGCTGAGGCAGGAGAATTGCTTGAACCCGGGAGGCAGAGGTTGTAGTGAGCCAAGATTGCGCCACTGCACTCTAGTCTGGGCAACAGAGCAAGACTCCATCTCAAAAAAAAAAAAATAATAATAAATAACAAATGTTGGCAAAGATGTAGAGAAAAGGGAACTCTTGCACACAGTTCATGGAAACATGAATTAGTATAGCCATTATTTTTTAGAAGTTCAAAAAAATTAAAAATATGCCTATGATCCAGGAATCTTATTGGATATATATCTAAAGGATATTAAATCATTATATTGAAGAGATACTTGCACTCACATGTTTATTGCAGCATTATTCACAGTAGATAACAGAATCAACCTGTTTATCAAGGAATGAACAAAGAAAATGTGGTATATGTATATGATGGAATACCATTTTGCCTGTCATTTGCAAGAACATGAATAAACCTGAACATTGTGTTAAGTGAAATAATCTAGACACAGACAAATACTATATGATGTCACTCATTTTTGGAATCTAAGACTCATTTAAGGAAGGAGTAGAAAGGTGATTTTACAGCTGGGGGGTGGGGTTGAATAGATACTGGTCAAAGGATATAGAATTTCATTTAGTGAAATATGTTCAAGAGATCTGGCCAGATGTGGTGGCTCACTCCTGTAATCCCACCACTTTGGGAGGCCGAGGCAGGCAGATCACCTGAGGTCAGGAGTTCAAGACCAGCCTGACCAACCTGGAGAAACCCCATCTCTACTAAAAATGCAAAATTAGCTGGGCGTGGTGGTGCATGCCTGTAATCCCAGCTATTCAGGAGGCTGAGGCAGGAGAATCGCTTGAACCCGTGAGGCGGAGTTTGCAGTGAGCCGAGATTGTGCCATTGCACTCCAGCCTGGGCAACAAGAAGGAAATTCAGACTAAAAGAAAAAAAAAGATCTATTGTTCTATTGTGCAAAATCTGACTAGTCAGTAACAATATGCTGTATACTTGGAAAATTGTACAACGGTATTGTTGAAATTCATAAATAATAACTATAATCTTAAATGAAAAAATAGTAATACTAAACTGATCTACAAATTCAACACAATCCTTATGAAAATTGCAGCTGGCTTGGGAGAAATTTATGATTTTTCTTTTCTGTGTAAATTTAATGAGAGTTTATTTTTAAGTATGGTAACAGATAGGGATTCAGTTTCATTCTTATACATATGTTAATCCAGTTTTCCCAGCACCATTTATTGAAAAGTATGTGTCCTTTCTGCAGCATATATTCTTGTCAACTTTGTCAAAGATCACTTGGCTGTAGATACGTGGCTTTATTTCCGGGTTCTCTGTTCAGTTGATCTGTATGTCTATTTCTATACATTACTATGCTGTTTTGATTACCATCAGCTTTGTGTTATAATATTGTTAGAAGTCAGGTAATGCAATATCTTCAGCTTTATTGTTTTAGCTTAGGATTGCTTTGGCTATTTGGGCTCTCTTTTGGTTCCATGTGATTTTCAAGACTTTTTTGTAATTCAGTGAAGAATGACATTGGTATTTTGATAGTGAATGCATTGAATTTGTAGATTGCTTTGGGCAGTATGGCCATTTTAACAATATTAATTCTCCTGATCAGTGAGCATGGGATATTTTTCCATTTGTGTCAGCTACAATTTCTTTTGTCAGTGTTTTATAGTTTTTCTTGTATAGGAGGTCTTTGACCTCCTTGGTTAAAAATATTCCTGAGTATTTTATTTTACGTTTTGTAGCTATGGTAAATGGGATTGCCTTCTGATTTGGCTCTCAGTTTGATTGTTATTGGTGTATAGAAATGCTACACATTTTAATTTGTTGATTATTTTATTTATTTATTTATTTTGAGAGAGAGTCTTACTCTGTCAGCCAGGCTGGAGTACAGCGGCACAATCTCGGCCCACTGCAACTTCCATCGCCCGGGCTCAAGCCATTCTCCTGCCTCAGCCTCCCAAGTAGCTGGGATTACAGGCGCCTGCCACCACGCCTGGCTAATTTTTGTATTTTTAGTAGAGATGGGGTTTCACCATGTTGGTCAGGCTGGTCTTGAACTCCTGACCTCAGGTAATTTACCTGCCTTGGCCTCCCAAAGTGTTGGGATTACAGGCATTAGCCACCGTGCCCAGCCGTGTGTTGATTTTTGCATCCTGAAACTTAGTTTGTTTATTAAATTAAGAGTTTTTTGGAAGAGTCTTCAGGATTTTCTATACATAAGATCATATATCATCAGCAAACAGATACACTGATATCCTATTTCCCTTTTCTTTCTCTCTCTTGCTTGATTGCTGTGGCCTCCAGGATATATAGTAGTATGTTGAATAGAAGTGGTGAAAGTGGGCATCTTTGTTTTGTTCAAGTTCTTAGAGGGGATTCTTTCAACCTTTCTTGATTTAGTATGATTTTGGCTGTGGGTTTGTTGTATATGGCCTTATGGCCTTTATTATTTTTAGCTATGTTCCTTCCTTTTTGTGCGTGTGTGTGTTTTTTTGAGACAGAGTCTTGCTCTGTTGCCAGGTTGGAGTGCAGTGGCACGATCTTGGCTCATTGCAACCTCCATCTCTTGGGTTCAAGTGATTCTTATGCCTCAGCCTCCTGAGTAGCTGAGATTACAGGTGCCCGCCACCATGCCCAACTAAATTTTGTATTTTCAGTAGAGACAGGGTTTCGCCATGTTGTGGCCAGGCTGGTCTCGAACTCTTAACCTCAGGTGATCCACCCGCCTCAGGTGATCCACCTGCCTCAGCCTCCCAAAGTGCTGGGAATATAGGTATGAGCCACCCTGGCCTTAATGCTAAATTTACCATAATGCTAAATTTTATGAAATGCTTTTTGTGCATATATTGAGATCATATGGTTTTTGTTCTTAGCTGTGATAAATCACATTTATTGATTTGCGTGTGTAGAACCATCCTTGCATCCTTGGTATAAAACCCGCTTGATTATGGTTTATTTTTATTTATTTATTTATTTTTGAGATGGAGTTTTGTTCTTGTTGCCCAAGCTGCAGTGCAGTGGTGTGATCTCGGCTCACTGCAACCTCCACCTCCCAGGTTCAAGCGATTCTCCTGCCCCAGCATCCCGAGTACCTGGGATTACAGGTGCGTACCACCATGCCTGGCTCATTTTTTTGTATTTTTAGTAAAGACAGGGTTTCACCATGTTGGCCAGGCTGGTCTCGAACTCCTGACCTTGTGATCCGCCCACCTCGGCCTCCCACAGTGCTGGGATTACAGGCGTGAGCCACTGTGCTTGGCCTGTTATCTTTTTTATGTGCTGTTAGATTCAGTTTGCTAGTATGTTGTTTAGGATTATTTCATTTATGTTTATCAGGGATATTGGTCTGTAGTTTCTTTTTTTGCTGTGTCCTTGCTTGGTTTTGATATCAAAGTGATACTATCTTCATAGAATGTGTTAGGAAGAATTCCCTCCTTTTTTTTCCCTCTTTTTTTTGAATAGTTTCAAGAGGATTGGTATTAGTTCAGCTTTGTATGGTAGAATTCAGCTGTGAATCCATCTGGTTATGGGCTTTTTTGTTGTTGGGAGTCTTTTTTTTTTTTTTAATTGATTCAGTCTCACTAATTATTCATCTATTCAGGATTTCTGTTTCTTCTTGGTTAAGGCTTAGGAGGTTGTATGTTTCCAGTAATTTATCCATTTCCCATAGGGTTTCCTGTTTGTCAGTATATAGTTGTTCATAATAGTCTCTGTTGTTGTTTTGTATTTCTGTGGTATCAGCTGTAAGGTGTCCTTCTTAATTTCTGATTTTGTTTATTTGGACCTTACCTCTTCTTGGTTGGTGTAGGTAGTAGTTTTCCAATTTTGTTTAAATTTTCAAAGAACCAACTTTTTGTTTTATTGATACTTCTTTTTGGTCTCTATTTCATTTAGTTCTGCTGTGACCTTTATTTCTTCTGCTAATTTTTGGCTTGATTATTTTTCTAGTCTCTTGAGGTACAATGTAAGATTTTTAATTTTTGAACTGTTTTTTTGATGGAGACGTTGAATGCCATAAACTTCTCTCTAAGCACTGCCTTTGCTATATCCCAGAAGTTTTAGTATGTCGTTTTTCTATTTTCATTTGTCTCAAATGTTCTTAATACCCATATTCATTTTTACAATGACTCAGTGATAGTTCAGAAGCATGTTGAATTTCCATATATTTTTATAGTTCTGAAGATTCTCTTTGCATTGATTTCTAGTTTTATTCTGCTGTGGTCTGAGAAGATACTTGATATGATTTTGATTTTTCCTTTGGTTTGTTTCGTTTTGAGACAAGGTCTTACTCTGTCACCCAGGCTGGAGTGCATTGGCATGATTTTTTACTTACTGCAGCCTTAACCTCCTGGGCTCAAGCGATTCTTCCACCTCAGCCTCCCAACTAGCTGGGACTACAAGCATGTGCCACCATGCTTGGCTAATTTTTATACTTTTTTGTAGAAACAGGGTTTCACCATGTTGCCAGACTGGTTTCAAACTCCTGAGCTCAAGTGATCCTCCCACCTCAGCCTCCCAAAGTGTTGGGATTACAGGCATGCGTGACTATGTCTGGCCTGATTTTGGTTTTTTAAAAATTTGTTCACAGCCAGGTACAGTGGCTCCCTCTGTAGTCCCAGCATTTTGGGAGGCTGAGGCAGCAGGTTTGCTTGAGGTGAGGAGTTCAAGACCAGCCTCAACGACACAGCGAGACCCTTTCTCAAAAAAAAAAAAAAATGTTGAGTCTTGTTTTGTGGTCTAATGGTCTGACTTGGAGAATGTTCCATGTGCTAATGAGAAAAATGTATACTCTGTTCTATGAATGAATGTTATGTTCATTTGGTTTAAAGTTCAATTTCAGTCCAATATTTGATTTTTCTGTTTCCATCTGTCTAGTGATGTTTCTGTGGAGATTAGTGATTTTCCATGTTAATGGATGTCAGATATAAATCCTGCTAACACTGCAGCTGGCTCTTAACTGTAAGTGCCACCTATTGGCCTGGAGGTCAGCCCACATAGCTTATTACAATATGTGACACATATGCACCAGGCTCAGGAGTGTGAGGTGAGTTCTCATGACTTCATGTTACCAGAATTGTCCATACCATGCTGGCTACTCAAGAGGTTGTGAACCTGCTCACCTACCTGGCACACTACTACTACGACTGGCATTTGAGAAAACCACCACACTAAGGCTTTTTAGAACCAAGGAAATAATAGAGTTTTCACCACTGAACTCATCCAGAAGCAAAGTCACAACCTCAAGAAAAAAAACTCCTGTCCTAGTGAAAATAAATTTAATAATAGCAAGAAGCAGATGTGTCTCTGGATGTGCAGAAATAAGCATAAAGTTACAGGAAGCATGAAAAAGTAAGGTATTATAACACCCCCTCAAAGGAACATAGGAATTCCTTAGCAACAGATTCTAACCAAAAATGATAATTGAAATGCTGAAGAGCTCAAAATGTTTTTAAAGAAACTTAATGAAATGCAAGGGAAATCTGAAAACCCATACAAAGAAGTCAGAAAATTAATTTAGGATATGAATGAGAAATTTACCAAGGAAATAGATATCTTTTCGTAAAACCAAACAGAACTTTATGGCAATGAAAAATTCATTGAAGAAATTTTGGAATGCATTTGAAAGCCTCAAGTATAGATCAGCCAAGGCAGAAGAAATAATCTTTTAAATTAACCTAGTGAGACAAAAATAATATATAAGACTGAAGAAGGCCTTTGAAACATACGAGACTACATAAAGCCGCAGAACTAATGAATTAACAGTATTTCCAAAGGGAAAGAAAAAGCAAATATTTAGGGAACCTTTTTCAGGAAATAATTAATGAAAACCTCCCTAGTCTAGCAAAAGATTCAGACATCTTAGATACAGGAAGCCTAATGATTCCTAGGAAAATATGTTGCAACATGGATTTAATGCTAGCTATATAGTCATCAAACTGTCTCAAGTCAAGGTGAAGGAAAGAATTTTAAAATCAGCAAGAGAAAAGTGTCTAATCACCTATAAAAGAAACTTCATTAGATGAATAGTGTACTTGTCAACAATAATCTTTTGTTTTTCCTTTTTGAGACAGAGTCTCACTCTGTCACCCAGGCTGGATTGAAGTGGTGCGATCTCTGCTCACTGCACCTTCCGCCTCCCAGGTTCAAGCGATTCTCCTGCCTCAGCCTCCCGAGTAGCTGGGATTACAGGTGTGTGCCCCCAGACTCTGCTGATTTTTAGTAGATACTGGGTTTCACCATGTTGGCCCGGCCGGTCTTGAACTCCTGACTTTATAAATGATCCACCCACCTTGGCCTCCCAAAGTGCTGGGATTATAGGCGTGAGCCACTCTGCCCAGCCTTTTTTTTATTTTTTGAGACAGAATCTCACTGTGTTGCCCAGGATAGTATGCAGTGGCACGATCATGGCTTACTGCAACCTCCACCTCCAGGTTTAAGCAGTTCTCATGCCACTGCCTCCAGCTGGGACTACAAGCATGTGCCACCATGCCCAGATAATTTTTTTGTATTTTTAGTAGTGACAGGATTTCCCCATGTTGGCCAGGCTCCTGGCCTCGAACTCCTGGACTCAAGTAAACCGCCCACTTTGGCCTCCCAAGGTGCTGGTATTACAGGCATGAACCAGTGGGCCCAACCAGAAGTAACCTTACAAGTCAGAATGGGATGGAATGGGATGGGATGGGATTGTCAAAGTGCTGAAAGAAAAAAAACCAGTGAACCAGGAATTTTATATCCAACTAGATTAAGCTTCATAAATGAAGGAGAAATAGTTTTTCTTATAGAAGCAAATGGTGAGGGAATTCATCACCAGTAAGTAGACCCTCCCTATAATAAATCCTCAGATCCTAAACATCTTAATGAAAGGTCAATATTTGGCTGGGTGCCGTGGCTCATGCCTGTAATCTCGGCACTTTGGGAGGCTGAGATGGATGGATTGCCTGAGGTCAGGAGTTCAAGACCAGCCTGGCCAACATGGTGAAACCCGGTCTCTACTAAAAAAAAAAAATACAAAAAATTAGCCGAGTCTGGTGGCAGGTGCCAGTTATCTAGCTACTCAGGAGACTGAGGCAGGAGAATTGCTTGAACCCAGGAGGCGGAGGTTGCAGTGAGCCGAGATCATACCACATTGTACTCCAGCCTGAGCAACAACAGCAAAACTCCATCTCAAAAAAAAAAAGTTAATATTCATTATCGTGAAGACACCTGGAAGGGGCAGAGCAAGGTGGCTGAATGGAAACTGTTAGTCCAAGCTGCATTGTTTTGTAAGCCCCCCACCATTTTGCAGACCTTGGTCAGAGTGAAACATTCCACAGGGGCTTGGGCCGTGAGAAACATCCTGCCTAACCACCTGACTACAGAAACATTCTTATCACATCCTGCTGGACAAAGGCCCAAGGAACATTCTTATCACATCCTGCCGGACAAAAAGGCCAAACCACCTGACCACAGGAATATCTTCATCAACGTCCTCCCAGGCAGCAAGCCATACCACCTAGATCCCTCCTGCCCAGACCTACAATTACCCCAGCCTGTAAGTGGCAGTGGGTCCTGGCACTAAGTTGGTCCCCCTGTGTAGGTTTGTACTGACAATAAACCTGTGTTGCTGTTGAGCTGCCAACTCTGTCCTTAACCCTTGACTTTCCTTCAAAACCTAACAGAAGCTTTCACTTGAAGTCAGGAGTTCATAACCAGCCTGACCAACATGGTAAAACCCCATCTCTACTAAAAACAAACTAGCTGGGTGTGGTGGCACGTGCCTGTAATCCCAGCTACTCAGGAGGCTGAAGCAGGAGAATTGCTTGAACCCAGGAGGTGGAGGTTGCAGTGAGCTGAGATCGTGCCACTGCACTCCAGCCTGGGCGACAGAGTGAGAATCTGTCTCAAAAAAAAAAAAGAAAAGCTTCAAATAATTTTTTTCATAGAATATTTTACTCTGTCACTCAGGCTGGAGTGCAGTGGTGCAATCACGGCTCACCACAGCCTCGACCTCCACAGGATCAAGCAATCCTGCCATCTCAGCCTCTCGAGTAGCTGGGACTACAGGTGTGCACCACCACCCTTAACTAATTTTTTATATTTTGTAGAGATGGGGTTTTGCCACGTTGCTTGGGCTGGTCTTGATCTCCTGGGCTCAAGCTGTCCACTTGCCTCAGCCTTCCAAAGTGCTGGGATTACAGGCGTGAACCACTGTGCCCAGCCAACCTAAAATAATTAACCTAATGATGCATCTTAAAGAACTAGAAAAGCAAGAGCAAAGCAAACACAAAAGTAGTAGAAGAAAAGAAGTAATAAAGATCATTGCAGAAGAAACAAAAGATCAATGAAATGAAAAGTTAGTTTTTTTAAATATAAAGCAAACATTTATGCAGACTATGAAAAAGAACACCTCAGAAATTCGAAGCATCCTTTGTGGCTACTATGAGCAACTTTGTAGGCCAATAAATTGGAAAATCTAGAGGAAATGGATCCATTCCTAGGCACATACAACCTACAAAGATTGAACCATTAAGAAATCAAAAACCTGAACAGACCAGTAAAAAGTAATGACATAAAAGCCGTAATAAAACATTGCCCAGCAAAGAAAAGCCTGTGCCCTAATTGCTTCACTGCTGAATTCTACTGAACATTTAAAGAAGTAATACCAATCCTACTGAAATCATTTTGAAAAATAGATGAGGAGGTAATACTTCCAAACTCATTCCATGAGGTTACCCAATACCAAAACCAAACAGACACATAAAAATAAATAAAATTACAGACCAATATGAGTATTGATGTAAAAATCAGCAAAATGGTAGAAAACTGAATTTAACAGTGCATGAAGAAGATTATTAATCATGACTAAGTAGGATTTCACCTGGCTTCAACATGTGCTAGCTATCAATGTGATACATTATATCAACAAAATGAAGGACAAAAATATGGTCATTTCATTTGATGCTGAAAATGCATTTGATAACATTCAACTTCCCTACATGATAAAAACCCTCAAGAAACTGGGTATAGAAGGAATGTATCTCAACGTAATAAAAGCCGTATATGACAGACCACAGTTAGTATCATCCTGAATGGGGAAAATCTACAAAAGAACTACAAACCTTTGGTTTAAGATCTGGAACACAACAAGGCTGCCCGTTTTCACCACAGTTACTGAACATAGTACTATAAGTCCTAGCTAGGCGAATCAGAGGAGAAATAAGGGGCATGCAAATTGGGAAGGAAGAAGTCAAATTGTCCTTATTTACAGATGATAAGATCTTATATTTGGAAAATCCTAAACAATACACCAAAACTAGTAATACTGATAAATTGAGTATAGTTGCAGTATACAAAATCACCGTACAAAATTCAGTACCATTTCTATATGCTAACAGTGAATGATATGTAAAGGAAATCAAAATAGTCTCATTTATAATATTGACAAATAAGATTATTTTTAAAATTTTTTATTTCTGTAGGTTATTCAGGAACAGGTGTTACTCGGTTACATAAGTTCTTTAGTGGTGATTTGTGAGATTTTGGTGCACCCATCACCCGAGCACTATACACTGAACCCAATTTGTGGTCTTTTATCCCTCATCACCCTTTCCCCTGAGTCCCCATAGTTCATTGTATCATTCTTAGGCCTTTACATTCTCATAGCTTAGCTCCTACTTGTGAGTGAGAACATGCAATGTTTGGTTTTCTACTCTTGAGTTACTTCTTTCTTTCTTTTTTTTTTTTTTAGACGGAGTCTCGCTCTCTCACCAGGCTGGAGTGCAGTGGCATGATCTTGGTTCACTGCAACCTCTGCCTCCTGGGTTCAAGCGATTCTCCAGCCTCAGCCTCCCAAGTAGTTGGGACTACAGGCATGTGCCACCATACCTAGCTAATTTTTGTATTTTTAGTAGAGGTGGGGTTTCACAATGTTGGCCAGGATGATCTTGATTTCCTGACCTCGCGATCCACCTGCCTTGGCCTCCCAAAGTGCTGGGATTGCAGATGTGAGCCACCATGCCCAGCTTATATCACAATTTCTTTATGCACTCGTTGATTAATGGGCATTTGGGCTGGTTCCATATTTCTGCAATTGTGAATTGTGCTGCTATAAATAAGCCTTTGCAAATGTCTTTTTTGTATAATGACTACTTTTCCTCTAGGTGGATACCCAATAGTGGGATTGCCGGGTCAAATGGTAGTTCTACTTTTAGTTCTTTAAGGAGTCGCCACACTGTTTTCCATGATGGTTGTGCTAGTTTACATTCCCACCAGCAGCATAGAAGTGTTCCATTTACACCACATCCACACCAACATCTATTATTTTTTGACTTTTTGATTATGGCCATTGCAGGAGTAAGGTGGTATTGCACTGTGGTTTTGATTTGCATTTCCCTGATCATTAGTGGTGATGAGCATTTTTTCATATGTTTGTTGGCCATTGGTATATCTTCTTTTGAGAATTGCCTGTTCATTTCGTTAGCCCACTTTTTGATGGGATTATTTGTTTTTTTTCTTGCTAATTTGTTTGAGTGCCTTGTAGACTCTAGATATTAGTCATTTGTTGGATGTATAGGTTATAAAGATTTTCTCCCACTCTGTGGGTTATCTGCTTACTCTGCTGACTCTTCCTTTTTCTGTGCAGAAGCTCTTTAGTTTAATTAAGTCCTGCCTATTCATCTTTGTTTTTGTTGCATTTGCTTTTGGGTTTTTGGTCATGAAATCCTTGCCTAAGTCAATGTCTATGTTGGAGATAAATGCTCGGTTCGCAAAGTGAAACCAGCACTCGGGCAAAAGTTTTCCCAGCAAGGCAATTTACTTCTGCAGAAGGGTGCTGCTCATGTCATTCACGATCACAAGAGCACACTGAACAAAGGAGAGAAAGGGTTATTCCTAATGTGGCCCCTACATCTGTGTCAATCTCCCATGGGCGGGGGGTAGGCGGGTCAGACTGCACATTCTAAGTTGACCTGATTGGCTATTTGTGGATATTTTCCCAAATAAGGAAGGGAAGGGGGATGTGAGTTACAGTGGTGGGACGTGTGGTTTCGAAGGGTGGAATGGGTGCAGAGTTAGCAACCAAGGGAACAGATGTGAGTTATTGATTAGAACTGATAGGAAGGTTGTTTACACTAATTAGGGGCAAGGAGGCATGGAGAACAAGAAAGTTGAGTTTGAGAACAAAGAATAAGGAAGTTAACAAGCTAAACCTTTGAAGAGGAATTTATTATATCTTATATGTAGAAGGGTTTTTCTGATGTTATCTTCTAGAATTTTTATAGTTTCAGGTCTTAGATTTAAATCCTTGATCCATTTTTTTTTTATTGAGACTTTTTTTTTAATGAGCCATTCTCTTGCCTCAGCCTCCTAAGTAGCTGAGACTACAGGCCCCTGCAACCACGCCCAGCTAATTTTTTGAATTTTAATAGAGACAGGGTTTCACGGCGTTAGCCAGGACGATCTCGATCTCCTGACCTCATGATCCGCCCGCCTGGGCCTCCCAAAGTGCTGGGATTACAGGCGTGAGCCACCATGCCCAGCCTCCTTGATCCATCTTGAGTTGATTTTTGTCTAAGGTGAGAGATGAGGATCCAGTTTCATTCTCCTACATGTGGCTTGCCAGTTATCCCAACACCATGTGTTGAATAGAGTGCCCTTTCCCCACTTTATGTTTTTGTTTGCTTTGTCAAAGCTCAGTTGACTGTAAGTATTTGATTTTCTCAGTTCTGTATCCTGTTCCATTGGTCTTTGTGCCTATTTTTATACCAGTAGCATGCTGTTTTGGTGACTATGGCCTTATAATGTAGTTTGAAGTCAGGTAATGTGATGCCTCCAGATATGTTCTTTTTGCTTAGTCTTGCTTTGGTTATACAGGCTCTTTTTTGGTTCCATATGAATTTAGGATTCTTTTTTCTAGTTTTGTGAAGAAGATGGTGGTATTTTGATGGGAATTGCATTGAATTTGTAGATTGCTCTTGGCAGTGTGGTCATTTTCACAGTATTGTCTCTACCCATCCGTGAGCACGGGATGTGTTTTCATTTGTTTGTATCATCTGTGATTTCTATCAGCAGTGTTTTGTAGTTTTCCTTGTAGAGGTCTTTTGACTCCTTGGTTAGGTATATTCCTAAGTTTTGTTTTGTTTTGTTTTGTTTTGTTTTGTTTTGTTTTGTTTTGTTTTTGTTTTTGTTTTGTTTTGTTTTCCCCCAGCTATTGTAAAAGTTGTTGAGTTCTGGACGTTTCTCAGCTTGGTTGCTGCTGGTGTATAGGAGAGCTACTGATTTGTGTATAGTAACTTTGTATCCAGAAACTTTGCTGAATTCTTTTGTTAGTTTGGGAGCTTTTTGGAGGACTCTTTAGGGTTTTCTAGGTATACAGTCACATCATCAGCACACAGTGACAGTTTGACTTCCTCTTTATCGATTTGGATGCCCTTTATTTCTTTCTCTTTTCTGATTGCTCTGGCTAGGAAGAGAAGTGGTAAGAGTGGGCATCCTTGTCTTGTTTCACTTCTCAGAGGAACTGAGGCCACTGCGCCTGGCCTATGTTGGCAATTCTTTAATTGCCATGTCAATCTCAGTATGTTATTGGTCTTTCAGGATATCTGCTTCTTCCTGATTTAAATGTTTTCAACTTTTCCCCATTTAGTATTATGTTGGCTGTGGATTTGTCATAGATGGCTTTTATTACATTGAGGTATGTCCTTTGTATGCCAATTTTGCTGAACGTTTTAATCATAAAGGGATGCTGGATTTTGTTGAATCCTTTTTCTGTGTTTATTTAGAGATAATTGTATAATTTTTGTTTTTAATTCTTGTTATGTGGTGTATCACATTTATTGAATTGCATATGTGAAACCACCCCTGTATTTCTGGTATGAAACCCACTTGATCATGGTGGGTTATCTTTTTGATATGTTGTTGGTTCAGTTAGCTAGTATTTTGTTAAGGACTTTTGCATCTAAGTTCATCAGGGATGTTGGTCTGTAGTTTCCTGTTTTGATTATGTCCTTTGCTGGTTTTTGTATTAGGGTGATACTGGCTTCATAGAATGATTTAGGGAGGATTCCCTCTTTCTCTATCTTTTGGAATAGAGTCAGGATTGGTACCAATTTTTCTTTGAATGCCTGGTACGATTCAGCTGTGAGTCTGTCTGGTACTGGGCCTTTTTGTTTTTTTTTTTTTGGTGTTTTGTTGTTGTTGTTGTTGTTGTTTTGTTTTGTTTTGTTTTTTTGAGACAGAGTCTGGCTGTGTCACCCAGGCTGAAGTGTAGTGGCACAGTCTTGGCTCAAGCAGTTCTCCTGTCTCAGCCTCCAGAGTAGCTGGGATTACAGGCGTGTGCCACCATTCCTGGCTGATTTTGTATTTTTAGTAGAGATGTGGTTTCACCATGTTGGCCAGGCTGGTTTGAACTCCTGACCTCTGGTGATCCACCCACCTTGGTCTCTCAAAGTGCTGGGATTACAGGTGTGAGCCACTGCGCCTGGCCTATGTTGGCAATTTTTTAATTGCCATGTCAATCTCACTGTATGTTATTGGTCTTTCAGGGTATCTACTTCTTCCTGATTTAAGCTAGGAGGGTTATATCTTTCTGGGAATTTATCCATCTCCTCTAGGTTTTCTAGTTTATATGCATAAAGGTGTTGAATTAGCCTTGAATGATCTTTTATATTTCTGTGGTGTCAGTTGTATTATCTCCCATTTTGTTTCTAGTTGAGCTTATTTGTTTTTTTTTTTTTCCTCAGCTTTTCTTGGTTAATCTTGCTAATGGTCTATTAATTTTATTAACCTTTTCAAAGACCCAGCTTTTTGTTTCATTTATCTTTTTTTGTTTTTTTTTTTTTTTTTTTTTTTTTTTTTACACTTTTAAGTTCTAGGGTACATGTGCACAAGGTACAGGTTTGTTACATAGGTATACATGTGACATGTTGGTTTGCTGCACCCATTAACTCATCTCATTTATCTTTTGTATTTTTTTTTTTGTTTCAATTTCATTTAGCTCTGCTCTGATCTTAGTTATATTCTTTCTTGTGCTGTGTTTGGGTTTGGTTTGTTCTTGTTTCTGTATTTCCTTGAGGTGTGACCTTAGATTGTCTGTTTGTGCTCTTTCAGACTTTTTGATTTAGGCATTTAGGGCTATGAACTTTCCTCCTAGCCCCGCCTTTGCTATATCCCAGAAGTTTTATAGGTTGTATCTCTATTGTCATTCAGTTTGAAGAACTTTTTAATTTCCATCTTGATTTCATTGTTGACCCAGTGATCATTCAGGAGCAGGTTATTTAATTTCTATGTGTTTGCATGGTTTTGAAGTTTCCTTTTGGAGTTGATTTCCAGTTTTTTTCCACTATGGTCTGAGAGAGTGCTTGATATAATTTCAATTTTATTAAATTTATTGAGGCTTGTTTTGTAGCCTATGATATGATCTACCTTGGAGAAAGTTCCATGTGTAATGAATAGAATGTATATTCTGCAGTTGTTGGGTAGAATGTTCTGTAAATATCTGTTGAGTCCATTTGTTTCAGGGTATAGTTTAAATCCATTATTTCTTTGTTGACTTTCTGTCTTAATGACCTGCCTAGTGCTGTCAGTGGAGTTGAAGTCCCCCACTATTATTGTGTTGCTGTCTATCTCATTTCTTAAGTTTTATCAGTTTGGGAACTCCAGTGTTAGGTACTTATATATTTAGGATTGTGATATTTTTCTGTTGGATAATGCTTTTTATCATTATATAATGTCCCTCTTTGTCTTTTTTAAGTGCTGTTGCTTTAAAGTTTGTTTTATCTGATATAAGAATAGCTACTCCTGCTTGCTTTTGATATTCATTTGCATAGAATGTCTTTTTCCACCCCTTTACCTTAAGCTTATGTGAGCCCTTATGTGTTAGGTGAGTCTCTTCAAGGCAGGAGATAGTTGGTTTGTGAATTCGTATCCATTCTGCAAATTCATGTCTTTTAAGTGGAGCATTTAGGCCATTTACATTTAATGTTAATGATATGGTTTGGCTGTGTCCGTACTCAAATCTCAACTTGCATTGTATCTCCCAGAATTTCTATGTGTTGTGGGAGGGACCCAGGGGGAGGTAATTGAAACATGGGGACCAGTCTTTCTCATGCTATTCTCGTGATAGTGAATAAGTCTCATGAGATTTGATGGGTTTATCAGGGGTTTCCGCTTTTGCTGCTTCCTCATTTTTCTCTTGCCACTGCCATGTCAGAAGTGCATTTTGCCTCCCGCCATGGTTCTGAGACATCCCCAGCCATGTGGAACTGTAAGTCCAATTAAACCTCTTTTTCTTCCCAATCTCAGGTATGTCTTTATCACCAGCATGAAAATGGACTAATACAGTTAGTGTTTAGTTGTGAGGTACTATTCTGTTCATCATGCTGTTTGTTGCCTTTATACCTTGGTTTTTTGTTTGTTTGTTTATTGTATTTTTGCTTTATAGGTCCTATGAGATTTATGCTTTAAAGAGGTTCTGTTTTGATGTGTTTCCGAGATTTGTTTCAAGATTTAGAGCTCCTTATAGCAGTTTTTACAGTGTTAGCTTGGTAGTGATGAATTCACTCATCATTTGTTTGTCTGAAAAAGACTGTATGTTTCCTTAATTTATGAAGCTTAGTTTCACTGGATACAAAACTCTTAGCTGATAATTGTTTTGTTAAGCAGGCTGAAGATAGGGCCCCAAATCCTTCAAGCTAGGAGGGTTTGCCGAGAAATCTGCTGTTTATGTGATAGGTTTTCCTTTATAGATTACCTGATGCTTTTGCCTTACAGCTCATAAGATAGGTTTTCCTTTATAGATTACCTGGTGCTTTTGCCTTGTAGCTGATAAGATTCTTTCCTTCATCTTAACTTTAGATAATCTGATGCCAGTGTGCCTAGGTGATGCTCTTTTTGCAGTGAATTTCCCAGGTGTTCTTTGAGCTTACTGTATTTGGATATCTAGGTTTTTAACAAGGCCCGGGAAGTTTTCCTTGACTATTCTCCCAAATACGTTTTCTAAACTTTTCGCTTTCTCTTCTTCCTCAGGAATGCTGATTATTCTTAGGTTTGGTTGTTTAACATAATCTCAGACTTCTTGGAGGCTTTGTTCATATTTTCTTATTCTTTTTTCTTTGTCTTTGTTGGATTAATTAAAAAGCCTTGTCAAGCTCTAAAGTTCTCTTCTGCTTGGTCAGTTTTGTTGCTGAGACTTTCTAGAGCATTTTGCATTTCTATAAATGTGTCCATTATTTCCTGAAGTTTTGATTGTTTTTTATTTATGCTATCTATTTCACTGAAGATTTCTCCCCTTATTTCTTGTATGATTTTTTTGATTTCCTTAAATTAGGCTTCACCTTTCTCTGGTGCCTCCTTGATTAGCTTAATAACTGACCGTCTGAATTCTTTTTCAGGTAAATCAGGGATTTCTTCTTGGTTTGGATCCACTGCTGGTGAGCTAGTGTGATTGTGTGTGTGTGTGTGTGTGTGTGTGTGTGTGTGTTTGGGCGGGGGGGTGGGGGATGTTAAGGAACCTTGTTTTGTCATATTACCAGAGTTGGTTTTCTGGTTCCTTCCCATTTGGGTAGGCTCTGTCAGAGGAAAGGTTTAGGGATCAAGACTGTTGTTCAGATTCTTTTGTCCCACGGGATGTTCCCTTGATGCAGTACTCTTCCCCTTTTCCTAGGAATGTGGCTTTCTGAGAGCTGAGCTGTAGTGATTGTTATCTCTCTTTAAAATTAAATACCTAGTAACTAACCGAAGATGTGAAAGATACCTACAATGAAGACTGTAAAACACTGATGAAAGAAATTGAAGAGGACACAAAAAAATTAAAAGATACTTCATGTTTGTGGATTAGAAAAATCGATATTGTTAAAATGTTCATACTGCTTAAAGCAGTCTGCAGATTCAGTGCAGTCCCTATCAAAGCATCGATGACATTCTTCACAGAAATAGAGAAAACAATCCTAAAATTAATATGGAACCACAGAAGACTGAGAATAGCCAACACTATTCTGAACAAAAGGAAGAAAACTGAAGGAATCACATTACCTTACTTGAAGTTATACTGCAGAGCTATAGTAACTAAAACAGCATGGTACTAGCATAAAAACAGACCAAACAGTAGAACAGAATAGATATCCCGGAAACAAATCCATATACCTACAGCGGGTGAACTCATGTTTGACAAAGATGTCAAGAACAAACATTTGCGAGAAGACAGTCTCTTCAATAAATGGTGCTGGGAAAACTGGCTATTCACATACAGAAGAATGAAATTAGATCTGTTATCTCTCACTATATATAAAAAGGCAAAATGGATTGCTTAAATCTAAGACCCCAAACTATGAAACTGCTAGAAGAAATCATTGGGGAAACTCTCTAGGACATTGTTCTGGGCAAAAGAATTTTCATAAGCCTTGGTAATCAAATGAAAAATGGACAAATTGGATCACTTCAAGTTAAGCTTCTGCACAGCAAAGGAAACAATCTACAAAGTAAAGAGACAAGGCACAGAATGGGAGAAAATATTTGTAAACTACATGTTTGACATGGCATTAATAACCAGAATATAAGAAGCTCATACGACTCTGTAGGAAAGAATCTAATAATCCAATTATACAATGGTAATACCTGAATAGACATTTCTCAAAAGGAGAGATACAAATGGAAAACAGGCATGTGAATAGCTACCTAATGTCATTGATCATCAACAAAATGCAAATCAAAGCTACAGTGAGATATCACACCTCATTTAAAATAGCTCTTATTCAAAAGACAGGTAATATGAAATGCAGGTGAGGATGTGTAGAAAGGGAATCCTTGTACATTGTTGGTGGGGATGTAAATTTGTACAACCAGTATGGAGACCAGTTTGGAGGTTCCTTAAAAAACTAAAAATAGAGCTACCATGCAATCCAGCGATCCAGGTGCTGAATATATACCCAAATGAAAGGAAATCAGTATATCAAAGGGATATCTGCAATTCCATGTTTGTTGCAGCACTGTTCACAATAGCCAAGATTTGGAAGCAACCTAAGTGCTCATCAGCAGATAAATGGATAAAGAAAATGTGGTACATATACACAATAGAATACTATTCAGCCATGCAAAAGAATGAGATCTGTCATTTGCAACAATGTGGATGGCTCTAGAGGTCATTATCTTCAGTGAAATAAGCCAGGCACAGAAAGGCACACTTATGTTCTCACTTATTTGTGGGAGCTAAAAATTAAAACATTTGAATTTGTGGTGAGAATAGAAGGATGGTTACCATAGGCTGGGAAAGGTATTTTGTGTTGGGGAAGAAGGTGGGGGTGGTTAATGGGTATAAAAAGTAGTTAGAATGGGCCAGGCACAGTGGCTTACACCTGTAATCCTAGCACTTTGGGAGGCCGAGGCAGGTGGATCACCTGAGGCCAGGAGTTCAAGACCAGCCTGGCCAACATGGCGAAACTGCCTCTCTACTAAAAAACACAAAAGTTAGCCTGGTGTGGTAGTGATGGGCACCTGTAATCCCTGCTACTCAGGAGGCAGAGGCAGCAGAATCACATGAACCCAGTAGGCGGAGGTTGCATTGAGCCAAGATCACACCACTGCACTCCAGCCTGGGCAACAGAGCAAGACTCTGTCTCAAAAAAAAGTAGTTAGAATGAATTAAGACCTAGTTAACCTAGTATTTAATTGCACAACTGGGTGACTATAGTCATCAATAATTTAGTTATACATTTAAAAATAACTAAGACTATAATTGGATTGTTTGTAACACAAAGGATAAATGCTTCAGGGGATAGATACCCCATTTACCAATGTGATTATTATGCATTGCATTTCTGTATCAAATTATCTTATGTACGCACAGAAGTTACAAATTAAAACTGGAAATGAAACCTCATGAAAGTATAAGAATCAGAGGTCATATAAAACAATCACATAAAGGAAGAGAAAGGAATCAAATGGCAACACAGTGTAATTCCATTATACCACAAAGACGAGGAAAACAAGGAAAGAATTTATACAACAACTAGGTAATAATCGATAATGTGACAGGATCAAAACCTCTCATATTAATATTAACATGGAACCTGAATGGATGAAATGCTCCACTGAAAAGAGAGGTTGATGGAATGGATTTTCAAAACCCATCAACCACGTATATGCTGCTTACCAGAAATGTGTCTTACATGGTAAGACACATTTAGACTCAAGTTGAAGGGGTAGAAAAAGATATTCTGTGCAATGGAAACCAAAATTGAGCAGGAGCAGCTAGACATATCTCACATACAATTAGCTTTAAATCAAAAGCAGTAAAGAAAGACAAACATGATCATTATTTAATGATAAAGGGATCAATTCAACAAGAGGATATAACAATCCTAAATATGCATGCACTGAACACTGGGCCACCCAGATTCATTAAATATTACTATAGTTAAAGAAAGAGATAGATAGCTGAACAATAATGGTAGGGAACAACACCACACTCATACTAGACAGAAATTGATAATCTGGTCCTAAAATTTATATGGAAATTCAAGGGACCCACAATAGCCAAAACAGTCTTCTCCAAGAATAACAAAGTTGGAGGACTTAACACATCCTGAATTCCAAACTTCTCACAAATGACAGTAATCAAGATAATGTGGTACAGACCTATACACAAATGGAATAGAATCGTGAACCCAGAAATACACCTTCTCATTTAAAGTCAATTTGTTTTTTATGAGGGTGTCATAAAAAAGGTAAGTAATGGTGTTTTAAAATTGTGCTGGAACAATTGGATGTCCACGTCGGTCGTGGAGACCCTAACCCAGTGGCACTAGAGGAATTAAAGACACACACACAGAAATATAGAGTGCGGAGTGGGAATCAGGGGGCTGACAGCCTTCAAAGCTGAAAGCCACAAACAGAGTTTTACCCACATATTCATTGACAGCAAGCCAGTGGTAAGCATTGTTTCTATAGAGTATAGATTAACTAAAATGGGAAACAAAGGGATGGGCTCTGGCTAGTTATCTGCAGCAGGTATATGTCCTTAAGGCACAGACACTCATGCTATTGTTTGTGGTTCAGGAACGCCTTAAGCGGTTTTCCACCCCAGGTGGGCCAGGTGTTCCTTGCCCTCATTCTGGTAAACCAACAACCTTCAGCGTGGGCATCATAGCTATCACAAGCATGTCACACTGCTGCAGAGATTTTGTTTATGGCCAGTTTTGGGGCCTGTTGATGGCCAGATTTGGGGGCCTGTTCCCAACATGTCCCCCTTTTTTGTTTTTGCAAGACGATAGAAGCAAAGGCGGCTTTATCACGGTGAGCTACTTCTTGCAGGAGTCAGGATCCACATCTGCAGACTATACAAAGACAACACAGATTAAAAGTGCAATCATCATTGAAATCACAGAGCCTCCAAGTGTTTTTATCCATTTTAATGGGTTAATAGCTGCTAATCTGTCTGCAGCTCCTTCAAGCACTCCAGTTCCTGGCATTAAGGTCAGGTGTGCCTGGGATGCTTTAAATATTTGTTCTTTTAATTTTGCAATGTCCAACGACAAGTTTGTAGAGTGCCCTTCTAGATGCTTTTTTATTCTGTCCCAAATTTTGATCTTATTAAGAGCCGTTAATAGTTTCCACAAATCCTTATGTTTAGCTCCTAGAGCGGGCCATATCATTTGAGGTTGAGGTGCCACTATACTGCCGTGTTTCCAGATAATAGGAACTCTTGCCATACTTCTTACCATTTCTACCATCTGACCGTTTTGTTCAGACCAACTGAACATAGTGTGGCCATGGCACGCAGACTGAGAGGTACAATTTGTGCTAAACATCCCCTTAGGGGACCAATCAATAATGATTCCATGGGAATCGTTGCGCAGCACCTCTGCCTGTTCTGCAGTGCAATCTTCCCAAACAAGTACGTTCATTTTTTCGGGCCAGGTCCAATTCTGTTTACAAACAGGTTTTTGATGGCAGTATGCCTCAATTATAGGAGCAGATTTATTATGGTAAATAGTGAGACCAGAAAGCATGTGTAACTGTGTCATAGAATGATTACATCCAGGCATTATTGCCAGCCAAGATTGATAGTGAGGGGGTAGGCAACTGGTGACCTTTCCCAAACAGATAGGTGAATGTTCAAATCCTAAAGAAATATTCCTAACAGTTCCTTCCTCATGTGGGTGAGACGGGCCTCTATTATCTGTAGGACCGAGCATCCAAGAGCTATCATTAGTGTATACCTCCACTGGGGGGTCCAGCCAAGTTACAGGCCATAGAAGTGGTGGAAAAGGTAAATATACCCAATAAGTATAATTGTTCTCTGTGTCAGCCCTTGCTAAAGGAATACTCATGGCAATGGTGATCACTGCTATCATAGCTATCATTAAATTACTCATTGTGATTGGTTGTTCCGCTTTCCTCAGGTTTTCTTCCGCCGTCTGTGACAGCTTCTTGATCTGTCCCCAGGTAGGTGGCTGCATTCGACAGGTGTTGCTCGTGACAGTTGGGGTCCTCCTCAGTGTCAGTCTCAACATGGCTGCAACTGGTGTGTGTTTGGAATCCTCCCAAAACCTCTTCCGGAGTATCTGGCTCATAGTAAGGCTTTAGGTATCTCAGTGGCACCCAAATTGGCTGTTGATTCAGTCCTGGCAAAACACAAGCATAACCTCTACCCCAAATTATTATTTTACCTGTTTCCCAATTTTTGTTATTGCATCTCTCCACCAAACCAGTTGTTCTGCTTCTGCCTTTGCAGCTGGTTTCTGTAGATGCTGTTCAGCTGCTGATAGCATCTGGCCTTTAGGCAGGCTCAAAAAATGTAAAGTCAGTAATGCTAGATTCAGTTGCATATTCATGATGTCCTGTAGTCTCTGTTTCCCTCCTTTTGCTTTTGCAACGGCTGTTTCGGGGAGAGATTCATTCATTCCACAATGGGTTGTCCTTGAGAATTACATGGGATGCCAGTAATGTGTTTAATATTCCATACAGAGAAAAATGTAGCTAGAGCTTGGTTAGTATATATAGCCTGGGGCATTGTCCATTTTAATAGATGCTGGAATGCCCATCACCGCAAAATACTGCAAAAGATGATGTTTAACACAGGCAGAAGACTGTCCTGATTGGCATGTAGCCCAGACAAAATGAGAAAAGGTATCTACACATACATGAACATAAGCTAGTCTCCCAAACGAGGGAACATGGGTGACATCCATTTGCCAAAGAGAATTAGGTTCTAATCTGCGAGGATTAACTCCTCCTATAAAAGATGAGGAATGCACCATTTGGCAAGTTGGGCATCGCTGGATAATAGCTTTAGCTTCTTTCCAGGTAATGCTATACCTGCGTTTGAGACCAGAGGCATTAACATGGGTTAAATTGTGAAAGTGTCTGTCTTAGATACTGCAGTAGCAACTAGGTGATCAGCCATTTGATTCCCTGCAGTCCAAGGTCCTGGAAGAGGTGTGTGAGTCCTAATGTAAATGATGTAAAAGGGTGCATTCTACTCCTAACTGCTGTTTGCAATTGGGAAAATAATCAGTTGTTCATCTGTGTGAAATCGTAACTGAGCATTTTCAATTAATTGTGTGGAATGAACCACCTATGAAGAATCAGAAATCACATTAATAGGCATATCGAAGGCAGTCAATACCTCAATTACAGCTACAAGCTCTGCTTTTTGAGCTGAAGTATAGGGCATCTGAAATACTTTACCTTTCAAGCCAGAATAAGAAGCTTTACCATTACTAGACCCACCTGTGAAGACATTTTCAGCACCTTCAGTTGGTTAAAATTTAGTTATTTTAGGGAGAATCCAATTAGTTAATTTCAAAAATTGAAACAGTTTTGTTTTAGGAAAATGGTTATTGAGAATATCCACAAAGTCAGCTAAATGAGTTTGCCAAGTAAGACTATTTATAAAAGCTTGCTGTATTTGTGCCTTTGTGAGAGGGACAATTTTTCCAGGATCATATCCATGTAATTTAACAATCTGAGTTCTCTGATTTCCTATCACAGTAGCAATTTGATCTAAATAAGGAGTTAGAGTCCGTGAATTAGTATGTGGAAGAAAAGCCACTGTACAAGATCTTGCTCTTGAACAATAACACCAGTAGGTGAATCTGAGTTGAAAAAAATTAGAAATCTAGAGTCTTCTCTGGATCTTTTCTACTTATTTGAGCCTTATGCACTTGCTTCTCAATTAGCTGGAACTCTGCCTCCACCTCCTTTGTTAATTGCTGAGGGCTATTGCGACTAGGATCTCCTCTAAGGATAGAAAATAGATCACTCGTGGCATAGGTAGGAATGCCTACAGCAGGTTGTATCCAATTTATGTCCCCTAGTAATTTTTGAAAGTCACTTAATGTTTTCAATTGATCCCTACGTATGGTTGCTTTCTGTGGCACAATGGTAGTATCATTTACTAAGGTCCCCAAGTAGGAGTAAGGAGTAGTAGTCTGAATTTTGTCAGGAGCTATGATTAAACCAGCACAAGAAATCAAAATTTGCAAGTGATCATAAGATTGGAGTAATAATTCTCTAGTGGGGCAGCACAAAGTATATCATCCATATGATGAATAATGTAACACTGTGGACATTTTTTACGAGTAGATTCAATTGCTTGCCCTACATACGTCTGGCAAATTGTTGGACTGTTTAGCATGCCTTGTGGCAACACTTTCCAGTGAAAATGCTTAGCAGGCTGCAGGTTGTTTACCGCAGGAATTGTAAATACAAGCCATTCACAGTCTTGCTCAGCTAAGGGGTTAGTAAAGAAACAGTCTTTTAAATCTATGACTATTAAAGGCCAATTTTTCAGAATCATAGCAGGAGAAGGCAGTCCTGGCTGCAATGCCCCCATAGGTTGTATAACTGAATTAATGGCCCTTAAGTCAGTTAACATTATCCATTTACCTGATTTTGTCTTAATTACGAAAACTGGAGAATTCCAAGGGGAAAATGTTGGAGCTATGTGTCCTTTTTCTAATTGTTCAGTAACTAAGTCCTCTAAAGCCTCCAGTTTCTCTTTGCTCAGCAGCCATTGTTCTATCCAAATTGGCTTATCTGTTAACCATTTTAAAGGTATAGGTTCTGGAGGCTTAACAATGGCCACCATCAAAAATGATATCCTAAACCTTGGCGGGACTTTGTCTTTCCACTTGAAGCAGTTCCTTCAAACTTTGCAAATTTTTTCCTAGCCCCATACCAGGGACATACCCCGTTTCATGCATCATATGTTGACTTTGAGGGCTGTATAATTGCTCTGGAATTAGAACTTGTTCTCCTCATTGTTGTAATAAATCTCTCCCCCATAAATTTATAGGTATAGAAGTTACAATTGGTTGAATAGTCCCAGGTTGTCCCATCAGGCCCTTCACAATGCAAGATATAACTATTTTGATATACTTCAGGGGCTTTACGAACTTCAGCTATGTTAAATTGAGCAGGTTGAATTGGCCATGAGGACAGCCAGTGCTGTAGAGAAATGAATGAAATGTCTGTTCCTGTATCTACCAAACTTTTAAATTTCTTTCCCTGAACAGTTATTTCACAGATAGGACATTTATCAGTAATTTGATTCCCCCAATAAGCTGCTTTGCCTTGTTTATTTGTGCTTCCAAATCCTCCTGTTCGTTTAGTTTCACTTTTCCCCATTTCCACATATGGCACAATCAGGAGCTGCGCTATACACGCTCCTGGCTCTGCTTTCCAGGGAACAGAAGTAGATACTGCAATTTGAATTTCCCCATTGTAATCTGAATTAATGACTCCTGTATGTACTTGCATTCCTTTTAAATTTAAACTAGAGGCCAGGTGCAGTGGCTCACGCCTGTAATCCCAGCACTTTGGGAGGCCGAGGCAGGCAGATCACGAGGTCAGGAGATCAAGACCATCCTGGCTAACATGGTGGAACTTCGTCTCTACTAAAAATACAAAAAATTAGCCAGGCGTGGTGGCGGGCACCTGTAGTCCCATCTACTCAGGAGGCTGAGGCAGGAGAATGGCGTGAGCCTGGGAGGCGGAGCTGGCAGTGAGCCGAGACCACACCACTGCACTCCAGCCTGGGTGACAGAGTGAGACTCCATCAAATAAATAAATAAATAAATAAATTTATTTAAACTAGACCTACCTAGAAGTAATGCTGGCATCATCTGGCTGGAGACAGCAACATTCTTGAACAGTCCTGTTACAAAAGGAGAACCTGGTCTATAATGATTTATAGCTTGTTTACATTCTTTAAGTATTTTAAAAGGAAAAGGCTCAAACGTAGCTATGATATTTCCCTGTTGATATGGGTGGTGTATTCTGACAGGGAACTGCCAAGCCTCTATATCACCCTCTCGTCTAGCTTGCTGAATTCCTGCCTGAAAAGAACTGAGAGCGGTCGCTCAAGGCACTGCCCAAACAGTTACTGGGGCATCTACTTTTCACCCACTGTCCTCTGGAAAAAGATCTGGAGGGTCAGGCCACTCTTTTTCTTCAAAATAATGAGGGGGTGCAGAAGGGTAGGGACAAACCTCTCCCTCCTTTGCCACTTTAGCTTTAGCTGGCCGACAAACCTGCTCTGTTACCTCTTATGTTACTTCATTACACCCTCCTTCCTCCTCCTCATCAGTGTGAAAAGGTTCCAAGGTGGAACGAGCCAGAGCCCATACTTGTCCCATTGTTACCCTGATGCTTCCGAGCTCCCCTTCTTACCACAGGGATTGCTTAAGAGTACTCGGGTGTCCTCCAGCGTAGTTCCATGTTCTCCAGTCATTGTTCCGGCACACGCATAGAAATATAGAGTGTGGAGCAGGAATCGGGGCTGATAGCCTTCATAGCTGAGAGCCACGAAGAGTTTTACCCACATATTTATTGATAGCAAGCCAGTGATAAGCATTGTTTCTATAGATTATAGTTTAAATCGGGAAACAAAAGGATGGGCTCTGGCTAGTTATCTGCAGCAGGAACATGTCTTTAAGGCACAGATCACTCATGCTATTGTTTGCAGTTCTGGAATGCCTTAAGGGGTTTTCTGCCCTGGGTGGGCGAGGTGTTCCCTTGCCCTAATTCTGGTAAACCAACAACCTTCAGCGTGGGCATCATAGCCATCACGAGCCTGTCACACTGCTGCAGAGATTTTGTTTATGGCCAGTTTTGGGGTCTGTTTATGGCTAGATTTGGGGTCCTGTTCCCAACAGACCCCTATCTCTCACCATAAGCAAAACTTAACTGAAAATGGATCAAAAACCTAAATATAAGCACTTATAAAACTTTAAAATTCTTAGGACCTTGGATTAGGCTGTGATATACTTGCTAAAAACACACGTAAATGTGTTTTTAAATCTTTAGAAATTATGCTTTATGAAAATTTTACACTGTTTTCAAAGCATACCATCAAGGAATGGGAAAGACAATCCATATAATGCGAGGGAAAGTTTGTAAATTGTATCTTATAAGGGACTTAATCTAAAATATATAAGGAACTCTTACAAGCCAGTAATAAAAACGCAAATAACACAGTTTTTAAATTCTCAAAGAATCTGCATAGACATTTATCCAAAGAAGATGCACAAGCCTCCAAGAAGTACATGAAAAGATTCTCAACATCATTAGCCGTCAGGTAAATACAAATCAAAATGGCAATAAGGCACTACATCAGTTGAAACAGGATGACTATACTAAGACAAACAGATAAGAAGTGTTGGTGAAAAGATGTTAAAATTGGAACTCTCATCCACTGCTGGTGTGAATGTAAGTTGTTCCGGCCATTTTGGGAAACAGTCTGGTAGTTCCTCAGAAGGTTAAATCTAGAGTTACCACATGACCAAATAATTCTACTGCTAGGTATATAGAACAAAGAAACATGAAAACATTATGTCCACATAAAAACTTGTACATGAATGTTTATATCAGATTTTTTTTTTTTTTTTTTTTTGAGACAGAGTTTCACTCCTGTTGACCAGGCTAGCGTGCAATGGCTCAATCTCGGCTCACGGCACCCTCTGCCTCCCGGGTTCAAGCGATTATCCCACCTCAGCCTCCTGAGTAGCTGGGTTTACAGGTGCCTACCACCATGCCTGGCTAGTTTTTTTTTTTTTTTTGTACTTTTAGTAGAAACGGGGTTTCACCACGTTGGCCAGGCTGGTCTTGAACTCCTGACCTCAAGTGATCCACCCGCCTCAGCCTCCTAAACTGCTGGCATTACACAGGCGTGAGCCACTGTGCCCAGCTGGAAATCTTTAAAGGTATTCAATTCCATGCAATTGTGAAGCAGATTCAGATCTTAAAAAAAAAAATTAATGACACCTTAATATTAAATAATATAGAAGCAATAATGTAAATAATGTAAATTAAGGCTTTAATATGGCATGTATAACTAAATGGATTAAATTCTGTTGAAAGACAAATTCATTAGGTGAAAATATTTATGTATTACAGGAAACATAAATTGATACAAAAATGTTAAAAGTAGGCCGGGTGTGGTGGCTCACATCTGTAATCCCAGCACTTTGGGAGGCCGAGGTGGGCACATCACCTGAGGTTGGGAGTTTGAGACCAGCCTGACCAACACTGAGGAACCCCATCTCTATTAAAAATACAAAATTAGCCAGGCCTGGTGCCACACGCCTATAATCCCAGCTGTTCGTGAGGCTGAGGCAGGAGAATCACTTGAACCTGGGAGGCAGAGGTTGCGATGAGCTGAGATCATGCCATTGCACCCCAGCCTGGGCAACAAGAGTGAAACTCCATCTCAAAAAAAAAAAAAGTTAAAGGTAAAGGATGGACAACATTATATTCAGTGGGATTTACATCATCATAAAACATTAAAAGTACAGATTAGATAATTTTATTATTTCAAAATGAAGTTAACAGTGAGGATACAGCCAAGCAATTATGCATCTGAGGGAAAAATGAAAATAGGTCCTTTCCTCTTTCTATGTGCTAAAATAAATTCTAGATGGATTAAGGACTTAAATTATAAATGACTTGAGAAAATATAATTAAAACTTGAGAAAATGTAATTTCATCTTTTGCAGCATGTGTTACAGGACAGTATTACCATCTCAAAGATCTGTGAGTTGTGGCTTATGTGACAGCAAATAATTCAAATTGGCTAAAGAGAGGAGTTCTGGTGTTGGTAGGGATCCCCAATTAGTTTGGGTGGCTTTTTATTCTCAGCAATGAATTCAACTTCACTGAACGGGTTCTATGATAGGCAAACTATATAGTTAGAAATATTTAACTTACTTGCACCTTTTATCAGCAGTTTTACTTGTCTCCCCTAAGCATTCTCATGCAGACATTTTCCAGGTGAAATACCTCTCCTCAGAGCCGGAAGTTTAACCAGTTATGAAGTGTGTAATGTTAATGACCATTTAGTTCATGTTTTTCATGAAGTTTAACAAATTTACTCTGAGCTGGCACTCTGCATTCTTACTATATATTGTAATAATTGCACAGCCATGGTATAGCACCGTGTCCTTAAATAACTTACATCAGTGAAAGGCTTCTTTACCACCAGTAGGCTTCACTATTTCACACAACATGGAGTAGAGAAGGATGTCACAAGGAAGAGAGATCAAACTTTAACCATAAAAGAAAAAAAATTATTTAACTTGACTATATTAAAATTAGGAAGAGCCTAATAAGATACCTGTAACTCATATAACAAAGGATTGACAAGGAATATGTTTTTGGTTTTTGGTTTTTTTTTGTTGTTGTTTTTTTTTAAGACAGTGTCCCACTCTGTTGTCCAGGCTGAAGTACAGTGGTGTGATCTCGGCTCACTGCAACCTCCATCTCCCGGGTTCAAGCGATTCTCTTACCTTGTCCTCCCAAGTAGCCGGGAATACAGACGTGTGCCACCACACCCAGCAAATTTTTGTAGTTTTTAGTACAGACAGGGTTTCACCCTTTTGGCCAGGGTGGTCTCGAACTCCTGGCCTCAGGTGATCCGTTCGCCTCAGCCTTCCAGAGTGCTGGGATTACAGGCTTGAGCCACTGCACCTGGCCGGAATATGGTTTATAATATGTTAAGTATGCTTTGAAAATGAAAGAGGAAAGACACCCCAAGAAGTCATGAGCAGGAAATAACCAGGAATTTTTACAGACAAGTAAACATAGCTAATAAACATAGGAAAAGATGATAGTAATTAGGGAAACCCAAATTAAGACAATGAGAGCTAATTCTTTATCCAAGTAGATTGGCTAAAATCAAATCTGGCAATACCAAGGGTTCAAGAGGATGTGGCTCAGTGGTAACTCTTACGTATTGACTGTATGGATGCAAACTGGTAAAACTGCTCCAGGAAATAATTTGGTTTTCTTGAAAAGTTGAACATGGATACCTTTTCAGTATCTAGAAATTCACTCAGGAAATGCTTACACATAAGCCCCTTGAGACAGAAATAATCAGAATAGCATTGTTGTGTCAGAACATCAACAAGAACTGGAAATGTAATCCCAGCACTTTGGGAGGCTAAGGCATGAGGATCACTTCAGCCCAGGAGTTTCAGACTAGCGTGGGCAACATAGTAAGACCCAATATCCACAGAATTTTTTTTACAAATTAGCCAGTTGTGGTGGTGCATGCCTGTAATCCCAGCCTCTTAGGAGGCTGAGGTGGGAGGATAGCTTGAGCCTGGGAGGCTGAAGCTGCCATGAGCCATGCTGCACTCCAGCCTGGGTAACAGAGCAGCAAGACCCTGTCTCAAAAAAAAAAAAAAAGGAACTGGAGGTGACCCAAAGATCTTTCACAAATGATCAGATAAACAAATTTTGGTATATCTACCCAAAGAATTATTACAGTGCAAAGAAGAACACGAATTATTGCTATACGTAAGCACATGGATGAATTTTGTACATATACATAACTGAAAAAACAAGTATTAGCTATAGTTTGCTCAACAACAAAATTAAACAGTATATTTGTTTACATATGACATTTATGATGAAACTGTAGAAAAAGTAATAGAATTATAAACTAAGTTTAGGATACATCATCAGGATGGAGAAGAGGTGCAAGGGGCATAGTTTGGAGAAACATAAGTAAATGCAGGTTACTGATAGTATTCTACTTATTTGTTGCAGGTGTTTCAAAGATGTTCACTTTATTATACTTTGTAATTAACACATATTACAAGTCTTTTGTATGCATCAAATGTAGAGGCATTTTTTTACTCCAGAGCTTAAATTTCAGCACGTTTTACTAATTTGGGCCTTTTCCAAAGGCCCTTAGAAGGGCCATAGTAACAATATGTTCACGTGGTTGGATGTTTTCATCAGATTTACAATAGTAAGATATTTTAAGTATAGTCATTTAAGACCCCTGTCTCTCTTCACCTTGATTTCTTCTTTGTGTCAGCTGGCAGTAGAGTGGTTTCAGGCATTTTGTGATTGGGGGATTTATTTGTGTTTAGTGGGATGTGTTTGTGATTCAGAGTCATTTCTGGATGTAGGTAATTATAGCCTGTCAGCCTGATTGTGTTGGGAATGTGGTCTCTGGTGCCTGGCACCTGTAATATGTGAGTATTAGAGAAGCCAAAGTGCAAATTATGGAACCAGAAGGTAATCAGGAAAAAATTCCCAATTATCTGATGTTTAAAATTTTAAGTGTAGGATTTCGTTCTCATCAATTTCCAGTCAAAACAGCACTTTTCTCCTGTCAAAAATAACATAGCACATTCAATTATAAATTCACCATATATTTATTTTCTTTTTTTGATAGGAATCCTGCTTTTTTTTTTTCTTTGAGACACGGTCTCACTCTGTCACCCTTGCTGGAGTGCAGTGGTGCAATCACAGATCACGGCAGTGTCTAATTCCTGGGCTCAAGTGAACCTTTTGCATCAGCCTCCTGAATAGCTGAGACCACAGGTATGTGCCACACCTGGTTGAATTCTCCCTTTAAAATAATATAAGAATGTTTTTATTTGTAGGACACAAAACTGTAGCAGTGTCTTCAGGCAAAGCTGCTAATTTTATGCATCATGATTATCACTTTTAGCAAATACATCATAAAACCATGCTAGAGGAAAGATTTGATTTGTTCATTTTCTTTGGAAAATAATACAAAAATTGTATTCATGAAGAGACAATCATATAATACACAGTCCTATAGGAAAAATAGAATTGTATAGGCATATTAGGGTCTTAATTAATGAAGAGTATTGTGCTGTTTTTTGGATTTATTTAGTATATATATCAGGTTTGTTTGTGTGTTTGTTTTAAGACAGAGTCTCGCTCTGTCATCCAGGCTGGAGTACAATGGCACGATCTCGGCTCACTGCAACCTCTGCCTCCTGAGTTCAAGTGATTCGCTTGCCTCGGCCTCCCAGAAGCTGGGATTACAGGCATGTGCCAGCATGCCTGGCTAGTTTTTGTATTTTTAATAGAGATGGCGTTTTGCCCTGTTGGCCAGGCTGGCCTGAACTCCTGACCTCAGGTGATCCACCTGCCTCGGCCTCCCAAAGTGCTAGGATTACAGGCGTGAGCCACCCTACCAGGTTAGTTGGCTTATTTATTTAAGCTGGAATGTTATGTATCTTAGTGCTGGTTTTATTTTATTTTATTTTATTTTATTTTATTTTATTTATTTTATTTTATTTATTTTATTTTATTATTTTATTTTATTTTAATTTAATTTAATTTTTATTTTATTTATTTTACTTCATTTATTTTATTTTTATTTTGTTTTATTTTATTTTATTTTTATTTTATTTTATTTTATTTTTAGACTGTCTCACTCTGTTGCCCAAGCTGGAGTACAGTGGCGCGATGTTGGCTCACTGCAACCTCCACCTCCCGGGTTCGAGTGATTCTTGTGCTTCAGCCTGCCGAGTAGCTTGGGATTACAGGTGCATGCCACCATGCCTGGCTAATTTTTGTACTTTTAGTAGAGACAGGGTTTCACCACGTTGACCAAGCTGGTCTCGAACCCCTTACTGCAAATAATCCTTCCAACTCGGCCTCCCAAACTGCTGGGATTACAGGCATGAGCCACGACACCTGGCCACATTTATTTTAGAAACTTGAACATTAGGAAAGCTTAAACAGATGCCATTATGTATAGAAAATGGAATGTTTTATAAAAACTTTTTTTTGTTTTTATGAATAAGTGCAATTTAATGTTTAGATTATTTAAACTATGACTTACCTGGATAAAAAAATAGTGAATGGTTATAGCACTGAGGTGATATAACAAGAAGTGGCTAGATAAAACTATCAGGTAGAGGCTTACTAGCAATACAGATTTTGAATTTATGTAGTTTAGATTTATAGAAACAATAGAAAAGATTTTTATGTTTTCAGTGTCATGAAAATGGATATGATTTTCAGTAAGGTGATTATCTAAATATGGAGAGACAGTGTCAATGTTATTTTAATATTGTAAATAAATAACTTTAATTCAGTAGTAAATAACTTTTATTCACTAGAGAAATGCATTTAAATATGATGTCTTAAATTCCAGGATATGAAAGATGGCAAGTCCAGATAGAAGTAAACGGAAGATATTAAAAGCCAAAAAGACAATGCCCCTAAGTTGCCGGAAGCAAGTAGAGATGCTGAATAAGTCAAGGAATGTTGAAGCGCTGAAAACAGCAATTGGGAGTAATGTTCCAAGCGGTAATCAGAGTTTCAGTCCTAGTGTCATAACTAGGACGACTGAAATAACCAAATGTAGCCCTTCTGAAAATGGTGCATCCTCATTGGACTCTAATAAAAATTCAATATCAGAGAAAAGTAAAGTATTCTCTCAGAATTGCATAAAACCAGTAGAAGAAATTGTTCATTCAGAAACAAAATTGGAACAAGTTGTTTGTTCGTACCAAAAGCCAAGTAGAACAACAGAATCCCCCAGCAGAGTCTTCACAGAAGAGGCAAAAGATTCACTGAACACTTCTGAAAACGATTCTGAGCATCAGACAAATGTAACAAGATCCCTTTTTGAGCATGAGGGGGCTTGTAGTCTAAAGTCCAGTTGCTGTCCACCCAGTGTATTGAGTGGTGTTGTTCAGATGCCAGAGTCTACAGTAACCAGTACCGTGGGTGACAAGAAAACTGACCAGATGGTTTTCCATTTAGAAACAAACTCCAATTCAGAATCACATGATAAAAGGCAAAGTGACAACATTTTATGTTCAGAAGACTCAGGTTTTGTGCCTGTTGAGAAAACACCTAATTTGGTGAATTCAGTCACTTCTAACAACTGTGCTGATGACATTTTGAAAACTGATGAGTGTAGTAGAACCAGTATTTCAAATTGTGAAAGTGCAGACTCAACATGGCAGTCATCACTTGACACTAATAACAACAGTAAGTATATACTTATGCACCTTTTAGAAAAATTAAAATAGTCACTTTTCTTTAGGGTATTTTAAAGTCTCAAATATACAAACCAGTATAGACAGAAAAAAGGTAAATGATGACAATTATTTCACAGTATCTTGTTTCTGAACCATTCTTAGTGAGGTGGGGGACAGGTATCCACCATATTAAAAGGGTAATTATTGCAAAGAAGGAATCAATCACTTTTCCTTAAGTACAAAATATCAAAAGGTGGTTTATAGCAATTATTTGGTTCATTTCATATACATCTCTTCTTATTTTGAAGTTTTATTAGATTAAGAAGGAGGCTAGTTGAAAGAGTGAGTTTTAAAAATTGTTGGTAACCCTATTTCTTTTTTTTTTTTTTTTTTTTTGAGACGGAGTCTCGCTCTGTCGCTCAGGCTGGAGTGCAGTGGCGCGATCTTGGCTCACTGCAACCCCCACCTCCTGGGTTCGAGTGATTTGCCTGCCTCAGCCTCCTGAGTAGGTGGGATTACAGATGGGCACCACTACGCCCGGCTAATTTTTTTTTTTTTTTTTTTTGTATTTTTAGTAGAAACAGGGTTTCACCATGTTGGTCATGCTGGTCTCGAACTCCTGACCTCGTGATCCACCCGCCTTGGCCTCCCAAAGTGCTGGGATTACAGGCGTGAGCCACTGTGCCCAGCCAACCCTATTTCTTTCTATAGAATTGACCTGTAAATCACATGCTAAGTATGATAGATAATATATTCACACATGTGTATATGTGTGTGTAGAGAAAGAGAAGCACCCCAAATAATAAATGAAGTCCTTGGGTTATAACATCATTAAAATAGCAAAAGTGAATTTCATTTGAAGTAGGGTATTTTGTTAATGAAATAGAAAAAAACTGATTTAATGCTATAAATTTTGTGTTCTTGTCTAGACTACAGAATGGTCATTTAACAAGATGAATTTAAAATTCCTTAAAAATAATAACAGTATCATCTATTTCAAATATGTATAATAGGCTGGGTGTGGTGGCTCATGCCTGTAATTAACAGCACTTTGGGAGGCCGAGGCAGGAGGATCGCTTGAGCCATCCAGGCTAGCCTGGGCAACAGATCCAAGACCCTGTCTCTTAAAGAAAAAAAAAGAAGCCGGGCGCTGTGCCTAACGAATACAATCCCAGCACTTTGGAAGGTTGAGGCAGGTGGATCACCTGAGGTCAGGAGTTCAAGACCAGCCTGGCCAACATGGCGAAACCCCGTCTCTACTAAAAATACAAAAAAAATTAGCCAGGCGTGGTGGTGGGCACCTATTATTATTATCGCAGCTACTTGGGAGACTGAGACAGGAGAATTGCTTGAACCTGGGGGGCGGAAGTTGCACTGAGCCAAGATCGTGCCACTTCACTCTTGCCTGGGCGACAAGAGTGAGACTCCTTCTCAAAATGAAAAAAGAGTACCTTTATATAAAATAACGTAGAACCACTTAAGTCACTATAAATAGAGAATTAAATGCCATAATTTGTTAAGTTTTTGTTCGTATATGTGTATTGAGTTATTAAGTAAGATTAAAGGGACAGAGTATCTGAGACCAGAACCCTACCTAAGATAACTCATTTTTTTTCAAGGTTAGTTTGTGGGTACGTATTTATGCAATTGAATGTTCTAAAAAATGCTGCAGTGTCACATTTTAGTTTTTCCATTTGCTCAGAGGGTCTCTAAATTAGAGAATTCCTATTTCCTTCTCTTTTTTCCTCCTTGAAACAGGGTCTCACTGTGTTGCCCAGGCTAGAGTGCAGTAGTCAAGGTGCTCACTGCCACCTCAACCTCCCAGCCTCAAGCAATCCTCTCACCTCAACCTCCTGAGTAGCTGAGACTACGGGCATGCCCCACCATACCCAGCTAATTTTAAATTTTTTGTGGAGATGAATTTTCACTATGTTGCCCAGGCTGGTCTTGAACTCCTGGCCTTAAGCCACCCTCCCTCCTTAGCCTCCCAGAGTGCTGGGATTACAGACATGAGCCACCACACTGAACCTGTTTTTTTCTTTAAAATATCTTTCTTTCTAATCTTTTGATCTCCTCAAGGCCATTATCAAAAGAAGAGGATGTTTTCAGAAAACGAGGAAAATGTTAAACGCATGAAAACTTCAGAGCAAATTAATGAAAATATTTGTGTAAGTTTGGAAAGGCAAACAGCATTCCTGGAACAGGTAAAATATTGGGGCTTAAATGGAACTTTTACTTTTGATTAGTAAAACATGGTAAAAGTTAATTATCTGGTCCCCACAGTGGCATAATACAGACGACTTTCACTTGCTGCAGAGCTGGTGTGTGAAAGCCAAATTATCAGACAGACTGGGGAGAGATAACTACTTACATTACCAAAACAGCTCTGGTTTCTTGAAAATGGTCTCATGCAGAATAACCTAGGGATCATGTGTAGGTAGAGTCCTGTTGCAAAAAGAGAATGGGCTTTCAGTCAGTATTACACTCATATTTGTCTGTAAGTCAGACACTGCATGACCTTCAGCTTTATTAAAGAATCCAGTCTCTTTTGTACTAGTCATGGGGTTCTTAGATCTGCAGCTCTATCCATTTGTAGATCTCACCACAACCCAGAAGACTCAAACAACCTGGAAGTCCATTGCAAAGTCCCTGTGCATTCAGGTTTACTTGCCCTATTTTCCAAACTTAAACGGATATGGTACATTATCTGACATTTTGCTGTATAGCATCATTAAATACACTTCTTGCTTTCATTGTGGCCTCATTTTATCTCATTGTACTACAGTCTCAGTATGCGTTTGATCAATTGTTAGCTGAAGTGTATGTAGCGTGTTTCAGTTCTAGTAGAATGGTTATACTGAGGACGGGTTTTGATGACCATGTTTTCCTATTTCACTACCACTAGAATGCCACCACTACAAATCATTACCTAGTAGACTAATGTCTTCCAGCTGTAATGGACCGAAATTTCCCCGTCTAAACTACCCTGCAAACTGTTTCAGAAACAGAAACACTACCATTTTTTAAAACAGACCATTACAATTACATAGTTACATATACTATGAATGTGTATTCTTCACCTAATAATAAGGGAAAATAAAGGGAAAGAGTTACGCAGAACCAGCTTAAAGGGCGAGTCAACAGTTTTTCTGTGTCTCCCTTTTGGTTTTCTTCGAAGAAGACCAAAGGAGACAGTAAAAAATATGTAAGTGTTCTGTTGTTGGCAGGGAAAGGGTAGAAGTATGGTAAGCATGGATCCTAGCCCTAAGGACCATGTTATTCAAGAAGAAGGTTGGGGATTCCAGCTGTGTCTTGTTTCCAGTAATTAGTAGCTGAAGTGAGAAGTAAGTTTTTGTTTGTTTGTTTGTTTGAGGCAGAGTCTCACTTTGTCACCCAGACTGGAGTGCAGTGGCACAGTCTCGGCTCAGTGCTACCTCCACCTCCTGAGTAGTTGGGACTACAGGTGTGCACTAGCACACCCAGCTAACTTTTTGTGTGTATTTTTAGTAGAGACAGATTTTACCATGTTGGCCAGGCTGGTCTTGAACAGCAGTTTCAGTGATCCGCCCGCCTCGGCCTCCCAAAGTGCTGGGATTACAGGTGTGAGCCACCGCGCCCAGCCAGAAGTAACTTCTGATGTGTACATAACCATCTCTAAATAGCTAGCTTTTCCTCACTTCTTATTGCTGTCCAAACAGTTGTCTCTCTCAACCATATCTAGATGTTTACCTTGTTTGAATCTCAATGAGATAGCCCTCCCCGTCATTCTGACATTGTTCTCCCCTACTGAAGGAGTCCTGCAGTGATCATTTCTTAGCCTTTTGAGGTTTCATAAGGAGCATGGCCGGGTTAATTCCAGTTAAATTACTGAAGAGGAAGGGTTTTTCCTTTACAGTCTTAAGTTATTCACTCTACCCATTATCTCAGAAAGTTGGCACAGATTGGAGATAAGTTTGTACTTTCTCCAAACTTTAGGCCAGTTTGGCTGCCATCTCCACTTTGAAGCCAGGACTTCAATCTGATTCCCTGTTGATGGGCACATTACCATTGGTAAAAACATTTATGAGGTATTTGATGGAGGTTATTGTGTCTTCCTTTTGTATAAGGAACATTACCATTAAATTAGAACAAGTGTATAGTCTAACCAAGAGGAGTTGCCCCATGGTGGGTACTTAGTCAAAAATGATCAAATTTAAGGACCTGTCCCAATGTGAACCACCAGGAGTACTTGTTTAAATTGTGGTTTCTTGAGCTAATAGTTGAAGACTGTTGTTGTAGGCTACTGCTTTCTCAAACGTACCTGATAAAAATCATTTGTAGTAACTGTTTAGTATACAACTTTCCAGGCTCCTTTCCAAAAGATTGTGTTTGGTGGATCCAGGATGTGGCCTAGGAATTCGATTTTTAACAACCATCCCATGTGATTGTTCCTCACCAAGGATGAGGAACACTGTTAGAGAAACACTGTACAAAACAGTGTTTCCACGTTCAAAAGATTTAGATTTGTTTCTCCAAGATTCATGTGGGTATGAGCTTCACATATTGAACCCAGCCAGTGAACTAACAAACATGTGATGATCCATAGAAACCACACGAGTAATAGGTAATGGTCATCGGTAAAAATAATAGTATTGGCCGGGCGTGGTGGCTCACGCTTATAATCCTAGCACTTTGGGAGGCCAAGTTGGGTGGATCACTTGAGGTCAGGAGTTCAAGACCAGCCTGGCCAACAATGGTGAAACCCTGTCTCGGCTAAAAATATAAAAATTAGCTGGACATGGTGGAGCATGCCTGTAGGCTCAGCTACTAGGAAGGCTGAGGCAGGAAAATCACTTAAACATGGTGGGTGAAGATTGCAGTGAGCCGGGATCACGCTGCTGCACTGCAGCCTGAGCAACAGAGCGAGACTCTGTCCCAAAAAATATAATAGTATGTGTTACTGAGCCTTTTTTTTTTAAATAATACATTTTGAGCACATTCATTTGCTCACATGTTTAAAAGTTATGAAAGTAAAAATGACAATCATGTCTAATGTAGAGAAACCATGGAAGAAATGTTAGTGAAGCATTAGAGAAGAGATCAAGTAGACAATGTTGAAGAGTGAGAACACTTGGAAACAGGAAGGAAGAGCCTTGGGAATGATCAAAATTAAAGAATATAATCATCCAGGTGATATCAATATAAGAGTTTAACGTAGGAACTATGTGTTCTATTTTGAGCATCATGAAGCAAGATACTGGAGGAAAAAATATATAAATATTATAAATACCTTAAATGTATCATAACAGGTCATATTAACAAAGACTACTTACACTGTGGTGAAAATTGCTTACCAGGAGGATACACACTGAGTGAAAAACTACAGTGAATGTTTCTGAATGTATGGCTCAGCAGAGCTGCTCATATCAGTGGGCATTGAAATTAATTATTCTCCCTGAAAATGGGCCAGTCTGTTTTCAAAAAAAAAAGATAAGTTCATTAATTTTTCATATTACAGCTACTACGATTTGTTAGAATGGCATGCATTATGGCAGATAACATTGGTAACTACATAATTGTCCTTGGCTATTTTTCCCATTTTTTTTTTTTTTTTGAGACGGAGTCTCGCTCAATCACCCAGGCCTGGAGTACAGTGGTGTGATCTCGGCTCACTGCAACCTCCACCTCCTGGATTCAAGCAGTTCTCCTGTCTCAGCCTCCAGAGTAGCTGAGACTATGTTGCCTGCCACCATGCCTGGCTAATTTTTGTATTTTTAGTAGAGTCGGGGTTTCACCATGTTGGTCAGGCTGGTCTTCAACTCCTGACCTCGTGATCTGCCCACCTCGGCCTCCCAGAGTGTTGGGATTACAGGCGTGAGCCACTGCACCCGGCTGGCTTCTTTCAGTTTTAGCACCGTGCTCTAACTAGCTGAGCTAACCAACTGATTGATATTATTTCAATTTTAACAATAAGAAAGCCACCCCCTAAAACAATTATGGAAGTAATGGTGATTATCTTACATATTTACTTCTTTCATATCAATTCAGTGTTTTTTATTTTATGGTGCTCTTTTGCGTATTACCTTATGTTCCTATAAAAATCCTTTGAGTATCACTTGTTCAACATTTATTATATTATCTACTCATTTGTCAACAAGGAAAATGAAGCTCAAAAATAATGTGACTGACTAAAGGGTCAAGTAGCTTATTAGTGGTAATGTCAAGTCTCACACTTGTGTAATTTGTTCTATATCTACTACAGACCAACCAACCATTTTCATCAGGTGCTGGTTTTCAGATAAGTAGAGTTCCTTTATATGGAATACTAACTAGGAGTTATGGATATTAAAAAATATAAATGGCATATAGTCTTTTAATTGTTTCTATAATGTATAGTATGGAATTCAAGTGGAACTATAGGAAACTAAAGTTAGCATTATGAGAATAAATTTAATTTCTAACATGTCCAGTATACTTAAATATTGGATGTGTTCTGAGTTTAATATTCAAGTTTTGAAAAACTTACTGGTATAGTTATATAAACATACAAATATAAATAAACTATATTTAATTGGTTACAGTAAATCTGGAAAAGAGCAAGGCTTTTTAAGTAGAAAGTAAAATTGCTTTTAAATTTGAAACGTAGGGTGTTTTGGTTTTTATTTTAAAATTCTAGGTCAGACATTTGATTCAGCAGGAGATCTATAGCATAAATTATGAACTATTTGATAAGAAACTGAAAGAATTGAACCAACGCATTGGGAAGACAGAGTGCAGAAATAAGCATGAAGGAATAGCTGATAAACTTTTGGTAAGTTTTGATTTCATTTGAGTCTTTTTTAGGGGAGTAGGGGGTGTTGTTGCTCTGTTGCTCAGGCTGCAGTACGGTGGCTCACTGCAGCCTCTGCCTTCTGAGCTCAAGCAATCCTACCACCTCAGTCTCCAGAGTAGCTGAGACTACAGGTGCACACCACCATACCCTGCTAATTTTTGGGTTTTTTTTTTTTTTTTAGAGATGAGGTTTCACCATGTTGCCCATGCTTCCCTCAAACTCCTGAGCTCAAGTGATTCTCTAGCCTCAGCCTCCCAAAGTGCTGGGACTACAGGCGTGCGTCACCACACCTGGCCCATGTGAGTCCTTTTAAAAAGAAGAATTTGGTGATATTTTTCATATTAGCAAAGGAAAACAATAAGGGAAGACATACCTGATTCCTGGCCATTAGCCTAATGTGAGAACATATCATAGGCAATGTAATTTACTATAGCTTAGCAATATCGGCTTTTGAGAAATACTCAGAACTGTTAGGCATTCTGTGTCAATTGACAGGCTTAATACTTAGGCAGCTTCGGCCAGGCGCGATGGCTCATGCCTGTAATCCCAGCACTTTGGGAGGCCAAGGTGGGCGGATCACAAGGTCAAGAGATCGAGACCGTCCTGGGCAACATAGTGAAACCCAATCTCTCCTAAAAATACAAAAATTAGTTGGGCATGGTGGCGTGTGCCTGTAGTCCCAGCTACTCAGGAGGCTGAGGCAGGAGAATTGCTTGAACCAAGGAGGCAGATATTGCAGTGAGCAGAGATTGCACCACTGCACTCCAGTCTGCCGACAGCGAGACTCCATCTCAAAAAAAAAAAAAAAAAATAGGCAGTTTCTTTTAAACCTAAATATATCCTTTATTAGAACTTGTACAACCTGTTTCAAGCCTTTTTGGACTTTTTGTTTTCCTCTTCTAGTATTACTTGCTGATTGATGTTTTTAACCACATTAATTTTATTGTAGACCAATTAGAAGTTTGAGTTTTTTGTTTTGTTTCGTTTGTTTGAGATGGAGTCTCGCTCTGTCGCCCAGGCTGGAGTGCAGTGGCGCGATCTCGGCTCACTGCAAGCTCTGCCTCAGGGTTCACACCATTCACCTGCCTCAGCCTACTGTAGTCCCAGTAGCTGGGACTACAGGCGCCCGCCACCGTGCCCGGCTAATTTTTTGTATTTTTAGTAGAGACGGGTTTCACTGTATTAGCGTTGATGGTCTCAATCTCCTGACCTCATGATCCGCCTGCCTCGGCTTCCCAAAGTGCTGGGATTATAGGCGTGAGCCACCGCCCCCAGCCTTTTTTTTTTTTTTTTTTTTAAACAGTCTCACTCTGTCGCCTAGGCTGGAGTGCAGTCGTGTGATCTCAGCTCACTGCAACCTCTGCCTCCCAGGTTCAAGCGAGTCTCCTGCCTCAGCCTCCCGAGTAGCTGGGATTACAGGCGCCTGCCACTACACCCAGCTAATTTTTTGTGTTCTTAGTAGAGATGGGGTTTCTCCATGTTGGTCAGGCTGGTCTCAAACTCCTGACCTCAAGTGATCTGCCCGCCTCGGCTTCCCAAAGTGCTGGAATTACAGGCGTGAGCCACTGCGCCCGGCCGAAGTTTGAGATTTTTATCTTCCTTACCTTTAATATTATACAAGCATAGGCTGGGCACGGTGGCTCACGCCTGTAATCCCAGCACTTTGGGAGGCAGAGGCAGGTGGATGCTGGGGTCAGGAGTTCAAACCAGCCTGACCAACATGGAGAAACCCCGTCACTACTAAAAATACAAAATTAGCCAGGTATGGTGGCGCATGCCTGTAATCCTAGCTACTTGGGAGGCTGAGGCAGGAGAATCGCTTGAACCCGGGAGGCAGAGGTTGCAGTGAGTCGAGATCGCACCATTGCACGCCAGCATGGGCAACAAGAGCGAAACTCCATCTCAAAAAAAAATTTTTTTTATTTATATATATGTATATGTTATACAAGCATAAAATGTGATTTCAAGCTTTTGCATATATTAGAATTTTTCATTTGGGTAGATGTCTAGGTCTTACAAAACTACTTTGGCAAATAATTTACCCTCTATCTCTATGTGATATATAGTACTCTGGCTTAGTATTTATTTTTTTCTCTTTTTCTTCTAGGCAAAAATAGCAAAACTTCAAAGACGTATTAAAACAGTATTATTATTTCAAAGGAATTGTTTGAAACCAAACATGTTATCCAGTAATGGAGCCTCTAAGGTTTGTATAAACACACAGGAATTGTAATCATCTATTTGACTCATATAAGTGGTTTGATTAGAAGAAATGAATATATTTCCAGGCTAGGACAGAAGGTGTAAAGGTAAGTAAGTTTTTACTTAGAGTGTTCCCATGCATCTGTCTCTGGAAAAGACACCCTTAGGTAGTACATGCCACTTGTATTTCTGTAGTAAAGGGAGTAGAAAGAGGATTGGTGATTGCCAAGATTGGCTTCCCCCACCCCCATTTTATCATGAAAAGTATCAAATATATACAGCAAAGTTGAAATTATGTGTTTTTAATTATAGTTTAAGTTCTGGGGTACATGAGCAAAATGTGCAGTTGCATTACATAGGTATACACGTGTCATGGTGGTTTGTCAGACCCATCAACCTGTCATCTACATTAGGTATTTCTCCTAATGCTATCCCTCCCCTAGCCTCCCCACCCCCTGACAGGCCCTGGTGTGTGGTGTTCCCCTCCGTGTGTCCATGTGTTCTCATTGTTCAACTCCCACTTATGAGTGAGAACATGTAGTGTTTGGTTTTCTGTTCTCGTGTTAGTTTGCTGAGAATGATGGTTTTCAGCTTCATCCATGTCGCTGCAAAGGACATGAATTCATCCTTTTTTTGGCTGCATAGTATTCCATGGTGTATAAGTGCCACATTGTCTTTATCCAGTCTATCATTGACGGGGATTTGGGTTGATTCCAAGTCTTTGCTATTGTAAATAGTGCTGCAATAAACGTACGTGTGCATGTGTCTTTATAGCAGAATGATGTATAATCCTTTGGGTATATACCCAGTAATGGGATTGCTGGGTCATGTGGTAGTTCTGGTTCTATAGATCCTTGAGGAATCGCCACACTGTCTTCCACAATGGTTGAACTAATTTACACTTTCACCAACAGTATAAAAAGCATTCCTATTTCTGCACATCCTCTCCAGCATCTGTTGTTTCCTGACTTTTTAATGATCGCCATTCTAACTGGCATGAGTTAGTATCTTACTGTGGTTTTGATTTGCATTTCTATAATGACCAGTGATGATCAGCTATTTTTCATGTTTGTTGGCTGCATAAATGTCTTCTTTGGAGAAGTGTCTGTTCATATCCTTCGCCCGCTTTTTGATGGGGTTGTTTTTTTCTTGTAAATTTAAGTTCTTTATAGATTCTGGACATTAGCCCTTTGTCAAATGGATAGATTGCAAAAATTTTCTCCCATTCTGTAGGTTGCCTGTTCACTCTGATGATAGTTTCCTTTGCTGCGCAGAATCTCTTTAGTTTAATTAGATCCCATTTGTCAATTTTGGCTTTTGTTGCTGTTGCTTTTGGTGTTTTAGTCATGAAGTCTTTGCCCATTCCTATGTCCTGTATGTTATTGCCTATGTTAGAAACAAGAGCTGGGAGTCACAAAGAAAACATGCACTCAGACAAAAGATTTCTCAACAAGGCAAATTTACTTCTGCAGAAAGGTGCTGCCTGCATCAGTCATGATCGCAAAAGCACACTGAACAAAGGAAAGCAGGGGATTTTATTCCTAATGCTGTTCCTGTTTCTGTGTCCTCCCCCCATTAATTGGGGTCGGATTGCACAATCTAAACTCATCCCAATTGACTAGATTTAGCATTTAGAATAGGATAAAGAACCAGGAAGTTTGTTTGTACCTAACAACTTAAAGTAAGGTGGTGTGGGTCAGCTACAACCATGGTAGATGAAGGCATGCCTGGGTGTGTAAAAGGCAGGAAAGGTTACTTATAAATTGGAACAAAGGACAAGGAGGGTGAAACCCTTATGAAGAGAAACTTGTTTGTTCCTAACAATTTTCCCCCTCTTGAATTTATACACTTTATTCTTCAAACTTATCTAACATGTCTTGACTTTGCTGTTCTTCTTGATTTTCTAGCAGTAAAAGCTTGTCAGAATAGTGTGGAAAAGAAATGAGGAAAGTTTTAGTAGGGGCTGTTTTTATAAGTTTTATTGTTTTATTGAACTAGTCCATGAATAGAAGGTATGATACAGCAGCCAGTGGGAATGAGTACCCTAACTATAATTGCAAGGGAAGTAAAAATAGAAGCCATGAGTCCTTTCCATTTACCAAACCACCTTTCTAACCATCCTGTAAAGGGGTCATTTACCCTAGAATTCCTGGTTAACTCATTAGATAAGGAGGTGAGACCTTGTAGAGGTTTAGTGATTGTTCCATGAGGGGCTGTATTGTTAGGGATGAAGGTAAAACATTGGGTTCCTATCACGATACAGACTCCATCTTTTTCTGCTAGTATCATATCTAGTGCCATTCTATTTTCACAGGCCATTTGGCCCTAATTGCTCAGCTGTTCCTTTAATGGCATCCTTAGTATAACTGACAAATTGTTGTTGGTTATAGTAGATATAATTTATCCAATCCACGTTTTTATTAACAGTTACCCACCAGAACAAGGATTCAAACCCTGCAGCTGTTTGGTTTCATGCTTTAAATTTATCTGGTACCCCTCATGGGACTCCAATGGCATCTATATAAACGTGAGAATCAAAAGATCGTGAGGGGCCTCTCTTGTTTTATGGTGGTGTTTTTCCTTTTCCTGGTTGATGGAATGCTAGAGTGAAAGGGATGGCCAATTGAATTAGAGCGCAAGTACTGCTCCAGTTATTTGGCAGAGTGTCCAATAAGGGTCCACCACAGTACCACAACACATCCACTCGAGGATGAGTAAGGGCAGACTGATTGGTAAGCTCTTAGAAAGGCTTAAGCTCACTGCATCCCTTTAGGTCTCCAAGAAATGCCAAATTTTCTCCCTGTCATGAGAGACACAAAGTAAAATTGGCATCGTTAGATGGAAGCTGGGTGGCCCTCAGGGACTGACCTGCAGGGTGCTGGACTTCAGGCAATAGCAGAGAGAGAGCTTGGCATGACTTATTACCCCAGGCTGTGGGGTGCTAGAAGAGAGCTACCATACAGTCCACACCCAGTCGATTTGAAGGCCATGCAAGTAGAAAGCGGACAACCTGGGCCTCTGGCCTACCGTGTGCACAAGCGTAACAACTGCTTTTGTTGAGAGTGCAAACAGAATATTCAATTCATTCCATGCAGGCATTTGCTTCTTGGTATCCAGTCTCAATTGCTAAAGTCTGTTTTAAATCTTTTACTTTTACAATAGCTACTTTAGTTTTGTCATTGGGAAGGGGGTGAGGAGTGGCACCCACTATTTGATTTGGTGGATTTAGGGAAGGTGAAGTGGTAGGAGGTGGAGAATGGTGGACAAAATGTATTTCAAGGAGGCTATAGGGTCCCTTCCAGCAACATTGGCTCCTAAACCATAGAGACAGCCTAAGGTGGGCTTAGGGTCAATGGAAGTAGAAGTGGTAGTGGAGAGAAGAACTGGGTTACATTGCTAGGACTGACAATTAGAGGGGGTGGTTCATTTAGCGATATAGAGATAAGGCTTTAGGGCGGCACAGGGACCTTCCGTGAAAGTCCAGCCTTGGTACTGAGTGGTCCAATAAACACGTTCCCAAGAGCTACAGGGTTTCAAATACCATGCTAGACGGTCACAATGGTGAGAGTTAGGGGTGGGTTCTGTGTGTTCTAGAGGGCCAGGGCAAAGGTACTTACCTGAAGAGGCTAGTTGCCTTTGGGTTTGTAGGTCCCCACAGGGCATAACAAGACAAGCATCAAATGTAATTGTTTGAGGAAACGATGATCAGGTTACATTGATAAAATAAAATGTTCCTGGGTAGCTAACGAAAGAAAGAGGGAGCAAATTAGACAGGTTAAGTTTTTTTGAATATTAGTTTGGAAGGTGTTGGCCCGGGAGTGACAACCTATGCCTCCAAAGGGGGTCATGCCTTTTTCACCTGAGTGTGATGGGTCTACCCTTTCTTAACGGTCCAGACTGCTGTCTCAGTGGTTAGGGGCACTAGATAAGGTCTCCCAGGTTGGTTCGAGTTTTTCTTCTTTCCAGCTTTTGATGAGGACGTAATCTCCAGATTGATACAGATGCACTGGGAACTCAAGAGGCAGTGTTTGTGCTAAGAGACCTTGGGTCCTAAGAGAAGACAAAGTAGAAGATAGACCAAGTATGTAATGTCTTTTTGAGGGGCAGTTCGAATAGAAGATAGACCAAGTACGTAATGTCTTTTTGAGGGGCAGTTTGAATTCTGAGCAGGGCAATGGGGAGACACTTGGTCCAAGGCAATGAAGTTTTCAAAATCGATTTAAATGATTCTTTAAAGTTTGGTTCATTTTTTTCTACCTTCCTTGATGAAGGTGGATGCCATGGAGTATGATATTCCCAATTTATTCCTAGAGTTTGAGTAAGCCCTTTAACAATATTTGCACTGAAACGAGTTCCATTATCTGAATCAATGTTTTTTATTATTTCAAACCTGGGTACAATATTTTCAATTAATGCCTTAACTACATTATTAGCAGTTGCATTTGAAAAGGGAATAGCTTCTACCCAGTGAGTGAGGTGATCTACTATTACTAATAGGAATTTTAGGTGACCTATTGAGGTATTTCTGTGTAATCAGTTTGGACACTATGGAATGGTCTTAGTCCTGGACGTCTTCCCGCAAGTGGTGATTTTTTTAGAGTTTGCTTATTAGTTTTCTTACGTATTAAGCAACTATCTGTAACTTGTTTGGCTAGGGTATAAATTCCTATACACCCATAAACTCTGAGAACTGCATCACACATAGCTTGGGGTCCCCAATGGGTTCCTTGATGCAGCTGAGACAAGACCTCCTTCATGAGAGGTTTGGATAACATTTCTCTTTGGTCTGATAATACCCATTTCCCTTCTGAGTTTTCTTTAGCCCCTGTTTTTATTAATTTTTCTTTTTTCAGTGGAAGAGAAAATGGGGACTGTGGTAGGGGGAGGAAGGCAAGGAGTTAAGTGAAAAACAGGCCTCTCAGAGGAAACAGCCACTTGTTTGGCTATTTGATCTGCAAGGTTATTTCCTTGACTTTCAAAAGAAAGGCTTTTCTTGTGTCCTGGGACATGGACAATAGCTATTTATTCTGGCAGCTGGAGATTATTTATTTATTTATTTATTTGAGACAGGGCTTTACTCTTGTTGCCCAGGCTGGAGTGCAATGGTGTGATCTTGGCTCACAGCAACCTCCGCCTCCCAGGTTCAAGCAATTCTCCTGCCTCAGCCTCCCAAGTAGCTGGAATTACAGGCATGTGCCGCCATGACTGTCTAATTTTTTTGTATTTTTAGTAGAGACAGGATTTCTTTATGTTGGTCAGGCTGGTCTCGAACTCCCGACCTCAGGTGATCTGCCCACCTCGGCCTCCCAAAGTACTGGGATTACAGGCGTGAGCCACCACGCCTGGCCCTGGAGATTATTAAATACATGGGTGATTAACTCTTTGTGAACTAGGTCTTGACCTTTGCTATTAATAAAGCCTTGTTCAATCGAAATTTTTCCAAAAGTGTGAGCTACCCTGAAAGCATACTTGGAATCAGTATAAATAGTTCCTTCTTGGTTCTGCAAGTGCTTTAGGCTTGATATAATGCAAACAATTCACATGTTTGGGCAGACCAATTATTGGGCAGTCTTCCTGACTTCTTCAAGGGCTACTTCAAGCCCTACTTCTTCAAGGGCTTCCCCATTGATTGACTACTGAGTACCCATTATATCTTTTTCCTTCAGTTACTCAGCAAGAGCCACCTATAAATAAGTGCTGCCCTGTTTTGAAAGGGGTCTCTCTTAAATTAGGCCTAACTTTTGTATGGTAATTAATTAAATCTAAACACTCATGTTCAGGTCTCTTTAGATTTGGATCTCCAGTCAAGAAACCTGCTGGGTTAAGTGAATCATCAGTGGATAGTGTTAAATAATCTCTAACAGGATAGCTTCATATTTTAAAATTCTTGAGTCAGTAAGCCACCTTCCTGCCTTTTGATTTAAGATGGTTCTAACTTGATGAGGTGTGATTACAACCAACTTTCCACCAAAGGTTAGTTTTTGACTTGTTCCCTCCAGTCTTTAGGGGGTGAAGGAGTACAGGTCCTTGCCACCAACATAGGGCATAACCTATTTCCTCTTGGGAGGTAGGGCTCTTACTATTAATATGTTCTATTGAAAGCTGACACATCCAATCCTCATATGACCCAAACTTTGGCCAAAAAACTGAGGGTTCGAGGATTGGTTCCTGGGTCCGAATGAGACAACAATATTTTATCATCTGTTGCTTTTTCTTGTGTTTAGTCCTTTCATTATCTTTCCATATTTTAACATAAGCCCTAGGGGACTATCAGGGGGAATGTTATTGCTGCTAGTGTTATCCTTTTTATGCCCTACCTTATTTGGGGTGTTTCCCATCTTGGGGGTTTTGGGGTGAGGCTCAATATCCCCTATTGGAAGTTTCTTGCCTTCCCAACTATTGGAAGTTTGTGTGAGGCTCAATGCCCCCCTGCTGGAGATTTCTTGCCTTTCCTTTCCTATAGCCTCAACCCGCCCCCTGCCCCCCAACCACTGGAGGTTTCTCGCACTCTTCTCCTTTTGCTTCGTCTTCTCTGGCTACTTCCCCAGAGGGAATTTAGGTCCCTCTTAACATTGATGGATCAGTAGAAAACCCTGACGGGACCCCCAAAGGGCCGCCATAAGCCATATGAGTTGACCACGGAACTGCAGATTGGACTCACTCACTCTGCACAGCAGTAGTGCTTGTTACCATTCACGCACTTTCAACCTCCAAGATACTCCAACCATCAAGGAAGCACTTCACCACCCCAGCGGCTTTTCTTACCTTGGTCTGTGCACATAGTTACCTGGTCGCCACAGTATTTGTAGTCCTTGTCTTCTCGCGTTGCTGAGATTCCAGGTTTATTTGTCACAACGGGTGGGTCTCAGTCTCCAGCCTTTGAGGCCACTGCACCAAGTCAGTGGGATGCATCCCCTCCCAGAAGATGACCGGAGACCCTTCTCCGGAGAAGAATGGGATCCCAGGCAGGGCCCCCAAATTGTTAGAAATGAGCTGGGAGTTGCAAAGAAAACGAACACTCAAAAGACTTCTCGGCAAGGTAAATTTACTTCTGCAGAAGGGTGCTGCCTGCGTCAGTCACAATCACAAGAGCACACCGAACAAAGGAAAGCAGGGGTTTTTATTCCTAATGCCGCTCCTGTTTCTGTGTCTTCCCTGCCTCCCCCACCTCCCCCGTTAATTGGGGTCAGACTGCACAATCTAAACAGATCCCAATTGACTAGATTTAGCATTTAGAATAGGACAAAGAACCAGGAAGTTTATTGTTTGTACCTAACAACTTAAAGTAAGGCAGTGTGGGTCAGCTACAAGCTTGGTGGATGCCTGGGCCTGTTAAAGGCAGGAAAGATAACTTAAAAATAGAACAAAGGACAAGGGGGGTGAAATCCTTTGAAGAGAAACTGTTCCTAACACCTAGGTTTTCTTCTAAGGCTTTTATGGTTTTAGGTCTTATGGTTAAGTCTTTAATCCATCTTGAACTAATTTTTGTATAACGTGTAAGGAAGGGGTCCAGTTGCAGTTTTCTGCATATGGCTAACCAGGTTTCCCAACACCATTTATTAAATAGGGAATCCTTTCCCCATTGCTTGTTTTGGTCAGGTTTGTCAAAGATCAGATGGTTGTAGATAGGTGGTGTTATATCTAAGGCCTCTGTTCTGTTCCATTGGTCTATATATCTCTTTTGGTACCAGTACCATGCTGTTTTGGTTACTGTAGCCTTGTAATATGGTTTGAAGTCAGGTAGTGTGATGCCTCCAGCTTTGTACTTTTTGCTTAGGACTGTCTTGGCTATATGGGCTCTTTTTTGGTTCCATATGAAATTTTAAGTATTTTTTTCCAATTCTGTGAAGAAAGTCAATGGTAGCTTGATGGGGATAGCATTGAATCTATAAATTACTTTGGGCAGTATGGCCATTTTCACAGTATTGATTCTTCCTATCCATTAGCATGGAATATTTTCCATTTATTTGTGGCCTCTCTTATTTCCTTGAGCAGTGGTTTGTAGTTCTCCTTGAAGAGGTCCTTCACATCCCTTGTAAGTTGGATTCCTAGGTATTCTCTTTGTAGCAATTGTGAATGGGAGTTCACTCATGATTTGGTTCTCTGTTATTGGTATATAGGAATGCTTGTGATTTTTGCACATTGATTTTGTATCCTGAGACTTTGCTGAAGTTGCTTATCAGCTTAAGGAGATTTGGGGCTGAGATGATGGGGTTTTCTAAATATTATTTAGAAAATCTCAATCTATTTTAGATGTAGATATTTCTAAATCTAAAAATTGCATGTTATCTGCAAACAGAGACAATTTGACTTCCTCTCTTCTTATTTGAATACCCCATATTTCTTTCTCTTGCCTGATTGCCCTGGCCAGAACTTCCAATACTATGTTGAATAGGAGTAGTGAGAGAGAGGGCATCCTTCTCTTGTGCCAGTTTTCAAAGGGAATGCTTCCAGTTTCTGCCCATTCAGTATGATATTGGCTGTGGGTTTGTCATAAATAACTCTTATTATTTTGAGATATGTTCCATCAGTACCTAGTTTATTGAGAGTTTTTAGCATGAAGGGGTGTTGAATTTTGTCAAAGGCCTTTTCTGCATCTATTGAGATAATCATGTGGTTTTTCTCATTGGTTCTGTTTATGTGATGGATTAAGTTTATTGATTTGTGTATGTTGAACCAGCCCTGCATCCTAGGTATGAAGCCAACTTGACCGTGGTGGATAAGCTTTTTGATGTGCTGCTGGTTTCAGTTTGCCAGTATTTTATTGAGGATTTTCGCATTGATGTTCATCAGGGATATTGGCCTGAAATTTTCTTTTGTTGTGTCTCTGTGAGGTTTTGGTATCAGGATGACGCTGGACTCATAAAATGAATTAGGGAGGATTCCCTCTTTTTCTATTCTTTGGAATGGTTTCAGAAGGAACAGTACCAGCTCCTCTTTGTACCTCTGGTAGGATTTGGCTGTGAATCCATCTGGTCCTGGACTTTTGGTTGGTAGACTATTAATTACTGCCTCAATTTCAGAACTCGTTATTGGTCTTTTCAGGAATTCGATTTCTTCCTGCTTTAGACTTGGGAGGGTGTATGTGTCCAGGAATTTATACATTTCTTCTAGATTTTCTAGTTTATTTGCATAGAGGTGTTCATATTATTCTCTGATGGTAGTCTGTATTTCTGTGGGATCAGTGGTGATATCCCCTTTATGATTTTTTATTGTGTCTATTTGATTCTTCTGTCTTTTCTTCTTTATTAGTCAGGCTAGCGGTCTATTTTGTTGGATCTTTTTTAAGAAAACCAGCTCCTGGATTCATTGATTTTTTTGTTTGTTTGTTTGTTTTTAAGGGTTTTTCATGTCTCTATCTCCTTCAGTTCTGCTCTGATCTTAGAGTTATTTCTTGTCTTCTGCTAGCTTTTGAATTTGTTTGCTCATGCTTCTCTACTTCTTTTAATTTTGATGTTAGGGTGTCGATTTTAGATCTTTCCCGCTTGTGGGCATTTAGTGCTATAAATTTCCCTCTAAACACTGTTTTAAATGTGTCCCAGGGATTCTGATACATTGTGTCTTTGGTCCCATTGGTTTCAAAGAACATCTTTATTTCTGCCTTAATTTTGTTATTTATCCATTAGTCATTCAGGAGCAGGTTGTTCAGTTTCCATGTAGTTGTGTGGTTTTGAGTGAGTTTCTTAATACTGAGTTCTAATTTTATTGCACTGTGGTCTGAGAGACTGTTAGGATTCCCATTCTTGTGCATTTGCTAAGGAGTGTTTTAATTCCAGTTATGTGGTCAATTTTAGAATAAGTATGATGAGGTGCTGAGAAGAATGTATATTCTATTGATTTGGGGTGGAGAGTTCTGTAGATGTCTATTAGGTCCACTTGGTCCAGAGTTGAGTTCTAGTCCTGAGTATCCTTGCTAATTTTCTGTCTCGTTGATCTGTCTGATATTGACAGTGCGTTGTTAAAGTCTCCCACTATTACTGTCTGAGAGTCTTAAGTCTCTTTGTAGGTCTTTAAGAACTTGCTTTATGAATCTGGGTGTTCCTGCATTGGGTGCATATATATTTATGATAGTTCTTCTTGTTTCATTGATCCCTTTACCATTAGGTAATGCCTTTCTTTGTCTCTTTTGATCATTGTTGGTTTAAAGTCTGTTTTATCAGAGACTAGGATTGCAACCCCTGCTTTTTTTTTTGTTTTCCATTTGCTTGGTAGATCTTCCTCCATCCCTTTATTTTGAGCCTGTGTGTGTCTTTGCATGTGAGATGGATCTCCTGAATACAGCACACCAATGGGTCTTGACTCTTTATCCAGTTTGCCAGTCTGTGTCTTTTAATTGGGGCATTTAGCCCATTTACATTTAAGGTTAATATTGTTATGTGTGAATTTGATCCTGTCATTATGATGCTAGCTGGTTATTTTGCCGGTTAGTTGATGCAGTTTCTTCACAGTGTCAATGGTCTTTACAATTTGGTATGTTTTTGCAGTGGCTGGTACTGGTTGTTCCTTTCCATGTTTAGTGCTTCTTTCAGGAGCTCTTGTAAGGCAGGCCTGGTGGTGACAAAATGTCTCAGCATTGGCTTGTCTGTAAAGGATTTTATTTCTCCTTCACTTATGAAGCTTAGTTTGGCTGGATATGAAATTTTGGGTTGAAAATTCTTTTCTTTAAAAATGTTGAATATTGGCCCCCACTCTCTTCTGGCTTGTAGGGTTTCTGCAGAGAGAGCTGCTGTTAGTCTGATGGGCTTCCCTTTGTGGGTAACCTTACCTTTCTCTCTGGCTGCCCTTAACATTTTTTCTTTCATTTCAACCTTGGTGAATCTGACGATTATGTGTCTTAGGGTTGCTCTTCTCCAGGAGTATCTTTGTGGTGGTCTCTGTATTTCCTGAATTTGAATGTTGGCCTGTCTTGCTAGGTTGGGGAAGTTCTCCTGGATAATATCCTGAAGAGTGTTTTCTAACTTGGTTCCCTTCTCCCTGTCACTTTCGGGTACAACAATCAAACATAGGTGTGGTCTTTTCACATAGTCCCATATTTCTTGGAGGCTGTGTTCGTTCCTTTTCAAAAATTCTTTTTTCTCTAATCTTGTCTTCTCACTTTATTTCATTAAGTTGATCTTCAATCTCTGATATCCTTTCTTCCGCTTGATCAGTTCAGCTGTTAATACTTGTGTATGCTTCATGAAGTTCTCATACCGTGTTTTTCAGCTCCATCAGGTCATTTATATTCTTCTCTAAACTGGTTATTCTACTTAGCTATTTATCTAACCTTTTTTCAAAGCTCTTAGCTTCCTTGCATTGAGTTAGAAGATGCTCCTTTAGGCTGGGTACACTGGCTCACACCTGTAATCCCAGCACTTTGAGAGGTCGAGATGGACACAAGGTCAAAAGTTCAAGACCACCCTAGCCAACATAGTGAAACCCCATCTCTACTAAAAATACAAAAAAGTAGCTGGGCGTGGTGGTGCACGCCTGTAGTCCCAGCTACTCAGGAGGCTATGCAGGAGAATCGCTTGAACCCGGGAGGCAGAGGTTGCAGTGAGTCGAGATCGCTCCACTGCACTCCAGCCTGGGCGACAAGAGCAAAACTCCGTCCCAAAAAAAAAAAGTGCTCCTTTAGCTCATTGGAGTTTGTTATTACCCACCTTCTGAAGCCTACTTCTGTCAACTTGTCACCCTCATTCTCCGTCCAGTTTTGGTCTGTTGCTGGCAAGTAGTTGTGATCCTTTGGAGGAGAAGAGGCGTTCTTGTTTTTGGAATTTTCAGCCTTTTTGGGCTGGTTTCTCCCCATCTTTGTGGATTTATCTACCTTTGGTCTTTGATGTTGGTGACCTTCGGATGGGGTCTCTGAGTGGACGTCCTTTTTGTTGATGTTGATGCTATTCCTTTCTGTTTGTTACTCTTCTGTCAGGCCCCTGTGGTGCAGGTCTGCTTGAGGTCCACTCCCGACCTTGTTTGCCTGGGTATCACCAGCAGAGGCTGCAGAACAGCAACGATTGCTGCCTGTTCCTTCCTCTGGAAGCTTCATCCCAGAGGGGCACTGACAGATGCCAGCCAGAGCTCTCTTGTATGAGGTGTCTGTTGGCCCCTACTGGGAGGTGTCTCCCAGTCAGGATACACGGGGGTCAGGGACCCACTTGAGGAGCCAGTCTGACATTTAGCAGAGCTCAAATGCTGTGCTGGGAGATCCACTGATCTGCTGCTCTCTTCAGAGTCCTGTCCGGCAGGGACATTTAAGTCTACTGAAGCCCTCAGGTGCTCTGTCCCAGGGAGATGGGGGGTTTATCTATAAGCCCCTGCTGCCTTTTTTTCAGAGATGCCCTGTCCAGAGAGGAGGAATCTAGAGAGGCAGTCTGGCCACAGTGGCCTTGCCGAGCTGCAGTGGGCTCGGCCCAGTTCAAACTTCCCAGTGGCTTTGTTTGCACTGTGAGGGGGAAACCGCCTACTCAAGCCTCAGCAATGGTCAATGCCCCTCCCCTCACCAAGCTTGACCATCCCAGGTCAACCTCAGACTGCTGTGCTGGCAGCGAGAATTTCAAGCCAGTGGATCTTAGCTAGCTGGGCTCCGTGTGGGTGGGACCTGCCGAGCCAGAACACTTGGCTCCCTGGCTTCAGCCCCCTTTGCAGGAAGAGTGAACGGTTCTCTCTCACTGGCATTCTAGGCACCACTAGGGTATGGAAAAGAAAAACTCCTGCACCTAACTCAGTGTCTGCCCTAACAGCCACCCAGCTTTGTGCTTGAAACCCAGGGCCGTGGTAGCATAGGCACCGGAGGGAATCTCCTGGTCTGTGGGTTGTGAAGACTGTGGGAAAAATGCAGTATCTGGGCTGGAGTGTACCGTTCCTCACGGCATAGTCCATCATGGCTTCCCTTGGGTAGGGAAGAGAATTCCTTGACCCGTTGTGCTTCCCTGGTGAGAGCCCCACCATGCTTTAGCTCGCTGTCTGTGGCTACACCCACTGTCCAACTAGTCCCAATGAGATGAACCAGGTACCTCAGTTAGAAATGCAGAAATCACCTGCCTTCTGCATCAATCTTACTGGGAGCTGCAGACCGGAGCTGTTCCTATTCAGCCATCTTGCCAGCAATCCGAAATAATTTTATAGTGAATACTTGTATACTCAGCACTTAGATTCTGAAAACTGAGCAAGGAGCTTTCTTTGTTTATTTATTTTTTTGAGATGGAGTTTCAGTCTTGTTGCCCAGGCTGGAGTGCAGTGGCACAATCTCAGCTCATCGCAACCTCCATCTCCTGGGTTCAAGCAATTCTCCTACCTCAGCCTCCCGAGTAGCTGGGATTACAGTCATGCGCCACCACACCTGGCTAATTTTGTATTTTTAGTAGAGACAGGGTTTCTCCATGTTGGTCAGGCTGGTCTTGAACTCCCGACCTCATGTGATCCGCCTGCCCTGACCCCAGGTGATCCACCCGCCTTGGCCTCCCAAAGTCCTGGGATTACAGGCATGAGCCACTACGCCTGGCCCACAGCTTTCTTCGTAAGAAGGCTTTTACTTGAAAATCCAATTCTTTCGTAGGTACAGAGCCATTCAGTTTTTTTTTTTTTTCCATCTTTTATCAGTTTTGCAAGTTATCTTTGTAAGGAATTTATCCATGTTATCTAAATTATTGAATTCACTGTCATAAAGTTATCAGTAAAATTCACTTGTCCTAGGCTGGGCGCGGTGGCTCACACCTGTAATCCCAGCACTTTGGGAGGCTGAGGCGGGCAGATCACAAGGTCAGAAGTTCGAGACCAGCCTTGCTAACACGGTGAAACCCCGTCTCAACTAAAAATACAAAAAATTAGCCGGGCATGGTGACAGGTGCCTGTAATCCCAGCTACTTGGAAGGCTGAGGCAGGAGAATCGCTTGAACCTGGGAGGCGGAGGTTGCAGTGAGCCAAGATTGTGCCACTGTACTCCAGCCCAGTGACAGTGTGAGACTCCATCTCAAAAAAAAAAAAAAAAAAAAAAAAAAAAAATTCACTTGTCCTTTTAATGTTTGGGGTTCTACAGTGTATCACTGTACTTTGTTTCTGATGTGGGTTAATCTGTATATTTATTATTTTTCCTTCTTGATCAACCAGATTTTGTTATTTCTATCATTTGTTTTCTTTATTTTGATTCCTGTTTTTCTTTATTGTCTTTCTTTTACTGACTTTAGTTATAATTTGTTCTTTTTCCAGGTTCTTAAGAGACCTTTTCTAACATTAAACATTTAAAGCTGAATTTCCTTCTAAGTATCACTTATTCTAAGCATCTTCTTAGTGGTTAGATTATGTACTTCTTAATGCAAATATTATAATCTTTGATACATCATATCTTTGTTTTCCATCAGTTCAAAATGATTTATAATGTTCCTTGTATTCTTTGACATATGAATTATTTGGAAGTGTGTGTTTAATTTCAAAATATTTGTGACTTCTAGGTATTTTATTTTTATAATACCTGATTTCATTTGGTCAGAGAACATACTATGTAAAACTTAAATTTTGAAAGTTAAACTTATTTTATAGTCCAGCATATTATTTTACTTGACGAATGTTCCATGTACAGAATGTTGGTTGTAATGTTCTGTAAATGTCATGTTTGAGTTAATTGTGCCAAGATGGTTGATAGTGTTTTTTCGACCTTCTACAGCTATGGTAGATGGAAAAAATGGTCCCTGCAAGATGTCCATGACCTAATTCCCAGAACTTGTGAATATGTTACCTTACATGGTGAAAAGAGTCTTTGTAGGTATTATTAAATTAAGTACCTTGAGATGATGGGTAGTTAATCCTGGATTATCTGTGTGGGCTCATTTTAATCAAAAGGGTTCTTACAAAAAAAGTGGCAAGAAGGTCAAAGGCAGAAAAAGGAAATGGGACAATGGAAGCAGAGGCTGGAATGAAGTACACTGAAGATGGAGGAGGGCCTCAAGTCCAGAAACGCAGGCAGCCTCCAGAAGGAAGGCCAGTACCTTGATTTTAGCTTAGTAAAACTGATTTCCAACTTTTGGCTTCTAAAGCTGTGATAAAATAAGTCATGCAGTTTGTGGTAATTTGTTAAGGTAACTTCAGGAAATTCACAAAGAATTTGGTACCAGGAAGTGTGGGGTGCTGCTGTAACCAATACCTAAAAATGTGAAAGTGGCTTTTGAGTAGGGTAATGCATAGAGACTAGAGGAGTTTTGAGGAGCATGCTTTATAAAAAGCCTAGATTACCTTGAACAGACTCTTAGTAGAAATTTGGAAGTTAAAGACTGCCCGTGGAGGTTAAAAGGAAATGAGCACAGTGGAGAAAACCTACCATGGACTTAATACCTAGATCTTCATAAACAAACTTTTGATAGAAATATAGACATTAAAAGCATTGTTGGTGAGGACTTGAAAGGAAATGAGGATACATGTTATTGGAAACAGGAGGAAAGGGGATTTGTGTTACGTAGTGGCAGGAAGTTTAGTTGCATTGTATCCTACATTATATGGAAAACAACTTGTAAACTATGAATTTGGATTTTGTTTGACTTATGAGATTTTATTTCTTTTTTTATTTTTTGGAGTCAAAGTCTGGCTCTGTTGCCCAGGCTGGAGTGCAGTGACACAATCTCGGCTCACTGCAACATCCGCCTCCTGGGTTCAATCAATTCTCGTGCCTTAGCCTCCTGAGTAGCTGGGATTACCGGGGTGTATGAGGTTTCTAAGCAAAGTGTTGAAGGTTTGGCCTGATTTCCTCTTGCTTCTTTTCACAATGTGAGAAAAAAAAAGAGAAAAATTGAAGAAGAAACAAACTGTTTAGCAGAAAGGAACCAGGACTTAATGATTTAGGCAATTCTCAGCCTGACCAGATTGCAGAAGACTCTAAGAGGCTCACTATCAGAAGAGTATGCCCCGGAGAGAAAGTCAAGATTTTGGCTGGACACCCTTTTGCTAGTGCCTTGGAAGGATCAAATGTCTCAGTATCCAGTCACAGGGAGGGCTCTTTGAAAACACTAAGCATAGGACTCCCTTTCAGCAGGAAGTTCCCCTGTTTAGGTTTAGTGTGTAGATCCTGGCCTCTTCTTTTAAGCTGCAGTTTCAATGACAGTTTACTTTTCAGAGCTCTTACAGTGCCATACTGCTTAGCTTCATTCTTCTGGCTCCACTGGGTCTCCCATTTAGCCCCTGCCGGTGCCACCTCAATCCCCAGTGCCATTGGGTGGGAAATTCAGGAAAAGTTGGCCTATGGTCACTACCACTGCAATGGATTGGGCCTGCCATTGCCCCAGATGTCAGATGAGCACCCAACTGATAGTGCTGCTGTGGTGAATTGGGCCCCCTAATCCTACCAGTATGGAATTGGGGGGTTAGCCACCACTGCTACAGGTTTGGGGCAACAGATGGGTGCCCAGCTTCCATGGCACCTAGTGCATTTTTGTTCATGCTGTCCTTGATCCTTTTGAATTAATGTACATATATATTTACATATATATAAAATGCTGCAAGTTCTCAACCAAAGCTGAGAACACTGAATGTTTCAGCTTCAAGTTTTAAATAAACTCAACAATTGGAAGAGCAAGTTAGCAATCTGAGTTATTTCTAGTCTTTATTAAAAGTATAACAAAAGTAAAATTTTCTTAAATATAGTGTTTATTAGTTCCTAAAAGTTAGTCTAATAGGAATAAAGTGTTGTCTAAGTACCTGAACATTTGTTTTTCCTTCTTTCCATCCAAGCTAGGAAGTTGATGTATACCATCATTTTTATTTCTTCGGAGTTTTTAAAAATTCATTTTGGCAGGCAAATCACAATCATGGTCATCAGCCATCGAAATACATGTGATTTAACTTATGTTTTGCCATATGTATGCAAGAATACTTTGAAAATGCTAATTTTGTTTGGAAGGATACAATTGGTAAAATTCCCTTCAACTGCTTTTTTCTCACCTATTTAATAGGTTGCAAATTCAGAGGCTATGATTTTGGATAAGAATCTTGAGTCAGTTAATAGTCCAATTGAAAAGTCTTCTGTGAATTATGAGCCTTCTAACCCTTCCGAAAAAGGAAGTAAAAAAATTAATTTGTCATCAGATCAAAATAAGTCTGTTTCTGAAAGGTAGGTGTTTCTGCAAAAATGCATAAATTTATCTAAATCTATAATAATGAATTTTTTCTTCATCACAGTTTTGGATCTTTGTAATATTGATTATTCTTAACATTCACTCTTAAAATGTCCTATAGTTTTACTTTTACATATTATACTTCAGTTGTGGGGGTTTTTTTTTGGTTTTTGGGTTTTCTGGTGTTTTTTGAGATAGGGTCTCACTTTGTTGTCCAGGCTGGAGTATAGTGGTACAGTCACGGCTCACTGCAGCCTCGACCTCCTTCCTGGGCTCAAGTGATCTTCCACCTCAGCCTCCCAAGTAACTGGGACTACAGGTGTGCAATCACCATGCTGGGCTAATTTTTTATATTTTTTGTAGAGGCAGGGCTTCACCATGTTGCCCAGGCTGGTCTGGAATTCCTGGGCTCAGGCAATCTGTCTGCCTCGGCCTCCCAGAGTGCTGGGATTACAGGCATGAGCCACTGCGCCTGGCCCTATACTTGAGTTTTTAAAAAGAGGAAAACATACAATCAAAAATAAGTAGATTAAATGATGGCCATTGTTTGAAGAACACCCTTTCCCACAGATAACTATGCGTACACAAGGAGGCTCTAAAGCAAAGGAGAAGCATTACAGATCTAAACCATTTATGTTTGTTTTGGGGGATTTCACATGCAGTTGTGACCCTTCAGGAGATGCCCTAATATTCTGTAATATTGGGCCCACATTTTAGTTTTAAGCCAGGAAGCTGCTGTGAAGGAGGCATTTAGTTGATGAAGGCAAGAGCTACATTTCAGTGACACTTTGTAGTGTGACCCCTTATTGATGCATGTGCTAAAACTCATGAAGTAACAAAAAATAAAAAGTGCTAGTGATGGAAGTGAAAAAGACACCATTAAAATAGCACTTCATAGAAAAATATATCCAATTTAGCCATGGTTTGTGTCTTTTATATGAACAAATCTATCTCATGTTCTATTCTGAAGGAAGAACCCTGCGATTTATAAAACTGTTTAAGGCAGCACTCTCAGCCCATGGTGAATGTGCGGATAGGTGTAACAAATGTGTAACTTGATTCTGATGGCTTTAATGGTGAGTTTTATAAAATATTTAAGCAAGAAATAACACCAGCTTGAAGCAAACTCTTCCAAAGAATAGAAAAAAAGGGAATGTTCTTCAGCTCATTTTATGAGACTAGCATAACCCTAATAGTATTATAAAATCAATTTTTAAATTTTACAGAAATGGAAAATTACAGCCTGCTTTAAACCACAAAATAGATGCAGCCGTCCTAAACAAGATAACTAGTAAACCAAGTTTAATAGTCTACAAAAGTTGAGTTTGACTCAGGGAACCTTCGTTTAACAATTAAACATCAATTAATGTGGCTGGGCGCGGTGGCTCACGCCTGTAATCCCAGCAGTTTGGGAGGCTGAGGCAGGTGGATCACTTGAGGTCAGGAGTTTGAGACCAGCCTGACCAACATGGTAAAACTCCATCTCTACTAAAAAATAATAATAATAATACAAAAATTGGCCAGGCACGGTGGCTCATGCCTGTAATCCCAGCTCTTTGGGAGGCCGAGGCGGGCAGATCACCTGAGGTCGGGAGTTCGAGACTAGCCTGACCAACATGGAGAAACCCTGTCTCTGCTAAAAATACAAAATTAGGCCCGGTGCGGTGGCTCACGCCTTCCATCCCAGCACTTTCGGAGGCCTAGGTGGGTGGATCACGAGGTCAGGAGATGAAGACCATCCTGGCTAACATGGTGAAACGCCGTCTCTACTAAAAATATAAAAAATTAGCCGGGCATGGTGGCGGGTGCCTGTACTCCCAGCTACTCAGGAGGCTGAGGCAGGAGAATGGCTTGAACCTGGGAGGCGGAGCTTGCAGTGAGCCGGTATCACACCACTGTGCTCCAGCCTGGGCGACAGAGCGAGACTCCATCTCAAAAAGAAAAAAAAAAAAAAAAATACAAAATTAGCTGGGCATGGTGGTGCATGCCTGTAATTCCAGCTACTCGGGAGGCTGACACAGGAGAATTGCTTGAACCCGGGAGGCAGAGGCTGCAGTGAGCTGAGATCACGCCACTGTACTCCAGCCTGGGTGACAGAGCAAGACTCTATCTCAAAAAATAAAATAAATACACTAATGTGATTTGCCTGGAGAAAAACCATTATCAACTCACAACTCACTATAGATGCAGGACTTGATAAAATACCCATTTATGATTAAAATAAATTCGTGGCAAACTCAGAATAGAGGTAACTTCTTTAATCTGACAAAAATTATCTACAGAATCCCTAAGACAAATCTGATGGTAAAACATTGGAGGTGTTCCTTGGAGATACAAAAGAAAGATGCCTGCTGTCACCATTTTATATAACATACTGGATGCCTTAGCTAATGCAAGAATGCCAAAAAATCGGGGGAAAAGGAAAAATACAAAGTATAGTAAAGAAGGAACAATATTATTACTATTTTGGGGTGATTGGGGGGTGTGTGTATGAAATCTAGTGAAACCTAGAGATTAATTATTAAAATTAATAAGAGTAAAACAAGATTGCTGAATTCAAATATCTAAGAAATCTTTCGTATTCCTGTTTAGAATACAAGATAGAAACAATCAGGAAATAAAATTTTGGAAAAGCTGTAACACCATTATAGAAGCCCCAAAACATATCAAGTACCTAGGAATACATTTAATAAGAGAAACAATAGCTGAAGAAAATGTAAAACGTTAGATATTAAAGAAAAATCAATTAAAAAGATATATGGTGTGGACAAAGGAGTATTATATTTATAGAGTACAACTTCAGTCAGTATCTCAGTGTGTAATTTTATAGAACTTTATGACGTGATTCTAAAATGCAATGGGTTCAGAGGTCAAGATACTCTTTAATTAGTGAAACAAAATGGAAGGAATTTGCCATCAGACGTTAGGATATTACAAAGCTACAGTAATAGCATAGCATGAGATTGGCATGCGCTGGACAAATAGACCAGTGTAACAGTAGAGAGTCCGGAAACCCATGTATGTATGTATATGTGATATGTGATGGAGATTGCGTGGCAGTCAGTCATTTGGGAAATGATTGACTTTTAGTAAATGGTACCATCTTGTTTGCTGTTTATGTTGGGGGAAATATGAAATTGGACTCCTTTGTAAAGCTATACAAAAAAACTCATATGGATTAAGGAACTAAAAATATCTAAAGGAAATTATAAAGCTTTTAGAATATATAATGTCTTCATGAACTTGGATAGGGAATGTTTTCTTAAGACATAAATGCCGTTGCCATAAAAGAAAAATTGATTAATTTTACCACATTGAAATTAGAAACTTCGTTTCTCAAAAGGCACTATAAAGATAGTGAGAAGACAGGCCATCCGAGTTGGAGAAGATAATCGCAGCACATATAACCTGTAGAGGACTAGTAACGCAGAATATATATAAAGAACTTCAACAAGTCAATGAGTAAAAGCCAAATAATACAAAAGAAAAATGGGCAAAAGACTTGTGCATCCACTTCACAAAAGAGGAGTTCGAAATGGCCAATATACATATGAAAAGGTGTTTATCTTCATTAGTAATCAGGGAAATGCAAATTAAAACCACAATGAGATATCATTTCATATCAGGTAAGGAAAAAATACATTTAAAAATCTGACTACTGGGTATTGGTGAAGTTTTGAAATAAAGGGAGTAGTATTTAATGTTTTGTTGCGTGAGTAAATTGGTATAGTACTCTAAAGAAAATTGGCATTATCTGGAAATATCAAAGATATGAATATCCTTTGACCTAGCAGTCCCAGCTCTTGATATATCCTAGTTAGAGGTATATCTATTGCATGTTGATATGCCATAGAATATATGTTTAGGAATGTTTATTAGCAGCATTTTTTATAATGGCCAAAAACTGAAAGGAAAAAGTGTCCATCTACAGTTGAAAAAGAAATTACCCTAAATCTATACGGTGGAATGTTGCAAATGAATGAAAATGAAGGAACTGCAGTCACATGCAACAGTATGGATTATTCCCACAACGTATGATTGGAAAGCAGACACAAAAGACTCATATGATTCCATTTAAATGAAGTTCAAAAATAGCCATAAAACAAAGTGCATGATTCAGGGATTCTAAGCTGGATAGTAAATCTAAAGAGTAAAACAAGGAGATTAGTACCACATATGCCATTTATGGTGAGGAAGTTTATGATATAGGATAGAAGCATATGGATTTCTGAAGTGCTGATAATTTAAAATTTACTTACCTGAATATGGCTGCATGGGCACTGGCATTGTATTTATTTAATGGAAAATATATTTTAATATAATCTGAAAATAATTATCTTTTAATCAGAAAAATGATTTATGCTTAGTGTAATCTGACTGATGTGTGTGGATTTATAATTACAATCTTACTACCTGTTTTCTGTTTGCCCTGTTTTATGGTCCTTTTCCTCATATGTATCTGTCTCTCTGTTATAGCCATCTTTTGAATTAATCTTTTTTCCATTCCCCATTACTTTGTTAATTTTACCGTTTTCATTATTCCTTTAGAAGTTATTCTAAGATAATGATATGTATTCTTTACTCGGAATAGTACTTCTGCTATTTTATAGACAATGCTTGATCTTAGAATACTTTAGCTTTGTTTACTGTTTTCCCCATCTTATGTGTTTTTGTGCGTTTCGATTTTACATTAAGTCCTAGAGGATGACTACTATGTACCATCATTTTTTATTTCGAGTTACCCACATATTTATGTTTTCTCTTGCTCATTTCTTCCTGTAGTTTCATCTTTCCATCTGGGCTCATTTTTTTTTCCACAAGAAGATCTCCATTTATTATTTCTTTTGCTTTTAGTTTTGCTTAGGAAAAATGCCATCAGTTTTTATCCGGAAATGACTTCATTTTGTCTTAATTTTGAAGGGTATTTTAACTTGGGTATAGAATTAGAGGTTGGCAGTTATTTTTCTTTCAGCACTTTCATTTTCATCACATTGCTTTCTGACTTCTATTTCTGTTGAAATGTTTTAACATTTGTTTTATTTTTGCTTTTTCAAAGATAAGTCTCTAGCTGCTTTTAAGATCCTCTACTTTGGTTTTCATCAATATACTATAAGATGTTAGGTGGTGGGGTGGTGGTAGTATACTTAGCCTTTTAAATTTATACTGATGGGGGCTTGTGGCCCTTCTTGAATCTATGGCTTGATACCTTTCATTATCTTGGGAAAATTCTTGACATTATTGCTTCAGATATTGCTTCTGGAGCATTCTATGTCTTCTGTCTTACTGGTTTCTAATTATGTGCTTTTCTATATACTCCATCTGTTTTGCTCTAGATACTTTTGTCTGGATATTTTCAACTAACCTGTGTTGTGTTCCAGCTTATTAATCCTTTCTTTTATTGGATCCAAGTAGCTATTAAACCCATGTATTCTTAATTTCAATTTGTATATTTTTCAGTTCTTGGTTATTTTTTACAAATTCATGTTCTTTGGTGAAATTCTTTACCTTGCCATCCAAGCGTTGTACATTTTAGTCACTAAGATTTTCAGATCTATTTCTGATGACTCTCCTATCTGGGTCACTTTGAACTCTATTTGTGTTTGCTGTTTTACATCTTTGTCCTATTTGTTAGGACAGTTGCTAATTTTGTGTTTGATTACTGGATATTGTATATTGGAAACTGTAAAGGCTCTAAATGATGTCTTCCACCAGACTAGATTCACTCTGTACTCTGGAAAGCAGCAGAGAGACACAGCACCTGTGATGGATTTTAAATATGTCCACAAATTTTCGATACCCCTCCTTTAAAATGTGAAGCCTAATTTCCATCTTGGACTATACTTAGTGACTCACTTCTAATGAATAGAATATGGCACAAGTGACATTATTTTTGTAGGTCATAAAAGACATTAGCTTCCTTGCTTTCCCTTAGATGACTTGCTCTGGAGCAAGTTAACTGTCATGTCATAAGAACATCAAGCAATCTATGCAGAGCTCTACATGGTGAGGCATCCTGCTAATAGCTATGTGAACAAGCCGTTTTAGGCTCTGACCCCCAGCCCTGGTCAGACCTTTGGTGACTACAGCACCTGCCAACATCCTGACTGCAACCTCATGAGAAAACGTGAGGTAGAACTCCTGAACTACACGACTTCCTACTTATTTACCCACAGGAACTGAGATAATGAATGTTTGGATTTTTAGGCCATTATGTTTTGGGGTAAATTATTACATGGCAATAGAGATACAATACAATATTTCAATCTATTCAGAACTTGAGCAGAACTGAGGCTGATCTACAGATTTTATAAGACAGTGATTTCTTATTTTCCCCCATTCTTGTGTTACAGCCCTCTTGCCTGGGATATGGATTGTGGCACCCCTCCTATTGCTGGTCTTATATTCCAGTTCTTGGCTCCTCAATACCAGCCCTCTGTGATTTCAGTCAGTTTTTGCTTGCTTTCATAGCATCCTGTGTGGCTGGGTTGACAAATGCCTTGAGAGAAGAACACTGGCCAAGCGTCCAGCTCACTTCTCTTGGATCTTGGTCTCTCTAGTTATTGGTCTCTCAAGTTATGGCTGCCACCACAGCTTTCTAATGTCTTCAAATAGATATTTAGATATTTTTTTCCCCAATTTTTCAAATTGCTCAAGTGTGGGGCTCCATCATGGCTGTTCTACCTGTCCTTCATGTACTTTTGTATACATTATCTATTTTTAAATGTTTAAAAACATTTAAGAAATAAAGGAACCCTTACAAAGGAAAAAAGAAATATATTGTTCCCTGTTGTTATCCTGGCTCTAGAGAAAACCAGGAGATTTTATAATTGTTTTTTCTCATGCCACAGGTATTGAAGGAATTAGTGCCACTGTTGTCCGTGTCTATAGTATGGCTAGATTTAGAAGTTTAAGCATTTCTGTTTTTAAAATCAGGAGGAAATGGGAAAGGCAATAACAACTGAGCTGCAGAAGCTCATAGAAGAGAAAGTTTATGGCCCAAAACACATGACAAAAATTAAACTTGCTTAAGTTGGAAGGAAATGCCTTTATGTGCAATTACTTCCAAAGAGTAAGCATCAGGGTCTAAGGCACCCAAGAGTAGACCATTTCACCAATACTGATTGAATAAAATATTAATCCTGCCTAAAAAAATCTTGCATTGAATTTCGTGTGATAAGGAAATGTTTACAGAGATGGAAAGGGGGACAGGAAGGAGTTACTAGCCACAGTATCTTAAGAAAGTTACTACTATTTTGCATGTGTTGCTCCCTACTCATTCTTTTGTTGCTGCTGTTGTTGATGTTGTTGTTTGGAAGACGGAGTTTCGCTCTTGTTATCCAGGCTGGAGTGCAACGGCACGATCTCAGCTCACTGCAACCTTTCCCCTCCTGGGTTTAGGTGATTCTTCCGCCTCAGCCTCCTGAATAGCTGGGATTACAGGCATGTGTTGCCACGCCCAGCTAATTTTGTGTTTTTAGTAGAGAAGGGGTTTCGCCATGTTAGTCAGGCTGCTCTCAAACTCGTCACCTCAGGTGATCCACCTGCCTCAGCCTCCCAAAGTGGTGGAATTACAGGCGTGAGCCACCACGCCTGTCCATCCTACTCATTATTAAAATTTATTTAATCCTAATAATAAATGTATCCCTCTTTTACAGATGAGGAAACCAAAGCAGAGTTTCTTGCCCCAAAACACTCAAGTAGTAAATGGCAGAGGCTGGATTTGGATCTAAACATTCTGTCTCCAGAAACTATGCTCTTACCTACTACATAATAACAATGCCTAGAGAAATGAATTACTAATTTTAGACATAGAAATGTTTCTCCAAGGTAAACTACAAGTAGATAACATATGTTAGTCACACTCAGGCTTCCATAAAAATTATCAGTTTCCTCAGTTTCCCTCCCAGATGTGGTTCATTAAAAAAGAGCTGGGCCGGGCACAGTGACTCACGCCTGTAATCCCAGCACTTTGGGAGGCCGAGGCTCCTGAGGTCAGGAATTTGACACCAGCCTGGGCAACACGGTGAAACCCCATCTCTACTAAAAACACAGAAAATTAGCTGGGCGTAGTGGTGTGCACCTGTAGTCCCAGCTACTCAGGAGGCTGAGGCAGGAGAATTGCTTGAACCTGGGAGGTGGAGGTTGGCGTCATCCGAGATTGCACCACTGCACTCCAGCCTGGGCAACAGAACGAGACTCCGGCCCAAAAACAAAAAAGAGCTTTCATTGGTAGCAGTTAGTTGAATAGTTTCATGAAAGTTTCATATCATTACATTAAAATCTAGTGGAATTCCCGTTAGACCATAAGTTTGCCATTTTACAAATGGATTTCTCAAGATAAGCATTAACAGCTTTATATACAGACATAATTTTTAAAATATAGTTGACATGTAATATCTACTAAAAGCTACATGAACAGTATGTTAGCCTGATGAATTTTCACAGAGTGACAGATGACCCAGATTAAGAAACACCAATGGCATCCAGCCTGCCTCATGCCTGTTCTCCTAGTCATCAGTCTTCTAACACCATAAATTGTTTTTGCTTTATTTTTGCCTTTATAGAAATGGAATCATACTCAGTGAGCTCTTTTATGTCTTCTTTCATCCCACATTATGTGTCATGATACCCATCCGTGCTGTTGCTATTCAGCAGTTTATTCATTGCTATATAATATCATATGAATATGCCACAATTATATCTATCATATGAATGTGCTACAATTAATCTGTTTAGTTCAGTTCATTGCCATTTTGATTGTTTGCAGATTGGGGAAAATATAAATGGTGCTGCTGTGAACATTCTTTTACATGTCTTTTGGTGAATGTACATATATACACTTCTGTTGGACATATGCCTAGAAGTGGAATTGCTAGGTCATAAGGTATGCGTATCTTGAGGTCTGATACCACCAACCAGTTTACCAAAGAAGTTGTACCAAGTTATACTCCCACTATAAGTACATGAGATTTTTATTACTGCGTATCCTTGCCAACTCTTGGTGGTATCTCTTTCTTTTTAGCCATACTGGTGTATAGCATCACATTGTGGTTTTAATTTGTATTTCCTTCTAATAATGAAAATTAAGCAAATTTGCATGTTAGCCATTTGGATATCTTCTTTTATGAAGATTTTTGCTTTGTCTTTTCAATTTTTTTGACAGATACATTTATTATAAATATCTTTCCTGACCCAAAGTCATGTTGTTTCCCTAATGGTGTCTTTATATGAACTGACTGTACTTAATTTCAGTGTAGTTTTTTTCATAGACTATATGCTTTTCTGATGAATGCTCTATCTTTTTTAACTGTTTGCTCCTACTTCCATATTTTTAAAATTATTAATCATGGTTGTTTTAATGCTCTTGTTTTAACTCAAGTGTTTGGATCACCTGTGCATCTGTTTCTATTGTTTTTCTGTCAGTCTCTGGTTTTTTTTTTGGCATGCTTGATAGTTTCTGAAAAATTGTTGAGGCTGTAAGTGATATCTTGCCATAAGACAAGGCTAATCCTCTGCTTGCCAAATAGAGTAGGATCTGATTACCTAATCTTCTAAGGGAATGATATCACAAGGCTTGTAGTAATCTTGGTAAGGCTCCTTCTACCTCTAGTTCACTCTGGTCTCTAAGACATAGCCTACCATGGTTACCATCTGAAAGCTTAGACTGTTTGCCAGGGCTCCTTCACCTTGGTGGGTCCCAAATATTATTATTTACCTCATAAATACAATGAGACTGCCAAAAATTACCTCCTTTTTAAAGATTTTCTGCTCAGTTTCTTATACTCTCAAATAGCAATAATTTGAAGTACTGTAGCTTCAACCAAAGAAAAATTAAGTGAAGGATTTTGAAATTGATAAAGTATTTTGACTATCGTATAATGAACATCTGAGAAGAATTACTTAAAATTTTCTTACAGATTAGCAATGAAAAATACAGCTATCAGTCTTTCATCCAATTTATGACTACTATTACTAGAAGACAAAAATATATATAAAAGAAATTTAACAATTTAGAGGGTAAAAGTGGATAGAAAAATCAATTTTTTTTTTTTTTTGAGATGGATTTTCTCTGTCACCCAGGCTGGAGTGCAGTGGTGTATCTTGGCTCACTGCAACCTGTGCCTCACAGTTCAAGCGATTCTCCTGCCTCAGCCTCCTGAGTAGAGCTCCCACCACACCTGGTAATGTTTTGTATTTTTAGCAGAGATGGGGTTTCACCATGTTATCCAGGCTGGTCTCAAACTCCTGACCTCAGGTGATCCACCCGCCTCGGCCCCACAAAGTGCTGGGATTACAGGTGTGAGCCATGGCGCCCAGCCAAAAATCAGCCAAAAATCAAATATTCTTTTTTTTTTTTTTTTTTGAGACAGAGTTTTGCTCTTGTTGTCCAGGCTAGAGTGCAATGTCATGATCTTGGCTTACCACAACCTCTGCCTTCCGAGTTTAAGCGTTTCTCCTGCCTCAGCCTCCCGAGTAGCTGGGATTAAAGGCACGTGCCACCATGCCCGACTAATTTTGTATTTTTTAGTAGAGACGGGGTTTCTCCATGTTGGTCAGGCTGGTCTCGAACTCCCGACCTCAGGTGATCCTCCCACCTCCACCTCCCAAAGTGCTGGGATTACAGGCATGAGCCACCGTGCCTGGCCCAAATCAAATATTCTTAATAAAATTTAGATTTAAATATTTGTTTTTGTTTCTTAGAAATAATGGCAAATGTTAGAGTCCCATTGAGAAATGTGATATTTAAAAAATTGTTGAATTTGTGTTTTTTTAAATCTGCATGGAAAACTGTTGAGCATAAACTGAAAAATGAACATGATTTTTGCCTCTCCCCATGCAGTCAACAGCTACAGGAACTGACATTTTGCTATAAACAAGGCAAATCAGGCTGAAAAATTATTTTCAGATATTGTTCTACCAGGAGTTTAGGATCATGATTGGGAAAACAAATGACATGAACTCTACCATTGTCCCAGCTTCCTGCCTGGAGGCATTTTCCAGGTCAAGAGCAGGGATGGAGGAGGGATTCCAAACAGAGCCTTGTGGTCTTGCTGAGTTTAGGTCAGAGATTGGAGAATCTGAGTTGACCAGAATTTATGAAGTGGAACAGTGAAGAGAAAAAAATTCAGATAGAGCTCTGAAGATCTGCAAAGGGGCCTTGAAATATTGGCTGAATACAGATCTGTATGCAAAGGATGAAACTACGAGAGACTGGGGAAAGAACTATTGGAAAGAAGGCCAAGTGATTGATTCCTAGAAGTCATACATCTTGTTTTCCCCCTGGCTAGAAGAAAGATTGGTAACATTTTGCTTTCCCCTTGGCTAAAATGAAGAAAATTTATAATCAGAAGTAACAGGTAGGGTCCACAGATGGTTATTGCTTTAGTGGGGCTCAATTAGTCCCAGAGACTGCAAAGAATCTATACACAGAAAAGCCAAAAGCAAGCTTCAAAGGAATCAGGCTAATCCTAAGTAATTTAATTGCATGCCAGAACAAAGTCTAACACTCTTCTGAAGAAATGAAACAACATCCATTACCCAACAGCATAAATTTTACAATATCTGACATCTAATAAGAAATTCCCAGGCATGCAACATAGCAAAAAATATGACCTATCAACAAGGAGAAGAATGAAGTGATCTACCTAGAAATAATTTGGACTTAGCAGACGACCTAAAAGAGCTATTGCCAATATATCAGTGAAAGAGGTATAGAAAATGTTCAGTCTAAAGCATGGAGAGGAAAAAGACTGAAAAAACAATGAACAGAGCATCAGAGACCTATGGAACAGTATCAGGCAGTCTAATACACATTATTGGAGTATCACTAAGGCAGGAGCTGAGCAAATGTTTGAAGATACAGTGTCTGAAAATTTTCCATAGTTGATGCAAATTCTAAATCCATAAATGAAAAAATGTTAAATTCAAGCAGAAGAAACATGAAAGCATACAAAACCACATCATCAGATTGCTGAAAGTCAGTGAGGAAGGGAAAATTTTAAAAAGTAGCCACACAAAAGACACATCACATAGAAAGGAACAGAAAGTCTGACCAACATGGAGAAAACCCCGTCTCTACTAAAAATATAAAATTAGCCCAGCATTGTGGCGCATGCCTGTAATCCCAGCTACTCGGGAGGCTGAGGCAGGAGAATCACTTTGAACCAAGGAGGCAGAGGTTGCGGTGAGCCGAGATCATGCCACTGCACTCCAGCCTGGGAAACGAGCAAAACACCGTCTCAAAAAACAAAAAAGGAACAAAAAGTAAGAATGGCACCATACTTCTTGCTGTAAGCTGTGCAAACTAGAAGACATCTCTAAAATTGAGATCATAGATACTTCTAAAGTATTGAAAGTTTAAAAAAAAAAAAAAGTCCATTCAGAATTCTATATGCAGTGAAAATATGTTTCCAAAGTGTAGGGGAAAAACAGACTTTTTAAGCCAAAAAAAAGGGAGAGAATACATCAACAGACCTACATTACAAGAAATTTTGGAGGAGATTTTTCAGGCAAAAGGAAAATAGTATTAAATAGAAATTTGGATCTGTACAAAGTAATATAGACTGACAGACATTGTAAATATGTTGGCAAATAGAAAATATTTTTGTTTCTTTATAGTGTATACACACAACACACTCTATATAGAAACACTACATCCTATATATATGTAGAATATATAGTTTAGAAATTATATATATACACACACACAAGCAAGAAACAATTGGAATTTGAAATTTAAAATGGATGCCATTTACAATGACTTCAGAGAACATAATATATTTAGGGATAAACCAAAACCACCTAACCTAAAACTACAAAGTATTACTGAAGAAATTAAAGGAGACCTAAATAAGTGGTGAGATATGTAACTTTCATGAATTCATTAAGATGTTACTTCACCCCAAATTGTATATCTATCAATGCCTCAGCCGTTTTTGTAGTAAGTAACAAACTGATTAAAAACTTAAGGCCAGGCATGATGGCTTACACTTATAATCCCAGCATCTTGGGAGGCCAGGGCAGGAGGATCACTTGAGGTCAGGAGTTCAAGACCAGCCTGGCCAACATAAAAAAACATTTTTAAAAAAATTTTTTTAAAAAGTTAGCCAGGCCTGGTGACACATGCTGTCATCCCAGCTACTTAGGAGGCCGAGATGAGAGGATCTTTTGAGCCCAGAGGTTCAGGCTTCAGCAAGATACATTTGCACCACTACACTCCAGCCTGGGAGACAGAGCACGAGTCTGTCTCTTAAAAATATATATATATGTATATATATATATGTGTGTGTGTATATATATATATATGTGTGTGTATATATATGTGTGTGTGTGTGTGTGTGAATATATATATGAAAATGCAGAGACCCAGAAGATGAAAACAATGTTGGGAAAGAAAGTTAGAAGACTACACTATCTTTGTTCAAGACTTAACTATAAAGGTGTAGTATTAAGACAGTGGTGTTGGCATAGGGATAGGTATGTTGACCAGTGGACACACTAGAGACTGCACATGTAGTTCATTGGTTTACAACAAAGGTACCGATGTAGTTTAACAGGAAAAGATGTTCTTTTCAAAAATGTTGCTGGAATAGAGGGAAAAGTGAACCTCAGCTCTTACTTCATACCATAAACAAAAATTAACTCAAAATGGATCATACACCTAAGTACAAACAGTAAAAACAGAAGATGTCTGCAAGAAAATGGTATAATTGGACTGGGCGCAGTGGCTCACACCTGTAATCCCAGCACTTTGGGAGGCCAAGGTGGGCGGATCACCTGAGGTCAGGAGTTCAAGACCAGCCTGACCAACATGGTGAAACCCTGTCTCTACTAAAAATAGAAAAATTAGCCGGGCATGGTGGCATATGCTTGTAATCCCAGCTACTGAAGAGGCTGAGGCAGGAGAATCGCTTGAACCTGGGAGACAGAGGTTTCGGTGAGCCAAGATTGCGCCACTGCACTTCAGCCTGGGGGACAAGAGCAAAACTCCATCTCAAAAAACAAAAAAGTCGCTCATAAAAAAAAAGGGTCAAAATGGCTTGAAATATTCTATAACCGTAATCAGCATCATTTATCATCATTGTCTCAAATTTGTGGTAAATATTGCTACTGGAGAGATAAAATGAAGAGTAGTAGCAGTTCTTTTTAAAATAATTTTCTTTGTTATAGTTTTCTACCTTTAGGAGTCCAGGTGTCTTTATGGGTCTTAATAGATTTCCTTCATTACATGATGTTTCATTTTTATAGAAGTAAGTATATACGCTCAAAGGAATTTGTATGTTTTATACATTTATGTCCATTGTATACTTATATATATTTTGAGTCATTGTGAAAGACCCATAAAATGTAGTAGGGATCTAATTATTGGATTTTGATGAATCTTTAGTCATATAACGGAACTGGTAATAAATGGAGTTTTTTTGGGTATTTGGTTTTATCATTTCTATTTCCCCCCACGATTGTTCAATTAAAACATTATGAAATGTTAAGTTAGAGGACTCCTAACCACTAATTGCATGTTTAAGCCTGATAATGCATGTTTAGTTTTTGTTTTTAATTTCTTTTTATCATTTTAGTAACAATGATGATGTTATGTTGATTTCTGTGGAAAGTCCTAATTTGACAACTCCAATTACATCAAATCCAACAGGTATCTTATAGCTGATTAGAATATGATCTATCAAGTTAGAAGGCCTTAAATCAATGTTTGCTTTAAAGTGAAAAATTGAATAATATCTTTTAATAAAATGAAAAAGTTAAATGTACTCTCAAATGTTCTAATTTATATCATGGTTAATATTACCTAAATAAATGATTCCTTAATGTAATTGAGATTTCATTTTAACCTTGTGTTTTATCAGTTTAGGGCCTTTTGTTTCTTTTATGTGTTTAATGACTTTATAACTTGTAAAAACTACTTATTTTTAATGGTTTGCCCTGGCCTTTTTTTGATGGTAGTGACGGTTTGTTTTTTGTCTTCTTATTTTTTATCTATTAAGTTATCTTATAGTCTACTTAAGATTTAAAATTTGTCTAGTCAGTCTGGGTGTGGTGGCTCACACCTGTAATCCAAGCACTTTGGGAGGCTGAGGCAGGCAGATCACCTGAGGTCAGGAGTTCAAGACCAGCCTGGCCAACAAAATGAAACCCCATCTGTATTAAAAATACAAAAATTAGCCAGGCATGGTGGCAGGTGCCTGTAATCCCAGCTACTCTGGAGGGTGAGGCAGGAGAATTGCTTGAACCTTGGAGGCAGAGACTGCAGTGAGCTGAGATCGTGCTACTGCACTCCAGCCTGGGCAAAACAGCAAGACTCCGTCTCAAAAAAAAAAAAAAAAAAATTTTAACCTTACATTTCCAATGATAACTTTTCTCTCTCTCAAAAATACCCATCTTGTTTGGCTCATAATTTCTTATTCAAAATTCCCCATTTTCATTTCATTTTCTACTATGTTAAAGTATTTGCATCTTAATTTTAAAGCTTTGCCTCCACTTAATAGCTACTTAATTGTCCCCACAATTTGGGCTAAGATTGTGAATCAGAGAATTACAAAGGATGTTAATCATTTATCTTAGGCTTCCTACTGGTTCCAGGAAGAGTGCTTCTCAGCCATGTCAGGCAGTTGTAGTCTAAAAATACTGTGAATTAAAAGTGTGTGCATTTCCAGGTGTATTTTCTCATGGAAATTTCTAGGTAGATTTTCAAAAAAAGAGTTACTAATATAGTTGCAAAGTTACAGAAAGACAAAATGGTTTGACCCAAAATTACATTTTTTTAAAAAAATTTCATTCAGTCTTTGGAATAGGTAAAGTCAATTGAGTTACTTTTTATCACTGTATAATTAACAGCTAATTAGCATCCCTATTATTTTGTTTTAGCATTCATATTTCACAAAGCCCATAAATATTGTGTAATAAATTTGTCAAATGTCTAATTTCTTTCAGATACCAGAAAAATTACATCAGGAAATTCTAGCAATTCTCCCAATGCTGAAGTTATGGTGAGTAATAAATATTGACTCTGAATATTGTTTATTTAAATATGTTAGTTCAAGGAACTTTAGTGTTTGCTACATGTTGGATGATTTAGTTTTAGTCCACGTTACACACTGAAAAGCAGACAGCTAATGATAAGCATAATTCATAACGATACTCATTTACCAAATTCATTTACATTCTCCTTAGTCATATTCTCAGAAACCATTTAGTATTTTATAAGAGCTTTTTAATAGTAGAGTTAAACCACAAGAGACTTAGAGAATGTTCCATCTCTAGTTTCCGAATGGTGATTTAAAATTACCATTTAAAATTACCAAATGGTTTTAAATTTTTAAAAACATTTTCAGCTATTGAGGCAAAGCTTTTTTTTTTTTTTTACAATTTTTTTAGGCTGTACAGAAGAAACTTGATTCTATAATTGATTTGACAAAAGAAGGCCTATCCAACTGCAATACAGGTAAAAGGATTTTTTAGATCTTTCTTTTGTAAAAAGGAGGGAAGGGTAACAACTCATAATGCACTGGGTCTACTTATGAAGTTTGTTTTAATATGTGAGTGTGCCTATGTTTATATCTCTGTGCAGTTTTAGCTCATGTGCAGATTCATGTAACTGCCGTCACAGTGACAAAGCTCCTTCATGCTACCCCTTTATACTCACACCTTGTTTCTGCCCCAATCCCTGGCAGCCACCAATCTGTTCTGTACTATAATTGTTATTTCACAAATTTACATAAATTTGATAATGCAGTATGTGTCCTTCGGAGATTGACTTCTTCCGAGGGTCATCCACATTCTTGTGTAACAGTAGTGTGTTCCTCTTTATTGCCAAGAGTAGCCCGTGGTGTGGATGCATCATAATTTCTTTATTCATAAACCCATTGAAAGACATCTGGCTTGTTGGGGACTTTTACACATTTATTTTCTTCCTGTGGTACATACTTTTTTCCCTAACCACAACAATAGCAGCTAAGAGGACGCACAGAGAAACAGAAACTGGGGTATAACATGAAAATGTAGACAGAGAGTGACAACAGTGTCTGTCGTCTTTCACAGATTTAAGGAAAAAGAAGTGAAATACAGTCGTGGGGCTGGGGATCAGTTATAAGGTCTCATTGGAATTTAATGAAAAGTATAAACCCACATACCCAAGGTGTTTAAAAAACTCCAGGATAAACACAAAAGAATTCATACCAAGACATAACATAGTCAAGTTCCTGAAATCCAGTGATAAGGAGAAAAATGAAGATACAATGCAGGTGAAAGAACAAAGAATTCACAGGTTTCTAGGCTAGAACAATGCAAGCCAAAAGACAATTGAATGACTTCATTAAAAGGTTGGGGGAAAATAACTGTCAACCTGTAATTCTTTATCTAGAAAATATGGCTTTCAAAAAAGAAAGCAACTTTGGGAGGTCAGGGCAGGAGGATGGCTTGAGGCCAGCAGTTTGAGACCAGCCTAGGCAACATAGGGAAACCCCATCTCTACAAAAATAAGAATAAATAAAGCAAAATTAAAATTTTTCAGATCAACAAAATTTGTTGCCAGCAGACCTTTGCTATCAGAAATAAAGGAAATTCTTCAAATGATAGTAAAAGATACCAGATGGAAAGTAGATCTACACAAAGAATAAAACTATATTGTAGAATGTATATAGAAGTCAGTAGATGAAAACAGTAGTGCAAAAGATAGTCACAGGATTGGAAGTATGCTGTTACAAGGCTCTTAAATGGAGTGGTGTCACGTTATTTGAAGCTAGACTGTGATAAGTTAAAGATATATATGGTAATGCCTAGAGCAACAGTTTTTTCTTTTAAATAGAAGTAAAGCTAAGAAACCAATAGTGGAGATAAAAAGGAATTTTTAAAATATCCAAACTGGCTGGGCGCGGTGGCTCACGCCTGTAATCCCAGCACTTTGGGAGGCCGAGACGGGCAGATCATGAGGTCAGGAGATCAAGACTATCCTGGCTAACATGGTGAAACCCCATCTCTACTAAAAATACAAAAAAAATTAGCCGGGTGTGGTGGCGGGCACCTGTAGTCCCAGCTACTCGGGAGGCTGAGGCAGGAGAATGGCGCGAACCCGGGAAGTGGAGCTTGCAGTGAGCCGAGATCGCGCCACTGCACTCCAGCCTGGGCAACAGAGCGAAACTCCGTCTCAAAAAAAAAAAACCCAATCTAAGAAGCCAGAAAAAAAAAAAAAAAAAAAAAACAGAGAAAGAACAAACAAGACTAATAGAGAACAAAAGGCAAAATGATCAATTTAAACCTGACCACACTGATAATAAATGTAAATGGTCCAAACACTCCATTGAAAAGCATTGTTTGACTGGAGAACAATACAAGTCTCAACTATGATTACAAGAGATGTACTTTAAAAAGGAAATAAACATTACTTGGGTTGGAATGAAAGTCCTGTTTTGTCTCTTATTATCATAAAGTTCAGCTTCTGTTGTAGTCTGTTTTAATTTGCCAAGGGCCAGTTGACTTACTGCCTTGAAAGAAGGAATATTATTTACAAGAAATTATATTTGCTAGGATATTTTAAATATTCAGCTGTTGGCTAAAAATGTAAAGGTTGTTTGTATTAGTTCTTAACCTGTAGATTATAATTGTACAAATCTGTCTCTTAAAGCTAGTACAAAATAGCTGAACAGACTCTCTAAAATAATAAACTCCTTACTTCTAGGAAGGTTTTTGTAAAAATACCAGTAAATAAGGTGACTAACTGTGAAACACAATACAGAATCTTGTTCATCTTTGTGAAAAGAAAAATATAAGTAAAAGAAATTTCATTTGGAGGATTCATAAAATATATTAGTTACATCACAGGATATAAAGGATCTAAAATGGTTTTTACTGCTTAATTCTGGGATTTTTAGCTACCCAACTTTCATACTTTCCAATATAAACCCCCTTTTCTTAACCATCCCTGTATTTACTCTCCCCAGTTGTGTGTGTGTGTGTTTTTTTTTAAACTTTATGTTCTGGGGTACATGTGCAGGATGTGCAGGTTTGTTACATAGGTAAATGTGTGCCATGGTGGTTTGCTGCACCTATCAACCCATCACCTAAGTATTAAGCCTGGCATGCATTAACTATTTTTCCTGATGTTCTCTCCACCCCCTGCCCCTCCCCCAACAGGCCTAGTGTGTGTTGTTCCCCTCCCTATGTCCATGTGTTCTCATTGTTTAGCTCCCACTTTTAAGTGAGAACATGTGGTATTTAGTTTTCTGTTCCTGCGTTACTTTGCTGAGGATAATGGCTTCTAGCTCCATCCATGTCCCTGCAAAGAACAGGATCTCATTCCTTTTTATGGCTGCATAGTATTCCATGTGTATATGTACCACATTTTCTTTAGTCTATCATTGATGGGCTTTTGGGTTGATTCCATGTCTTTGCTGTTGTGATTAGTGCTGCAGTTAACATATACATGCATGTATTTTTCTAATAGAATGATTAATATTCCTTTGGGTAAATACCCAGTAATGAGACTGCTAGGCCAAATGACAATTTTATGATGAAATCGCCAAAACCAATTGCAACAAAAGCAAAAATCTACAAATGGGATCTAATTAAAGAGCCTGTATACAGCAGAAGAAACTATCATCAGCGAACAGACAACCTACAGAATGGGAGAAAATTTTTGCAATCTGTCTAACTGACAAAGGTCTAACACCCAGAATCTACAAGGAACTTAAGCAAATTTACAAGAAAAAGCAACCCCATTAAAAAGTGGGCAAAAGATTACATTTATTGATTTGCGTATATTGAACCAGCCTTGCATCCCAGGGATGAAGCCCACTTGATCATGGTGGATAAGCTTTTTGATGTGCCAAAAACCACATGATTATCTCAATAGATGCAGAAAAGGCCTTTGACAAAATTCAACAACCCTTCATGCTAAAAACTCTCAATAAATTAGGTATTGATGGGACGTATCTCAAAATAATAAGAGCTATCTATGACAAACCCACAGCCAATATCATACTGAATGGGCAAAAACTGGAAGCAGTCCCTTTGAAAACTGGAAGCATTCCCTTTGAATACTGGCACAAGACAGGGATGCCCTCTCTCACCGCTCCTATTCAACATAGTGTTGGAAGTTCTGGCCAGGGCAATTAGGCAGGAGAAGGAAATAAAGGGTATTCAATTAGGAAAAGAGGAAGTCAAATTGTCCCTGTTTGCAGACGACATGATTGTATATCTAGAAAACCCCATTGTCTCAGCCCAAAATCTCCTTAAGCTGATTGATAGGCAACTTCAGCAAAGTCTCAGGATACAAAATCAATGTACAAAAATCACAAGCATACTTATACACCAATAACAGACAAACAGAGAGCCAAATCATGAGTGAACTCCCATTCGCAATTGCTTCAAAGAGAATAAAATACCTAGGAATCCAACTTACAAGGGATGTGAAGGACCTCTTCAAGGAGAACTACAAACCACTGCTCAATGAAATAAAAGAGGATACAAACAAATGGAAGAACATTCCATGCTCATGGGTAGGAAGAATCAATATCATGAAAATGGACATACTGCCCAAGGTAATTTATAGATTCAATGCCATCCCCATCAAGCTACCAATGACTTTCTTCACAGAATTGGAAAAAACTACTTTAAAGTTCATATGGAACCAAAAAAGAGCCCGCATCGCCAAGTCAATCCTAAGCCAAAAGAACAAAGCTGGAGGCATCACACTACCTGACTTCAAACTATACTACAAGGCTACAGTAACCAAAACAGCATGGTACTGGTACCAAAACAGAGATATAGATCAATGGAACAGAACAGAGCCCTCAGAAATAACGCCACATATCTACAACTATCTGATCTTTGACAAACTTGAGAAACACAAGCAATGGGGAAAGGATTCCCTATTTAATAAATGGTGCTGGGAAAACTGGCTAGCCATATGTGGAAAGCTGAAACTGGATCCCTTCCTTACACCTTATACAAAAATTTATTCAAGATGGATTAAAGACTTAAACGTTAGACCTAAAACCATAAAAACCCTAGAAGAAAACCTAGGCATGACCATTCAGGACATAGGCATGGGCAAGGACTTCATGTCTAAAACACCAAAAGCAATGGCAACAAAAGCCAAAATTGACAAATGGGATCTACTTAAACTAAAGAGCTCCTGCACAGCAAAAGAAACTACCATCAGAGTGAACAGGCAACCTACAAAATGGGAGAAAATTTTCGCAATCTACTCATCTGACAAAGGGCTAATATTCAGAATCTACAATGAACTCAAACAAATTCACAAGAAAAAAACAACCCCATCAAAAAGTAGGCGAAGGACATGAACAGACACTTCTCAAAGGAAGACATTTATGCAGCCAAAAAACACATGAAAAAATGCTCACCATCACTGGCCATCAGAGGAATGCAAATCAAAACCACAATGAGATACCATCTCACACCAGTTAGAATGGCAATCATTAAAAAGTCAGGAAACAACAGGTGCTGGAGAGGATGTGGAGAAATAGGAACACTTTTACACTGTTGGTGGGACTGTAAACTAGTTCAACCCTTGTGGAAGTCAGTGTGGCAATTCCTCAGGGATCTAGAACTAGAAATACCATTTGACCCAGCCATCCCATTACTGGGTATATACCCAAAGGACTATAAATCATGCTGCTATAAAGACACATGCACACGTATGTTTATTGCGGCACTATTCACAATAGCAAAGACTTGGAACCAACCCAAATGTCCAACAATGATAGACTGGATTAAGAAAATGTGGCACATATACACCATGGAATACTATGCAGCCATAAAAAATGATGAGTTCATGTCCGTTGTAGGGACATGGATGAAATTGGAAATCATCATACTCAGTAAACTATCGCAAGAACAAAAAACCAAACACCACATATTCTCACTCATAGGTGGGAATTGAACAATGAGAACACATGGACACAGGAAGGGGAACATCACACACTGGGGCCTGTTGTAGGGTAGGGGGAGTGGGGAGGGATAGCATTAGGAGATATACCTAATGCTAAATGACGAGTTAATGGGTGCAGCACACCAGCATGGCACATGTATACATATGTAACTAACCTGCACATTGTGCACATGTACCCTAAAACTTAAAGTATAATAATAATTAAAAAAAAAAAGTGGGCAAAGGACATGAGCAGACATTTCTCAAAAGAAGACGTACATTTGGCCAACAAACATGAAAAAAAGCTCAACATCACTGATCATCAGAGGAATGCAAATCAAAACCACAATGAGATACCATCTCATGCCTGTCAGAATGGCGATTATTAAAGTCAGAAAACAACAGATGCTGGCGAGGATGTGGAGAAATAGGAATGCGTTTACACTGTTGGTAGGAATGTAAATTAGTTCCACCATTGTAGAAAACAGTCTGGTGATTTCTCAGTGATTTAGAACTGGAAATACTTTTTTTTTTTTTTTTTTTTTTTTTTTTTTTTTTTTTTTTTTTGAGACAGTCTTGTTCTGCCCTCTGTCACCCAGGCTAGAATGCAGTGGCTTGATCTTGGCTCACTTCAACCTCCACCTCCCGGGTTTAAGCAATTCTCTGTCTCAGCCTCCCGAGTAGCTGGGACTACAGGCACGCGCCACCACACCCAGCTAATTTTGTATTTTTAGTAGAGACAGCATTCTACCATGTTGCCCAGGCTGATCTGGAACTCCTGACCTCAAGTCATCTGCGTCCTAAAGTGCTGGGATGACAGATGTGAGCCACTATGCACAGCCTCCCCAGTTGTTTTCAATCCATTCTTTTGCCTACTTGTACCTTCTTTCCCTCCCACCCATCCACATTTTTCGTGTTCCCTTCCTTTCTTCTTCTCACCATCTATTTTCCTTTCTGTTTCTCCTCCTTCCCCTCTTCTTTTCCCCACTCCACATTTTATGCCTAATTCCTTCCAGAGGAGCACAGACCTCATTAGTTGAGATTTCTTTAACCCCAACCCACATGATTTTTAGTTTGAATTCCTAAAACTTGGCTATAGATTATAAATGGCTCTGTGTTTGTAGACATCTTTGTTGGCCTAACGAGAAAATTTGCCTCTAAGATCATTTATCAGAGATCTCTGTCCCATGTGTAAACCTATCTAGTTGCCAGTTACACAATGTCTAAAGTGTTTACCTTAAGGGGAATTTTTGTCACCTTAAAAATTTTCTATATTTGGTACCTCTGTATCTTGAACTTTAATTAAAAGTGTATCTTCATAATTCACAGTTTTATAATTTTAATTCACATTTAATTACCACCAAAGATGTAAACTATAGCTTAAAGGCTATGGAATTGATTATTGCAGATAAGATTTACTTCTTAAACCTTGTGTTGTTCACAGAAAGTCCAGTATCCCCCCTGGAGTCACATTCGAAAGCTGCTTCAAACTCAAAGGAAACAACCCCATTGGCACAAAATGCAGTCCAGGTACTGAATCAAAGTGCTCTGTAAGGGATATTTATTCCAAATTGAGTGGGAAGTAGCTATGTTACTCTTGAAGAAACATTTGGGTCACATTTCAGCTTAGACAACAATTTAGTGTGCTGTTGTTAATCTACTTATTTATACAATTAAAATTATTCAGTTGAGTTTTACAGAAGCTACAGAAATTAAAACAAATACTTTTTTTATTGAACAAATTGGAAAAGAAGCAATAGCCATTGTTGATGAGGATGGGAGGAAAAGGGTGTTCTCATATACTGTCACTTTTTGAGACCGAATCTTGCCCTGTTGCCCAGGCTATAGTGCGGTGGCATGATCTCGGCTCACTGCAACCTCCACCTCCTGGGTTCAAGTGAGTCCCCTGCCTCAGCCTCCCGAGTAGCTGGGATTTCCCGAGTAGCTGGGATTTCCCGAGTAGCTGGGATTTCCCGAGTAGCTGGGATTACAGGCACGCACCACCACGCACAGCTAATTTTTGTATTTTTAGTAGAGACAGGATTTTGCCATGTTGGCCAGGCTGGTCTCAAACTCCTGACCTCAGGTGAGGCAATGCACCCAGCCATGCTGACACTTTTCATGTAAATTAGTATAGTGTTTGAGAGCGCAATTTGGAAATGAGATGGAATATTTATCCCACATGTCTGGAACCTAACCCATTCTGGATTATTGATATTCCAGGATATAGAAATCTTAAATCCAAAAGAGGATTCTGCTTAAAGGACTGGATCCAGCCTCACATATTACTGAAATATCCTTTTATTATTTTGATAAATGGATTGAAGAATGAGAAATATATATTTCTACAACTGCAATTGACCACTTTAAAAGCTATATTTTCTTACAATTGTGTTTTTAGGTTCCTGAGTCCTTTGAGCACCTGCCACCTCTCCCAGAACCACCAGCACCACTACCTGAATTAGTAGACAAAACCCGAGACACACTTCCTCCCCAGAAGCCTGAGCTCAAAGTGAAACGGGTTTTCAGACCCAATGGCATTGCCCTGACTTGGAATATAACCAAAATCAATCCCAAGTGTGCTCCTGTAGAAAGCTACCACCTCTTCCTGTGTCATGAGAACTCTAATAATAAGTTGATTTGGAAGAAGATTGGAGAAATTAAAGCTTTACCACTCCCCATGGCCTGTACTTTATCTCAGTTTTTAGCTTCCAACAGATACTATTTTACTGTCCAATCAAAAGATATTTTTGGACGATATGGACCATTCTGTGATATAAAATCTATCCCTGGGTTTTCTGAAAATCTTACGTAAAAGGTGTTTAATAATGATATACTACTTTTTTTTTCATATTTGTTTGTTTGCAATGTTACTGTAATACTATTTGCCATTGTAAAAGGCCAGCTCAGATTGTGAGCCCTTTCTATTGGGACAGTCCTCTTCTATATGTTTTAAGTGGCCAGTAATTTAATGAATTTCTGGTTTGTATTAAATATGTCCTTCCAATGGATAAGTTCTAAAACATACGCTATCATTGGCCCATGTTGCTGAGGTGCATTGTGAACAATACCTTTAGTGACTGTGGAACTGCTGCTTCTATCAGAAGACCTAGGATACAAGCAGCCACTGTTTCCTCCGTTAACAATCAGCTTTTAGTAACCTGCTGTGGTCAGCATAGCTACAGGAAAAGTCAGCCCTTGACTGAGGGCCAGATCATCCCTGGAGTGCACCTCTACTAAGATTTTATGAAAAGATGACATGTTGGGCTGCATGATAAAAGTTAATTATAAAAATTAAAAGATTTTTTTTTTTGAGATGGAATATTGCTCTGTTGCCCAGGCTGGAGTACAGTGGTCACTGCAACCTCCATCTCCCTGGTTCAAGCAATTCTCCTATGTCAGCCTCCCAAGTAGCTGGGACTATAGTCACTTGCCACCATGCCCGGCTAATTTATTTTTAGTAGAGATGAGGTTTCACCTTGTTGGTCAGGCTGGTCTCAAACTCCTGACCTCAGGGGATCCACCCGCCTCGGCCTCCCGAAGTGCTGGGATTATAGGCGTAAGCCACCATGCCTGGCCAAAAATTAAAAGATTTTATGAAACGAAATGGCTTCCCATTCTTTCTATTCAGCTTCTAAGTGGGCTATTCATTTGTGCTCTCCTCTTTTTTGTTTTGTTTTGCACTTTGTCAATCATTTGGGGAAATAGCCTGGAGGTCTTTCCTGAATCTGTTTGTAGACATAATAAAATTTGTGTGCTGTGTACACAAAAACATAATGTATCTTATGAAAGCATTACCCAACCTGTTTGAGTTGAGAATGCATTTGTCCACCTTTGATTTGAGGCTTTAGTTTGCTGATTTCCTAAATGCTACCCTTTGATCATTTCCTGGCCACCATCACAATACTAAGGGGCTCAGATGTGTCTTGTGCCCACCTCTTCCTGAGAAGAGATGGAAGTGGAGCTGTGACTAGTACAAGCAGCCCAAGAAACTCTGAACGGGGCCCAATGGAGGCAAACTTGAGCAAATAATTGGGATGATAAGAAACAAAAATAATCCCAACTGTTTGAAAGTTCGAAAGAGGGGCATTCTTTTCTGGTACATGGTGAGAGTTCAGGCTCCAGAGACTCAAAACGGAATGGTTTTCCTTGGCATTTTGTAAATGCTCTCACATCTGTAGCAATAAAGCTGTTATTTTCTGCAGTGTTCTATGTCTTTATTTTTAAGAAAATTACTGATTCATGAGAGGAACTGCCCAGTGAGTTCCATTTCCTACTCAGAGCCAGGAACTCACCCTGGGATTGCCATGGACTAGACATTCACTCACTGTGAAGCCCAAAGACGCGGCCTATAAACAAGATTTTGGTACCCATTACCAAGTGAACCTGCATCTGCAACCAGTGGGCCATCTGGAACGATGATCGATGCTCAAGTCTCTAGCAAATGAGCCTTTATGATCACAGGAAGAGAGAGAGAGGCTGACAGCAAACCTCTTAAGAGGTGGTACCTCAGAAAGCATTACTGTAGCTGGCGCGGTGGCTCACGCCTGTAATCCCAGCACTTTGGAAGGCCGAGGCAGGTGGATCACGAGGTCAGGAGATTGAGACCATCCTGGCTAACATGGTGAAACCCCATCTCTACTAAAATTAATTACAAAAAAATTAGCTGGGCGTGGTGGCAGGCACCTGTAGTCCCAGCTACTCGGGAGGCTGAGGCAGGAGAATGGTGTGAACCCAGGAGGCGGAGCTTGCAGTGAGCCAAGATCACACCACTGCACTCCAGCCTGGGCGACAGAGCAAGACTCCATCTCAAAAAAAAGCATTACTGTTTTGCCTTTTGGTGAGGCGGGGCAAGATCAACAGTTTTGTTTGTTCATTTGTTCTTGAGATAGGATCTCTGTTACCCAGGCCGGAGTGCAGTGGCAGCATCAGTGCCCCTGCAGCCTCGACTTCTTGGGCTCAAGTGATCCTCCCACCTTAGCCTCTCAAGTAGGTGGGACTACAGGTGTGCACCACCATGCATGGCTAATTTTTTTGAATTTTAGTATTGATGAGGTCTCACTATGTTGCCCAGCCTGGTCTCGAGCTCAAGGGATCCTTCCGCCTGGGCCTCCTAAAGTGCTTGGATTATAGGCAGATCCTCGACTGTTAACACAGCAGTGACACCAGAAAGGAGCTAGCCAGCCTAAGGACAAAAGTCATGCTCGTAACACAGTCACACAGTACACAGAACCCACAACCTGACCCCACCCCACAAAATGCTTCCTATACCTCCAGTGGGAAACCTTTATACCTTCATTAGGTAACAGAATCAAACTGAGTGATGACTGAAAATTGAATACATTGAGAAAAGGCTACGGAGTGGCCCAAGGAATCACTAGGAATCCTACAGACTCAAGGAAAAAATACTTTGCAACAACCCAATGAGGTTTGGAACCTGCTACAGTTTATGCAATTCACATTCTACATAATGATATGTTAGACATTTTATGCCCATTTGAAAGATGGAGAGACGAGCCCAGAGAGCTTAGGAGACTTGTGCAAGGTCACAGAGGCCCAGGGAATAATTACAGCCAGGATTCAAAACCAGCTACATGGTTCTGATTCATGCTGTGTACACCATGCTCTGCTGTCTGTGGGAACTAGACTGAAGGAACAGTTAGTTAGAATTCACACTCTTTGCTGCCTTGTGGCTCCAGATTGAAATCCCAGCCTCTGATTGGCTTATCCTAGGGCGTATGTTCAAGTTGCAAGGTGAATTGGGGAAGCAAACCTCTGGTATTTCTAATCTTCAGTGAGAGGTATACACAAGGTAAGTGTGGTGGTTCTGGACTGTGTTCCCGTAGCTAAGCTAGAACTACCTGCCCAGGATTTCCTTCCCTGGCTGGTTCAAGGTTAGCATTGATCATGAGACATTTGCTGAGATTTGGAGAGCAGAAGTGAAATGGCATCACATGTCTTAGGTTCCAAAGGGCAGTGCAGGACATCAGAACGAGGCAGCTGGTGTGCACTGTTGCTCATCTGCGAGTTGATGGACCTGCAGTTGCCATCAAAGCCACCTCTAGCCTGTCCAAGTACAGGGCACATATGGGTGCTGCTGTGTGTTTTTCCCACAGCCCATTATTCCCATGGCTTCAAGGTGGGATTGGTGACACAGGTTCCAGTTTGTACTTGGTCCCAACTACATCCATCCTTCCTCCCCAACAGCCTGCCTGGTTGACCGATGGTGACTCCAGGCTTCACAATAGACACAAAGGGAACAGTTTATGTGACCTCCTCCACCAGCTTTCATGCATAGGAACAAGTCTGGCCCCATGAGAGATCCTTATTCTTGTTGAATACCACGAGTTCTAAATTTCTCTTCAAAGATCAGTATGTCAGTATGTTCAGTTCTTTGTTCTCCATTTTGAAGCTTAACTTCCTCATTCTCCTCACCCCTAGTTGCAATAAACAACCTTTTCCACCAGATCTAATCAGTAGTTCACATCTGTTCTCCTGGTCACCTGCTCTGACCTGAGTCATCCTGAGTCACCTGTTCTGTAACTGCCCTTCCCACCAAACTACTCACCCTGCCACTCTGGCTCGTACCCCTGCTCTTTTTAAAATAGCTTATCAGAATTAGCTTAGACTGTGTGGTCCAACCCTAGCCAATAGGGGAATGACACAGCAGTAGGGGCTACCTGAGTCAGGAATAAAAACCCCTTCCCCCTCCCTTGTTCAGGTGTGCTCTCACCATTGCTCCACCCATGAGTCGCACCCTTCTATAGAAGGAAAATTGCCTTGCTGAGAAAATTAAATTTATGTTCGAGTGCTATTTCTTTTGTGGTACCGAAAATTTATAACAATTTGCGGCCAGGCGCGGTGGCTCACACCCGTAATCCCAGCACTTTGGGAGGACGAGGCAGATGGATCACGAGGTCAGGAGATCGAGACCATCCATCCTGGCTAACATGGTGAAATCCCGTCTCTACTAAAAATACAAAAAATTATCCGGGCACGGTGGCGGGCGTCTGTAGTCCCAGCTACTCGGGAGTCTGAGGCAGGAGAATGGCCTGAACCCAGGAGGCGGAGCTTGCAGTAAGCCGAGATAGTGCCACTGCACTCCAACCTGGGTGAAAGAGCCAGACTCCGTCTCAGAAAAACAATTTGGGGGCTTGCCCAAGATTCCCATTCTCCATCTGGGGCGGGTCTAGACAGCTCTCATCAGGAGAAGTGCCCCACTGCCTTGTTGCAGCAGCCTCGGGTAAGGAATTGAGACCCACCCGGTATGATGAATAAACCCACACTCTCAGCAACGCGGAAAGAAACTGACCGGCGACCTTGGGGAAAGGATCCTCACATACCACGGTGACTAGGTAACTCTGTGCACAGACCAAGGTAAGAAACGTTGCAACAGCGGCAAAGTATTTCCTTGGTGGTTGGGACGTACCAAGGCAAGAAAAGCCTCAGGGGTGGTGAAGTATTCCTTGGTCAGGGGATCTTGGAGATTGAAAGTGTAAGAAGAAGTGGCAAGACATTTCCAGTAGGGGAAATTGAGCCTCACTCCAAAAGTTTTGGCAAGCAATTTCCAGTAAGGGAAATTGAGCCTTACCCTAATACGTGAGAAATTTCCAGTAAAGGGAGATTGAGCCTCACCCCAAAACAATCAAGATGGGAAATAAGCCAAGTAATGTAAGGGATAAAAAGGATAAAGCTAGCAACAATAATATTCCACCTAATAATGCCCTAGGCCTAACGTTAAAATATTAAAAGGATAATGAAAGGACCAAAAACAAGAAAAATCAGCTGCTGTCCCAGACCCTTCTCCTATCCCTGTTGTCCCCCTCCTTATAACCCTGCCTCTTGGGAATCGTCCCAAGAGCCCACTCACTACCAGCCTAAGTACCTTTCCCTAAAAGGACTTCAACGCGAGACAGAGCAATGTAAAAAGGATATTCAGAATTTCCCTTTCCCCTCTACTCGGAGGAAAGAGGCACGATCCATAGAGCCGTTATGGGAGCCTAGGAACTGTGAACACCCTCCTGGCCAAAACATTCCTACAACAGATCAAAAATTTCCCACCGAAGACCCCCAGTGGGACAATAACAACACAGCCCACCGAGAAAATATGCAGGACCTTAGAGAATTGATTCCCGTCTTTCGACCATATCTCGGGATGAATGTGTTCTTCATGTGCGGTGGTGAGCAAGTTTAGGGAGGGGAGGAATTTTCCATGATTGATTTGGAGGCCTAAGCCTAATTCTAGCATCAAATCTCTTCCTAATAGATTTGTCCCTGTACCCCAAACCCAGAATCTGTACCTGGGTTGAATCTGTACCCCGAACCCAGAATCTTACCTGAACATTTGATATACAGCAAGGGAAAGATGAAGGGCCTATAGAATTTTTAGACAGATTAAAGGAACAAATGAGAAAATATACTGGTCTAGGTCTCGAGGACCCTCTTGCATAGGAAATGTTAAAACTTCATTTTGTCAGTAACAGCCAGATATTAACAAGAAATTACAAAAGAAAGAGAACTAGAAAGATAAACCTATAGAAGAGTTTCTAAGAGAAGCCCAAAAAGTCTATGTAAGAAGAGACAAAGAGGCTGGGCGCTGTAATCCCAGCACTCTGGGAGGCCAAGGTGGGTGGATCACCTGAGGTCAGGGGTTCGAGACCAGCCTGACCAACAGGTAGAAACCCCATCCCTACTAGAAATACAAAATTAGCCGGGCGTGGTGGCGCATGCCTATAATCCCAGCTACTTGGGAGGCTGAGGCAGGAGAATCGCTTGAACCTGGGAGGTGGAGGTTGCGGTGAGCTGAGATCATGCCATTGCACTCCAGCCTGGGTAATAAGAGTGAAACTCCGTCTCAAAAATAAAGAGATGAAGAAAAACAAAAGCAGAAGGCAAAAATTCTGCCCACCATGCAACAAAGTACCCAGGGGCCCAGAACCTATAAAAACCTAGACCCCCACTCTCCAGGCAATATAAAGGGTATGAAAGTAAAGCCGGGAGACTCAAAGATAGAAGAAAAAAAAATCTGAGAGAGAAAGAAAGAGAGAGACAGAGAGTCAAAGGGAGAGAGAGGCAGAGAGAAAGAGAGGCAAAGGGAATCAGAGTGAGAGAAAGAGTAGAAGAGAGAGAGAGAAGCAGAGAGACAGGCAAAGAGAGAAGGAGAGGCAAAGGGAGAGAAAGAGGACAAAACAAATGCTTCAAATTAAAAATAGGTCACCCTCAAAAGAGAAAGTTCCAAATAGGAAGAAGAACAAAGGTCATATATAAAAGAAAATCAGCTAATATTAAATTTCTGTTAATTCCAGAAGCAGAGACAAATCTGCTACGAAGAGGTTTGATGCTAGAATTAGGCTTAGGCCTCCAAATCAATCATGGAAAATTCCTCCCCTCCCTAAACTTGCTCACCACCGCAGACAAAGAACACATTCATCCTGAGATACCGTCAAAAGATGGGAATTGAGGAAAGTTAGATTCCTCAGATTCATGTTAAATTAAAAACCCCTGGGGAAGTAGTAAAGAGAAAGCAAGGTACCCTATTCTTTTAAAAGCCAGGATAAATTTAAAACCTATAATTGATAATTGAAGGTCTTCTCAGTGATGGGCTTCTTAAACCCCGTATGTCTCCCTAAAACACTCCAATACTGCTTGTAAAGAAGCCAGATGGGTCATACCGGTTAATGCAAGACCTTAGAGCTATTAATCAAATAGTCCAAACTACCCACCCTGTTGTTCTCAATGCTTATACTATTAACAGTAGAGTCCCATACAGTCACCAATGGTTTACAGTAATAGATTTAAAAGATGCATTCTGGGCTTGTCCGTTAGCAGAGGACAGCCGGGACCTATTTGCCTTTGAGTAAGAAGACCCTCACTCCAGTCAAAAATAGCAATACGGATAGACAGTCTTACCCCAAGGGTTTACAGAGTCTCCAAATGTCAAATATTAGAACAAGTCATTTAATTAGCAAAGGTAAACCGTACATTGAGCTTGATCGGATTGAAGGCATTATATCCTTGCCTCTGCCGGAGACTAAACAAGAACTTAGAAAATTTTAGGATTAGTCGGGTACTGTCGTCTATGGATAGGCTTTTATACAAAAAGTTCACGCAAGATGGGCCAAACCCCCCCATTTGGCAATTACCAGAAATCCAATAGGTGGAAAGGTTAAAACATCTATTAGTAACTGCCCCTGTCCTAGCTTTACCCTCTGTAAGCAGCCATTCCATCTTTTTTCAGTGTGAACAAGGGCGTAGCCTTAGAAATACCCAAAAGCACAGAGGCCACTGGCAACCCATAGCCTTCCTATCAAAAATCCTTAATCCAGTAACCCGTGGATGGCCCAAATGCATTCAATCTATAGTGGCAACTGCTGTGCTAACAGAAGAAAGTAGAAAAATAACTTTTAGAGGAATCCTCATTGTGAGCACACCTCACCAGGTCAGAACTATCCTAGGTCAAAAAACAAAGGTAGCTTACTGACTCAAGAATCTTAAATCAGGCTATTCTGTTAGAAAAAGATGATTTAACATTAACCACTGATAATTCGCTTAACCCAGCAGGTTTCCTAACAGGGGATATAAATCTAAAGAGAGAGCACACATGTTTAGATGTAATTAATTACCATACAAAGATCTGACCAGACCTAGGAGAAACTCCCTTCAGAACAGGACAACACTTATTTACAGATGGTTCCTCCCAGATGATTGAGGGAAAAAGACACAATAGGTGTTCAGTAATTGACAGAGAAACTCTTGTAGAAATAGAGTTAGGAAATTTGCCTAATAATTGGTCTGCTCAAACTTGTGAGCTGTTTGCACTCAGCCAAGCCTTAAAGCACTTACAGAACCAGGAAAGAGCCATCTATACCAATTCTAAGCATGCCTTTGGAGTGGCTCATAGATTTGGAAAAATTTGGACTGAACGAGGTCTTATTAATAGCAAAGGCCAAGACCTGGTCCCCAAGGAATTAATCACCCAAGTATTAAATAACCTTCAATTGCCAAAAGAAATAGCTATTGTCCATGTCCCCAGACACCAGAAAAAGCCTTTCTTTAATTAAAGTCCCAAATTTACAAGGTTTTCAACAAAAGGAAAGTTTGCTAAAAGTTAACAGTGTAACATGTATTATCCTAACTTTTAATCTTGTGCCGTAGGCAGTCTAGTCCACAGACATGAAGGAAGTTTGCTTTAGGAAAGAATGGTTATCATCTCTGACATTAAAAAAAAAAAAAGAATTTATGTAAAAACAATCTTATATGGTAAATTCTTGTCCTAAAATAAATTAACTGGTTGTTGAAAGAAAAGGATGTTTACAACAAGTCAGAAAGTTAAGGCATGTTAAAGATTGTCTGTGAAAGTCATGAAAAATGTTATAAAAGGGAATTTATGCCAGAAATGTTGTATAATTTAAAAGTAATTAGGCCTCCTGAATGTAAAACTATTGAAGAAACAGTTTATGTGCAAGGTGTGTAAGAAAAATAAAATATACTTTTGGTAAAAGGATTATAAGGTGGCATAAGAATGTGGATTTTTACCTACATTAAAAGTTTAAAAATTGTTTTGAAAATTTAAGGAAGTTTTGAAACATTAATTGTAAAGGAAATTCTGTGTGTAAACATATTAAAGTTAAAGGGGTATCATCCAGTTTTTCTGTGAACTGGGCATTAAAATAAAAGCACAACAGGTTTTTCTTAAAGCACTAACCTGGTCTTTAACAAAAATTATAAAGGGTTTAAAAGAGTCTATAAAAATCTTACCTTATGGTCAGACATTAAAATTGCATAAATATGTCACAAGGTTTTATTAAAATTGAGTTTAACATTAATAGCACATTAATATAAAGGTGAAATGTAGCTTATCCAGTATAAAATCATACAGGAAGCACTGTCAAATATAAAATGCTGTTTGGCTTTCTTTGGTCTAAAAACTAATAAAAATAGGTGCTAAAGAGAATTCAGAAAGAAAATGGATATTGCCAGACCAGAAAGAAATGTTATCCAAACCCCTTATGAGGAAAATCTTGTTCCAACTGCATCAAGGGAACCATTGGGGGCCCCAGGTCATGTGTGACGCAGTCCTCAGAGTTTATGGGTGGATAGAAATTTATACCCTGGCCAAATGGGTTACAGAAAGTTGCACAGTAAAAGCTTCCCCTTTAGGGAAAGGAGTCCAGGCTTAAGGCCATTCCAAAGTATCCAGATTGATTACACAGAGATGCCTCCAACTGGTCATCTAAAGTATTTATTAGTAATAGTAGATCACCTTATTCATTGGGTAGAAGCTATTTCCTTTTCAAGTACAACTGCTAATAATGTAGTCAAGGCATTAGTTGAAAATATTGTACCCATGTTTAGATTATTAGAAAACATTGATTCAGATAATAGGATTCATTTCACTGCACATGTCATTAAGAAATTAGCACAGGTACCAGATATAACATGGGAAGATACTCCTTGACACCCACCTTCATCAGGGAAAGTAGAAAGGCCTATTACCCTGTTGAGAGTCTGAACTGCTCCCCCCAAAGACATAGGCCTATCCCCTCATGAGATGCTTTATGGATTGCCTTATCTACATTCTATTACTGATCTTCCTACATTTGAAACAAACAATCAGTTTCTCAGAAATTATATACTTGGTTTACCTTCCACTGTCTCTTCCCCCAGAACTAAAGGTCTTTTAGCACAGGTGCCACCCCTAGAGTTTCCAGTACACCACCATCAGCCTGAGGACCACGACCTCGTCAAAAGTTGGATGGAGGGAAAACTCAAACTGGCTTGGGAAGGACCCTACCTAGTGCTGCAAACCACCGAGATCTCAGTTCGAAAAGCAGAAAACGGATGGACTCATCACACCTGGGTCAAAAGAACAACACCCCCTCCAAAATCACAGACAGCTATTCCAAGGCCAATTCCAAGGAAGCTAAAGCTAAAACGGGGTTGATCCTCTTATATTGCATCTCTTTCTTTTCCCCTCCTATTGCTAGTCCTCTCGTTATTAATGTAACTAGGTCGAGTTCACCCCAAACTATTACTTTTGATGCTTGCCTTGTGATGCCCTGTGGAGATTTGCCAAACCAGAGGCAACTCTCCACTTCAGAAAAGTATTTTTATCCTTCCTAGCTCTCCTTAGACCGGAAATCTGTTAACTGGGATAAGTTAGTTTGGGAAGAGTTTGACGAAGATTTCCAGTATAAACTGGGAATCCCGTCCTCCTAGAGAAGAGCTTCTCTGCCGAAGTTGGTCCAATGCTTTACAAAATACTAAAGAGCAAGGATGGACCGCCCCAACTAGTACTTGCAGCTTCTTAAAACCATATGTTCATTTTACTAAAGAAGTTACCCTCCCCATTGTCAGCTGAACCAGTATAATCCAGTACAGATGACCATCTCTGCTCCCCAGAGGTCTTCCCCTTCATTAAGCTGTTTCTATGATATAGGAACAGAAGTCTCAGGGAAGGACCCCATAAGATCCTTTGAAATGTGCTTCACTGCCTCCTCACCTCCTGCACGGCCTTCTCCCTCTCCTAAGTTCTCTGCTAAACAAACCTTCTCTTGTTATATACCCAGTGATAGGATCAAAGTGGACGTTGAGGAAGTAAATGATTTAAAACAAACTTTAGCAATAGAGACAGGATATCAACATGCAAATGCCTAGTTGGAATGGATCCGATATTCTGTTCGCACGCTAAACAAAAGCAATTGTTATGCCTGGGCACACAACAGGCCAGAGGCCCAGATTGTCTGCTTTCCACTAGGATGGTCCTCCAGTCGACCAGGCATGGGCTCTATGGTAGCTCTTTTCCAGGATCCCACAGCCTGGGGTAGCAAGTCGTGCCAAGCTGTCTCTCTGCTATATCCCGAAGTCCGACACCCTGCTGGTCAGCCTCTGAGGGCCATCCAGCCTCCATCTCCCAACACTAAGTTCACTTCGTGTCTTTCACGACAAGGAGGGAACTTATTCCTTGGAGACCTGAAAGGACACGAGACTTTTCAGGAGCTTACCAATCAGTCAGCCTTAGTCATCCCCGAGCAGATGTGTGGCAGTATTGTGGTGGACCTTTACTGGACACTCTGCCAAGTAACTGGAGCGGGACTTGTGCTCTAGTCCAACTGGCTATCCCTTTCACCCTGGCATTTCATCAACCAGAGAGAGGGAAAACACAACATCGTAAAACAAGGGAAGACCCTTATGGGTCTTTCAACTCTCATGTTTATTTAGATGCAGCTAGAGTCCCACAAGGAGTACTAGATAAATTTAAAGCTCAAGATCAAATAGCTGCAGGAGTTGAGTCAATATTTTGGTGGGTGCCAATAAGAATGTAGACTGGATAAATTACATTTATTACAACAAACAGCAGTTTATTAACTACACTAGAGATGCTGTTAAACGAATAGCTGAGCAATTAGGGGCTACCAGCCAGATAGCTTGGGAAAATAGAATAGACTTAGATATGATATTAGCAGAAAGAGGAGGAGTTTGTGTCATGATTAAAACTCAGTATTGTAGTTGCCAGGCACGGTGGCTCATGCCTGTAATCCCAGCACTTTGGGAGGCCAAGGTGGGTGGATCATGAGATCAGGAGTTCAAGACCAGCCTGACCAATATGATGAAACCCCGTCTCTACTAAAAATACAAAAATTAGCTGGGTATGGTGATGTGCACCTGTAATCCCAGCTACCCAGGAGGCTGAGGCAGGAGAATTGCTTGGAGCCAGGAGATGGAGGTTGCAGTGAGCTGAGATCACGCCATTGCACTCCAGCCTGGGCAACAGAGCAAAAGCAAGACTCCATCTCAAATAAAAAAACAAACAAACAACAAAACAAAACAAAAAAACCCTCAATATTGTACCTTCATCCCAAACAATACCGCCCCTGATGGAAGTATAACAAAGGCATTGCAAAGTCTAACTGCTCTGTCCAATGAATTAGCCAAAAACTCAGGAGTAAATAACCATTTCTCAGGGCGGCTAGAAAGGTGGTTCGGTAAATGGAAAGAAATCATAGCCTCAATTCTTACTTCTCTTGCAGCTGTAATAGGTGTACTCATTCTTGTTGGGTGCTGTGTCATACCATGCATCCGTGGGCTGGTGCAGAGAGTCATAGAGACAGCACTTACTAAAACCTCCCTTAACTCTCCTCCACTTTATTCAGAGAAGCTTCTTCTTTTAGAGAATCAGGCAGAACAACTAACCCAAGACACGTTAAGGAAGTTTGAAGAGAAAGTAAAATTCAAGAGGATGAAGTTGTTGAATACAGTGAGTTCTAAATTTCTCTTCAAAGAATCAGTATGTCAGTATGTTCAGTTCTTTATTCTCCATTTTATAGTTTAACTTCCTCATTCTCCTCACCCCTAGTTTCAGTAGACAACCTTTTCCAGTTTTAATCAGTAGTTCACATCTGTTCCCCTGGTCACCTGCTCCATCCTGAGTCACCCCTGGTCACCTGCTGTGTCCCGAATTATCCTGAGTCACCTGTTCTGTAACTGCCCTTCCTGCCAAACTACTTACTCCACCACTCCAGTTCATACCCCTGCTCTCTTTAAAATAGCCAGTCAGAATCAGCTTAGACTGTGAGGTCCAACCCTAGCCAATAGGGGACGTGGCAGTAGGGGCTACCTGCGTCAGGAATAAAAACCCCTTCTCCTCCCTTGTTCAGGTGCGCTCTCGCCATTGCTCCATCCGTGAGTCACACCCTTCTATAGAAGTAAAATTGCCTTGCTGAGAAAATTAAATTTATGTTCCAGTGCTATTTCTTTTGCAGCACCAAAAAATTATTTGTAACTTTCTGTAGCTCCCTGCCTGAGACAACGGGGACTCCCAGGACACAGGAAGAACAACCTTGCTCTGAGGAATTGAGGAGGGCAGTAGCTTCCCAACCTATCCTGGAAAGCAGCATATCTCATTTACTGGTGTGTGCTAGAATATGGACTTCACAAATACACCCTTGGGTCTGAAAGTCAGTTCCAGCACTTATTAACTGGTTTGGGCAACACGTTTTATGTCTCCGAGCCTTCTTTTTCTCTATGTACAAAATGTAGGCAGTACTGGCCACCTACATTTTGTAATAGTTTCCTTCCCTTCTGTGCCCTTCTCCTCTTTTCTTTCCCCCTTCTTTCCTCCCTCCTTCTCCCTCTTTTTCTCTGTTTCTTTTTCCATAATTAACTGGTTATTCTTCTATTAAGAGGTAGACTAGGCCAGGTGTGGTGGCTCATGCCTGTAATCCCAGCACTTTGGGAGGCTGGGGCAGGCAGATCACCTGAGGTCAGGAGTTCGAGACCAGCCTGGCCAACATGGCGAAACCCCATCTCCATTGAAAAAAATACAAAAGTTAGCCAGGCGTGGTGGCACACATCTGTAATCCCAGATACTCGGGAGGCTGAGGTGGAGAATCGCTTGAACCCGGGAGGCAGAGGTTGCAGTGAGCTGAGATCATGCCACTGCACTCCAGCCTGGGTGACAAGAGCGAAACTCTGTCTCAAAAAATAAAAATAAAAATAAAAGTGAGACTAAGAATCCTGATAGATACATACAGTGCCACTGTAAGGAATAAATGAGTGTGGTAAATTCTTATAATTTTATGGTTCTATTTGCTTTTTTTATTTCAATAGTTTTTGGGGTATAGGTAGTTTTTGGTTACATGGATGAAGTCTTTAGTGGCGAATTCTGAGATTTTATTATACCTGTCATTTGAGCAGTGTACACTGTACCCAGTATGTAGTCTTTTATCTCTCCCACCTCCCAATGTCACCCCACCCCAAGTCCCCAAAGTCCATTATGTCACTCCATATGTTTTTGCATCCTTATACCTTAGCTTCCACTTAAAAGTAAGAACAGGGCTTGCTTTGGCAGCACATATACCAAAATTGGAATGATACAGAGAAGATTAGCATGGCCCCTGTGCAAGAATAATACACAAATTCGTGAAGCATTCCATATTTTTTTGGCTGGGTATGGTGACGCATGCCTGTAATCCCAGCACTTTGGAAGGCCAAGGTGGGTGGATTGCTTGAGGTCAGGAGTTCAAGACCAGCCTAACCAACATGGTGAAACCCTGTCTCTACTAAAAATACAAAAATCAGCCGAGTGTGATGGCACACACCTGTAATCCCAGCTACTTGGCAGGCTGAGGCAGGAGAATCACTTGAAGCCGGGAGGCGGAGGTTGCAGTGAGCCAAGATTGCCCCACTGCACTCCAGCCCAGGTGACACAGTGAGACTCTAGATCAAAAAAAAAAAAAAAAAAAAAAAAAGGAAGAACATACAGTATTTGGTTTTCCATTCCTGTTACTTCACATAGAATAATGACCTCCAGCTCCATCCAAGTTGCTGCAAAAGACATTGTTTTGTTCCTTTTTATGACTGAGTATTCTATGGTGTATATACACCACATTTTCTTTATTTACTCCTTGGTCAATGGGCATGTAGTTTGGTTTCATATCTTTGCAATTGCAAATTGTGCTGCTATAAACATGTATGCATATGTCTTTTTCAAATGACTTTTCTTCCTTTGTGTAGATACCCAGTAGTGGGATTGCTGGATCAAATGGTAGGTCTACTTTTAGTTCTTTGAGGCACACTGTTTTACAAAGTAGTTGTACTAATTTACATCGCCATCAGCAGTGTAAACGTGTTCCCTTTTCACCACATCCATGCCAATATCTATTGTTTTTTGACTCTAATTATGGCCATTCTTGCAGGAGTAAGGTGGAATCTCATTGTGGTTTTAATTTGCGTTTGTATGGCTCCATTTTGAATACAAGTTACACTTTCCCATACCAGAAGCAGGGCTTAGTTCCAATTTGCAGTTCTCCACCTCCTCCCAGTTCCTCAGTGTCATCCATCCAGATGTCTGCCCTATCCTGGTGACCACCCCACCATGGGATAGCTAGATATAACCTGCCTGACTCACTCCAGTGAACCCCACAGCCTGCCTGTGCTGTGCAGATATGCCGCAGTGATCACCTCTCAATTACAGCCCGACCCGTGCCTGCTTGCTTTAAACCAGGGCTGTCCAACCTTTTGGCTTCCCTGGGCCACATGGGAAGAAGAGGAGTCATCTTGGGCCACACATAAAATACACTAATGCTAATGAAAGCTGATGAGCTAAACAAAAAAAAAAAAATACAAAAAAAATACAAAAAAATCTCAGTGTCTTAAGAAAGTTTACGAATTTGTATTGGGCCACATTCCAAGCCATCCGAGGCCACATGCAGCCTGTGGGCCGTGAGTTGGTCAAGCTTGCTTTAAAGCCACCAGTGGGAACTCCTCACAGGAAACTTGCTGGGGTGATTCCCTGGACCCAAGTAAAGGCTTTAGTCCTGCAGATCCTTCTCTCTCTTGCTCCCCACCCACTGGATGAGCTCCCTGCTGCCTTTGGACGTCCCGTCAACCCTGTGGTCACCACTCTTCTCTCTGGACCTGTGAGTCAGAAAGCGCTGCTGTGGTTTCCTGTGTTTTGTTGCACTGCCAGCTCTGTGTCTCACCTGACCCACACACCTGAGCCTGACTCTCCTCCTGGTCAGGGCTCTCCTCCCAGAAAGTGGCCGTGTTGGTAAGAACAAACTGGACACAGGTCAGCACCAGCAAAAGGGTGTCTTCCAGTACGAACAAGTCATGTGGGAGAGGAACACCTGGTAACCAGCTGGACACAGGCTTTAGGTCGTCCACCAGAAAAAGAAGAATCCCATGAAAGGCACGTTCCAAACGCCCACTTCTCCTGGAGTCCCATCAGGACAGGGCTAGAGTTTATAGATCCTTGACCAAGAGAGACTTCAAGACCAAGTCAGAGCAAAATCCCAACAATGAGATAACGTAAAATACCTAGGACAAAGCAAAAATGCTAGGGGAGGCAGAGAATGAAAAATACCTTGTTTCCTAACTGCTGATTTACTAAGACAAGAGGGTCAACAGGAGACGGCAAGTCACTCAGAAGTAGTCATGGAGATAAATATATATATAACTGATTTATTTTTATATATAATAAAAATAAATAAAAGATATATATTATATAACATATATCATTTATTTTACATAGCACTTATTATATATCACTTATGTATTTTATATATAATAAAAATAAATAAAATATATAATTATATATCTCTTATTTTATTTATAAAAATAGAAGATATATAACTATACATAATATATAAAGATATATATCATTGAATTATATATATAATATATATTATCTATTTTATATATATATAATTTATATATATATAATTATATATAATATATATTATATATATTATATATATATTATAAATATATATTACATTATAAATATATTATATATTATAAATATATATTATAAATATATTATATATTATAAATATATATTATAAATATATTATATATTATAAATATATATTATAAATATATTATATATTATAAATATATATTATAAATATATATTATAAATATATATTATAAATATATTATATATTATAAATATATATTATAAATATATATTATAAATATATTATATATTATAAATATATATTATAAATATATATTTATAATATATATTATAAATATATATTATAAATATATATTATAAATATATATTATAAATATATATTATAAATATATATTATAAATATATTATAAATATATATTATAAATATATATTATAAATATATTATATATTATAAATATATATTATAAATATATTATATATTATAAATATATATTATAAATATATTATATATTATAAATATATATTATAAATATATTATATATTATAAATATATATTATAAATATATTATATATTATAAATATATATTATAAATATATTATATATTATAAATATATATTATAAATATATTATATATTATAAATATATATTATAAATATATTATATATAAATATATATTATAAATATATTATATATAAATATATATTATATATTATAAATATATTATATATAAATATATATTATATATTATAAATATATTATATATAAATATATATTATATATTATAAATATATTATATATAAATATATATTATATATTATAAATATATTATATATAAATATATATTATATATTATAAATATATTATATATAAATATATATTATATATTATAAATATATTATATATAAATATATATTATATATTATAAATATATTATATATAAATATATATTATATATTATAAATATATTATATATAAATATATATTATATATTATAAATATATTATATATAAATATATATTATATATTATAAATATATTATATATAAATATATATTATATATTATAAATATATTATATATAAATATATATTATATATTATAAATATATTATATATAAATATATATTATATATTATATTATTATTCTATATGTTGGGATTTTTATATAATATATAATAGATAACACATATATATATTATATATGTTGGGATTTTTATATATTATATATAATAAAGATATATATCTGTTATTTATTTTTATATATAAAAATAAATGATATATATATTTATCTCCAGGACTACTTCTGAGTGATTTGCCATCTTCTGTTGATATATAATATATGTAATGTTATATTTTTATATAATATAAAGATATATATAAATTAAATATATATATATATTTTATTTATTTGTTTTTGAGACAGGGTGTCTCACTCTGTTGCCCCGGCTGGAGTGCAGTGGTACAATCTTGGCTCACTGTAGCTTTGACCTCCCAGGCTCAAGGAAACCTTTCACCCGCCAAGTAGCTGGAATTACAGGTGCGCACCACCGTGCCCAGCTAATTTTTATATTTTTTGTAGAGATGCGGTTTCACCATGTTGGCCAGGCTGATCTTGAACTCCTGAGCTCAAGCAATCCACCTGCCTCGGACTCTTAATTTTCTGGGATGACAGATGTGCTTGGCCTCTCTCTCTTTTTTTTTTTTTTTTGTTTTGAGACAGAGTCTCGCTCTGTTGCCCAGGCTGGAGTGCAGTGGCACGATCTCAGCTCACTTCAAGCTCCACCTCCCAGGTTCATGCCATTCTCCTGCCTCAGCCTCCCAAATAGCTGGGACTACAGGTGCCTGCCACCATGCCCAGCTAATTTCTTTGCATTTTTAGTAGAGACGGGATTTCACCGTGTTAGCCAGGATCTCCTGACCTTGTGATCCGCCCACCTCAGCCTCCCAAAGTGCTAGGATTACAGGCGTGAGCCACCGCACCCAGCAGCCTCTTCTCAAAAAAATCACAATATGTGAACATATTCCCAATAGAAAATTATTTTATAAATATAGCACTTAAAAAAAAATCAAAAGTCTCATTTTAGCACCAGTCACTCCCAACTCAGACTTTCCATGGCAGGCCAGGTCTCATTAACATAGGCCTCCATAACTGTCTCAGCACTGACTGAGTGGTTAAAAGCTGAGAGAGCCAGTGCCCTTATTCAAAGGCTGGAATGTAACAAAAGTCCACCAAGAGTTTTGCCTAGGCTTTTCCTGGGCCTTATAAAGCATGACAAGATAACGAAGGAATTCTTAATGGGACCTGTTTAGGATTAAACAAGTTTCATTGGGGGTCTGAAAAAACTCCCCAGGCCTCCAATGAAGAAGTTTATTGGGGGTCCTGTTAGAGCAGTGGGAGAGAAGAGAAGGAAGACGAAACAAGAGAGTGGCTCAAACACTTGAGACTGGTTTATTGAGAGTAAACCTGAGAAGGGCTTCTGGCTGGCAGGATCAGGAGCAAACTTCTCTTACAGCCTGAGGCATTTAAAAAGGGCCCAGTGGGGGCAGTGTGCTCTGGGTGTGGTTCCTATGGGGGAGGGGTTAGGGGAGTGCTGGCTGGTTGGGACTGCTGGGGACTTTGATAAGCTTGCTTAGGGTTGTTATGCTCTGTTGAAGATATAGGTGGGGCTGACTTTTGCAGTTTGGTCAGGTGGCAATGGACAGTTCTGAGAAATGGAAACTTGATAGTTTAAGGTGGTGGAGTCTTGTTAAGATGGTGGTACTCTTGTCCCATCAGGTCTGAAGGAATTCCCCAAACCTCCATGATTTAGCAGGAGACAAGATAAGGGTAATCACCCCAGCACCTGGAGCCATTTAGATTAAGTAAATTTATAGAGGAAGGTCTTCAGGATTGAGACCTTAGTTATAGATTAAAAGAAGTTAGCTGGGTGCGGTGGCTCAAGCCTGTAATCCCAGCACTTTGGGAGGCTGAGGTGGGTGCATTACCTGAGTTCAGGAGTTGGAGACCAGCCTGGCCAACATGGTGAAACCCTGTCTCTACTAAAAATGCAAAAATTAGCCGGGCATGGTGGCACGTGCCTGTAATCACAGCTGCTTGGGTGGCTGAGGCAGGAAAATCACTTGAACCTAGGAGGCAGAGGTTGCAGTGAGCCAAGATAGCGCTCCTGTACTCCAGCCTGGGTGACAGAGCAAGACTCTGTCTCAAAAAAAAAAAAAAGAAAAAAGAAAAAAAGTTAATCACTTATGTCTTCAGATGAATGTAGACTTACATGTAGACATATAGGTTAGAAGGTATATAAGCACTGGAAAACTTTCTAATTTTGAGTTAGTCTGGTGATATTTTCCAGGTCTTCTCCCTGTAACCAGTTACCCAAATAAAAATTCCCTCCTTTCCCAGTTCATCTGCATGTTGTTATTGGGCCACTGGAATAAGCAGCCCGACCCTCAGTTTGGTCTGGGAACATTTCTGCTGAGGAGGCAACTACTCTTACCAGTTGGGTATATTTTCTTCCAGGCTTTTCAGGGCAGTTATCGGTGTAGAATCCTGACAGATTGCTCTCAAGGCTTCACCACTCCACACTTCCAACAGAGAATGGCGTGTGCCTTCCCCATCACTGGTTTTTTATTGTCAATAAAGTGAGGCAAAATTTTAAATCTGATGAAATTCTGTGTCTGTGTCAGAGATGTATGAAACAGAGCAACCCCATCTTGAACAGGGGCTGGGTAAAATGAGACTGAGACCTACTGGGCTGCATTCCCAGGAGGTTAAGGCACTCTTAGTCACAGGATGAGATAGGTCAGCACAAGATACAGGTCACAAAGACCTGGCTGTTAAAACAGCATGCACTAGGGCCAGGCGCGGTGGCTCACACCTGTAATCCCAGCACTTCTGGAGGCCGAGGCGGGCGGATCACGACGTCAGAGGATCGAGACCATCCTGGCTAACACGGTGAAACCCCGTCTCTACTAAAAATACAAAATATTAGCCGGGCGAGGTGGCGGGCGCCTGTAGTCCCAGCTACTCGGGAGGCTGAGGCAGGAGAATGGCGTGAACCCAGAGGGGCAGAGCCTGCAGTGAGCCGAGATCGCGCCACAGCACTCCAGCCTGGGCGAGAGCGAGACTTGGTCTCCAAAAAAAGAAAAAAAAAAAAACAAAAACAAAAAGCAGCATGCGTTAAAGAAGCTGGCCAAAACCCCACCAGAAACAAGAGGACCACGAAAGTGGCCTCTGGTCACCCTCATCACTCATTATACGCTAATTATAACACATTAGCATGCTAAAAGACACTCCACCAACACCGTGACAGTTTACAAATGCCATGGCAACGCCAAGGAATTACCCTATATGGTCTAAAAGGGGAAGGAACCCTCAGTTTCAGGAATTCCCAGAAAACTCATGAATAATCTACCCCTTGTTTAGCATATAATTGAGAAATAACTGTAAGTATTCCCATTTGACCAACCCATGCCACTGCTCTGCCTATGGAGTAGTCTTTTTTTTTTTTTTTTTAAATTGAGACAGAGTCTCGCTCTGTCACCCAGGCTGGAGTGCGGGGGTGTGATCTCAGCTCACTGAAACCTCTGCCTCCCGGGTTCAAGCAATTCTTCTGTCTCAGCCTCCCGAGTAGCTGGGACTACAGGTGCCTGCCACCATGCCTGGCTAATTTTTGTATTTTTAGTAGAGATGGGGTTTCACCATATTGGCCAGGCTGGTCTCAACCTCCTCACCTTGTGATCCACCGGCCTCGGCCTCCTAAAGTGCTGGGATTACAGGTGTGAGCCACCGCGCCCAGCCAGAGTAGTCATCTTTCATTCCTTTATTTCTCTAATAAACTTGCTCTCACTTCTTTTTCACACGAGGTCCAAGAACCCTCTCTTGGGGTCTGGATTGGGACCCCTTTCCAGTGACATCCGCTCTAGACTAATCTTATGTCCTGTGGTTGATGAATCGGGAATCTCTGGTGAATAGGAAAAATTGTTGGATTGGGAGGAGATTCTGGTTTCTGGTTTCCCTGGCTCTCATTTAATATGTAACCCTGAGTAGGTAGCTTTCCCTTCCTAAATCAGTTTCCTCAACTATAATGAGAGGATTTAGATCTCCAAAGTCTCTTTTAGTTCAGACTCTCAAAAAAATCCAAAACACACAGCCAGGCGCAGTGGCTCACGAAGTCAGGAGATCGAGACCATTCTGGCCAACATGGTGAAACCCCATCTTTACTAAAAATACAAAAATTAGCCAGGCATGCGTGGTCATGGACACCTCTAGTCCCAGCTACTCAGGAGGCTGAGGCAGGAGAATTGCTTGAAACTGGGAGGCGGAGGTTGCAGCAGTGAGCCGACATCGCACCACTGCACTCCAGCCTGGGTGACAGAGCAAGACTCCATCTCAAAAAAAAAAAAAAATCCAAAACACACAAGTTATATCAGAGCTGGAAGAATCTGGGAACTCTTACTTTGGGAGATTTGGGTGAGGTTCTTATGGTCTCCTTCACAGTTTGTTTATTTCAGTTCAATCTGATAGATTCTACCCTCAGACTCTATTTATAGTGATTACTGTGTGAAAGGAAAATACATCTCGGGACCCCAAAAATCACTAAGCAAAAGGGAAAAGTCAAGCTGGGAACTATGTCAGGCAAACCTGCCTCCCATTTTATTCCTAAATAACATAGCTACAAAGGTTTGACAACAACAGCAAAAAAAAAAAAAAAAAAAAGCTGCATACCTCCCTCACAAGTTTCCCAGAAGGAAATTCCTTGTGGACAAGGGACAGACAGAACTCAAAGTCTTCCTTCTGCTCACTTGAGACAAATGCCTATCTGATTGCTTCCTCTGCCCTATTGTTTCACTAAACCAGACTAAGGCCTAAGTGACTATTCCTCTACCCTCCTCTCACATGTAAATTGCATATTCAGTGGGAGGCTAATCAGAGACTCAAAGGAATGCACCCCTTGTCTCTCATCTACCTATGACCTGGAAATTCCCACCCTACACCCAGTTGTCCCAATGTCAGAGATGATAAATTAATCTTCAAAAAGCTTTAGTTCTCTGTTCTTTGTTTCTTATGACCAACTTCCTTGTACTTCCTTGTCTCCTAGCTACCTGTTCTGTAAACAACCTTCTCGCCTTTGCGGTGCTTAGATAGACAAGTCCTTCTGGCCTAGTAAAGGACAGTCCCTCTTCCTTCCCATCTAATAGACCCTATTCAGTTTAAACCTTAGCTTAGATTGTGAAGTCCAACCTCAGCCAATGGGGAAAGGACACAGAAGTGCTAGGAACTGCGTTAGGGATAAAACCCCTGCCCTCCCCCGCTCAGTGTGCTCTTGCAGTCATGACTGGTGCAAGCTGCACCTTTCTGCAGAAGTAAATTTGGCTTGCTGAGAAATCTTTTGTTTGAGTGCTCATTTTCTTTATGACTCTGAGCTCTTATTTCTAACACCACCTTTCCAGGCCAAACCAATGTACATCGTACACATATTGATTGATGTCTCATATCTCCCTAAAATGTATAAATCCAAGCTGTGCCCCAACCACAGTAGGCACGTGTCATCTGGACTTCCTAATGTTAGAGGTGTGTGAACCAGAGCAACTCCATCTTCATAGGGGCTGGGTGAAATAAGGCTGAGACCTTCTGGGCTGCATTCACAGACTAAGTCGTTCTAAGTCACAGGACAACACAGGAGATCAGCACAAGATACAGGTCATAAAGACCTTGCTGTTAAAACAGATTGCAGGAAAGAAGCCGGCTAAAACCCAACAAAACCAAGATGGCTACAAGAGTGACCTCTGGTCATCCTCATTGCTACACTCCCACCAGTGCCGTGAGAGCTTACAAATGCCATGGAAATGTCAGCAAGTTACTGTCAGGCCTCTGAGCCCAAACCTGCATGTATTCATCCAGATGGCCTGAAGAATCACAAAAGAAGTGAAAATGGCCTGTTCCTACCTTAACTGACAATATTACCTTGTGAAATTCCTTCTCCTGGCTCATCCTGGCTCAAAAGCTCCCCCACTGAGCACCTTGTGACCCCCACCCCTGCCAGCCAGAGAACAACCCCCTTTGACTGTAATTTTCCACTACCTACCCAAATCCTATAAAACAGCCCCACCTCTATCTCCCTTCGCTTCAGCCCACCTGCACCCAGGTGATTAAAAAGCTTTATTGCTCACACAAAGCCTGTGTGGTGGTCTCTGCACACAGACACGCATGAAAGTTACCCTATATGGTCTAAAAAAGGGGAGGCATGAATAATCCACCCCTTGTTTAGCATATAATCAAGAAATAACCATAAAAATGGGCAACCAGACAGGTGCAGTGGCTCATGCCTGTAATCCCAGCACTTTGGGAGGTCGAGGCGGGTGGGTCACCTGAGGTCAGGAGTTTGAGACCAGCTTGGCCAATATGGTGAAACCCCGTTTCTACTAAAAATACAAAAATTAGCTGGGTATGATGGCATATGTGCCTGTAGTCCCAGCTACTTGGGAAGCTGAGGCAGGAGAATCGTGCCATTGCAGTCCAGCCTGGGTGACAGAGCAAGACTCTGTCTCAAAAAAAAAAAAGGGGGGGCAACCAGCAGCCATCAGGGTTGTTCTGTCTATGGAGTAGCCATTCTTTTATTCCCTTACTTTCCTAATAAACTTGCTTTTACTTTAATCTGTGGACTCACCCTGAATTCTTTCTTGTGTGGAGTCCAAGAACCCTCTCTTGGGGTCTGGATCGGGACCGCTTTCCTGTAACACCGAGGCTGTGTGTCACAGGAATATCCTTAACCTTGGCAAAACACACTTTCTAAATCGATTGAGATCTGTCTTTCATACTTTTGGGTTCACAACTGAAATGTGCAGTGAGACTTATTTTATACCATATTATTTTGTGTATTTTCTTTGTTTATTATCCTTTTTGTTTGCTTATTTTTCTCCTTCTATTCCTTCTGTTGAAACGTTTCCTTTCTTCCTTCTTCCTTCTGCTTGTTTACAGTAATTTCATTGTTTTTCTGTTCTTTCAGTGACTTCCCTCAAATGTCAACATACATTACTTTTTTTTTTTTTTTTTTCGAGACAGAGTCTTCCTCTGTCACCCAGGCTGGAGTGCAGTGGTGCGAGCTTGGCTCACTGCAACCTCTGCCTCCCAGGTTCAAGCGATTCTCCTGCTTCAGCCTCTGGAGTAGCTGGGATTACAGGCATGTGCCTCCATGCCCGGCTAATTTTGTATTTTTTAGTAGAGACGGGGTCTCTCCATGTTGGTCAGGCTGGTCTCGAACTCCCGACCTCAGGTGATCCGCCCGCCTCGGTCTCCCAAAGTGCTGGGATTACAGGCGTGAGCCACCATGCCCGGCCAACAATTTTCAACTCGTGTCAACCTTGTGTCATCTAAACCCTGTATACCTTCTCAGCTCCCATCAGGCACTGAATTATTATGATGCAGATCTGTGATATGTCATTTTATTCATAATGTTTTAATATCAACATACATTCAAAACCTTTTTTCCCAACAAAGTCTAATCCATATCTCTGACATCCTTCCAATCAAGAAAAGGATCTTACAAGAAAATGCCTTAACTACAGGTTGCCTACCCCAGATAAACACCTACTGCCTGATTGATTGATTGAGACAGAGTTTTCCGCTCTTGTTGCCCAGGCTGGAGTGCAGTGGTGCAATCTTGGCTCACTGCAACCTCTGCCTCCCGGGTTCAAGCAATTCTCCTGCCTCAGCCTCCTGCACAGCTTGGATTACAGGCATGTGTCACCATGCCCAGCTAATTTTTTGTATTTAGTAGAGACGGGATTTTACCATGTTGGTCAGGCTGGTCTCGAACTCTTGACCTCAGGTAATCCACCCGCCTCAGCCTCCCAAAGTGCTGGGATTACAGGTGTGAGCCACTGCACCCAGCCTATTTGTTATTTTTATCAATAAGTTTAGACCCATCTTTTAAAAGCAAAAAGAGCTCATTACGGCTGTTTCCAGTCAATAATTGTTTAATTTACTGGCATTTTTATCATATTTCTGTATTCACCATTTTTCTTGCATCCCACACTTTTTCTTTCAATGAGGGGCTATAGGTGTTAAATTCTCTGATTGTGGGTGTATCTGATATATCTTTATTCCACCCTCAATCTCGAACTATGGTTCCAGGAATTGCCAGATTCTACTCATTAATGGATATTTAACAAATTCTGCAATATTCTCTTTACCATCAGCCTTGGCTCCAAACTGCTTTAACTTGGAAAGATATCCAGTCTCTTTACCCTCACTTCTTCCAAACTTCCACAATTCTCTTGCTCTCTTTCCTTAGAGAAGTGCAAGAACTCAATGCAGAACCTATCAATGTATAGACTTTAAGATGAGGTGGCACAGAAGAACAATAAGGGGGGATAGGTTCACATTAAATACAGATAAGTAAAGCTTAAGCAGGATTTTTGGAAAACAGAGACAATGCTAGAGTAACAGGTTTAGTTGCCAAAGGATTTCTCTCTACCCATCTCAGCAAGAGAGAATCAGGTCTCCTGAGATTAATTGGTTTTATTTAATTAATTTATTTTTTAAGATGGAGTCTCAGTCTGTCACCCAGGCTGGAGTGCAGTGGTGCGATCTCGGCTCACTGCAATCTCCGCCTCCCAGGTTCAGGTGATCCTGCCTTAGCCTCCCGAGTAGCTGGGACTACAGGCACACACACCACCAAACCTGGCTAATTTTTGTATTTTTTTAGTGGAGTCGGGGTTTCACCATGTTGTCCAGGCTCCTCTTGAACTCCTGACCTCAAGTGATCTGCTTGCCTCCGCCTCCCCTGAGTGCTGGGATTACAGGTGTGAGCCACCGTGCTTAATAAGTTTTAACTAAGTATTCCAGGCACAAAAAGTAGAGAGAGAAAGAGATAACAGTCAAATTAATCACCTCTAATTCTGAAATTCACACCTGATCTAGCTCTCATAGAGAAATGCTGGTCCTCAACCCTGGTCACATATCAGAATCATCTGGGAAATATTTAAAACACAAAAATGTTTTGAACAAATTCAATAATAAATCTCTGTAACTATAGGCCTCATGGAACCTATCACTTCTTCCTTTTGCTATTTTAATAAAAGATCTCAGTTTTAGAAACAATTCAGGGGTCGATTTTGGCTGTATTTGGACATTCCAAAAGTTAAAGTAATTGGTCTAGGGACATCTGAATAAGGACATCCTTTTATATTATAAAAGAACATTCTTTGGTAGTATAAGGACATCCTTGTATAATCTACCTAGGATATTCATTCAGTAATGAAGAATTTTTGACTTTTGGCCTGGCCTGTGCTAGAGTTGACCACCTTAAACTGTTAACAAAATGCAGATCCCATCAGTGAAGGTCCTGTGACAGCAAGCAAGTGTGTCGGGGGAATAACTTGCAGGAAAGATACAGGTTGATTCACAGAAAGAAAAGAATATCAGATTTTCTTTGTGATGCTCCCACTGGAATGACTTAATATGCCAATCTTTGAAACAATAATTGTGCTAGGGAAGGGGCTAAAGTGATTAACATTCCCAACTACCCCAAAGTAAGGAAAGAAATGCAAAACAGGCAAAATTAACAGGTGTGTATGCCGGGCACGGTGGCTCATGCCTGTAATCCCAGCACTTTGGGAGGCCGAAGTGGGTGGATCACCTGAGATTGGGAGTTCGAGACCAGCCTGACCAACATGGAGAAACCCCATCTCTACTAAAAAATGCAAAATTACCTGGGCGTGGTGGCACATACCTGTAATCCCAGCTACTCCGGAGGCTGAGGCAGGAGAATCACTTGAACCCAGGAGGTGGAGGTTGCAGTGAGCCGAGATCGCACCATTGCACTCCAGCCGTGGTAACAAGAGCGTAACTCCCTCTCAAAAATAAAACAAACAAACAAACAAAAAACAGGTAGTGCTATGTAAATGCTTAAACAGTTGGGGTAAGTTATTGCCACACTAGGCTGGCTGGTGGACTGATCCGGTAATTCTCCCTATTAAGTGACATGTTACTGAATAGGCCAGAGCAAAGGTGATTTGGCATCCTCTGTCGTTATTTGCAAACTTGGATCTCAATTCAGGAGCTAAGACCATGTACTTGGGTCAGGCAGCAAGCATGAGCCCGCCTGACTCTAAGTTCTTGGCTGCCACCTGGTGGTAATGTTGAAGGAACACACCACTCCCATCAACAGATTAATGTGGATGGAAGGGACTCCACTCAATACTTCATCTGGTTGCTGAGACAGGAACTGAAAATATAAACGATGATTTTTAAGGGGCACTGCTCTACAAATATGTGTAGTTCCCTTGCTAATGAAGAAAGAGAAACCCTACTCCATCATCAAGAGGCGTCCTCTGGGCCCTTCCAGCATTTATCTACATCCCGTGTGCAGCTGGTTGAACTGGGTCCCCCACCCCAAGAGATGTCTTCATCCTAGAATCTGTGAATGTGACCTTATTTGGAAAAAAGGATCGGCCAGGCACGGTGGCTCATGCCTGCTGTAATCACAGCATTTTGGGAGGCCAAGGCAGGAGGATTGCTTGTGCCCAGGAGTTTGAGACCAGCAATATAGCGAGACTCCATTTCTAAAAAAAAAATAAAAATTAGCCAGGCATGGTGGCCCACACCTGTAGTCCCAGCTACTCAGGAGGCTGAGTTGGGAGGATCACCTAAGTCCAGGAGATTGAGGCTCCATGAGCTATGATCATACCACACTGTACTCCAGCCTGGGCGACAGAGTGAGACTCTGTCTTAAAAAAGAAGAGGGGAGGGGAGGGGAGGGAAGGAGAGGGGAAGGGAGGGAAGGGGAGGAAGGGGAGGGGAGGGGATCTTCGCAGATGTGATTAAGAATCTCCAGATGAGATCATCTTGGATGATCTCAGCCCAAATTAAATGACAAGTGTCCTGATAAGAGACACACAGAGATGAGAGAGAGAAGAAATGCAATGTGAAGACAGAGGTGGAGATTGGAACAATGCAGCCAAAAGCCAGGGAATGCCTGGAGCCACCAGGAGCTAGAAGAAGCAAGGATGAGTTCTCCATGAGGGCCTCCAGAGGGGGCATAGTCCTGTGGACACTTCAGCCTCCAGAATGGCAAGAAAAATAATTTCTGTTGTGTTAAGTCACCAAGTTTATAGTATTTTTTTTTTTTTTTGAGATAGAGTCTCACTCTGTTGCCCAGGCTAGAGTACAGTGGTGCGATCTCGGCTCACTCCAACCTCTGCCTCCCGGGTTCAAGTGATTCTCCTGCCTCAGCCTCCCGAGTAACTGAAATTACAGGTGTGTGCCACCATGCTTGGCTAATTTTTGTATTTTTAGTAGAGGCGGGGTTTTGCCATGTTGGCCAGGCTGGTCTCGAATTCCTGACCTCAAGTCAACCACCCACCTCAGCCTCCCAAAGTGCTGGGATTACAGGCATGAGCCACCACGCTTGGCCATTTATAGTAATTTGTTATAGCAGCCCTAGCCTGACTAATACATTCCCTCTCCACTGGGAGCCATGGTTTGTTCAAAGAAATGATACCAGGCCCTCACCCCACATGCCATGGAGGTGGGTTCCCCTGCATACTCTTAGACACCCACATTTGCTGGGAGACATTTTACCCATCAATAACGAAGCTGCAAAGCCCTCCATCAATCCCGTCAAGAGCTCTTACCTCAATCAGATGTGCCCAGCATCATGAAAGCAGAGAGGCCTTATCCTGAATTGTCAGATGGCAGTCAAGGTTGCAAAAGCAGAGACAGACTAACGATCTTACATATTACCCATGACCACAAATCCAGGATGACAGACTGGAAGAACTGAACTGAACGTAGAGAGAAAAAAGAGGACGGGTGCGGTGGCTCATGCCTGTAATCCCAACACTTTGGGAGGTGGAGGCGGGTGGATCATTTGAGGTCAGGAGTGTGAGACCAGCCTGGCCAACATGGTGAAACCCTGTCTCTACTAAAAATTCAAAAATTAGCTGGGTGTGCTGGCGGTTGCCTGTAAGGAGCCTGAGGCAGGAGAATTACTTGAACCTAGGAGGCAGAGGTTGCAGTGAGCACTCCAGCCTAGGCGATACAGCAAGAGTCCATCTCAAAAAAAAAAAGAGACAGAGAAAGAGCCGTATAAGGAAGACAAATATAATCCTTGCAGTTCCTGCCTTTCACCCTCTTGAGACTTTGGGAGGAGGGGTGTGTATCTACCTTGATTTTCTATTGGTGTTGAAGGGGATCAGAATACATTACCCCAGAAGAGGCCACTTCGGCATAAGGATTATTTTGAGCTGAGGGCAACTGAGAAACTGCAGACAAAAAGAGCTCTCTACCCACTCCCTTTCTGCCTAAAAGCAGGGAAATTCCCCATGTAAAGATGTTTCTCTATACCAAGGCAGGGTGACTGGCACAGAGATGAGTTGGCATGACAAACATTACTAAACAACCCTTACCCACCACTTCCTAGTCATCTTTCCACAACTTACCAGCCCTAGGAACCCAAACTCTCCCTCCCTCCCTCTCTCTTTCTCAGATTCTCTGTCACCTAGGCTAGAGTGCAGTGACACAATCATGGCTCACTGCAGCCTCCAACTCTTGGGCTCAAGAGATCCCCCCACTTCAGCCTCCTGAGTATCTGCAACTACAGGCACACACCACCACTCCTGGGTAATTTTTTTTTAAAAATTGCTTTTTTTGATCATGCACAGTGGCTCATGCCTCTAATCCCAGCACTTTGGGAGGCCAAGGCAGGCAGATCACCTGAGGTCAGGAGTTCGAGACCAGCCTGGCCAACATGGTAAAACTCAGTCTCTACTAAAAATACAAAAAATTAGCCAGGCGTGGTGGCTTGTGCCTGTAGTTCCAGCTACTTGGGAGGCAGAGGCAGGAGAATTGCTTGAATCCAGAAGGCGGAGGTTGCAGTGAACCAAGATCATGCCATTGCACTCCAGCCTGGGTGACAGGGTAAGACTCCATCTCAAAAAAAAAAAAAAGGAAAATGGTATATAAGCCCCCAAGTCTAACCACTGCTTTGCATTTTTGCTCCTTTTATGTGAAGCCCCATGCATGTAAAAATATTAAAATTTGTATGTCTTTCCTCCTGTTCATCTACCTGTTGTCAGTTTAACTTACAGACTCCAGTCACAGAATCTAACAGGATAAATGAAGTTTTTCCTCTCCTGCAATTGAACTACGAGTGGTGGGACTGTGTCGGGGGAAGAACCCTCTCTACTGGAATCCAAACATCCAAACACACAGGCAAAGTCTAAAAAGACAGTAACCACAGGAGTTATGACAGATTTGCTACTTAGATAGTGGGAAAGGACAAAAATTAATTAAAATACAAATACTGGTCAACAAGCAAGGCCCTTTCATATAAACAATGAAATAACCATCCATTCTATACCAGGATACAATATTTTTCTGAAGTCTCTTTGAAAGAAACAATTTCCCATAATTTTGATACTAGGGTATGTGGGTGGTTTGTGGGGTGGGCAACCATTTGTCAATGCCATTAAGTTATTTATTTATTTTTTTCAGATGGAGTCTCACTCTGTCGCCCAGGCTGGAATGCAGTGGCACGATCTTGGCTCACTGCAACCGCCACCTCCCAGGTTCGAGCGATTCTCATGCCTCAGGCTCCTGAGTAGCTGGGACTACAGGCACATGCCACCATGCCTGGCTAATTTTTGTACTTTTTCAGTAGAGACAGGGTTTTACCATGTTGGCCAGGCTAGTGTCGAACTCCTGACCTCAAGTGATCCATCCACTTCAGCTTCCCAAAGTGCTGGTTTTACAGGCATGAGCCACCGCACTTGAATGAAGTAAACTTCTTTAAAGATGACAGTAAGTTTGATCTATATACTGATATCAAGGAACATATCAACAGATGCTGTGATCACTGGGGCAAGGACACACCTGGACATTCTTTTTTCTTACTCTGATGGAGGTAAATGCTGTCTGATCTATGAAAACAATCTTTCTACACCCAAGATTAAATAAAACTGTTTCTAACCCAGTTATGATTCTCTGGATTTGTGGGAACAGAATATCATAAATGCCATTGAAGAAGCTGGGATTGACTGGATTTAGCCAAGACAACACAAAAGCCAGATGGTATTTGATTTTTGCAACACAGAGGTTTAACTATTCAGATTCAGGAAAGTATTGAGCTTCCACGGGGAATTCCTAATGAGCTGAATAATCTGCAGGATTGATGTTCCAGATGCCTCTGAAGGGAGGACATGGGTCAGCACAGGAGACTCCCTAATCACAGCCAATGATCAATTCAAACTCATCTGACCACTATCGCAACAACGCATGATGGTAATTCTTTAGGATCATGGGGCATTCTCTGGACTACCCACAAATTACCCTAATCATCAATCCGCAGCTTGAAATCATTTCCCACTGGGCTAATTCTACTTATCTACCCCTTATCTCCTTACGAAAAAAAAAAAAATGTCCCATGAGCCAGGGACACTCACCTACCACTTGCTTGCAAATTGGGACCCATGAGTAGCAAGCAGAGAGATATTTGGGATAGTTAAGTAGTAGGATTGGAGGTCTTCTTTCAGGCTACTGGGTTCTGTATAAATCTAATCTGGTACAGCTATGGGCAGGAGTTATTTCTTGCAGCAAGATAGAGGCCAAACTTGGGTAGGTTGATTGTAACCCAAGACACAGAAGAAATTATTAGCAGTTGAACTAAGAGGTTTACCATATGGTAAAGGTTTGGAACATGCCACTCAGGCAACCCAAAACTCTGTTTTCACCTATTTGTTAAATTTTCATTCATCAGGGAACTATCGACCAATATGCCAGACAGTGTACCAGGCACTATCATGAATAGCAAGACCAGACAGAATCCCTGCCTTCTTGCAGCTGACCTTGTAGTGGGGGACACAGGAGGTTAACAAGTGAAAAGTACACACACGAGATTTCCAGAGAGCAGTGTCATACAGTTCACAAGGACACGGGCAAGGAGACATGAACTTTTATCTGGCCAAACCAGGTTGCTTTCATTTATAAAGGCCTTAATTGGAAACAGAAAGGTACAGATCCCAGGTCAAGGGGAAGGAAATAAGACCCAACTGCTGCTGGGGCTGGAATGTTTGTGTGTTCAACCTAGATTCAACAACCCGAATTTCACCCCTAAAAGACCTGAACAAACAATTTGGATAAATGCCCACCAGGTGGCAGGAGTGCCTCTTCCCTTCATTTCTGCAATTGAAATTAAACATGCACCTTATCCTTTAAAAAAAAAAAAAACCGTTTTGTTTTCATAAGCTATTTTTATCCTTTTCAATGTTGAAACCAGTTGATTTCACAATACTACTAAATAACATACTTAAAATACAGTGCCAATGTAGCAAGTCTCTAAGCTAGTATCTAGGTAAAATATGGCCCTTACCTTCCAGGCCTCCACGTTGATCTCAGTTGCTTTTGATTCTTAACTTGATTCACCAATCTTACCTGGAATTGCCTTACAAGTCAGTCAGCTTCTTTAAACTCAGAGTCCAGAGCTCTTCCTTGGCTGTGTTCTTAATTCCAGAGCTTCAGTTCTGCTTAGAGCCCAACATCCTTGCTGGCGGATTTTCTCATCAAGCAAAATGTTCCCTACTCTTTTCCGTCGTGCGTTCATCCTTTTATAAAATTGGAATTGAATGACGTCAATTAAAATAAATTAGTTTAAGCTGAAAATCCAACACAAGTGAAAAGTGTTCAAATCTCAATGAAACCATAGAAGCCATGCAGTCTATGTAGTCAACGATAACAAAGCTTATCTGATGGACTAAGTTGAATGTGGCCAAATAAATCACATAGGAAACCTCAACTCTTTTCTGCTCCCTTTGAAAATATAAAACAGGACGAAGGTTTCCAGAGCATTGCAGCAGGATGCAGTCATGGAATAAGAGAGAAAATCTTCAGCCAGGTGTGGTGGCTCACACCTGTAATCCCAGCCTTTGAAAGGCGGAGGCGGGAGGATCACTTGAGGTCAGGAGTTTGAGACCAGCCTGGCCAACATGGTGAAACCCCGTCTCTCCTAAAAATACAAAAAAAAAATTAGCCGGGCGTGGTGATATGCACCTGTAGTCCCAGCTACTAGGGAGGCTGAGGCACAAGAATCGTTTGAACCCAGGAGGCAGAGGTTGCAGTGAGCCGAGGTTGTGCCACTGTACTCCAGCCTGGGTGACAGAGTGAGACTCCATCTCAAAAAAAAAAAAAAAAAGGAGAGAAAACCTTCAGAAAACTCAGAGTTGCTGAGAGCACCAGAACTTAATCAGGAGAGGGGCTGGGGGAAGCACATGGGGTAACCCCCAGAATCTTGCTCTGGGCTAGAGAAGGCTCAACACACAGCAAGGAGAATATCAGAGAAGAGGCTGAAGGGGAGACTTCATAGGAGACAGGCGCTGGAGGAATCAAGATCAACTGGGTTTCCATCCTTGTGGCATCCCACTGGGGAGCCCAGGAGAGGCTCCGAAAGAGGAAGTTGATTGGCCTGGCTTGGGTCATATGCTACAAGTCACTTTGATTGACCTCTACAAGACATTGCCCACAGGGAGGCAGAGAGAGCTCTCCAGAAAGAATTCGGGGTGTTGATGTAGTTTGTATATTTGTCCCCACCCAAATCTCACATTGAATTTTCCTCCCCAGTGTTGGAGGTAGGGCCTGGTTGGAGGTGATTGGATCATGGAGGTGGTTTCTCATGAATGGTTCAGTGCCATCCACTTGGTGCTGTCCTTGTGATAGTGAGTTCTTATGAGATCTGGTCATTTAAAACTGTGTGGTGTCTGGGCGTAGTGGCTCACGCCTGTAATCCCAGCACTTTGGGAGGCCGAGGGAGCAGATCACCTGAGGTCAGGAGTAGGAGACCAGCCTGGCCAACATGGTGAAACCCCGTCTCTACTAAAAATACAAAATTAGCTGGGGGTGTTGGCACCTGCCTGTAATCCCAGCTACTCAGGAGGCTGAGGCAGGAGAATCACTTGAACCTGGGAGGTGGAGGTTGCAGTGAGCCGAGATCACGCCATTGCACTCCAGCCTGGGCAAAAAGAGTGAAATTCTGTCTCAAAAATAAATAAATAAAATAAAAATGTGTGGCGCCCCCACCCTTGCTCCTGCCCTGGCCATGTGACATGCCTCCTTCCCCTTTGCCTTCCACCATGACTGTAAGCTTCCTGAGGCCTCCCCAGAAGCTGAGCACATGTCAGCATCATGCTTCCCATAAAGCCTGAAGAACCATGAGCCAATTAAACCTCCTTTTTTTTTTTTTTTTTTTTTTTTTGAGACAGAGTCTCTCTCTGTTGCCCAGGCTAGAGTGCAGTGGAGCAATGATGGCTCACTGCAACCTCCGCCTCCTGAGTTGAAGAGATTCTCCTACCTCAGCCTGCCGAGTAGCTGGGACTACAGGTGCCTGCCACCATACCTGGCTAGTTTTTGTATTTTTAGTAGAGACAGGGTTTCACCATATTGGTCAGGCTGGTCTCAAACTTCTGATCTTGTGATCTGCCTGCCTCAGCCTCCCAAAGTGGTGGGATTACAGGCGTCAGCCACCGTGCCCGGCCTTAAACCTCTTTTCTTTATAAATTACCCAGTCTCAGATGTTTCTTTTTTTCTTCTTTTTTTTTTTTATTTTGAGACAGAGTCAGCCTCTGTCACCCAGGGTGGAGTGCAGTGGTGTGATCTTGGCTCACTGCAACCCCCGCCTCCTGGGTTCAAACAATTCTCCTGTCTCAGCCTCCCAAGTAGCTGCGACTACAGGCGCCTGCCACCACACCTAGCTAATTTTTGTATTTTTGGTAGAGACGGGGTTTTGCCGTGTTGGCCAGGCTGGTCTTGAACTCCTGACCTTAAGTGATCCGCCCGCCTTGGCTTCGCAAAGTGCTGGGATTACACGTGTGAGCCACCGCGCCTGGCCTGTTATTATATTTTCAAGACACCTCTCAGGGCCACTGTGTTTATTGTGCTTAGAGAGGGAAAGAAGAGAACTGACAGGTAAGGAGGAAGCTCCGATGCTCTGGGTCATAACCACCTCCTAAACTGAGCTAATTGGCCTAGTTTACGGAATCAAGCATCCCACAAAGTATTCCCAATTGCAATCGCCAACGTCCCTCAATCCAAATCCCTGGAGAGCCTGTCAAAATGGCAGATCCCAGGGCCCCAGCCCTTGAGGTTCTGACTCAGCAAGTCTGGTGCGCAGCCCAGGAATCTGCAATCTCAAGATGTTCCCCATGGATTCTAAGGCAGAGCATCCATAAACCATTCTTTAAGCAACTATTTTCCCAGCCAGCAAATTATAAAGACTTTTTTCAAGTACAACGAGACAGAAAGCCAAGTGAAACTTAAAATTAGTTGACCTGCTGGCTAAATCTGCTAAGTGGGCACTTGCCCCATATCACCCTCTGGCTCTCTGCTTCCTCTGCCAGGGAACGAGCTCAGCAGATGAGGCTGGAGCATAGAGGGCGGAGTCGCCTGTCCTTTAGCAGGTGCTCTGGTTACTGGGTCAACTCACACATGGGGCAGGGAGGCGGAGCCTGCAAGTCCCACCTTGCCATTGAGTGGAGGCAACTGTTTTTTGTGTGTGAATATTCTTGTTTTGTTTTGTTTTGTTTTGTTTTGTTTTGTTTTGTTTTGAGACAGAGTCACTGTGTCACCCAGGCTGGAGTGCAGTGGTGCAATCTCGGCTCACTGCAAACTCTGCCTCCTGGTTTCAAGGGATTCTCCTGCCTCAGCCTCCGAGTAGCTGGGATTACAGGCGCCTGCCACCATATCTGGCTAATTTTTGTGTTTTTAGTAGAGATGGGGTTTCACCATCTTGGCCAGGCTGGTCTCGAACTCCTGACCTCTGGTGATTTGCCCGCCTCAGCCTCCCAAAGTGCCAGGATTACAGGTGTGAGCCACCATGCCTGGCCTGGAGGCAACTCTTGAGGTTGGGATGTCTGCAGTTCAGACTGAAGGCTCCTAATCCTGCTTGGAACTCCCAGCAACCTGCCTCACGTTCATCCCATAGGAAAACCTACAGGATAAGCCAGCAGCTGCTCCACGTGCTGACTGCACACCTTCCTGCTCTTCCCCGACTCCTCTCGTCTCCCGATGACAAGATCAGCCACCGCCTGCTCTAGATGACCCTTCTGATTCAGTCCTGCTGTTTGCAGCCTCCCCACTTTAGCGGCTTCAGCACTTCTCTAACCATGTTTCAGGTGACACTGTCTTTTTCTTTTCCTTCCTTCCTCCCTTCCTTCCTACCTCTCTTCCTCCCTCCCTCCCTCTCTTCCTTCCTCCCTTTCTTCCTTCCTTCCTCTCTTCATCCCTCCTTCCCTCCCTCCCTCCCTCTCTTCTTTCCTTCCATTTCTCCCTCCCTCCCTTGATTCCTCTCTCCCTCCCTCCCCCTTCCTTCCTTCCTCCTTCCCTCCCTCCCTCCCTTCCTTCCTTGAGATAGAGTCCCATTCTGTTGTCCAGTCTGGATGGAGTTCAGCGGCATGGTCTCAGCTCACTGCAGCCTCAAACTCCTGGGCTCAAGGGATCCCCTTGCCTCAGCCTTCTGAGTAGCTGGAACTACAAGTGCACACCACCACACTCAGCCAATTTTAAAACTTTTGTAGAGATGGGGCCTCCCTATGTTGCCCAGGCTGGTCTCGAACTCCTGGCCTCAAGCAACCCTCCCACCTCAGCCTCCCAAAGGCTCCCCTCGCTTCCCTCCCCTCCATTCCCTCCCTTCCCCTCCCCTCCCTCCTCTCCCTCCCCCTCCCCTCCCTCCTCTCCCTCCCCCCCTCCCCCTCCCCTCCCTCCTCTCCCTCCCCCTCCCCTCCCCTCCCTTCCCCTCCCTTCCCGTTCCCCTTCCCCTTCCCCTCCCTCCCCTCCCCTCCCTTACCTTCCCTTCCCCTTCCCCTCTCTTCCCTTCCCCTCTCTTCCCTTCCCCTTCCCCTTTCTTCCTTTCCCCTTCCCCTCCCCTCCCCTCCCTTCCCCTCCCCTCCCCTCCCTTCTCTTCCCCTTCCTTCCCCTTCTCTCCCCCTTCCTTCCCCTTCCTTCCTCTTCCTTCCCCTTCCTTCCCCTTCTCTTCCCCTTCTCTTCCCCTTCCTTCCCCTCCCCTCCCCTCCTCTCCCTTCTCTTCCCCTTCCTTCTCCTGCCCTCCCCTCCCTTCCCTTCCCTTCTCTTCCCCTCCCTTGTCCTCCCCTCCCCTCCCTTCCCCTTCCCTTCCCCCCCTTTTTTTTTTTGTTTTTTTCAGATGGAGTCTCACTCTGTCACCCAAGCTGGAGTGTAATGCCATGATCTCAGCTCACTGCAACCTCCGCCTCCCGGGTTAAAATGATTCCCCTGCCTCAGCCTCCAAGTAGCTGGGACTATAGGCACACGCCACCATGCCTGGCTAATTTTTTTGTATTTTTAGTAGAGACAGGGTTTTACCATGTCAGTTAGGCTGGTCTCATACTCCTGACCTCAAGTGATCTGCCTGCCTTGGCTCCCAAAGTGCTGGGATTGCAGGCCACCGCACCCAGCCTCCTTTCCTTTCTGAGACAGTGTCTTCCTCTCTTGCTGGAGTGCAGTGGCACAGTCACAGCTCACTTCAGCCTCAATCTCCTGGGCTCAAGCGATCCTCCCACCTCAGCCTGCTGAGTAGTTGGGGCGACAAGTGTGCCACCTCACCTAGCTAATTTTTAAAATTTTTTGTAGAGACAAGGTCACACTACATTGCCCAAGCTGGTCTTGAACTCCTGAGCTCAGGTAATCCTCCTACCTCAGTCCCGCAAAGTGCCAGGCTTACAAGCATAAGCCACCACATCTGGCTTGCCATCATTTCTTTCTGGATAGGACAATGGCAGACCACAGCAATTGAACTTCCCTTCCTGGCCAAAAAAATAAAAAATAAGCATAAAAAATCTGTGCTTTAAAGTAACCCTGTGCCAAGGTGAAGTAACACCTCTCTTCTCTTACATGTGTTCAAGACCCTGGTGAAATTAACTATTGTCCTTCTACAAACACAGAGAAGCCGTTTCTTCCTGGTTCCTCTGGTCTGTTTGTTTTAGCTGATGACAAATATTGAGCAAATGTGCCGTTTCAGCTTTGGGATGGGGAACATCCCGTGCTGTTCTCCTGTGTGTTCAGAGAGACAACAAGGGCCCTGGTGGGGGAGACTGTCATTGGCTTTCCTTCCAAATGGGTGTGAGCTACTCTAGGCCAACCACCTTCGCTGGCAATTTCCAACAGCCCCCAAGTAGCCCCACCATCATGGTTGCCAATCACCGTATTTCCTGGTGTATATAGGACCCAACAGCAGTGGCTCTCCCTTGGAGGCAATTTTGTCCCTACCCCTTGTAGAGGGCATTTGGCAATGTCTGGAGACATCTTTGGTTGTCACAGCAGTGGTGGGGGGTGGGGTGCACTGTTGACATCTAGTGGGTAGAGGCCAGGGATGCTGCCACACATCCTACAGTGTACGGGACAGTCCCCACCAATAATTCTGCAGCCCAAATGTCAATTGTACTGATGCTGCAAAACTCTGCCCTACAGGTATACAATATGGAGTTCTTACAAGAAAAACTTTACAAAGAAAGAAACTTTTGAAAGAAAACACTCACAGAGACTTTTCATAATACACCTATTTAAAATGAGTTCAAGGCTGGGTGCGGTAGCTCATGCCTGTAATCCCAGCACTTTGGGAGTCTGAGACAGGGGCATCACTTGAGCCCAGAAGTTCAAGACCAGCCTGGGCAACATGGCGAAATCCTGTCTCTACAAAAAATACAAAAATTAGCCCGGCGTCGTGGCATGTGCCTGTGATCCTCCCACCTACTCGGGAGCTGAGGTGGGAGGATCATTTGAGCCCAGGAGGCAAAGGTTGCAGTGAGCTGAGATCTCACTACTGCACTCCAGCTTGGGTGACAGAGCAGGACCCTGTCTCAAAAATAAATAATTAATGAATGAATAAAGAGTTCATAATAGGTTTGTACTGAAAATATATTCTTTTTCTCATGCAAGTATAGTCAATTCTACACTGACATTCCGTTGCAAACTGTAAATCTGTCTCAATGTAGTAATATACTACTAACAAAAGCACAAAAATCACATGGCTAATCCCATGGCTATATATTAATAAATTGAGATAAATGAAAGTAGGTACATAGCCATGTTCTAGCAGTAACAGATTTAATTCTAAATTAATCAGGATTTGTACACATCAGCTTTTATCAACTGCGTTGGGTTTGGCTAAGTTGGATGTGCAATTGGTATCTTTGCTTCAATGTTTTATTGCTATACCGTGTTGTCACATGCCACCACTAGGGGGTGGTAGTAGTACCCGCTCTTCCACTTTCTGGACGCTTGGCTTCCCCTGGCCATGAAGCAAATGCATTGGAAGCAGGAAATTTTTGAGATACATGTTTTGAGGGAGGAGTAGAGATTCATTCCACATCTTGACATGTAAAACACTTTGGGTCTGGGCGTGGTGGCTCATGCCTGTAATCCCAACATTTTGGGAGGCTGAGATGGGCAGATCATTTCAGGTCAGGTGTTTGAAACCACCCTGGCCAACATGGTGAAACCCCGTTTCTACTAAAAATACAAAAATTAGCTGGGGGTGGGTTGGGTGTGGTGGCTCACGCCTGTAATCTCAGCACTTTGGGAGGCCGAGGCAGCCAGATCATGAGGTCAGGAGTTCGAGACCAGCCTGACCAACTTTGTGAAACCCTGTCTCTACTAAAAATATGAAAATTAGCTGGAAGTGGTGGGGGGTGCCTATAATCTCAGCTACTCAGGAGGCTGAGGCAGGAGAATCGCTTGAACCTGGGAGGCAGAGGTTGCAGTGAGCCGAGATCACGCTGCTGCACTCCAGCCTAGGCGACAGTAAGACTCTGTCTCAAAAAAAAAAAAAAAAAAAAAAAAATTAGCTGGAGGTGATGGCACATGCCTGTAATCCCAGCTACTCAGGAGACTCAGGCAGGAGAATTGCTTGAACCTGGGAGGTGAAGGTTGCAATTAGCCAAGATCATGCCACTGCACTCCAGCCTGAGCGACAGAGTGAGGCTCCGTCTCAAAAAAAAAAAAAAACAGGAAACAAACTTTGCGAGACCAAGGTGGAAGATCGCTTGAGCCCAGGAATTCCAGATTGCCTGGGAAACATAGCAAGACCCTATCTCTACAAAAATAAAAATAAAAAATTAGCCTGGTGTGGTGGTGCACGCCCATGGTCCCTGCTACTTGGGAGGCTTAGATGGGAAGATTGCTTGAGCCCAGGAGGTTGAAGCTGCAGTGAGCTATGATTTTGTCACCGCACTCCAGCTTGGGTGACAGAGTGAGACCTTGTCTCAAAAAAAAAAAAAAAAAAAAGCTAAGTATGTAACAACAGTGCAGACTGTACATAATATAGCAAAGAATATGTAGGTGTGATATGGATGAATATAGTTTGAAATTAGCTGTGGGTAGACAGGGAACTGGGCTTCTGATAGGATTTAGTAGACATTTGATATTTTGTTTGCCCAACATCTGAACTTCCTTCCTACGTTGGGGAATTCCTTTCCTTCTGAGTCTTGGTGGGTTGCAGAACTAACCACCATGATGTAAACTGAAGATGGCTGCTCATCATTTCCCAGCCTTCCCTGCAGCCAGGACATGGTCATGTGATCCAGGCTTCACCAGTCAGAGGCACCATGCCAGGCTCCCAATCCACAGAAGGAGGGATAGCACAGGTGCAAATATTGGCTGCAAACCATACCATCTTGTGGTGATGGCGGTGGTTTTCTTTTTTTGTTTGTTTTTTGTTTTTTGAGACAGAGTCTCACTCTGCCATCAGGCTGGAGTACAGTAGTGCCATCTCAGCTCACTGCAACCTCCGCCTCCCGGGTTCAAGCGATTCTGTTGCCTCAGCTTCAAAAGTAGCTGGGAGTACAGGCGTGCACACCCATGTCCAGCTAATTTTTGTATTTTTAGTAGAGACGGGGTTTCACCATGTTGGCCAGGATGGTCTCGATCTCTTGACCTGGTGATCCGCCCACCTTGGTCTCCCAAAGTGCTGGGATTACAGGCGTGAGCCACTGTGCCCGGCCCTGACAGCAGTGGTTTTCTTACCAAATTGTTCTGTGGAACGATCTGAGGCAACTAGGGGGGATTTGGCACATGCTTTCAAGCCTGGGCACTACTAGCTTTCCCTTTAGTAAATTTCTTTTCTGTTTAAATCAGCCAGAGTCACTATTGCTTGCAACTAAGAACCTTGACTAATACTAAGTTTGGTAGCTTGTGTTAGTGCTGCAAGCAACAGACACTCTCACGTGGAATTAGCTGAATGGCAGTGTCAGGTCAGAGGGCAGTGGAGATACTGTTATTCAGGCTGGGAAGCTGTTACTCTTGTCACGCTATGGCAAAACATTTGGTTTGACAAACTTTTTCTGCAAAGAGCCAGATAGTAAATATTTCAGATTTTGTGGTCTAAATGGTCTCTATTGGAACTACCCAACTCTACTCTGGAAAGCGTCCATGAACACTATGTAAATGAGTGGGTGTGGCTGTGTCCCAATAAAATTTAATTTACAAAATCAGGTGGTGGGCTGGATGTGGCCCACAGGCCATAGTTGAAGCCTGGTTCAAACTGCCGCCTATTTTACACCAACCATGAACCTGTGGATGTTGTAGTATCAGGAGAAACTGTAGAAATATATCAGGATGTTGGCAAGTTCAACTTCTTAGAGCCTTCAGTAAGATCCAAAAAGAAAAAGTAAATCTTGGGTCAAACATGGTCCAATGGCAAAATGGAAGAAAATGCAGCTTTGCTAAGATTCCTTCTGCCTGAAGCCTGCAATCTACAGTGATGGAGAATCCAAAGATTTAGAGAGTTATAGAAATAGACAAGTCAAGTGCAAGACCAGGAGTTGACAAACTTTCTCTATGAAGTGCCGATAGTACATATTTCAGGCGTTGCAGGCCACGTGAGGTTTTTTTTTTTTTGAGACAGAGTTTCGCTCTTGTCACCCAGGCTGGAGTGCAGTGGCGCTATCTCGGCTCACTGCAACCTCTGCCTCCCAGGTTCAAGCAATTCTCCTGCCTCAGCCTCCCTACTAGCTGGGATTACAGGCGCCCGCCGCCACACCTGGCTAGTTTTTTGTATTTTTAGTAGAGATGGGATTTCATCATGTTGGCCAGGCTAGTCTCAAACTCCTGACCTCAGGTGATTCACCCACCTGGGCCTCCCAGAGTGCAGAGATTACAGGCATGAGCCACCACGCCCAGTCCAAATAAAGTCTGTTGTATATTCTTCTTTGCATTATTTTACAATTTTTTTTTTTTAAAGGCGGAGTGTTGCTCTGTTGCCCAGGCTGGAGTGCAGTGGTGTGATCTCAGCTCACTGCAACCTCCACCTCCCTGGTTCAAACGATTCTCCTGCCTCAGCCTCCCAAGTAGCTGGGATTACAGGCACCTGCCACCACACCTGACTAATTTTTGTATTTTTAGTAGAGATGAGGTTTCACCATGTTGGCCAGGCTGGTTTCAAACTCCTGACCTCAAGTGACCCACCCACCTCGGCCTCCCAAAATGCTGGGATTAGAGGTGTGGGCCACTTGCCCCGGCCTAAAACATTTTTTTCCTTTTTGATGAAACAGAGTCTCACTCTGTTGCCCAGGCTGGAGTACAGCAGCAAGATCACGGCTCACTGCAGCCTTCATCTCCCAAGCTCAAGCAATCTTCCTGTCTAAGCCTTTCAAGTAGCTGGGACCACAGGCCTGCGCCACCATTCACAGCATTTTTTTTTTTTTTTTTTTTTTTGGTAGAAACAGTGTCTTGCTATGTGGCCCAGGCTGGTCTCAAACTCCTGGGCTCAAGCGATCCTCCCGTCTCACTCTCCCAAAGTGCTGGGATTACTGGTATGAGTCACCGTGCCCAACTATTTTCACAACTTTTTAAGAACACAAATTCTCAGCTTGTAAACCATATAAAAGCAAATAATCTGCTAAGCCCTGCTATAAATGAAGGATCAATAGTGTGGCGGCAAAAAGCTAAGCAGAAGATAAGATGTATGGGATTCCAGCAAAAGATATGTTAGATCCTTTAGCATTTTTCATCAGACAGAGGGACAGGCATAGAGAGATAGCTCAGATTAGAAGGGCTTTGCAGGTATTGCCTCAAGGCTGCAGTAAAGCTCAGAGGCATGGGGCCAGGAATTCTGAGGCTCAAATTATTAGGCCCATCACATAAAAGCCATAGGCAGAACTACCTAGATAAGCCACTACTGGATTCCTGACTGTCAAAATCTCTGTGATAATAAATGTTTTGTGCTTTGAAAAAAAAACTTGAAGAAATTGGGTCGAGACAAGATCTTGCATGGCCAAAGGAACCCCATCTGTGACTGAGAAGAGCCTGTAACTATACAACGCTGAAAATTACCTCTGAGACACTAGGCCTCACACCCAGAGGAAGAAAGAAAGTTCCCGGTCAATGGACGCTTCATTTGGCCGGGCGCGGTGGCTCACGCCTGTAATCCTAGCACTTTGGGAGGCAGAGGCGGGCGGATCACGAGGTCAGGAGATCAAGACCATCCTGGCGAACACGTTGAAACACCATCTCCACTAAAAATACAAAAAAAAAAAAAATTAGCCAGGCGTGGTGGCGGCCGCCTGTAGTCCCAGCTACTCGGGAGGCTGAGGCAGGAGAATGGCGTGAACCCGGGGGGGCGGAGCTTGCAGTGAGCCGAGATCGCGGCACTGCACTCCAGCCTGGGAGACAGTGAGACTCCGTCTCAAAAAAAAGAAAGAAAGAAAGAAAGAAAGGGCCTGCTCCACACTACCCATCTTAAATCTGACCACAGGGGACAGTGGATGAGGGAGATGGTTCCACTAAGCAGGACCAAGAGCAACGGATTGAGCAGCCACCAATCTCCCTCCCGCCAGGGAAGGGGCTTCCTGCTATTTGTGACCAATAATGAACCTGTGGCCGCTGGACATTGGTTCTCTGCCTGTCCCTTTTCCAAGGGGACAATTCATGGTGACATCCTGTGCCTTTGTCTCCATTACATACTAGGGGCTTTTGAGAGGACATGATTGAACCTTTAGCCACCCATTACCAGGCCATAAGGAGCCCCAACTGGACCCGACTGAGATGCAGCACATCACCCATCGCCCTGGAGTGGGAGCTGGAAGTGGAAGCCGGTTGAGACCTCAGGTTAGATCCCTCTTGGGAAGGGGTTAGTTCGTTTCACGAATGTACAAGAATTTTTATTTCTTGAAGCAGAGTTTCTGTCACCAGGCTAGAGTGCAGCGGCGTCATCACAGCTCACTGCGGCCTGGACCTCCCAAGCTCAAGCGATTCTCCACCTCAGCCTCCTGAGAAGCTGGGACTACAGGAGCACACCACCATGCCTAGCTAATTTTGTAGTTTTTATAGAGATGGGGTCTCGCTGTGCTGCCCAGGCTGATCTCAGACTCCTGGCATCAAGTGATCCTTCCGCCTTCACTTCCCAAAGTGCTGGGATTACAGGCATCAGCCACTGCACCGCGACCCGCATGTTTGCATAATTTGATCTCACTCCTGACTCCAGCCAAGTACTGGGGCAATGATGAGTGAGTGTGTTACCCAAGACAGACCCATCAGAATCTAGCCCTGGAAACTTGAAACTGAGACTAATATTATCTAGATCAAGGCAGGGACTGAGTTCATTAAGGCGGCTCCCACTCCAGGGCGATGGGTGATGTGTTGTGATCTCAGTTGTGTCCAGCTGGGGCTCCTTATGGCCTGGTAATGGGTGGTAAAGGTTCAATCATGTCCTTCCAAAAGTTCATAGTATGTAATGGAGACAAAGGCACAGGATGTCACCATAACACCTAGCACAATGCTTGTACCATTACAGCTACGCAAATATTTGGTGAATGAATGAATGAGAGGCTGATTTCCTGAATGGAAGAAATATGAAATTGAGTGTTCTGGGGTGATCACCATCCCCCAGCCATATGGACAAAAAAAAAAATCCAATCTAGAAACACAAAGAAGGCAGACAGTAGCCTCTGAAGATTTTAGTTTGTAAACCCTGTGTGACAGTATGGAAATGAGTGTTCTCAAGATACAAAGATAGCTTTTGCTACCTTTGGCATTCCTTAGATAGAAGCTAAAGGGATCTGTCTGTCTCTCTCTCTCTCCTTCTCTGTCTGAATTTTTCAGTTTTCAGCAGAATATGTGGTAGAAGATAGTCTCATTCCATCATGACCTCATCCTTTAAAGCAGAGGTCTTTATTAAATACAAATGAAATGAAAGAACATGATCTAGTAACAATGAACAGGAAGGTTAAAAAACAAACAGGATCAGTCATTTGTGGGGATCCCTGAGAAGTGAAAATATGGGGCTGCTTGTTCAAATACGAAGAACTTTAAAGCCGGGCGCAGTGGCTCCCACCTGCAATCTCAATGCTTTTGGGAGCCAAGGTGGGAGGATCACATGAGCCCAGGAGTTCAAAACCAGCATAAGCAACAGACCCCCCGCCCCATAAAAGAATGAATGAATGGATGGATGAATGAACGGATACATACATTTTAGGAGCGTTCTTCTCCATGACTACGAAATATTTATTTCTTGTAAGAATGTTCTACTTTATGCCGGACACAGTGAGTGGCTCACACCTGCAATTCCAGCAGTTTGGCAGGCCGAGGCAGGAGGATCGCTTGAGGCCAGGAGTTCTAGACCAGTGTAGGCAACACAGCGAGACTCTGTCTCTACAAGAAATACATATAAAATAATTTAAAATGGCACTAGCAGATCATTCTCCCAAGCATGGGGGCCTTGGATGCATGGAAATGTGTGCGACTACCCAGGCTGCAGGGCTGCAAAGCTGGCCCCATTAAAGAAGCAGAGGGAGATTGTCCAGTGATAAATTGTCCATTTATCAGTTGCTTAGTGTAAAAACCATACATTATTATCTTGATGAGAAATCAGCTGACCCCCTGCCCCTCAAAATGGCAGCATTCTGCCCTAGATGTCATCACCGTTGGGAACATTAGAGTCTTGCTCTGGGCAATCTGGTTTTAAACTTTATTTTCCATGTACAGTTTCAGATTATACAAAACATAGAAAATGGACTATTTTAAAGGTACATTAAGTAGAAAGTTTCTAACTACCCTAAAGTCACAAACCAAGATTCAAAATGAACCTCTAGGCCTTGCCCTAACATTTCCCCAACACCACAAAATTGTCCAACTTGCTCTATTGTAAGTAACCTTTAAACTATTAGCGAGTTTAGTAACATCCCGCGAGGCAGATTTTAAACTACGATACAGTTTCTATCTAGGCCACTGTGTTTAGTGTGTTTACAAACAGGCTTGGAGTTCTAGGTTTCTTCATCATCAGTGAACACAGAGCGTCCTAGAGCGCCAGCCTGTTCATGAGGGGTGTCCACAAAAGCACGCAAACTATAGCAGAGTGTGTGGGAGTGAATAGGTCTCCGATGTTCCTGTATTCAGGTATATATATATACACATTCACACAGACCAACAAGTCAAGCATTCTCCAAACTCATTTGAACAGAGACCCAAAATAATTTTAATGCAAATAACAAAATGAGTTAGTCTGTCTCCATCACATAGCCCCTCAATGAAAGAATTACAGTACTTTATAAAAATGTCATAAAATGCGCAAACTACAGTTCCTTCAAATACAGTTGATGCTATCTTTGGTCCTAATATGTGCTTCTTGGATGTCTACTAATTTTGTTGTTGTTATTGTTCTTGAATAACTGGTAATAAGCACCAAGTGAGGGCTGATTCTATCTACAGGTAAGAAGCTTGGATGTTTTCTCCCTGATTTTGTCATTTCTTTCCAACTTCCCAAATGCATGTCATACAGCAGGGAAGAGGCATCTCTCATGTCTCAAAAAAGCTTAATGGCACAGGTGGATGTGGGCACTGAATGTTGTACAGCAGTGGCAACCAGCCGGGAAAATCCATAGGATCATTTCAGACCGCATTCAACACAGATACTCATGTAGCCCCGACGTTTCTTGTGAAGGGAATTGATGTATTGCTTGAGGGGGTCGATCTCTGGTTCTAAGGTGTTTTGTTTGTTTCCATCGTGACTACCAGAAAATTATAGAAGGCCAGACGCAGTGGCTCATGCCTGTAATCCCAGCACTTTGGAAGGCTGAGGTGGGCGGATCACCTGAGGTTGGGAGTTCGAAACCAGCCTGACCAACATGGAGAAACCCCATCTCTACTAAAAATACAAAAATTAGCTGGGCATGGTGGGACATGCCTGTAATCCCAGCTACTCGGGAGGCTGAGGCAGGAGAATCACTTGAACCCAGGAGGCAGAGGTTGCGGTGAGCCAAGATGGTGCCACTGCACTCCAGCCTGGGCAACAAGAGCAAAACTCAGTCTCAAAAAAAAAAAAAAAAAAGAAAAAGAAAAAAGAAAATTATAGAAAAGCCACCAAGGTAGAAAGTTTCAAGGGAACTTAAGATTCAACTTCCTCCATGAGCTTGGGTAGCATCCTGTTAACCCTAGGGGTGTAAGCCACATTCTTGCCCACAATATGACTAGTGAGAGTATCTCATGGAGGCAGGAGGTGACATTTGTCCTGTCTCTGGCCCCAGGTCACCCTGTACTGCATTGGTGGCTTCTCCATAGGGAGGGGGTCCTATCTCATAGACTCCAAACTTCATGATGGCAGGGAGGATATCTGGATTTGCTCACCCCTGTATTTTCAGAGCCTCACACAGTGCCTGGAACATGGTAAACATTTAATACTATCTGTCAAAAACAAATGAATGAAAGAGCAGATGGAAAGAGCCAATCCTGCATTGAAGAGATATCCATGGTGGCCCTAAAACTACTCAAACCAGATGTCTCTTCAGCTCCACTGGAACTGAGCTGATGGCAAACCACCACTCCACTCAGCAGAAGGTCAAGTGCAAAAGTATTTAAATAGCACGAGGTCCCACACCCCATCCCAGGACAGCCCCCAGCATCCTGCTCCAACATAAGCAGAAAAAGACAATGAGGTGCAAAGAGCTTATCTCCTGGGATGGTTCCTGGGTGGTCTGCATTGCCACACAGCATCATGCTTTGATCCTGAAGGACAAGGCCCCAAAAGCCCTATTTCTCAGCACAGTCTTAAAATCACCTGGAAATCATTCACCCAGACCCTCTGAATCAGCCTGTCCCAAGCAGCACGGGAACCCCTAAAGCTTGAAAACTCCAGCTCTATGGGACCCTCTCACCGCATTTACTGTCGGGACCATGGGCCCCTCCACAGACATGTTTTCTGGGTGTTACACAGACAGGTACTGCCCAATAACTGTCATCTGCACGAACTGAATGGAGCTATATTTAGACTGATCTAAATACCTAAATGCCTCCAGGAGCATTTAATAATAGGCACGCGTAAAGCAGCCTCCCTACCATGCCACAGGCCTCGATTTTGAATCGTTTTATTTTTGAGACGGAGTCTCAGACTGTCGCCTGGGCTGGAGTGCAGTGGTGAATCTCGGCTCACTGCGACCTCCGCCTCCCAGTTTCAAGCGATTCTCCTGCCTCAGCCTCCTAAGTAGCTGGGATTACAGGCACCTGCCACCACACCGGGCTAATTTTGTTGTATTTTCGGTAGAGACGGGGTTTCACCATGTTGGCCAGGCTGGTCTTGAACTCCTGACCTTGTGATCCACCTGCCTCAGCCTCCCAAAGTGCTGGGATTACAGGTGTGAGCCACCGCACCCAGCTGATTTTGAATTCTTAGTGGTGTTCTTTGCAGCCTCCATCACAGTGTGTAATTAGTTTCTTTTCTTTTTTTTCTTTTTTTGAGATGGAGTCTCACTCTGTCACCCAGGCTGGAGTGCAGTGGCACGGTCTCGGCTCACTGCAACCTCCACCTCCCATTTCAAGTGATTCTCCTGCCTCAGCCACCTGATAGCTGGGATTACAGGCATGCACCACCACGCCCAGCTCATTTTTGTATTTTTAGTAGAGACAGGTTTTACCATTTTGGCCAGGCTGGTCTTGAACTCCTGACCTCAGGTGATCCACCCGCCTCAGCCTCCCAAAGTGCTGGGATTACAAGCATGAGCCACTGTACCCAGCCAGTTTTTCTAATTAAGTTTTAATCTGTCTCCTCCACTAGGCCATGAGCCCTAGGAGGAGATTGTCTCTAGAGGGTATCCCCTGTGCCTGGCACATGCATGCAAGTTATGATTTATGTTGATGAATGAATGAATGAATGAATGAATGAATGAATGAATGAATGGTGGATGGGTCCTCTGAGGCTCTAGAAATAGGGGTGAGAGGCCAGCCAGGTGTAGCATGAAGGGCTGGACAAGAAGGGAGAGGCCTTCTGGGATAAGATGGGAAGGAGGCTGTACCCCACACCCTGAAGGTGTCTATGAGTTCACATGGCTCAGGAATGGAGTTTTGGGGCCCTAGATGTAGACAGCTGTGGCGATGGAGGCCAAGGTTTTGGCCTGCTGTGGGGGTTGCATTCACCTCCCCATCTCCACATGACGATACCCCAGCATTTACGAGGCAGCTCTGCTGACCTGGCCCAGGCACCGTGGTCCCCAACTTCAACGCATCTGAAGCGTTGCCCAGGGAGCGCGTTAGAAATGCAGATTCCCTGGCCCCATCCCTTGAAGACTCTGATTCTGTAGGTCTGGGGTGAGGGGGGGGGCGCTGTAGGTTTTGCCTAAAGACGAGTCTAAATCTGGCACGCAGGTTAAGGATGACCATTCCTAAGGCAAGCAGGTGACACTGTCGGCAAATTGAGGTGAGACTTTTTCTGACCCACCCCGATACCGGAGGGATGGCTGGGCTCTGGTTTGGATACAGACAGAATGCCAGGGACTACACCTGCTTCTCACTTGGAACTTGGGTGAAACCTCTCAGGAAGCTGTCATTCTTCTCCTATACCCCACCTCACCCTCTTCCACCCACCACTAGCAGAGAGATTCGGGAGGGGCTTGGGCCAGCTGAAACCCATAGGAAGCACGTCCCCAGAGACCCGGCTTTCCCAGCCTCTCCTCTCCTCCCATCACAGCCCCATGGTTAAGAAATGTCCTGCCGAGTGCTTTTGGATTTGAGCATTGCTGGATTTTTGCTTGTGTCTTGTTGAGACTTTTGAGTGGGCAGCAGTTCTGAATACCAGCCTTCATAGTCTATTCTCTGATCTCAAGAATGCAAAAACTCTTCTCTCTTTTGGATTTTTTTTTTCTTTTTTCTTTTTTTTTTTTTTTTTTTTTTTTTTTTGGCTTTTAAAGGAAACAATACGTTTGCTAGAAAAACCTCAAAAAATAATGATTATATACAAAATGGTTATCTGAATGTGGATTCTGTACTGCAGCAGAAGCAACCCAGCTCCGGAACTCTATTTGCGCTTCCTCAGTATCAGGTACATCATGCCGCTGATGAAGGTGCAGGCGAAGGCCACCCACGCCAGGATGTAGGAGTAGCCGTAGCTGCCTTCTCTGGTCACGGGATAGAATTTCGCGTTTTTGTCGTGAATGTCTTCACGCCTGTCTGTATAAATGGAGGCCGCAATCATGACACACAGACCTGTCAGGAAGAAAGGTGAATTTTCAATAAATCATGGACCACAGTGCACCCTGGGTAGCCCAGGGGCATACGGCCAGAGTTGAAGACAAACTTCAGCTTTTATTCTTTGTTTATTATTATTTTGTTGTAGAGACAAGATTTTGCCATGTCACCCAGGCTGGTCTTGAACTCCTGAGCTCAAGCAATCCTCCTGCCTCGGCCTCCCAAAGTGCTGGGATTACAGACGTGAGCCACCGCGTGCAGCCTTAAGCTCTTATTATTAATAGGTATTTATTTTAGTCTATTGGAAAAATTACAACTGATATTTTGTGGAAGGATATTGTCACCTACCCTGTAGCTATTTTGCTTCCCATTCTTGCTAACTAAACCCAGTTTTGTTTGGGCAGCCACATCACCAACCCAGAGGGTGAACATAATTGGTCTAAGCCAGAGGTCCACAGACGTACCCTGTAAAGGGCCAGACAGTAAGCAGTTTAGGTTTTCTGTGGGCCATGGTCACACAAGTCTGCCACAGTAGCATGACACCACCTATAGACAATACAAAAATGAATAATAGTGGCAGTGTTACAATAAGATTTTATTTACAAAAACATGTGGCAGGCCAGATTTGACCTATGGGCCATAGTTTGCCAACCTTCTTCTTGGCAATCTGGTTCCTGTTTACTTGTTATAGCTGATGGGTCAGTATGTATCCCAGTTCTGACCACAGAAAACCTTCAGTGAAAAATATGACTCCCTGGGCCGGACACGGTGACTCATGCCTGTAATCCCAGCACTTTGTGAGGCCAAGGTAGGTGGGTCACCTGAGGTCAGTAGTTCCAGACCAGCCTGGCCAACATGGTGAAACCCCGTCCCTACTAAAAATACAAAAAATTAGCCGGGTGTGGTGGTAGGTGCCTGTAATCCCAGCTACTAGGGAGGCTGAGGCAGGAGAATCGCTTTAACTCACGAGGCAGAGGTTGCAGTGAGCCGAGATCGCACCACTGCACTCCAGCCCGCACAACAGCAAAAACTTCCTCTCAAAAAAAAAAAGAAAAATATGACTGCCTGAAAAGAGAGCGATGAGGGAGGAGAAAGCTTTTTTAAATTGCTCTCCTTTCTCTTGCTGACTGCTTTAAATATTGTCGGGGCAGGATGAAATATCTGGAGTTGCAGCAAACTTTTTGGAGCCACGAAGAGGTCAACACCAACACTAAAGATGACAGAATAGAAGGATGGAATGAGCGGAAGTGCTTGACGCAGACGCTGCTAAATCAGCTCTAGAAACTTTTCTACCTCCAGAGTACTTGTTATGTAAAAATAGTAACTATCTTTGTGGCTGAAATCACAGTTAATTCGATTTTCTCTCACATAAGGCCAAAAGCACCCTAATTTTAGTACTTGTGGTCCTTGGCTGGGTGCGTTGGATCATGCCTGTAATCCCACCACTTTGGGAGGTTGAAGCGGGCAGATCACTTGCACCCAGGAGCTCGAGACCAGCCTGGCCAACATAGCAAAACCTCACCTCTACTAAAAACACAAAAATTAGCTGGGTGTGATGGTGCACACCTGTAGTCCCAGCTACTTGGGAGGCTGCGGCAGGAGAATCGCCTGAACCCGGAAGGCGGAGGTTGCAGCGAGCCAAGGTCGCACCCCTGCACTCCAGCTTGGGCGACAGAGCGAAACCCTATCTCAAAAAATAAAAAAAGAAATACTTGCTGTCCCAATATTTACAGACATTAGAGCTAAGATGAGCTTAGGTTCTGTGGTTTTCCTTGGGGGACCTATCTCTCTCCTGGCCAGGCAGTTTTGGTGGGACTATCCTTCAAGATGCTCAGACATTCTCTGGCCAGGGGCCAAGCGCGTAGACAATCTCCGCCAATCAGACTCTCACTCCTGGAAACCTGAGTCTAAACAGTGACCCTGTCAGGGTTCCTTGATTCTGACAGCACCTCCCTGGAGCCGCTGCCTATCAGTTGCTGGTGCCTGGATCTTCTTTCCAAGACCTGGTTTTTCAGCTTTTCCTTTGATTCTTGCAGGCTACCCCCAGAATCCCATCTCTCACATGAGTTAGAGTATCTGCTGCTTGCGTCTAAAGATCCCTGCCTGATACAGCATTAAACACTCTGCAGTTTGAAGCAGAACAGGGAGGGCCAGGTCTTTGGACCAGAAAATGGCCACAGGAGTTGGGGAGAATGGGATGCTATGCAAGGAAAATGGGAAGACGTGACTTTCATATTAAAATACGGGGGAATTTTCATATATGTGAAAATTTATATATATAAAATTCCTAAATACATATATTAGGGTAATCAATTTTGACTAAGCAGGCTTACAGATCAACAGACAAACATAGACAATAACAGAAAATAAACTTCAGAAGCTGGGTGCGGTGGCTCATGCTCGGAATCCCAACACTTTGAGAGGCTGACGCTGGCAGATTGCGAGACCAGCCTGCACAACATAGTGAAACCCCATCTCTACAAAAATTAGCCAGGCATAATGGCACATGTCTGTAGTCCCAGTTCCTTGGGAGGCTGAGGTGGGAGCATTGCTTGAGCCCTGGAGGCCGAGGCTGCAGTGAGCCATGATCACGCCACTGTACTTCAGCCCGGGCAACAGAGTAACCACCCAAGTCCCCCCACCCCAAGTTAAATGACAGGATTCAATTGCCTTTAATGGGGTCGGTGAGGGTGGGGGGTCCACGCCTCTAACTGGCAGATACAGAGACAGTAAAGGAGGGGGATCAGACACCTCCTGACTACCTCGCCCAGGGTCCTTGGGAAGAACGCATTCTCCCTTTAGGCCTCATTTGTTCTGGCTTGTTGCTCTCCAACGCTTGGCTCAGGGACAGGAGTACAAATCCCCAGGCTCTAACCCAGCAGATGCTGATTCAAGAGGGCAGGCTGGGGCCTTGGGAGTCTGCACTTTAGAAAGGTCCCCGGAAGGACTGTGGTGGACTTGGGGGGTTCTCAAGATCAAGTGACCCTCCGGAGTCTTTTGCACTTGAAAACACTCTCATTCTCCACCTGTACCTAGAAGGGGTGGTACCTGGCTGTCCAGTAAAAGTGCCCCAAGGGGAGGGGACGCTGAGTGTGACCAACCACCCCACTTTGCCCTGGACTGGGGTTTCCTAGGATGCGGGACTTTCAGTGTTTTTATTTTATATTGTATTTTATTCTACTCTATTTATCTTATTATTTTTTCAAGGAAGAGTCTCACTGTATCCCTCGGGCTGGAGTACAGTGGTGCTATGGTTTGGCTGTGTCCCCACCCCAATCTCACCTTGAATTGTAATAATCCCCACATGTCAAGGACGGGGCTAGGTGGAGATCATTGAATCATGGGGGCGGTTCCCCCATACTGTTCTTGTGGTAGTGAGTAAGTCTCACAAGATATGATGGTTTTATAAATGGGAGTTCCCCTGCACACGCTCTCTTTCCCGCTGCCATGTAAGCCCTTTTGTTCTTCCTTTGTCTTCCGCCATGACTGTGAGGCCTCCCCAGCCATGTGGAACTGTAAGTCCATTAAGCCTCTTTCCTTTACAAATTACCCAGTCTCGGGTATGTCTTTATTAGCAGCTTGAGAATGGACTAATACAAGTGGTACAGCACCCCACAGCTCACTGCAGCCTTTACCTCTCAGGCTCAAATGATCTTCCACTCCAGCCTCCCAAGTAGCTGGGACTACAGGTGTGCTCTGCCATGCTTGGCTAATTTTTTTTCTTTTTGTATAGAGGAGGTCTCACTATGTTGCCCAGGCTGGTCTTGAACTCCTGGGCTCAAGCAGTCCTCCTGCATGGGCCTCCCAAAGTGCTCCTGCACCTGACCGGGACTTTCAGTTTTAAACCAGAGGATGGTCCCAGGCAAACTAGAACAAGTTGTCACTGCACTGCACTGATGACACATCTCAGGGTCATCCTGAGGGCATGGCAGGTTTGGACTTGACCCTGGCCCGGGAGGTGGAGGGCTGGAAGGAGGTGGTAGTTAGAGTGGTTAGGGCCAAGCAGCCTAAGTTGGCTCCCACACCCAGATTTCTTGCCTTCATCAAGCCACTCGTCAACTCCTGATTGGAAAGCACCCTAGAAGGGACTTCTGTATTTTGTCATCAGAAAGCTTTAAATCGTCACTGAGAAACAACAAATGATCATGGTGTGGCTTCTGACTTCTGATCTGACTTAAGCCTTGCTAAAATTCCTAAGTAGAAAAAAATGCTCTGAGACCTCTGCTTCCTCCAAGTTCCTCCAGGACTGAGGCTGTGCCTTGTTCATCTCTTGAGCCCCTGCAGCCAGCACAGGCCTGGTGCAACGTGGGCACCTCTGTCACCCACCAGCTTGAAACCTGTTGATGGCTTCCCATCAGCTTAGAACAAAGACCCCAAATCCTTTCTATGGCCTGCAAGACTCCATGGGGCGTGGCCCTGCCTGCCCTGCTGGTTCACTTCCCACTGCACTCCAGCCCCACTGGGCAGCTCTCCGTCCCTCCTGTCACAGGGCTTCCGTCATGCTGTTCCCTCTACCCAGGACACTGTTCCCTCCTCTCTCTATTGAGACACAACACTGTCGACAGCGACTCCTACTCACCCTCCAGATCCTCTGGCTTCATGTCTCCAGGATGCCTTCCCTGGACTCCCAACTCAATCCAAACTCCCAAATATAAACGTCCCACTGTGGTACAGCATGCATGCGCCCACACACACACACACACACACGCAAACACACACCGGCACACAGCACCGCGCGGCTGCCAATTTCTCCTTTCCAAATTCTCCCTCCTCCTGGCTTCCCTCCTGGCGGCTGGGAAGGGAGTGCTTATTCCAGAAAGCCCCTTGTTAGGGAAGCCCGTTGATGTACTTACATGACATTAGCTGGATGATGGAGGTTAGGACAAACCTCTCTCCCTGCTTCAGGCGGAAGAGCTGGAGCACGAAGATGAAGAAGGCGATGCAGCAGAGAATGGTGGAGAGGATCATGGTGGCCTGGACCGCCTGCAGCGTGGAGTACTCTGCGGGAAAAGGGCAGGGGCGCAGGACTGAGGACCTTGGCCAGCCGGCACTGTGGGGTACACAGCGACCGCAGCAGCTCCAGAGTAGGTGTGACAGGAGGCAAACAGGAAGGGGTTCAGGCGGTCGTCTACATGGTCTGAGCACAAGGGCAGCCAAGGCGTCTTCCAGACCCCCTGCCCCTCACCTCCAGTGTCCATTTGACTGGACAATCCTCGACCCCTTATCTGGAAGACGAGGCAAGAACCACCTGCTCTGCATTCTTCCTGGTCTGGGTCACAGACCCCACATGCTTGGCTCATGGACAGGGGAATCTTTTGAAGGACAAACCTCAGGTTCCAACGTGGTAGATTGTGACTCAAGAAATCAGGATGGGGCCTTGGGGGTCTCCATTTTAGAGAGGGATTCCCATGGACTCAGGGCTCATGGGACTGTGACCTTGTGAGGTGCTCTGTGGACTCCACACTAGCCTGTAGGTATCGGAGGCTGATCTTCACGGTCACTACTTACAAAGAGGAGGAAAGCTCCTTTCTTTTCAGGTCAGCCTTAACAGAGACTGGGGTATGAAGGTTTGGGGCTCAGTACAGAGAAGTTTCAGTGGAGAAGGGAGGCCTAGGGTGGAGGGTGTCACATGGGGGCAGGTCACAGTGAGGCTAATGTGTAGAAAGCTATGTGGCCATAGGGAAGGCATCCTGCACATGGGTTACCTTCGTGGGCCTCAGTTTCCTCACCTGTAAAATGGGGATATAGATATATTTTTTGAGACAGGGTCTCACTCTGACAACCAGGCTGGAGTGTAGTGGCACAACCGTAGCTCACTGCAGCCTTGAACTCTTGGGCCCAAGTGATCCTCCTGCCTCAGCCTCCTGTGTAGCTGGGACTACAGGCATGTCTGGCTAATTTTTAAAAAATTTTTGTAGGGATGGAGTCTCGCTATGTTGCTCACGGTGGTCTTGAACTCTAAAATGGGGATACTAATAGCTCCTTCCTCATCGGGCTAGGAAGGTAGAGTAAACTCATCTACATAAGGGGGTTTGGAGGGTGCAGGCAAGGTGGGAGTCCTGTGTAAGAGCTGAATGCTGAATGTTACCACCAGGATGAGGCCAAAAGATAACGTGAGGGGACAGCGTCCACGCTGCACAGAAAATCTAAGGACACACCTTCCTTTTCTTTTTCTTTCTGTCTTTTTTTTCCTTCAATTTTGCAGTTTTGCCTGAAAACTCACTGGAGTGAACATAATTGGTAAGTACTTAATGAAACGTCTAGAGCTGTGGATTTAATCCATTCTGGCTACAGATTACGGTTGCTTGGAGAGCATCTAGCCTTTCCCCCAATTCCTTATGGGGAGCGAAAGGAGTCAGACCGGCTCCCCCACTATGACACACACCACATGACCCCATTCCCATGAGGCCCAGGAACAGGTGGAAGTGAGTTATAGTGACAGAAGTCAGAAGTGGTTGCCCTCGGGGCAGAAAGCGGTAGCAACTGTGTGGAAGGGGGCCCGAGGAACTTTCTGGAGAGTTGGCAATGTTCTCTGTCTTCTTTTGGATGGTGGTTACGTGGGTGTTTATACAATTGTCAAAACCCACCAAACTGAGCCCTTAAGAAGCCTGCGTTTCCTTGTTTGTAAATTATAACTCCATTAAAAAAAGAAAAAGAAAAAGAAAACCCAGCAGGCTCTACTGAGATGAAATAAATCAGAACGTCGGGCATTGAGAGCGGGCACGAGGGCTTCGTAAAGCCACCGAGGGAATTCCAATATGGAGCCCAAGTGGTGACCCTCTGGCTTACAGCAGTACTTCCCAAATCTGCCCAATCCCAGGGATCACCTGGGATTGCTTATTAAAAATACAGATTCTTAGGCCTCTCCCCCTGGAGATTCTGCTACCATTGTCCTGGAGTGGGCACCAGGAATCTGTATTTTCAGCAACAAGTGACCCATGATGGGGCAAATGGGGAAAACATGGCTTTGGGGGAAAGGATGAATAGATGTTCCTAGAACAGGGTTTCTCAAAGCTGGGAGGGGGTGCAGGATGTGCCTGCCAGGCAGCCCCTGAGATGGGTGTATGTGGAACCCAGTGAGGACGGGAAACTACACAAATTCACGGAATGAGAGGGATGCTCACTTTGCTCAGTTTAAATTCCTCTAAGGGCTGGGCATGGTGACTCACGCCTGTAATCCCAGCACTATGGGAGGCAGAGGCAGGTGGATCACCTGAGGTCAGGAGTTTGAGACCAGCCTGGCCAATATGGCAAAACCCTGTCTCTACTAAAAATACAAAAATTAGCTGGGTGTGGTGGCACACACCTGTAATCCCAGCTACTTGGGAGTTTGAGGCAGGAGGATGGCTTGAACCCAGAAGGCGGGGACTGCAGCGAGCAGAGATTGCGCCACTGCACTCCAGCCTGGGTGACAGAGCGAGACTCTGTCTCAAAAATAAATAAATAAATAAACAAATAAATAAATAGATTTCTCTAAGGACCTCAAGGAGGAGTTCTCCACCAGCTGCTTTTGTGCTTTAAAAACACCCACTAATATCTGGGTGTTTGGGGTTGTTTGTTTTTTAACATGAAAAGGACCAGAAACAGGCTTAGAGGCTTCAGGAGGGAAGTGTGTCTGCCCAGACTTTGATAACATCATTGGGCTTTCCATCTAGTATTTTCAGAAAGCTTCCCTTCTTTTATGGCAAGTGATACTAGTTTATACGAGTGATAACACTCATGGGAGGGATGTGACATTCTCTTTAACATAGACTTATGGTTTGGGAGGCCACAGTGGGTGAAGTGGGAGAATCGCTTGAGCTCAGGAGTTCAAGACCAGCATGGGCAACATGGTAAAACCCTGTCTCTACAGAAAATACAAAAATTAGCCAGGTGTGGTGGCACACACCCATAATCCCAGCTACTGGGGAGGCTGAGGTGGGAGGATCACTCGAACCTGGGGGGCAGAGGTTACAGTGAGCTGTGATTGCACCACTGCACTCCAGCCAGAGTGACAAAGCGAGACCCTGATTCAAACGGAAAAAAAAAAAAGAAAATAGATTTATGGGTGAGTGCAGAGGCTCATGCCTAAAAACCCCAGCACTTTGGGAGGCCAAGGTGGGAGGATCACTTGAAGCCAGGCGTGAAAAACCAGCCTGGGCAACACAGCAAGACCCTGTCTCCACTAAATACAGTAGATTTATGTACAGAAAAGTGGGCTATTTTAAAAGTAAACTTTTTAAAGTAAAAAAAGTTGGCAAACTTTTTCAGTAGAGGGACAGACAGTGAATATTTTAGGTTTTGTGAACCATATGGTCTCTTGTTGAATGTTCTTTTTGTTTTGTTTTTAGGGGTGTGTGTGTGTGTGTAAACAACTTTTAAAAATGTAAAAACTGTTCTTAGCTCCCCGGCCAAACAAAAACAGGCCTTGGACTGAATTTGGCCAGCGGTTCGCCAACCCCTGTTTTAAAGAAAAATAAGTGAATAATCCCATGTGGAGGATTCAGAAAAACAGCCACAGAGCACAGCAAGCCCTCCCAGCTGGCCTTGCACACTGGCGACAGCTGGGGCTTGCAGAGCTCAGGGAAGGAGGGCTGTTCCCAGGGCCAGAGGTTAGCATGACAGAATAACAGACGAGATGGAAGGGAGCACCGATGGTGTTCCGTGGTTAAGGGTACTGGCTTTAGAGCTGGTCACACCTAGACTGGAATCCTGCCGCCATCATTCGCTCCTGGCTATGCGGCCTTGGGTAACTTAACTGCTCTCTGCCTCAGTTTCCCCATCTTAAAATGGGGCCTATGGTCCCTGCCTGATGGGGCTATGAGATCACCTATGTAAAGGACTTAGACCCATGCCTCACAGTAAACTTTAAGTAAATGGTGCCTTCTACTGGTATTTTTGCTGCTTTTATGATGAATATGGATATTGTTACTGAGTGTGGTGAGAATCTGGGACCCAGGGAGTAGGCTCCTTTGCTCCCTAATAGGATTGTCAGATTTGGCAAACAAACCAAAACAAACACAAAGACAGGATGCCCAGTACATGAATATCCGATGGACAACAAATAAATTTTAGGAGAGGCATGGTGGCTCCTCCTCCTCCTTTAGGCTGAGGTGGGCAGATCTCTGGAGCCCAGGAGTTCGAGACCAGCCTGGGCAACATGGTGAAACTCCATCTCTACAAAAATTACGAAAATTAGCTGGGCATGGTGGTGAGTGCCTGTAGTCCCAGCTACTTGAGAGGCTGAGATGGGAGGATCACTTGAGCCCGGGAGGTCAAGGCTGCAGTGAGTCGTGACTGCACCACTGCACTCCAGCCTGGGTGACAGAGTGAGACCCTGTCTCAAAAACAAACAAACAAACAAACAAAAACCAAAAAACTAAACCCTCCCCCCCCACCAACAAAACCAAATATTTTTTAGCATAAGTATGTCCCATGTTATATTAATATTTGGGCCATAGTCATACTAAAAAACAGTACTTATTGTTTATCTGAAATCTCTAATTTAACCGGGTATACTGTATTTTATCAGGCAACTGGGATCCCAAAGTATCTATTTCATCAGTTCTATGAGGAAAAACAGAACCATTCACTTCATAATGAAAAACAGTGGTTAGCATGTTTTTGAATGGGATTTTCTGTATTTTAAAGCCTTTTCATGTATTTTAGCTCATTGAAGAGGTGGGCACAGCAAAGGCATCATTATTACTTCTGTTCTACAGCTGAGGATGTTGAAATTGACATGCCCAATGCAAGGCTACACAGCTTGTCTAGGAACGGAAGCCAGATCTTGGATTTTTGTTTGTTTTTGAGACAGGGTCTCACTCTGTCACCCAGGGTGGAGCGCAGTGGCGTGATCTCGGCTCACCGCAACCTCCGCCTCCTGGATTCAAGCAATTCTCTTGCTTCAGCCTCCTCAGTGGCTGGGATTACAGGCGTGCACCACCACGCCCAGCTAATTTTTGTATTTTTAGTAGAGATGGGGTTTCGCCATATTGACCAGGCTGGTCTCAAACTCCTGACCTCAAGTGATCCATCCGCCTCTGCTTCCCAAAGTGCTGGGATTACAGGCATGAGCCACTGAGCCCCGCCAGATCTCGGATTTCTTACTGCTGGACAGGGAAAAGTGACTGGAGAGTAAATTATGGTCTCTGAGCCCATTTAGAGGCAAGGCTTGGATAAAAAAAGAAGGGAAGAGAAAATTCTAGATGAGAGCTGAAGCTGGAGAAAGGATGAGAACGGGAAACTCGGCTGTGCCAAGAGGCAGAGAAGAGAAGGCATGAGGTCCAACTTAGCTGGAGTTGGTCTCCCTCCAGCCTCCGGCTTCTCCACACCCCTGGCATCTCCAGCTTGTGCTGTCCTCCGCTCCAGCACACACTGAGCAAACGCGGCCAGGCCCACCGGAGTATGCAGTGAGTGGAGGAGAGGGTACGGAGTCGGGGAACCCGAAGCCTCACTCCTGACCGTTCCTTCCTCCCTCAGTGCTTCTCAGTCAGCTTCCTTCATTCACACTTACCTTGAAAGCTGTCATTGATGACTGTGCAATTCGTGTTGTTGGTACATATTCTCCAGACATCTGCAAAAAACTCATCTCCTACCCACCAGGCCTGTAACACAAAATGGAAATAGAGAGAAAGGCCGTCCGTTCATGATGCAAACACTGACTGCTAATTAGGCACGAGGCATGGTGGGCTTCCAGGATTCTCAAACTGCAACACATGTGAGAATTGCCTGAGGAGCTTATTCTAATGCAGACTGACTCAGGAGGTCTGGGGTGGGGACTGGGATTCTGCATTTCTTTCTTTTCTATTTATTTATTTTTTTGAGACAGGGTCTTGCTCTGTCATCCAGGCTGGAGGGCAGTGGCACAGTCTTGGCTCACTGCAGCCTCCATCTCTTGGGCTCGAGCAATCCTCCCACCTCAGCCTCCTGAGTATCTGGGACTACAGGTGCACATCACCACGCCTACTTTTTGTATTTTTTGTAGAGTCAGTGTTTACTATGTTGTCAGGCTAGTCTTGAACTCCTGACCTCAGGTGATCCGCCCACCTCAGCCTCCCACAGTGCTGGGATTACAAGCATGAGCCACTGCGCTCAGCCGGGATTCTACATTTCTTTTTTTTTTTCCTTTTTTTGTTTTTTTTGAGACAGAGTTTCACTCTTGTTGCCCAGGCTGGAGTGCGATGCATGATCTTGGCTCACTGCAACCCTCCCATACTGGGTTCAAGCAATTCTCCTGCCTCAGTCTCACGAGTAGCTGGGATTTAGAGGCATGCACCAGCACACCTGGCTCATTTTTGTATTTTTAGTAGAGACAGGGTTTCGCCATGTTGGTCAGACTAGTCTCAAACTTCTGACCTCAGGTGATCCACCTGCCTTGGCCTCCCAAAGTGCTGGGATTACAGGCGTGAGCCACCACGCCTGGCCAGGATTCTGCATTTCTAACCGGCTCCAGGTGATGCCCTGCTACTTTCTCCCAAAGGATAAGAGGTGGTCCAGGCCCTCAGAGAGTATGGGAGAAAAGATGAGGCTGAGTTGCTGGAAGTAATAGCAGTCAGGGGTGGGCACAGTGGCTCATGCCTATAATTTCAGCACTTTGGGAGGCCGAGGTGGGAGGATTGCTTGAGCCCAGGAGTTTGAGACCAGCCGGGGCAACCCATCTCTACAAAAAAATACAAAAAATTAGTCAGGCATGGTGGTGTGTGACTGTAGTCCCAGCTACTCAGGAGTCTGAGGTGGGAGGATCGCTTGAGCCTGGGCAGTAGAGGCTGCAGTGAGCCATGATCGCAACACTACACTCCAGCCTGGGTGACAGAGAGAGACCCTGTCACAAACAAACAAACAAACATTGCAATGGATGGGATGACCAGACAAGATTCTCCTGTCTTCAGCCAAAAGCATTCATTTCCCTGTGTGCTTTGGTGGCTGCTGCCCTTCCCCCACTGCCCAAGATGGCCTTCCTTCTACTTTCCAGTTGCCAAGCACAATTCCAAATACATAATGAATACCCTCAGACTCACCGATGGACAAAAAGTCCATCTGCATCTTCTTAGTATGTGCCATGATAATATACCCTGGGGGTGCTGGATACGATTCACTAAGGCTGATGGTTTTCCTGCCCCTAATGTCTGTCTATCCTTTTCACTAAGTCTGGGACCTTTTCAGGATCCCAAAGGACTAGATGGGAAGAAATAGAAAAAGGAGATTCTAAAAGAACATTCGGTCCCATTTATTTCACAGTGAGCTCCTGGAATGGTGGGTCCAAATACTATAATCTAGGACTCCCCAACCCATGGGCCATGGACTGGTACCTGTCTGTAGCCTGTTAGGAACCAGGCCACGCAGCAGGAGGTGAGCAGCCAGTGAAGGCAGCTTCATCTGTATTTACAGCTGCTCCCCATCACTCACATTACTGCCTGAGCTCTGCCTCCTGTCAGGTCACCAGGGGCATTAGATTCTTATAGGAGTGTCAACCTTGTGAACTGTGCATGCCAGGGATCTAGGCTGCACGCTCCTTATGAGACTCTAATGCCTGATGATCTGTCACTGTCTCCCATCACCCCCAGATGGGACCGTCTAGTCCAGAACAACAAGCTCAGGGCTCCCACTGATTCCACATTATGACGAGTTATATAATTATTTCATTATATATTAAAATGTAATAATAATAAAGTGCACAATAAATGTAATGCACTTGAATCATTCTGAAACCATCCCCCTGCAATGCCCCCTCCCCAGTCTGTAGAAAAATTGTCTTCCATGAAACCGGTTCCTGGTGCCAAAAACGTTGGGGACCACTGCTATAATCCATAGCAGCAATGTGGTCCCTGCCCAGGCCACTCACAGCAGCTCAGCAAGAAGCTCCAGAACCCAAATGCGATTATTGTGCTCATCTCCCCTGACAGGCTCTAGGACCAGGAGCCTCTGGAATGGCTCAAATCCTGGCTCTGCTGCTTACTGCACTGTAAACTCTGCCAAGTGCCCGAATGGCCCTGAGGCGCAGTTCCTTCACCTGTAACCCGGTGCAAGGAGATGTCGGTGCCCTACCTGGTACAGCTGGGGTGGGGATCACATGAGATGACATGCATAAAAGGGCCACAGTGATCGCTAAGTGACAGGCATTATAGTTTATGTTACTATTGTCATGATGATCCATCAACGGGAGCCGTATATGTAGGCAGAGTTGGTGGCCACTCGTATGGTGTACTTTTTGGCTTTCTGAGCAATGTTTCTGCCCTTTAATTATCTCTGCAGTCTAAAATGAGCAGGATGGAAGCCAGGTCTTTGGAACAGTGTATAGGCTGTTAAGAAGCTTCCCTGATGTCACTCCCTGTTTGGAGGGATATTAATCTATGCCAAGAGGTTATTTATCCAATACATTCCTGCCATATGGCTGCAAGCTGGATACTAAAGGGAAACATTAAATTTTTCATAGGGGCATAGGTAGAGTCTGGAAAGTTCCATGCATGAGCTCTGCTGGGGAGGACATGGCCGGGTGGGCTAGCAACAAGGGACCCTGGTTGATAAGGAGGTGTCAGGGGTTGGGGGCAGAGGTCACCTGGGATGGGTCACCTGGAAGATCTAGGGCAGCGGTCCTCAACAGAGGGTGATTTTGTTCTCCATGGGACATTTAACAATGTCTGAAGATATTTTGGATTGTCATAACCAGGGGTGGGGGAGCTACTGCATCTAGCAGATAAGGCCAGACACGTTGCTGAACTTCCTACAATGCACAGGGAGGCCCCTACAACAAAGGATTATCCAGCCCAAAATGACAATAGTGGCAAGGTTGAGAACTCTGATCTAGAGGAAAGCTGAAGTCACACAACATCCTCAAAGGGCTTCCTAGAGCCAGGCTCTATGAAAGAATCACAGATGGGAGGACAAACGTCCCTGCCTGCCAGGACCTGCCACCAAAACCTGAACATGGGACGGCCTGAACCTTCACATTTAGGCCAAGAGTCCTCAGCCCTTGGGTCAGAAGATGTGTGTGCCTTCGCAGGGAGGACAACCCCGAATCGTGGTTGAACCTTGGCAGGTTCAACATTGAGAACTTTGGCAGGGTTCTCAACCTGTGATATGGTTCGGCTGTGTCCCCACCCAAATCTCGTATTGTATTCCCATAATTCCCACATGTCGTGGGAGGGACCCGGTGGGAGGTAACTGAATCATGGGAGCAAGTTTATCCCATACTGTTCTTGTGGTAGTGAATAAGTCTCACGAGATCTGACGGTTTTATAAAGGGCAGTTCCCCTGCACACGCTCTCTTGCCTGCCACCATGTAAGATGTGGCTTTGCTCCTCCTTTGCCTTCTGCAGAGGCCTCCCAGACATGTGGAATTGTGAGTCCATTAGACCTCATTTTCCTTATAAATTACCTAGTCTCTGGTATGCCTTTATCAGCAGCATGAGAACAGACCAATACAACCCACTTCTATTGACTGCAGGACCCAGGTTTCTGCGTGAGTGGCAGGAAAGGAAACTTACATTGTCGACGGTGGCAATGAACAGCAAGGCTGCAGAGGTGATGTGGAAGGCGATGATGAAAGCAAGAAGCACCAACATTTTCACAGGGCAGGGCGAGTCGAGGCGAGGGGTCACGTTTAAAGCCCAGAGCGGGATGTGCTGAAGAGGGTAAGAAAGAGAAATTCAAAATCTGTCAATGACAAAACAAAATTACAATAAAAAATAAACACCTTTTAGCTGGGCGTGGTGGCTCATGCCTATAATCCTGGAACTTTGGGAGAAGGTGGGAAGATCACTTGAGCCCAGGAGATTGAGACCAGCCCAGGCAACATAGTAAGACACTGTCTATAAAAACAATAAAAGAAAATTAGCTGGGCGTGGTCGTCATACCTGCAGTCCCAGCTACTTAGGAGGCTGAGGCAGGAAGATTGCTTGAGACTGGGAGGTTGAGGACGCAGTGAGCCATAATTGCGCCACTGCACTCCAGCCTGGGCAACAAAGCAAGGCTCTGTCTGTTAAAAAGAAAAGGCAACATTTCATGGGGTCTTAGAAAAGCAAAAACAGTGCTCCCCATCTTTACTCGCCTGGAGACTTTACTGGACAAAAGTCTGGCATGAGAGGGGCTGTCTGCTGTTGCATCCAGACGACAAATATTCCTTGTGGAGGAGGAGGGTGAGGACCCATTAGAATCCCTAATTGAGAAAAGCATCACGTCTCTTGGGCAGGAAGGAGTGGCTCTGTGTGTGCTAAGATGCTGTTCCTGATTCCCCATGCTCAGAAGCTCATTTTCTGACGATTCCTGATCAGAGCCCCTACTTCATAACAAAGCAAAAGTGATCACAATACAGAAATATTTCCTAACGATCTGACCATTTATAAAATTAATCCCCAGCTGGGCATGGTGGCTCACGCCTGTAATCTCACCATTTTGGGAGGCCAAGGCAAGAGGATGTTAATTAAGCCCAGGAGTTTGAGACCAGCTTGGGCAACAGAGCAAAACTCCATCTCTACAAAACATTTGGAAAACTAGCCTAGTGTTATGGCAGGTGCCTGTGGTCCCACCTACTTGGTAAACTAAGACAGAAGGATTGCTTGAGCCCAGGAGGTGGAGGCTGCAATAAACCATGATCTCATCACTGCACACTAGCCTGGGTGACACAGCAAGACCACATCTCAAAGAAATAAAAATAAAAATAAAATAAAATAAAATAAAATAAATACCCACTCAGACACCATTCTTCTTAATATATATTCCCATTTGAACAACACTGGACCCCAAAAAAATACAACAAGTGGCAGACAGCTGCCATTTCATTTTCCCCTCTCTGATCACACAGGAAGACTATATTTCCTGGACTCCCTTGCAGCTAGATGGGGAACTCATTACTAATAGGCCAGAACTTCATGACATGGCCATTTCCAGGCTGATGAAGAGGGCAGCAGGTACTTGTGACTAATTCAAACCAATGGGCCAGAACTGCATGACATGGCCATTTCCGGGCTGATGCAGAAGAGAGCAGGTATGAGTTCTCCATGCTCCCTCTCCCTAAGGAGGTAGCTGGGGATGGTGCAGCCATAGTAGGTTGAAGCCTCACACCTTGGACAGATATTATGATTGGGGAATTAATAAACCTCTGGATGTTAAACCACTGAGATTTCAGGGTAATGCTTTACTTTGGCAGGACAGTTTGAGTGACATACAAGAGGAAGCAATTGCAAAGTGAAATTGGAAGTCTTACAACAGAACTACAGTTGTCCAAAGTTGATAAAAATGTCATGGGAGATCAGATGAAAAGCCACTGAGGGCATGAATACATGAGGACTTGTCTGAGCTGGAGAAGTTCCCAATAAATGAGGAAAAAGCATTCAAAAGAATGCTTTAACTATCAAACAATTAAAAGTCACACTGGGAAAAATTGATAAAATCTTTGAGTATTTTATAACCATCATCTTGGTCAACAAAACTCAAATGTCAAGGGAAGATGTCACATCAAATGATCTGGTTGGAAGATGCAGCCTCCTAATATCAACACTTGGTTCATTCTTCTTTTATTCCAATAATTTGTGACGAGATAGTTACTACATTTTTTTGGAAAAAAATTAATTTGTAGTTTCATGTTTTGAAGTACAGTGCGAATCAGACCTTCTGTTCACTGGGATGAAATTGTAGCCCCAGTTTTAAATGGATTAATGCACGCACACACACACACTCACACACACACACACACACATACACTGTCTCTCTTTTTCTGAACCACTTGAGAGTAAGTTGCCTAAACCATACAACTAAGTGCTTTAGTGTGTATTTCTGAAAAACCAAGGACATTTTCTTTCTTTTCTTTTCTTTTCTTTTTTTTTCTTTTTCTTTTTTTTTTTTTTTTTTTTGAGACAGAGTCTCACTCTGTTGCCCAGGCTGGAGTACAGTGGTGCGATCTCAGCCCACTGCATCCTCTGCCTCCCAGGTTCAAGTGATTCTCCTGCCTCAGCCTCCTGAGTAGCTGGGACTACAGGCACGTGTCACCACGCCCAGCTAATTTTTGTATTTTTAGTACAGACAGGGTTTCACTATGTTGGCCAGGCTGGTCTCGAACTCCTGACCTCAGGTGATCCGCCTGCCTCGGCCTCCCAAAGTGCTGGGATTACAGGCGTGAGCCACCGCACCTGGTTGCACATTTTCTTACATAACCACACTATGATGATCACAATGGAGAAATTTAACGTGATACAATATAACTATCATATCTACAGTCCATAGTCAAATTTCCCCAATTAACCCAATAATGTTCTACATGGCTTTCTTTTTCCTGCCCCAGGATCCAATCCAAGCTGATACACTGCATTTTCGTTTCAGGTCTCTTTAGTCCCCTTTAATCTGGAATACTTCCTCAGGTCTGTCTTTGTTTTTCATAACATTGATATTATTTAAGAATATTGACCACTTATTTTGTAGAATGTCCCTCAAATTTGTGTTCGATGTTTCCTGATGATTCGATCCAGATTATATTTTTTAAGCAGGAATGGCATATGAGCCATGTGTCCTCAATGGATCCCACCAGGAGGTGCAGTATGCCAGTTTGTCCCATCATTGGTGATGCTAACTTTGATCACTGGGTTGTGTTCTGCCAGATTCTTTCACTGTACATTTCCCCTTTGTCATTAAAAAATACTTTGTAAGGCTGGGCATGGTGCCTCATGCTTGTAATCCCGGCACTTTGGGAGGCCGAGGTGGGTGGATCACCTGAGGTCTGGAGTTCGAGACCAGCCTGGCCAACGTAGTGAAACCCTGTCTCTACTAAAAACACAAAAATTAGCCGGGCGTGGTGGTGGGCACCTGTAATTCCAGGTACTCAGGAGGCTGAGGCAGGAGAATCACTTGAACCCAGAAGGCAGAGGTTGCACTGAGCCAAGAACGCGCCACTGCACTCCAGCCTGGGTGACAGAGAGAGATTCCATCTCAAAAAAAAAAAAATTGTAGAAGTGATATTTGATAAAATACACATAACATTTACTATTAGTGTAAATGAGACACATTACATTCCCAATATTGTATATCCATCACCACTATCCAGTTCTAGAACGTTTCATCACCCCCAAAGTAAATTGTGTACTCACTAAGCAGTTATTCCCTATTCTCCCTTCCCCCAACCCCCAGCAACAAATAATATACTTTCTGTTTCTATGGATTTGTCTATTTTAGATATTTCATATCGTTGGAATCATACAATAGTGTGGCCTTTTGTGTCTGTCTTCTTTCATTTAGCACAGTGTTTCAAAGGTCCATCCATGATGTGGCATGTGTGGGAAGGTATTTTGAGATAATGTAAAGATCCTCTCTCAAGAAACTTTCACTCAGAGTTTAAGCATTCACTGATATTTCTGAAATAGGATTTTCGTTTGTTTGTTTTTGAGACAGAGTCTTGCTCCGTTGCCCAGGCTGGAGTGCAGTGGCACAATCTCGGCTCACTGCAACCTCTGCCTCCCGGGTTCAAGCGATTCTCCTGCCTCAGCCTCCCCAGTAGCTGGGACTACAGGCACGTGCTACTACGCCTGGCTAATTTTTGCATTTTTAGTAGAGACAGAGTTTCACTGTGTTTGCCAGGCTGGTCTCAAACCCTTGACCTCATGTGATCTGCCTGCCTTGGTCTCCCGAAGTGCTGGGATTACAGACGTGAGCCACCATCCCCAGAGCAAAATAGGATCATTTTAAAAGGCCTTTTTCTGGTACCAACTATTCCCCCTCCTCTAGTGGACATGCACTGACTGCACAAACCCTCCACCTTTTCACTGCCAGCTCTCCTCTCCAACCATGCTCATTCTCATCCCCATTATCCCCCCACGGAATGGATCAAGGCTCATGGGCTCATACAGGGTCCACTCCTTGAGACCCAGGACACACTAACAATGAGCCAGGAGCTGTATGGCTGCAGAACTCAGTCTGAGAGGTCCTGGCTGTGATTCTGTGCATCACCAATTAGAAGGACCCAATGAACCAGCTTGGAGATTCTTCTAATTCTTTCAAAAAAGACAAATTCCCCTTTGTTTAGGCCTGCGTCATTCTTAGCTGCCACCATATGCTGCTGCCTCCAAAATGATGCATTCCCTTTTTTTTTTTTTTTTAATAGATGCATTTCTGACCCTGGGGGGAAAAAGGGCTCATGTACCACGCTGAATGCCCTGTTACTTTAACATCAGCAGGAATGCCCAAATGCCAACTTCACCAGGGCCATTAACTCCAGGGTGATAATAGCTTCATATGTTGTCCAGCTGGGATGACACAAATGCATATGGACATGTAACTAAAACTTTCTAGAAAATAATAATTAAAAAGAAAAAAGGTTTTAACCCATTCTTTCCCAAAGGATGGAATTAAAATGTTATAAGGCATGATTTTGGACAGTGCATTGATAGGGCATTAAGCAACATTGAACCACATGGTGAAAAAGTTCCCATTCCAATCCTACTGAGTTCACCAAGGAAAAGACCCAGTTTGGTGCTAGTCAGTCTCCAATACTTGCTAATTTCTTTTTGACAAAAAGAGAAAACAGATCTTTGGTTAAAATGTATTTGTAGCTAGAATTTAATAGCATCATTCTGAGTTTATTGTATTTATTTTTAACGTTCTTTCTTTTTATAAGGAAGAAACACCACGTATAGCAGTGATATAAAGTATTTTAAAACCAAGTTATTGAAGCTTTAAAAGTGAACAATTTAGGGAAAATGTTATGTAAGTAAAAGGACAGGTGGTCCTCAGTGTCAGTAGAAATCCTCAGGGTGGTTGTCAAATGCTGATGTCTGGGAAGTACTGCTTTAAGCTCTGGGAATGGTTTCAGATGGACATTTCAGACATCAGGAACAAGCTTCTACAGAGAAAGGGATACGTTTTCAAGAGAAGTCAAGTAAGGTTTCTAGTACATGTAAAGGAAATGGCAGTTAGAGGTTGGTTTCAACCATTAGGCACTCCGAAAAACAACAGAGAAGTAAAGGTCTCCTATGACATCTGGAATTCAGATCTCCAGTAAAAACCAAAATGCGGTAGCTCAATTTTAGGACTTGTGAACCCAGGACATTGCTGGTGACTTCACCCGAGGCTTTGGAGGAAGTTATTCACAAGTAGCGGAAATCCCCCGAATGTTTAAGAGGGAATAAAAATAACCCTTTACTCCTGCATCTCTATACCAAAATAAGTCTCCCTTCTGCGCCACTATTCCCGACGCCAGTCAGCCACTGCCCTCTTAGAGGCAACCACGCTTCTCAGTTTCCTGTGCCTCCTTCCAGAGATATTGATTGCGAGAACACTTATTCTTCACTCCACGTTTCCGTGTGGCGGTAGCCGTACCAGAGTAACACTCTCTGCCTCGTCCCGCCCCTCACTCATCTCTTCACACCTGATTGGAGGAAACGCCACTGTCCGCTTTCTGGATTGGTGGAGTGCATTTATTCAGGCCCCGGTGCAGTGCTTTGCCCTTCCCGGCACCTTCTCCTGGGCATGGCTGCTCCCACCGAGCCCCAGTCAACTTTCTTTGGCTGGAGGGGCCGAAGGCTAGTAGGGGACAAGAGTGTGGAGCTGGGAGCTCCAGCAAGCTCCTTTGGCCACAAGTCTAAGCCGCATCCTCCAACCTAGCTTTTCTAATAATATCCCTCAGAGAACATTCTTTCCCTGTGCCTACGAATCCACCTCATTCCTTGGGCTGCCTGGTGTTTTGTTGTGCGGCTACACCACAATTTACTTAACTGGTTCCCTATTGGTAGCCATTTAGGTCGCTTCCGGACTTTCTGCGGCTCCATACGGCACTGCCAACGAGCAACCTTCCACTTATTTCTTTGCACACATTGCATTGATATATTTAAAGATAGATTCCTAATAGTGAAGGCGTTGAAGCAAAGAGTATGTGCATTTATTTTTGTGATTTAAACAATTTAACTTACTGCCATGTATACTGGACACTGTTCATACTGTGTCAGCCCTGATCTTCAGAGGGTCTTCAGACAGTATCAAAACCTTTTTTTTCTTTCTTTCTTTTTTTTTTTTTTGAGACGGAGTCTCGCTCTGTCACCCAGGCTGGAGTGCAGTGACGTGATATCGGCTCACTGCAACCTCCACCTCCCGAGTTCAAGCGATTCTCCTGCCTCAGCCTCCTGAGTAGCTGGGATTACAGGCATGGGCCACCATGCCCAGCTAATTTTTGTATTTTTAGTAAAGACAGGGTTTCACTATGTTGGCCAGGCTGGTCTCGACCTCCTAACCTCAGGTGATCCACCAGCCTTGGCCTCCCAGAGTGCTAGGATTACAGGCGTGAGCCACCGTGCCCGACCAAGCACTGGATCAACTCTTAAGCATTTATGTGAGTGGGTGGAGAAGCCTTGATGTTATGTCTTTGGCTCCTGACATAAGTTGCCCCCAAGAAATATAATTCTGGTCCCTAGAGACCAGCTTCCCCAGGGCTTTTCCAAGTGGTGCTGTCTCCTTGCCACTACATACACCCATGTTGCATCCTGCCCTCTCTGATGATACGAAAGAACAAACAAACAGTTCCCGGGGCTGTGTGTTGGATGAAGACTGGTCCACCAAGCCCAGGGTGGCATCAGAATTAATCCTTGCCATTCACAAAAAGTTATTTTCCCTTCGAAAAATGTAACAGTAAATACAGATCCATCTCCTTCCCCCACCACACCCCAACCCCTATGCCTGCCCTTGTGCCTGCAGGCTTCAGTGCTCTGCTGCTTTAGGGGAACTAGTCTTGTCTCGGTTCCCCTGAACACGGTTCCCTGGAGCGGTCTCTCCGTTTCACCCTCAGCTGGCTCTCTGGCATTGTCTAGGTCTTAATTCAAACATCATCTCCCCAGAAAAGCACCCCTGAGCATACCGTGTAAAGTAACCACGCCCCCTCCAGCATAATCTAGCCCATCCCCCTAGTTTATTTTCTTTGGAGGATTGCATGGTCTGAAAGCATCTTATTCGTTCAGTTGTTTATTGTCTCTCCCCCTCTGACAGCTATTTGCTATCATTGTCCAGTTCTAGAAATGTAGAGCTGTAAAGGCCCTTGGAAAACTCAAAGCCCTATTGTCCAGAGGTATTAACAGAAACGAAGGAGGGCCAAGACTTGCTCCATCTCACAGCAAAGCAGGAACAAGGTCAGGACTAGACCAGGGTCTCCTGGCTACTCCTCCAATCACCCTATCTCAGTGGGATACTCCTCAGAATGCCCACGACAATCTTTCAGGAGTCAGTGATGTTCCCCAAAAGCCTCTGCCACTTTGAAGCATAACTTTCGCTGTGGAATGCAAACTGCTTTTTTCCTTCTTCAATTTCTTTAGGGGCCAAGCAGAACATTCTAAAAGGCCACCTGAGTTTGGGCGCTTACCCACCTGAAGGTAGGAGACTGCACTAGATGAAGTGTTCAAGTTTCTGTATAGAAATCAAAGTCCTATGATTTGCAGAACTTCTCTTTTAAAAATGTTTTGATCTACATAAAATGATGATTTTTAAAAGAAGATAACAGAACCAAAAGGTATATGGTGTAAAACAGTCTTCTGTCATACCCCTGTCCTACAACCTGGAAGCAGTCACTTTTTTTTTCTTTTTTTTTGAGATGGAGTTTTGTTTTTTTTCCCAGGCTGGAGTACAATGGAGCGATCTCGGCTCACCACAACCTCTGCCTCCTGAGTCCAGGCAATTCTCATGCCTCAGCCTCCCAAGTAGCTGGGATTACAGGCATGCGCCACCACGCCTGGCTAATTCTGTATTTTTAGTAGAGATGGGGTTTCTCCATGTTAGTCAGGCTGGTCTTGAACTCCCAATCTCGGGTGATCTGCCTGCCTCGGCCTCCCAAAGTGCTGGGATTATAGGCATGAGCCATGACACCTCGCCAAAGCAATCACTTTTAATCTTTTCAGCTGTTTCTACTCTTCTTCCCTTCTCCATATTTCCAAACAATACTCATGCACTTCTATTTCTTGGTTAACTTAATTATTAACTTCCTGCTTAGGGAAAAGTGTCTCTTTTTCACCATCATTTGCACCCCATCTCCTTCCTTCCATCATCTCAATACAGTCTACATTTAGATCAATAATTGTCATTTACATGATTGCTATATAAATATTGTACTCTACAGAGCCAAATAGTGTACTATGATTGCACTTTTCCTTGAAAAACTCCTTTTCCCCTAGCATTTCCAGTTTCCTTCCTTCTTTTCTTCCCTCCATCTTTCCTTCCTTCTTGTCTGTGGTTCCATCTATTTTCCATATTGCTTCAGTTCCTTCCAATTTTTTTTAAAATCATTTCAAGTCTTCTGTTGCAGAACCCCAAACGCAACAAATGTATGGTTTTGGTTACAAGCCTGCGGTTGGCCTGATTCTTTGCAGTGCACATTCTCCAGCCAGTCTCTCTCCTGACTCTGCCTTTCCCTGCTGCCTGCCAGGTGCAGCCTCAGCAACTGCTGCTGTCACAGGACAAGTAGGACAAGCAATCCATGTGTGGCACTTTTCAGGGAAGACAGCAAATTCACTTCTAACTGTGGGCAGGACAGAGGGGTTCAACATAACCCCAAGATAAGTAGGCAATAAGGCAGATCCCTGGGGAAGGGGTGCCCACAGGGGTCATGCCACATGAAAACGAGACTCCTCATGACTAAAGGTCAAGCTTCAGCTTACACAGCACATGCTGCACAGGATTTTCATGTCAATCTTATGATGCTGGCAGAGCAAGGTATCTTTATCCCCATTTTACAGATGAGAAACCAAGGGTCCTAATGGTTCTGGGTGATTTGCCAAAATTCACAGGACTGGAACTCACTAGTTTTCCAGTTCCAAATACAGGGCATTTTTATACGACTCTCTTTCCTCTCACATGCTTAGGGCCTGGTGAAAACCATGCAGCAACCTAATTAAGATCAGCAGAGAGGGCACAAGGCAGTATCAAATCATCTTTGTGTCCACTGAGCTTTGTACCAGGCAGGGGGAATCTGTGAAGGCAACCTCTCTCTGCACTGGCCCATTCGCTAAGGTTGAGGGATGACTGGGCTAATTAAGAGAGGGCCTAAAAAAGAATCGTGCTTTAGGCTGGGTGCAGTGGCTCATGGCTATAATCCCAGCACTTTGGGAGGCTGAGGCGGGCAGATCGCTTGAGGCCAGGAGTTCGAGACTAGCCTGGCCAACATGGCAAAACGCTGTCTCTACTAAAAATACAAATATTATCCAGGCACGGTGGCAGATGCCTATCGTCCCAGCTACTTGGGAGGCTGAGGCATGAGAATCGCCTGAACCCGGTAGGTGGAGGTTGCATTGAGCCGAGATCCCACCACTGCACTCCAGCCTGGGTGACAGAGTGAGACTCCATCTCAAAAAAAAAAAAAAAACCCAGAAAACAAACAAAAAAACCCCATGCTTTAGGCTGCATAGGGTTGGCTGCATTTTTCATCCTGTTAGCTCACTGGCCAAGCTGAAGCGCTTGCTGTCTTTTTTGATCTAACTTTGAGACTGGTTTGGATTATGGATAAAGTTTTTCCTTGGTATCTAAAAGGAACTAAGCACATGTGGTAGAATGGGTTCAATTCTCTTTTCAAAATTAACTTCTAAATGAATCACTTTTTCTGAGTATCCAGAAACTCAGTGAGGTGGATCTCACTGTGTACACTAAATGGCCTGGATGCCCCAACCTTGATTTGATGCATTGTAGATACCATGGTGAGCTGTCTTCAGATTCAAGGCCTGAATACTCCCCATTCTGTGAAATACCCATAAAAATAATCACATAAAATAATATAGAACACAGGAAATTACAACTTCAGACATAAGTTTCTTTTTAAAGGAAAAAGAACCCATAACCAGGGTAGAAGAACAGCAAATGGGTTTTTCAAGCAGCAACAAGAAACCTCCGGGCATCAGAACTGGAGAGAGTGGGGCTGTGGAGGAGGAACAAGAGGGAGGAGAAAGGGGTGAGACACTGGGAACTGTGGGTGGCGTTATGGAAATTCTGCACACAAAGTGGAACATTTGTGGCTCAGTGAGTTTCAAGTTTTTTTTTTTTTTTTTAAACAGGATCTCTCTCTGTTGCCCAGGCTGGAGTGCAGTGGCTCAAACATTGCTCACGGCAACCTCGAACTTTTGGGCTCAAGCGATCCTCCTGCCTCAGCCTCCCCAGTAGCTGGGACTACAGCTGTGCACCACCATGCCCGTCTAATTTTATTTTTTGAAGAAATGGAGTCTTGCTGTGTTGCCCAGGCTGGTCTCAAACTCCTGGCCTCAAGCCATCCTCCCACCTTGGCCTCCCAAAGTGCTGGGATCACAGGCATGAGCCAGGGTGCCCAGCTGGAGTTTCAAGTTCTACAGTTTGACAGGAAGAAGGATAGTGCTCCCAGAAATGTCCATCCTGACCCCAGATAACAAAGAGAATTGACATCTCCTCGCTGTTTCCTAAGTAGAGGTGCCGTCCAGCTATGCCTTAGTCCAATGTTTGCTTAAAGTGTGTGTGTGTGTGTGTGTGTGTGTGTCGCACGTCTAGCTCTGGGTGTGGAGAAACACAAACAACCTTCTGGAGGCTCACTGGCCCTCCCTCTTCCAGAAGCAACATTTGGTTTGCTGTTGCTCGTGGAAAGTCACCATGAGGTTCTCGTGGATAAATAAAAGTCTGTGGGATCTGCCCACGGACAGAGTAAGGGTCCACTGCTGTCCTCTTCTTCATAATAACCACGAATCTCCACCCGTGAGCCCCATCCCCTGCTTGCTGTTGCCAAAGGAAGTCACTTTGGCACATGCTCCTTTACGTGCCAGGGAACAAGAGTCAGAGAGCCCAGCTGGCTTCCCGCGGAGAGAGAACGTGCTGTTAAGATGACCGCTCCGTCCGCCCAACTCCATTCCCGCCCTCGGGAGTTCTTCCTACTATTTAAACCACAGCCGATTCCCAGTCTGAGTTGGAGCCTTTTCCCGGAACTGTAGGCAAGAGGACAATCCCGAGGTGTGGAACCTTTCAATACAGACCTGAGATGTTCGGCGTCTGGAGGTCCGAGGCAATCTCCCAATTCAGAAGTGTTCCACCCACAGCTCCCGCTCCAACGGCCAGGGAGGCTCTGGCCCAGAACCCTGGGGAGGGCCGGGCTGGTGAGCAGTCACCCAGGCCACCCTGCAAGGACTCCCAGGCCTGCTCCGGGGCTGGTGGTTCAACCTCAGGCTGGCCAGAACCCAGGCCCCTCCCACTGCCCAGAGCACTCCGAGGGGACGGTGGCTTTGGCCTCTGTTTTCAGGAAGGCAGAGGTCAGCCCAGCCTCCTGCCCTAGTATCTGGACACCAGCCAGCCAGGAGTATTCAGGCGTCTGAGATGCCATGGGGAAGAAAGAAGCCCATTTACCCTGGGCCGCCCAGCTCCATGCTCACTGTGGCTGGAGCTCTGGGCACAAAGTCAGCATTTGGCTCTCTCCGGAAATGGCAACAGGCGGGACACTGGAATTTGGCAGTGCCCCAGGGCAGAAGCCACTGAGGATCATTCTGTCTGTGCAGCCCTGGGTCTTCCAATCTCTTGGAATAATAACAACCACAATTTCAACAATAATGATAGCCAACATTAGTTGTCTAGTGTGTCCCAGGCACTGTTCCAAGCCCTTTTGCCTGGATTAATTTATTCATTACTCACCAACTCTGATGAAGGTTTTTAAATTAGCCTTGCTTTATTTTTATTTTTTTGAGACAGAGTCTCGCTGTGTTGCCCAGGCTAGAGTGCCATGGTGCGATCTCAGCTCACTGTAACCTCCATCTTCCAGGTTCAAGCAATTCTCCTGCCTCAACCTCCCAAGTAGCTGGGATTACAGGCACCTGCCACCATGCCTGGCTAGTTTTTGTATTTTTAGTAAAGACGGAGTGTCACCATGTTGGCCAGGCTGGTCTTGAACTCCTGACCTCATGTGATCTGCCTGCCTCAGCCTCCCAAAGTCCTGGGATTACAGGCGTGAGCCACCGTGCCCAGCAGCCTTGTTTTACAGGTAAAGAAAATAAGGCCCAGAGAGGTTAGACAACTTCCCCAATGTCACACAGCTAGTAAAAGCTGGAGCTGGCATCTGAACCCAAGCAGCGTGGCACCAGAGAAACCATTATCTAGCCCACTTAAATCTGAATTTCCCTTCCCTTTTGGGGTCCTGTTACTTTAAGAGCTGATCAGGGATCTAGCAAAAGTCCTAGGCTCACACACATAGCTTCAGATGCTGGCCACTGCTAAGTTATTCCTCCAGGTCCCACATCCTGGGAACATGCTTTGCAAAGCACACTGGGGACAACGGAAGCAGAGAACACAGGTCATCCCCGAGTCCTCCAGGCTCACAGCTCTTCCCACCGCCGCACGCAGGGTAGTACCTGTCAGTGAGGGGACAGTCCTGTCAGAAGGACAGGCAAGGACTGTGATCCACTTTGTGGGTGAGAAATCAAAGTTAAGGAGTTTGTTCACATCATCCAATTTGCAGGTGGCAGAGCCAGGGCTCTAATCCCAGGCTTCCGATCACTGTCCCCTTGCCCGTTCTTTAAAAATGAAGCAGTTATTCAGCCAGCATTTATTGAGCACCTGCTATGTACTGGGCATGAGTAAGGCATGCTCTGTGTGCCCTGGGGCTGCCGGGTCCCTAAAGGGCAAGGGTGTGTAAACGGACGGATATGACGTGATGGGAGACACTTGTGGTGTGATTGGCCCTGTGTTGGGGTGGGAGCAGCATCAGAAGCTTCATGGAAGAAGCGACACCTGAGCTGGGTCTCTAAGGATGGGCGGAGTGGTGGGGAGAGGGTGTCACAGGCAAGGAGTTCGGGACGCCCCACAGTGCAGAGTGGCACACTTAGGAGAGCACGTTCCGGGCTGGGCCCCAAGATGGACCAGGACTCTCCACTGACCAAGAAGCTTAAGGGCCTTGGAGACCACACAAAGGAGAGCAAATGTTATCCTGGAGGCCAAGGGGGCTGGGGAAGCTTTGTAAGCAGAAAAGGCATGATCTGCTTCTAGAAGAAAACCATTCCACAGTCAGAAGGATGGAGTAGCAGGAGGCAAACGTGGGGAAGCTATTGGAGCAGCCCTGTTGAGAAATGATGAGGGTCTCAAATGAGTTGGGAACAGAGGGGTGGACAGAAGGGAGGGAGCCAAGAGAGCTTCCAGAAGCAGAAGCAACAGGACTTGATGATGGGCTGGGGAAGAGGGCACATGATTCTAGTGCCGTGATCTGCACTGGGACAGGAAGCAGAAGTAGCATGTTTGAAGGATGAGGGAAACAGTTCATTTGGTTTTAGAAATTGGTGACATGGTAGAAATGCATTCAGGTAGTTGGAAATATAGTCAGGACTGTCACTCAGGAGAAAACGGGCTAGAACCAGGAATCCTGGTGTCATGGGTACACAGGTGGCAGACAAAGCCACTGGTAGATGAGAAATCCTGCTCAGGGAGAAAGCATTAAGGGAGAAGAAAGGATGGAAGAGAGAAGGCCAGGGAAGGAGACGGAGGAGTGGGCACAGAGGTGGGAGGGCAACCAAGAGCACATGATGGGACCCAGAAGCCAGGAGAGAAAAGACTAGAAAAATGGGACAAGGAGGGAGAATTAGCTCATTGGCCGAATTGGCAACCACAGTTTTAGGGAAGTGAACTAAAGCCCTTCATTTTTCTTCCTGCAGCATCTCTCAGGGCCTGATGTTGCCTTGTAGTTGTTTACTTGGATATTACATATCTGCCTGCTACAGTGTCAGGTGCCTGGCATGTTTTTGCAGGACAGTATTCACAGCACTTAGAACACGTCTTCCTTATAGATGGTGCTCAGTGAATATGTGTTGAATGAATGACTAAAGAAGCCAGATTTCAAGGAGCTAAAGGGCTAATAACAAGTGAAAAATGAAGCTAGACTTTTATTTAAAATCTGGCAATAAAAGGAGAAAAAAAAGGGTTTATCCAGGGCCTGGAGTCTCTTCTCATGGAGGAAACTCCAGGCCCAGATGGCTTCATGGGTGAATTCTGCCAAACACTTAAGGAAGAATAATACCAATTCTAAACAAACTGTTCCAGGAAATTGAAGAGAAGGGGACACCCCACCTCATTCTGTGAGGCCAGCATTGCCTTGATTCCAAAACCAGACAAAGACATTACACAAGAAAGGAAAGACAGACCAATATCCCACATGTGCATGAGTGAAAAAAAAATTAAACAAAATTTTAGCAGATCAAATCCTCCCATCAAGAGGTACAATCCAATCTATTTCTCCACCTGCTGATGCCCAGCTGGCCTTGTGATTTTTTTATCAATAAAAGGTGGCAGAAGTGTGACATTGTGCCAATTCTGGGCCAAAGCCTCAAGAAGCCTCATGCATGTTCTCTCTCTCTCTCTCTCTCTCTCTCTCTCTCTCTCTCTCTCTCTATCTATCTCTCTCTCTCTATCTCTATCTCTCTGCCCAGTAACTGTGTGAACAAGCCCAGGCTGGCTTGCTGGAAGATAAGATGCCACTTGGAAGACAGACAAGGTTTACCAGTGAAGGACACCCTAGACCAGCCAGCCCCCAGCTGACCCACTAGCTGACCACAGACACATGAATGAGCCCAGCTGAAATCAGAAAAACCACCCAGCTGAGCTCAGCCCAAATTCCCCATCTATAGAATCATGAACAAAATCAGTGTTTTCTATTTTAAGCCATTACATTCTGGGGTGGTTTGTTACCCAGCAAGAGCTAACTGATACAGTGGAGATACTGCTGTATTAGATTTAGAGTTCCTCAAGTACAGAAACTATGACTCACTGACCTTCCCCAGTGCCCAAGGTTGCTCAGCAAATACTTGTTAAATGTTTGCTAGTTTGTGCAGCTTTCACAGAGCAGCTAATAACTGCCATCCTGCCAATGACTGCTGCCTGACCCTGTCAATTAAAGAGCTCACTGCTGGCTGCTGTCATCCAAGGAGCTCCTATAATTATGCTACCCAGTAAAACCACACTGCAGCCCAGAGAGGGTTAATGATATACCTACAGGCACACAGCATGTCAGCATGAGAGTGAGGTTGATGTGGATTACGTTGCTCGGGGTGAGGCAGGTGTCAAATGCAGGGTGTTCCCCAGCCTCACACCCATTAGTTTAGGAATATTCTTTCCTTCACAGAGCACCTTGTCTTGGTGACTTTCAAGTAATCCCCAGGCCCATCAGTCACTCTTGGTTTAACAGCATTTCCTCTTTATTATTATTATTATTATTATTTTGAGATGGAGTCTCACTCTGTCACCCAGGCTGGAGTGCAGTGGCACGATCTCAGCTCACTGCAACCTCTGTCTCCTGCATTCAAGTGATTCTCCTGCCTCAGTCTCCCAAGTAGCTGGAACTACAGGCATGCACCACCACATCCAGCTAATTTTTGTATTTTCAGTAGAGATGGGGTTTCACCATGTTGGCCAGGCTGTTCTCAAACTCCTGACCTCAAATGATCCACCTGCCTTGGTCTCCCAAAGTGCTGGGATTATAGGCATGATCCACTGCACCCAGCTACTTTTTCCTCTTTCATAAGTGACAAGACCTATCATTTTTATAGATGGATCTTTGCTGGCGAGTTAAAGACTGTACATCACTGTCGACAACTCAGCCAGGCCCAAGGAGTCTCAAGACTAGGAAACCAGGACCCCACCTGGTTAACGTGGAAGTTAACATAGGAAGGGGTCACAGGGTAGAAGATGAGCAGGAAGTAATTTGAGTGAAATGAGGTAAGAGCACAGACTTGAGCCAGACTGACTGGACTGTAGACTAGCAACCACTCAGTGTCCCTATTTCTCCACTCTAAAGTGGGGATGACATTGGTATCCCTACCCCTTGGACTGTTGGGAGATAATGAAGTGAAAGTAGTTAGAACAGCATCTGGCATGTAGCAAATGCTATGAAGTGTTACTGACACAGGGCAGGCGAGCCCCCAAATTGGGGCTTCACCCAGGAGGGTTCTTGGCTTCACCCAGGAAAGAATTCAAGGGTGAACCAGTGGTGTTAGCAACTTTTCTTGAAGTGGCAATGTACAACAGCAGCAGAGGGACTGCTCCTTGGGGAGCAGGGCTACCCCATAGGCAGTATGCCTGGAGGTAGTTCACCACTTTTAAGTATATGCAAATTAGGGAGTGGGTTATGCATAAATTTCTAGGAAAAGTGAGGCATCAGGCAGTTGCCATGGAAAGGTGCAGTCACTTCTGTGTGGACATGTCTTATGGAAAGGTAATTCTGGCCAGGCACAGTGGCTCACGCCTGTAATCCCAACATTTTGGTAGGTCGAGGTGGGTGGATCACCTGAGGTCAGAAGTTCAAGACCAGCCTGGCCAACATGGTGAAACCCTGTCTCTGCTAAAAATATAAAAATTAGCTGGGTGTGGTGGCAGGCACCTGTAATCCCAGCTACTTGGGAGGCTGAGGCAGGAGAATTGCTTGAACCTGGGAGGTGGAGGTTGCAGTGAGCTGAGATTGCGCCACTGCACTCCAGCCTCAGCGACAGAGTGAGACTCTGTCTCAAAAAAAAAAAAAAAAAAAAAGGTAATTCTGCCCTGTCCCTATTTTAGCTAGTTTGGTGGTCTGATATGTGGGCCCTACCTCCCAGTCCCACCTCCTACCTCATTATCAATCATCACCAGCATCGTAGTCAAGGAATCTGTCATAGAATAGATACCCCCAGGCCTTTTTCTTCCCCAGAAAGCCAGTGTTCTCTCCTCCCATCCACCACCACCATTCTCAGAAAGGAAGCCACCAAATGGAAATAAACCACCAGGGCAGCCTCCAGGAGGGAAGGAAATGCAAACAGGCAGCTCGGGGCATGTGGACAAGTAGGAGACATTTCAGGCACTGTCCCAGCAACGCTTATGTCGACATTTCCCCAAATCTGCCATTCCTGTTTAGCTTACTCACTTTTTAAACTTATATTTTTATAAAAGGCAACCTTATATCGCAAATGAGATGGAAAGTCAGCATCACCTGCCATAAATAGAAGGTGCTGGAAAAAATAAACACAATGAAAACAAAACATTGTTATTAAATTCCAGCTCCAAGCTCTTGCTGCTCAAAAGCTCCAAGTCCAAGACTGGGTTTCTATTTCTTTGCTAAAACAGGATGTCACTCATGTTTGGGAAGTTTTAAAGTCATATTCGCACAAAACTGAGATTTCCTCTTTGAAGAGGTGAAAGAGAATTTAAAAGGGAGTGATTTGAAAAGGATTCTATGTTACTTAATGCTATGTGTCTGGTCCAACGAAAGCATCTCAGATAGTTCACTTAATGCGTCAACTTGTCTGGGTCACAATGTTTCTGTGAAGGTGCTTTGGGATGAGATTCACATTTGAATCAGTGGACTCTGAGTCAAGCAGATTGCCCTCCCTAACGGGCTATGCCTCATCCAATCAGTTGAAGGCCTGGTAGAACAAAAGGCTGACTTCCTCGGAACAAGAAGGAATTCTGCCAGCAAATGACCTTCAGACTTGAACTACATCATCAGCTCATCCATGGGTCTCCAAGCCTGCTGGCCCGCCCTGCAGATTTTGAACTTGCCAGCCTCCATAATCCCATGAGCAAATTCCCTAAAACAAACTCTCTCTCTAAATATATATGCACCCCTTTGGTTTCTCTGCAGAACCCTAATATAGCATCACTCTCTCAGGGTACCCAGCCCATATGGACTCACCAACCTGAGAGCTGGAAGGTTGAGCCCCTTAACCAGGGACTTGAGGTGGGGAGGGATCCAACAGGAAGTGGTATCACCATGAAAAATTTAGCACTAGGGCAGATGCTGAGCCAGCACCATGGGAACCCATTCCGATGCACTTGGAATCCCACAGTAACATTTCCCTACTAGCATGCCTAGGGGGCTATGAGGTGGCCATGCTGGAAAGAAAGACAATCTCCCAACCCCTTGCCTGTCCCACTGGAGTGCTTCTGATGATATTGCATCTGCTCAATGACATTGTGCGGCTGTGCAACTGGGAAACTGACTCAACACAAAGAGAATCACGCACTCATGCAGTCTCAGCTGAAAGGCGCTGGTGTGACCATGAGAACACACCACCCCCAGCCTCTGCCTGGATTATTTTTCTAGCATCCAGTTTCCATCTGAACATGCCCCGGGACTGGGGACCTCACCATTGCCAAGACCACATCTGATTACCGGACCCTAAGCTTCAGAACAAGGGTTCCCAAACTTCAGTCATTTGTCTACCACCTTCTCGAGTACAGCTGAAAGATTTTCCTTCATAATTGTCCTTAACCCACTTTCTAACATAAATAAATGTATTTTAAAAAGAAATCTTTTGGATCCCTGGGAATGGAAAATCAGCATCATTTGCCATAAATAGAAATTAATTGTGAAAACAAATACCCCCTGCCCCTAAAGTTCACAAATTCTGGTTCAAGGCTGTTGCCTGCCATAGGAACTAAGCTGCAGACCTGCTCTAAGTTAAAGAGGGGAAACTAGAGTTAAAGAGGCACTAAACACCTTAGCCTCAGCTAAGACTCCCCCCTTGATGAAATCAGAAGAACTGAAAGAGAACTGAAAAGGGAATCGCTTTCCCACCAGTGATTTAATGTCATGTGATGACAGAGCTATCTAAAATCACCCCAGCATCATGAATCCCACTGTGCAGAAAACAGCATTAAACAGGGATCTCTCTTCCACTGATTCCAGTTCTGTCTTCAGTGGTCTCCAACCACGAAGTCAGTTCTCCACTTCTCTGAATGCCCCAAGAGGTGGGGCGTGTGTGTCACCATTTTCACAGGTGACTACCTGTCCATCAGTGTGTTCGCTGAGTACACAGAGCATGCGAGGCTCTTTGCAGGCACTGTGGGAGGACAGAAAGACATGGACCACAAGGTGGCGGCCCTCACAGAGAGCTAAAAAAAAACTGTCAGGTTGGTTTCATGCCTCAAACCAGTGCCCCTTCTTTGTCCCCAACAAACCAAGCTCACCTCCCACCCCTCAGAGTAGTGGACCTTTGCATGTGCGTATCCCTCTTTCTGGAATGTTCTTAGATCTTGGTGTAATTGACTTCTTCTCTTCATTCAGCCCCAACTCCTAAGTCAGCAGAGAAGCCTCCCCAACTTTTCTAGTCTACGTGATCTGCCTGCCTTCAGCTCTTGAAGCACTAAACATTATCTGCCATTTTCTTATGTATCGCTGTGCACTTCTTTTTTCTGTCTTGCTGTCTGGAATGGAAGCTCCCAGCGGGCAGGGATTTATGTCGGTCTCATCACTGCTCTGTCCCCGTGCCCAGCACAGTGCCTGGTCCACAGCAGATATTAAGTCATTATCAGTGGAGTGAGGGATGCTGTTTTCAAGAGTGTTTTCCTCCCCACTCCAGGTCTCGCCAAGAAGCCTCAAGCCTTGAGATGACAATATAGCATTCTCTTCCCCTTGGCAGCCCCATGGCCTCCAGCTCTCTGACTCCTCTGAGGGCAGGGAGCATGAATAATTCCATGGCTCATGATCTGCTTGCAAACTGTGGTAAAAACACAATGAGGATGCTTGGGGCAGGGGGAGCAGGGGCTTAGACCAGGCTCTGGAACACACCAAGGTGGGTGAGCCAGGCATTCGTTCCACAGCCCAGGGAGGGCCAGGAAGCTCAAGGTAAGGCCAGGTGTGGAGGGTCAAGTCCAAGGTGGGGCTTTAGCAGGATGGGACACTGGTTCTCTAGGAGCCCTAAGACCCCCTGAGGAAAAGGCAAAGTGGAGAGACTCGGGTTTCCCCAAAGAGGACTGCCAGGGCCGTAACACCCTCATACAGCAAACCAAAGCTCTCCTTGATTCACATCCTCCCAGGGTTGTACATGGACTCCCGCTGTGAGCAGCATGAAATACCACTAAAGCAAGGGGGAAATGGAAGAATTGAGGCATTGGAGATAGTCTCCACCAGAATATTGTCTGCTTGGGTTCACTGCAATCCCCATTTTATAGATGAGAAAACGGAGGGGTAGCGAGGTTAGGTAGCTTGTCAAAGGTCACACCCCCAGTAAGTGGCAGAGCTGGGAGTGGAACACTCATACCCTTCACCACCGTCTTGCCTCAGGAAGCCCAGAGCTATAGAATAAAGGAAGACAGACACAGAAAACACAGCAAAGGCTTAGCCATGATCAATTTACAGCAATACCAGGGCTGCAGAAAAATCAGGCTGCAGGAAGTAGAAGGGCACACCATTGGGGCTTTACTCTAAACCAATTAAATCAGAACCTCTGGGGACAGCCCCCACCAATAGGTGCTAAAAGATGCCCAGTGATTCCAATAAACAGCAAGGTTTGCAAACCACTTCCCTTGGTCCTTAAATGAAAACATTCAAAGCACCAGCTGCCTCACGTTCCTGGTGAATTGAGGTCAAGTATAGCATATACACCAATATATGTATTTTATATATGTATATATTTATGTATTATTATATATTTACATGTGTATTCACAGGTGCCTCTCAGATTGCTTGGTTCCAGAGAGAGAACTAAATGCTTTTTTCACGATGCCTCCTGGGAAAAAGAACAGACTTATTTTCCCAACACCAAGACCCTGCTGCTAGAGTGGCAAATCCTGTCCCACTAACACACCAGTGATTGAAGAAAAGTCGTTGGTACATCTTTATCTTTTGTTTCCTCCAACTGGCCCTGCCAGGGTGTCACAGGGTAACCTGGGGCAAGTGGCACCTGCTCACTGGGCCCACAGTTCCTCCGACAGAGACCAAGAGGACGGTCGGATTAAAGCTGCATTCCCTGAGCATCACTGCCTTAGGTCCAGTTACCTAGAAGCAAAGGGAGGGGTGTGGATTCTTGTGCTAGGATTTTCTTTTTTTTTTTTTTTTTTTTTTTGAGATGGAATTTCACTCGTGTCACCCAAGCTGGAGTACAGTGGCGCAATGTCGGCTCACTGCAACCTCTGCCTCCCGGGTTCAAGCAATTCTTCTGCCTCAGCCTCCTGAGTAGCTGGGATTACATGCGCCTGCCACCACGCCAGGCTAATTTTTTGTATTTTTAGTAGAGATGGGGTTTCGCCATGTTGGCCAGGCTGGTCTAGAACTCCTGACCTCAGGTGATCCACCCACCTTGGCCTCCCAAAGGGTTGGGATTACAGGCGTGAGCCACCGCGCCCAGCTGTGCTAGGAATTTTCTAAGGTATACTCTTGGGTGAAACCAAGAAGAAATTCATTCGAAGCCTGCACTCATGACAGCTGGAGGTGATGAGTACATGATCCAGCAAATGGGACCTGGGTAGGCCCTCAGTGTCAATCACACCACTGTGATCATTTCTGTGGGTGCACCACCTGTTCTACTCACTATTCAACAGTTTTCCTTAAAACACATTAAGCTTAAATTGATTCATTTTTAAAATATTTATTCTGTTTTGTTTTTTGTTTTTAAAACAGGGTCTCGCTCTGCTGCCCAGGCTGGAATGCAGTGGCATGATCACAGCTTGCTGCAGCCTTGACCTCCTGGGCTCAGGTGATCCTTTTGCCTCAGCCTCCTACAGGTGCATGCCACCATACCTGGGTAATTTTTTTATTTTTTGTACAGATGGGGGTCTCCCTATGTTCCTTGAACTAGTCTTGAACTCCTGGGCTCAAGTGATCCTCTCACCTCAACCTCCCAAAGTGCTGAGTTTACAGGCATGAGCCACCACACCCAGCCCGATTCATTTTTAAACATGCATTACGCTGTAAATGGAAAATCAGCATCACTTGCCAAGGGACATTTAAGTAATACACTGAAATGAACACGAGCATAATACAGTCTTTAACATCGCCTGTATGCTACAGGAGTCATTTCCAAATGCCTGCGTGCATGCAGACCCCACTCTGGGTGTGTCGATGATTAAGCCTCTCTCAGGCTCTGGTCTGGGAAGAATGTGACCCCATGTCACACTGGTATAAACGGATGCTGATCATGCCACTCGGGCCTGATGTGGCTCCAGACAGAGCCAACTGCAGGAGGGAGAGGGAGCAGCCGCCCTGACCCTAGTGACTTCTCAGGGCTTCCAAACCCCCTGCCCTTGCAGCCTCCCCTTCAATGCTCACCCAAGCCTCCCTTCTCCCACTCCTCCCCTGGGTCTGCTGAGACACTGGGGATACATCGCGATGGTTACCGGGGTGCCCTGGTGAACTATCAGATAGGAAGCGATGGTCCCTGTGCCTGCCAGCTCTTGCTGGGCTTAAACAAATACCATCAGAACTAATGGCAGAGGAGAAAACCTGACTTAACTTAGGGCTAGAAAGTGTCCCTGAAAAAATGGTGGCTTTTTTTTTTTTTTTTTTAAAGACAGAGTCTCACTCTGTCACCCAGGCTGGAGTGCAGTGGTGCAATCACAGCTCACTGTAGCCTTGAATTCCTAGCCTCAAGCAATCCTCCCACCTTAGCCTCTGGAGTACCTAGGACGACAGGTGCACACCACCACACCCAGCTAATGTTTATTTTATTTTATTTTTTGAGACAGAGTCTTGCCCCGTCACCCAGAGCTTGAATGCAGTGGCGTGATCTCAACTCACCGTCACGTCTGCCTCTTGAATTCAAGCAATTCTCCTGCCTCAGCCTCCCAAGTAGCTGGGACTACAGGCATGTGCCACCACACCTGGCTAATTTTTGTATTTTTAGTAGAAACAGGGTTTCTTTACATTGGCCAGGCTGGTCTCGAACTCCTAACTTCAAGTGATCCACCCACCTCGGCCTCCCAAAGTGCTGGGATTACAGGCATGAGCTACCACATCTGGCTGGCTAATTTTTATTTTATTTTTTTGTAGAGATGGGGTCTCACTATGTTGCCCAGGCTGGTCTCAAACTCCTGGCCTGAAGCGATCCTCCTGCCTCGGCCTTCCAAAGTGCTGGGATTATAGGCATGAGCCACCATGCCTGGCCTGGTATGAGTCTTAAAGGTCTTAAAGGATAAAGAATTAGCTGGACAGAAAGAGGAAGGCAATGTGGAAGAAGAAGAAGGGCGAGGGAAAGAGCAGGTAGAAGCAGTGGTGAGAGAGGATTAAGAGTTGCAGGAACTGGCAGGGGCCGGTGGCTCATGCCTGTAATCCCAGCACTTTGGGAGGCTGAGGCGGGTGGATCATGAGGTCAAGAGATAGAAACCAGCCTGGCCAACACGGTGAAACCCTGCCTCTACTAAAAATACAAAAATTAGCTGGGCGTGGTGGTGTGCACCTGTAGTCCCAGCTACTTTGGAGGCTTAGGCAGGAGAATCGCTTGAACCAGGGAGTCGGCGGCTGCAGTGAGCTGAGATCGCGCCACTGCACTCCAGCCTGGTGACAGAGCAAGACTCCGTCTCAAAAAAAAAAAAAAAAAAAAAAAAAAAAGAGTTGCAGGAACTAAGAAAAAAGAGTGGGCTAGAGGAGAAAGCAACAGGGGAGAGTGATGAGTCCAGAGAAGGGGTTAGACCAGTACGTCTCACCACCAACCACACTGGGGGCACCTTAAACCCCTGTGCCCTGGCCCCTGCCTCCAGAGATTCTGATATCATTACTTTCAGGTGGGGACAGGAAATCAGCATTCTATCCAGATTCCCCAGGAGATTCGGAAGGTCAGTCAGCCAAGGACCTCTGAGTCAGATCATGTAAGGCCTGGTTTTTGCTTAGGAGCAGTTGAAACTACTGAAGAATTTTAAGTGGGGCAGGGGAAGAGTGACTTGGTCAGCTTTGTGTCTCTATCAGATCCTTCTGGATACGTATGGGAAACGGACTGCAAGGCCATAGTGGCTGCAGGGATACAGGTCATGGAGCTTGTGCAATTGTCAAGGCAAAAGATGGCAGCGGTCTGGACCAAGATAGAAGCCACTGAGATGAAGAGAGGGGATGGATTCCAGAAGGACTGAAGGTTTGCATGAAGAGACAGAGGACTGCTCCAGGCTTCCACTGTAAGCCAGTGATGGGCGGTAGTGGTGTATACTGAGAGGCCACCACTGTTGGCTCAAACACCAGCCTGGTCCACTGCTGTCAGCCTCTCCTGGGCTCTAGGCCCTGGGCTTTAGGGCTCATGACCATCCATCTGAATTTCAAGGCACTTTCCACATTAATAAGAGAGAGGACTCAAGGCTCCCTGGCCACATTTTACTCAAAACATCATATCACCTGATGATCTAAATATATTCAAAAAAGTCAATGAGGGAGCAGGAGAAAGAGGGAATTTTTCATTTTTCTTCTGTACCCTAGACAGACAAGGGCAAAGACCCTTAAAAGATTTAGGTTGCAGCTGGGCACAGTGGTTCATGCCTGTAATCCCAGCACTTTGGGAGGCTGAGGAGGGAGGATCACTTGAGGCCAGGAATTCGAGAGCTGCCTGGGTGACAAAGCAAGACCCCAGTCTCTACAAAAAATTTAAAAATTAGCTGGGTGCACCTGTGGTCCCAGCTACTCAGGAGGCTGAGGACAGAGGATCACTTGAGCCCAGGTGTTCGCGGCTGCCGTGAGCTGTGACTGCACCACTACACTCCAGCCTGGGTGACCCAGCGAGATCCTGTCTCAAAAAAAAAAAAGATTTAGGTTTCTCTTGACCCTCCCACAGATGATCTTCCATCCACTGCTAGATAAATTCCATTACAGGGGCCGAGTCCATCTTTGTTCACTACCCGGCACATAGTAAGCGGCCAATAAATATTAGAATGAACACGTGAGGAATAAATCAGGATAGATGACCTGTCACAGAACTCCCAAGTTCAGGTATTAAGGATTATCTCCAGAATAAATGTCACAGCCTGGGAGTTAGTTTCCAAATAGCACCTCCTCGACCCTCCACATGTCTGTACACAGCCCACCTGTAGCACCCCGCAATCCAATTCTCTGATCCCACTGGCATCTGCCTACTGTCTTCAGAATGCACCTGTCACCCCTCAGCAGACACCATGTTATTCATGCCACAGTTACTAAGCACTCATTCTGGGACGGATGAGGACCTCAAGGCTGGAAAACTGTGATGAGTTAGAGAAGCTCCCATCCCCATTCCAAAGACAAATGTCCACTATAAGACAACTGGGACCCCAAAGCATCTCCTCCATCAGTTCTATGAGAGAAACAGAACCCTCACTTCACAGTGAAAGGGAGTGGTCAGCATGGGTTTATTTTGGCTTTTTTTGTTTTTATTTTAAGAGATGGGGTCTTGCTCTGTCACCCAGGCTAGGGTGCAGTGGCACAATCTCAGCTCACTGCAGCCTCAAACTCCTGGACTCAAGCGATCCTCCCACCTCAGCCTTCAGAGCAGCTGGGGCTACAGGTGTGTGTCACCATGCCTGGCTAATTTTGCTATTTTTTTGTAGAGACAGGGTCTCATTATGTTGCCCAGGCTGGTCTCAAAACTCCTGTGCTCAAGCAATCCTCCTGCCTAACCCTCCCAAAATTCTAAAATTACAGGCCTGAGCCACCACACCTGGCCACGGTTAACCCCCATGAACAGCATCCAGACTGGAAACACATTATGTTCATTGGCATCTGCAATGTGATGTTCCAAGGGGGATGCTCCATGTGGACTGGATGACACCTGCTCACACTGGTCATCATTTCCTTGTCTCTGGATTTTCAAAACAGTCCCTAACTGGTCCATCCATGGAGTCTCTGACCCCCCACAGCCAAAGGCATCATCTCTCCCCATCCTCACACCTGCACAACCTCCATTGCTTACCAAGCTCAGGGAAAATGAGGGCATTATTATTGAAGTCAGTAATTCCTGAAGATACTCTCTTGGTTACAGATAAGGCTTGAGATAAGATTGTATCCTTTCAATCCAGTTCCTTCCCTACCACCCCATCAGAGACAACCACATGGACCTACTCCGATGTCTCCTTCCAGACATTGTTCCTCGTATAAACATGTGAGGCCACAGAAAATACAACAAGAATTTCTGTTTATGTTTATATGAATAATACACTTTTCCACATATACTTCTCCTGGTTGTTCTTTTTTTAAACTCAGTAATGCCATAAAGCTCTTTCCATATGGGTACAATGGATAAACCTTTTTTTTTTTTTTTTTTTTTTTTTGAGACAGAGTCTTGCTCTGTCACCCAGGCTGGAGTGCAGTGGCATGATCTCGGCTCACTGCCACCCCCATCTCCTGGGTTCAAGCGATTCTTGTGCCTCAGCCTCCCAAGTAGCTGGGATTACAGGTGCACACCACCAAGCCCAACTAATTTTTGTATTTTTGGTAGAGATGGGGTTTCACTATATTGGCCAGGCTGATCTTGAACTCCTGAACTCAAGTGATCTGCCTGCCTTGGCCTCCCAAAGTGCTGGGATTAGAGGCGTGAGCTACTGCGCCCGGCCCCTTGTTCTTTTTAACTGCAGTAAAATACTCTGCAAAATGGCTGATGGATATTTAGGTTGCTTCCACTTTTCCTTTTCTCTATTTCTCACCTATCATTGGATATTCTATTCCAATAATGCTCCGTGAGCATCCTCACGCCTGCCTCCTTAGCCAGGTTCTTGGGGATGTGGAAGGGAAGCCCACTTCACACTGTGGCCCCCCCTCATCCCTCCCTGCTCCATCTCCCTCCCTTCATACACTCAGCACTGAAGACAAACCATGCACCCACTGCTCCTCCAGCAGGGTCCCTGCTCGCAATCTCTGCCTTTTCTTTTTAAAAATTATACATTTTTTTTTTTGAGATGGAGTCTCGCTCTGTCACCCAGGCTGCAGTGCAATGGCACAATCTCGGCTCACTGCAAGCTCTGGGTTCACACCATTCTCCTGCCTCAGCCTCCCAAGTAGCTGGGACTACAGGTGTGTGCCACCATGCCGGCTAATTTTTTGTATTTTTAGTAGAGACAGGGTTTCACCATGTTAGCCAGGATGGTCTCGATCTCCTGACCTCACCATCCACCCACCTCAGCCTCCCAAAGTGCTGGGATTATAGGCGTGAGCCACCGTGCCCGGCCCATATATGTATTTCTCTTAATTTAAGAGATGGGTTTCACTCTGTCTCCCAGGCTGGAGTACGTGGAACAATCATAGCTCACTGCATCCTCAAAGTGGCAGCAGACTTGAAGTGGCAGCCTCGAAGCCCTGGGCTCAAGCAATCCTCCCGCCTCAGCCTCCTGAGTAGCTGGGAATACAGGTATGTGCCACCACATCCAGCTAACCTCTGCCTACTCTCTCACTGTTCCTTGTTGCCTGAACTTTCTGAAACCATCACTGCTTGGGGAATTTGAAATATCCTCCCAAGCCCATCTCCAACACTACAGGCTTAAGGAAACCTTTGCACACCACATATGGTGGGCTTCCCTGAAACCACATCTGGTGGCCTTGGTCCTGGAGCTTGCATTCTTTTTTTTTTTTTTTTTTTTTTTTTTTTTTTTTTGAGACAGAGTCTCGCTCCGTCGCCCAGGCTGGAGTGCAGTGGCGTGATCTTGGCTCACTGCAAGCTCCGCCTCCCGGGTTCACGCCATTTTCCTGCCTCAGCCTCCCAAGTAGCTGGGACTACAGGCGCCCGCCACCACACCGGGCTAATTTTTTTGTAATTTTAGTAGAGACAGGGCTTCATTGTGTTAGCCAGGATGGTCTCGATCTCCTGACCTCGTGATCCACCTACCTCGGCCTCCCAAAGTTCTGGGATTACAGGCGTGAGGAGCTTGCATTCTTGGACTTGTCACCCCCATCGCTAGATGATAACCTCCTCTGAAGACAGGAAAATTCCCCACTGTATTGCCAAAGCCTGCAGCAGCTCACTGCACAGAGTTGCTTAATAATAACCCATCAAGATTAAAGTGAGGAAGCCAGCCTCTCCCTCAGCCTTCCTTTGGTTCAAGCAAACCACAAACAAATCAAGCCACTTCCATGTGCATCAATATATCATCTCTTCTGATCCACAGACAGCTGGCAAAGGTCATCAGAGTGGAATCATGACCCTCATTAAAGATGAAGGGACTCCCCTGGAAGCTAAGTTGCAGGTCTCGGTCTGAAGCTGAACATAGGGGCCTCTTTGCAAAAGAAGGGCTTGGTCTGGAAGCTCTCAGATATTTCAGGATGAGTCATGTTTCCAAAAAGTGTGACACGTCCATCCCAGGCCCTCTTATAAAGCCATCTCCCCAAAAGCAGGCACTCTAGTACTCAGATTTTTGCCAAAAGCAAGGACCACTGTGCTTATTAACTAAATTCTTTGAGTATCTTAAAATGTTTTAAAGTTTACAGGATCAACTTTTGTTTCAACCCAAGCAGAAGTATCTGTGAAACCATGGGTTTGTGTGCTACTTACATTTTTTCCCCCAATACCAATCAAGAAGAAGACATAATTATTCTTTTCTGTTTTTATGCCATGGGCCTTTGAGAATTATCTTGTGTGCCACCAGTGGTAACACATTTTGGAAAACATTCATAAGATCAACAAAAAAACTTTGGTTCTTATTTATTCACTGCAAATTTCTTAAATTCATTGCATTTTGAGGAAAGACAGTTCAGAGAAGTTTGTGATCAGGTCATCAAAAGAGAAATCTTCAAAGTGCACGACTTTGCTATTGGGAAAAACTTGCTTGATCTTAAGACTATGAGCGGTCTGCACTGAGACGCTTGGCTTGTCTGTCTGTATATCCTGCATGGTGATGGCGATTTTGCATCCTAGATTTCTCAGGACAATCATGGTGTCAAATATCACCCTGGTGACCCCTCCCTCAGCTCTGGACCCAGAGTTCCAGGAAGCTTCTAGAAGCTGATGTCATCTAGCCTGTCCCTAAAGAGCAGGAACCGGAGAAGTCTCTTCTTCATCCTCAGTCCCTTTTAGATCAACAGAAGCCCAGCTTGCCAAGGAAGATGAGGGCCCCAGGAATTCAATTATTCACTTTAGCAGCTACTCATTAAGCACCGGAGATACTGCATGAACAAAACCAACAGTGTCTCTGCACGGGAAGGAGGGAGGGACTCATTTGGCCAGTTCTCCTCCAGCCTCCTTCCTCCCTATATCCCGCCCCAAGATGGGCCAGCATTCCCAGGGTTCAACAGCTTTGCCCGGGAGCGACCCAGTGCTCAGTGGGAAGTGACCTACTGCCTGAGCGGAGCTCTTGCTCACCATTGTCCCATCAGCACGGGAGCACGGAAATCCAGCCTCCTGGACAGATGACACGTGCTATAAGGGTCCCAGGCCCTGGGGACCTGGGCCTGGAATCCCACTGAACTCCCCTCAGCTGTGGCCTAGATCTAGTCCTGGGTCGGCTGCCAAATTGCTGTGTGACCTGGGCAAGTCACTCCACCTCTCTGAGTGTCCCTAGCTGTCAGTGTCATACTGGGACTTCTAAGGTCCTTATGCCCTGAAATTCTCCAATCTTAGCCCAGGGCTGTCCCGAATGCAGTGAGCTCTCACCCTTTCAGGCACCTGAAGGAGCATGAGTACCTCTGGAGCCGTGCAGGACAGGTGCCCTCATCACCACCACCAGCCTCTGCTCAGGTGTCAGGTTACCAGCCCGGCACTCTCTCGCTGGGTGGCAGCTCTGCCTCTGATATTTTTAGACTCCCCCCTGGCCTGTCCCTAACAAGAGCCAGATGCATCTGATTCCTGCCACAGTGCTGCTGAAATTGCATTCTTTGGCTAACTTCTGCAGGGAGCCAGGCTTCACCACTCCTGGGGTGAGAAGGGGAGACTGCTCTGCCTGTCACCACCACACCAATCCCCATTCCTTCCCTGCACATGCTGAGGCCATCGTCCAAGAGTCAGGCCTCCATCCCTTCTATGATGCCAACTGCCCTCTTCCTTCATTCCAGCTGCTGCTGCCAATCACCTGCCCTCCTGAGACACCCGGACACACACACACACCCCTCCTGCACAGGCATCCCGAGGCTGGCCTTTAACTCTCTCCTCTGGGAGAGATCTGCTCCCTTAATCCCAGTGCCTGGGCCCCACCCCACCTTTGGGTAAGTAACGTCACCGCCTCCCCTCTGGAACTCCCGTGGCTGGAGAGCCCTGCCCTGTCCCCACCTTAGCCCCTGTAGCCCGCGTCAGAGTCCCCACTTGGCCACAGAGCTGGGAAGCAGCCACATGTTGTCCCCCCCACCCCCCCACACACAATTATCTGACCCCCCCCTCCCGGCAAAAGGAGGGAGGCTGGACATCTGCTTCCCAAACAAACCTCGCCAAGCAGCCAGCAGTCCAGCGCCAGCCCATCTGGCCTGGAAGGACATTTATATATTTTCATCTCGACAGACTTCCCTTCCTGGTCCCGTCTGGCGGAGTTTACTATGACAAAGAAGTGGCCTTTGCTGTGCCCTCACTGACCTGGAAGGCTGTATAGCAGAGGCGAGGGCAGGAGAGTGTCACTCTATGCCTAGGGTGAAAAATGGGCTGGTTGATCCTCCCTGTTAATTACCTGTTGCGGGAAATTGGGGAGTCTGTGCACATATGCATGTGGTTTTAGCTCCTACTACGAAGATATTATGTGAGAGGCAGAGAAAAGATACTGAGGTGAAACATTCACTTCCGTTCCAGGAAGAAAGGATTTAAGTGCCATTACTGGGGTGAGGGTGGAGAAGCGGGGGCGGTTTGCTAAATGGATGTGCTCCATAGCCACAATAAAACGCCACCAAGCCCTTTTAGCCCCTCATTAGCTAGACCCTAATCTGGGGTGGTGCCAGCCAGAGCGGGTGCACCCCCTCCTCCAGCCCGAGGTGGGGCAGTGTCAGCCCCAAGCCTCACCCTCCTCACAGGGACGCTTCCGCCTGGCCCTGCCCTCACCCACTCAGCTGGTCGACTCCGTGGTTTCCAACACAAACACATTCTCTGGATTTCAGGCGCACCTCAATCTCTCCACTTGAGGGGCAGAGGAGGCTCCAGGCTATGTGGCCAGCCCTCTGCCTCCTACTCGACTCCCTGGCTCCCCATGGGATGGAGGTGGTGAGATCCAAAAACCCTCAGTGGGAAAACAGGTTCTGCACCTTCCTGCCACCTCCACGCCTCTCCCTGGGCTGTAGTCTTGGCATTTGCCAAGGCCCCCGTGGGCATCCACGCCCTGTTTTCCCCAGAAGGGTCTCCCCTCATTCCCTGCAAACCAGCAGGGCATCTCCAGGTGGAAAGAAGGGGAGGGCTTGGGAGGCAGATGGAGGTTCAAGGTCTAGTTCTTTGCATTTACCAGCTCAGTGGCCTTGAGCAAACCGACTTAGATCTCTAGCCTGTTTCCCCACTTGCAACAGGAGAGCGTGCTGGAAACAGCTCAGGGGTGAGGCTCCCAGGGAGAAACGGAGATGGAGGGCGAGCACCAGCCAACTGCAAACCTCCAGCAGCTCAGGTCGCCATCCTTCCCCTTGTGTGACTCCTGGGAAACCAGGACCCCGTCCCTTCCTCGTCCTCTTTAAGCTTTCTTAACTGAAGGCCGAATTCCAGGAAGAGGTGCCCAGCAATAATGTGTCGGTTCTTAGATTTCTCTCTGATTCAGACTGGAGTGCAGAGGTGGCTAAAGGCGGCTTTTAAAAAATTTTTATGATAAAATATGCATAACATCATAATCATCATTTTAACCGATGATAAGCATACAACTCAGTGGCATTAAATACCTTCACGATACTGTGTAACCATTGCCACTATGTATACCCAAAACTTTTTCATCCTCCCCAAGAAAAACTCTGTCCCATTAAACAGTAACTCCCGGTTCCCAGGTACCCCCAGGCCCTGGCAACCATCATTCTACTTTCTGTCTATAAAATTTGCCTATTCTAGGTGTCTCATAAAAGTGGAATCACACTGTATTTGAACTGGAGGCTTCTTAAGTCCCTCTCCAAGCCCCTTACTTAGACACAGCTGAATTATAAGATCAAGGTGCACACACACACACACACACACACACACACACCCTCAAAGCTTGGGAGGGGCAGTGCTCCCTTCCCCAAAACTGAAGCTGGCCTGGAGGGAGAGCTTTGCCCTGTGGTGTCTTCGGAGTCCCCATGTCCAGCCCCACATCTTCACCTAAAAGACCTCCCTGGAGCGTGCTCAGATCTCTGGATTTGGGGAGGGCGTAGAATACACACTACGAGCTGCAGCCTCTCCTACCTCTGGAACACATGGGTGCGGTCTCGCCTCTTTAAAGCCCCCCAAGCCCTTCTAGAGTTGGCAGGGAGAGAGGTGTCATCCCAGCAGCGCCTCCCGGCTCCTCCACCGTTCCTGACCCCCAAGAAGTCGCTCCTCGCCGCTCGGGGGCGCGACGGAGCAGCGGCGGGGGCCTAGAGGGGTACGCAGCCCAGGAGGACCCGCTGGCCCGGCCTGGCGCACCAGTCCTGCCCGCGAGGCGAGTCTGGGGACGCTGCCCGGGAATCCCTCACGCGACCTGGGGATCTCCCTGGACTCCAAGAGCCCCGGGTGTAAGTCCGGCGGGGCGAGGGGAGGCGCCCTGACTCCTCCCCAAACTTTTCCCGCCTGCTTCGGCTCAAAAGGCGTGGGAAGCTGTCCCGGGATGGCGAAGTGGAATTCTGGGGCCGGAGCGAGCGTGGCGCAGACCAGAGGTCGGCGGCATGGGTGGCACCTCGGCCCTCCCGTTACTGTCACCAATTCCGGGGGCTGCTCCCGGTCCAGTAAGTGGAGGGGTCGCGTCCCTGCTGCCCGGGCGTACACGATCCCGGGGCCCCCCCGATGTCGCCCCGCGCCCTGGGTGCGCCCACAACTCACCCGGCGCTGGCGGCTGCGCTGGCAGCTGGATCGACGGACTGGCTGGGGGTGCGAGGCGAGGCCGCCGGGCTGTTTTGAAGCTCTGGGCTGGGACTGCGCGCCCTCCCTCCACCCTCTAGGCGGCGGGGCCCCTCCTTCCCCGATCCCGCCTCCCGGGCCGTGACGCCAGGAGCCGGGAGAGCCGAGTGGGAGGGGCCGCCGGCGAAAGGAGGGGGCCCTGGAGGGAAAGGCCGAGGCCGGGAGCGCCCTGGCGCCCCCGCACCACCGTTCCCGCCCGCCTCCCTGCGGCTCTGTGGCCAGCTTTGGGGCGGAGCCGGTGGCACGGGCCCGGGGGAAAAGGGAGAAAGGGAGGCTCCCGGGAGCAAGGGTCTTCCCTTCTCTGCAGGTTTCCACATCCCTCTCATTCTCTTTCCTCTCCTCTTCTCCCCTTTTCTTCCTCTTCCCTAAGGAGTTTTGGAATCCGGGCTCCCTGCTCTAGAACCCCTTCTCTGGCCTTTTATGAACTTCCTGAGCTCGTCCATAATCTCCCCTGTCTCAGTTTCCTCTTCTGGGAATGGGAGTGATTATAGGTCGGAAGGTGGTAATACGTCCACAATGTTTGGCTCATGGTACCTGCTCCATAGACGTCAGCCATTGTTATTTTTATCATCTCACCTGGAGTCCTGGCCTTGGTGCGAGATGCCCAGCAACCAGTCTTCAGACTCTTCCAGGACCCCCCGTTCACTCCCCCCACCCGACCAGTACACACACACACACACACACACACACACACACACTCACACAAAGCACTCCCCACAGCCTTTCAACCCACAGTCCTGGTATTTAGTGTCCCTGGAAATGACATCAAAGGAACTGCCTTTCTTTCCAGCCTCAGTTTCCCCATCTGGAAACTGGGAGGGCTGATCTGCTCTAGGGGCTCTTGGGAGGATGGGGGAGGAGACCAGAGGCGCCTGAGCCCCATCGTGTGTGTGTGGAAGGAGGGAGTGGGAGTCAGTGTATTTTTACAAATTGAAGAAATTCCAAAACAGGGTCACAACATATAACAGTATATTTTAAACTTTTAATTTAACAAGTTCATGTTACTTGCACATACCCCAGAATACAAGGCAATTGACTTGTGCTACTGACAAGAGAATGAGAAACCCTTTTAAGAAATGTTAATTTATTGTGCAATCCTGTGCTCTGGTTGGACTCCATGTTTGTATTTTCTGTTGAGCATCTTTTTTTAGTCCTGCTGAGGAGCTCTGTCACGAGAGGGCCTTGTTGGCTCTAAATTAGAGATCCTTGGGGGATTTGAGATCCCCTCTAAAGGGCCACCCCCTCCCCCAGGCCTTGAGCTTCCCAAGTTGGCCTAGGGTCTGACCTGCCAAATCTCCTTTAATTCTACAGTTAACCAAGACTCCCATCCCCCAAGATAATTGTGTGTGTGTGTGTGTGTGTGTGTGTGTGTGTGTGTGTGTGTGTTTGGAGCTGGAGAGGGGACAGGAAGGCACTAATATGAACTGAGTCCTCTTCCTCCATAAAAGGGGAGGAGGGTGAGGTCTGGTTGCTATAGAGGAGGACCAGGAAGGGCCCACCTACCTGCCTATGGCCATGTGGAGGACAGAGAAAACTCCAGAGTCTCCCAGAATGGAAAGGCCAGGTAGGGGATGGAGCAGGCAGGTTTCTGCATTTGCTGAGGGCTTAGTGTGTGCCGGTTACTTTACAAACATAACCTTCAATAGAACACGGCAGCCCTGCAAAACAAGTTACCCTCATTTTATCCATGAAGAAACTAAGGCTCAGAGAAGCTACACCAGTAACTTACCCAAAGTCTCTATGCAGTTGATAAAGTTTGGATTTGAACCCAGACTCACTGCAGCAAACCCCATTCTCCTCTTTCCACCCTATCACTATTTACCAAATGCTAACCACACTCAAGCTCTAAATTTTGCCATATCCACCTTCCACCTGAACTGGTATTCACTTAATTGTTTTCTTTAAATTAACTCCGTTGATTTTAATATGTTTATTTGAAAAAGAAAGCCCTATATTGCTATGGTAAACAGGAAACCAGTGCCATCTGCCAAAAGTAGAAGACAAACTTATGAATATAAACACTATTGAAATAAAACAGTGTTAGTAAATTGTAGCCAGATACTGTTGCCTGAAAGAGTCCATGAGTCTGAGGTTTAGCGTCTATTAAAAGGGAGCCAGGTGCGGTGGTGCTTACCTGTAATCCCAGCTGCTCGGGAGGCTGAGGTTGGAGGATCGCTTGAGCCTGAGAGTTCCGAGGCAGCCTAGGCAACATAGCAAGACCCTGTCTCTTAAAAAAACAGTGGGGGTGATCAGTAAGATGTTAAAAGCATGCTAACACAGAGAAGTCTTTCTTCTGTTATCAGAACTATTGCAAGATCATTGGAAAAGACAGTCATGTTCTCACTCTGATTCAGAGCCAGGAGATGCCTCCTCCCTGTACTGTCTCCCAAGCCACCAGCTGGTGGGGTGTGTCCCAACTGGAAAGAACCCGTCCAGACCCCCAAGATCCCTCTCCAAGACGCAGAAAAAAAAACAGGACAATTGCTCCTCTGCCTTGTTTCTAAACCCTCTCCAGAGCCCAACCTGTCTGTCCCATTCACCTGCTACTTGCTATTCTTTGTTTTCTGTCTTTAAATATACTCCTGTCCCTCTAGGAAGATGGGAGACAGAAACCTGCGTCATACCTGCTTGTATTCCTGCTTCTGGTGTTTCGATAATGAACTTGGTGTGGGGGAAAGTAAGAGTGTGTTTGATGGAATTCTGGTCCCAGTCCTTCAGCCCCTTATACTAGTAGTATACATCCCGACCCTGGCCATAGCCTCGTGATGAGAGGAATATATTCCTCAATTTGATCTTGAGCTTGGCCATGTGACTTGCTTTGGCCAATGAGATATTAGCAAAGATGACACACACAAAGAACGGAAGGGTGCCTGGGTGGTAGGATTTGCCCTCTCTCTCTTTTGCCATTTCCATGAGCATAGTATACCTCTGGCAGCTTAGTGGTCCCAGAAAATGAAAGACATGTGAAATAGAGCTACCCTAGAGGACCTACAGAACTTCTGTCAGAGACACAGAGCTACTCCAGTCAAGCCACAGACATGTAAATGAGAAATGCATGCTAATTGTTGCATGCCACTGCAGCTCATGGTTGTTTGTTTCACAGCAGTAGCTGGTCTATATGGAGAGAGAGAAAGAACTGTAAGGAAGGCATTTGAAGGTATGGAAAGTCATCGAGGATGGGGGCTTGGTTCAGGGTGGGATAGAAGATAATTGATTATGCAGTGATCTCTCATGTGTCTTTCCTGGCTTGAACATTTTAGGGTTCTGCAGTCTCTTGTACCTGGATCCTGTTCACTCTTTCTTGTTCTTAGAAGGAATGACTAGGGGTGCCCATGCCTGGGTGCAAATCTGATCCCCAACCTTAAGAAAGCCGAACAGAACTCAACGTTGTAGCAGCATAGGTCATGGAGAAGACAACGTGGACTCTTGTTAAGAAGGATGGAGATTTTTTCAAATAGCCACAAACTCCTGATGGGAATAGATTGAATATGAATGTGATTCAACCATCATAACCCACTTTTAGTTGGTGGGTTAGCTGAATCTTAACAGATGCCAGGGGTTTTACTAACTTCCATTCAGTGGCTGCTTCCGCTGAAAACAAACTGTTCATAGGCTGCTAAGATGACCCCCATGCGCCTGCCTCCTGGTATTCATGCCTTTGTGTAATTCTCTCCCCTTGAGAGTGGGCTGCACCTAATGACTTGCTTCTTTTTTTTTTTCCTTTTTTTTGAGACAGAGTCTTGCTCTCTCGCCCAGGCTGGAGTGCAGTGGCACAGTCTCGGCTCACTGCAACCTCAGCCTCCTAGGTTCAAGCAATTCTCCTGCCTCAGCCTCCCGAGTAACTGGGATTACAGGCACCTACCACCATGCCTGGCTAATTTTTGTATTTTTAGTAGAGACGGGGGTTTCACCATGTTGGCCGGGCTGGTCTCGAACTCCTGACCTCAGGTGATCCACCCACCTCGGCCTCCCAAAGTACTGGGGTTATAGGTGTGAGCCAGCGCGCCCAGCCACAAAGGCACTTCTAAGTGTGGCTCAGCAGGCTGCCATCTTGGTGTGAGTCAGATGGTTGGGTAGCCCCCAAGTCCTTACTGTATGAAGAGTCAGGAAATCTGAATTCCTTAGAGTGGGACCTGAGAAACATGCTTTCTTGAGGCCATTTCCTCCCTGCCGCCCACCTCCACAGACTGGGTTGGGAAAAGGATGGGGATAATGATTTCAAGCCCTAGTATCGTCCGACTTAAAGCTCAGAGCTCTGGGTCTCATAGCTTCTCACCGTGAGTCAGGGGGTAAAGCCATACCTTTTGAGTCTGACCTTTCCTGCTTCCTTTTGTCTCTGATTTCTGTCACAGAAACACCTACAAACTGCTGTCATAAAACATCCTGCAAATGCAATAAGAATGAACAGTACAAATAGTGTCCGTTTGACTTATGACAAAGGTTTGACTAAGCACCAAAGGCAACAACCACAGAATTTCCAAACTTCTGGAGAAACAGCCCCAAACCATGCTGTTTTAGGCTGTTTCGTGTCTCCTAAAGCCATCACATGAAATGAATGCAAATGTCTGTGAGTAGAACAAAGGTAAGTGGCTGTGCCCTGGTTTTTCCCATTATAGAAACATCTGGCTGCTTGACTCTGGTTCTGTTTTCATCAGGAGGTTTGGCACCACAGGAATGGAGCTTCAGAGCTCTCCCAGATTTGAATTTCCCTGAAATACGGTTAGAAAGGATAACAGGAAGCAGGGGGTGGGGGTTGTGCTCCACCACCAGAGTCATTACTACCCAAACGTCTGGAACCCAGCGTGGCTCATGGGATGTTCTTGGCAAGTCACAGAAGAAAGTCCCCAGGTGTCCCCAGAGTGGCAAGGAGGATGGAGGCCAGCTCTCTTGGCCTGTCTTCTGAAAAGAACAGTTTGGCACTAAAAAGTTTTGCAAAGAAGAAGAAAAAAAGATGTTTCTGTTGTTAATAATGTCCCAGGAGTGGGCTGTGATTTTCCCAGGATCCCAAGTACAGTCATAAAAGCGATCCCTCAGTCTATGAGAGCATCCTTGTACTTTTCTTTTCTTTTCTTTCTTACACAGAATCCCACTCGTTTGCCCAGGCTGGAGACAGTGGCATGATCCCAGGTCACTGCAACCTCCACCTCCCAGGTTCAAGCAATTCTTGTGCCTCAGCCTCCCGAGTAGCTGGGATTACAGGCACCTGCCACCACACCTGGCTAATTTTTACATTTTTGTTAGAGACGGGATTTCACTATGTTGTTCAGGCTGGTCTCGAACTCCTGAGCTCAGGCAGTCCCCACATCTCAGCCTCTCAAAGTGCTAGGATTACATGCATGAGCCACTGCGCCATCCTTGTACTTTTCTAAATATATTTTTTTTAATTTTACAAAAAAATTATTTCCCTTCTGCCAAAAAGGTGATTTTTTCCAATTATTCACTCAATGTATACATATTTTGAATCTCCCATGTGCCAGACATTATTGGAGACTTTGGGAATATAGCAGTGAGTGAACCAACTTGTCCCCAAAACCCCTTGATCTCGTGGAACTCACTAACCAACCCTGGTCAGTTCTGCTCATTATCCTTCTTCATACCGAAATGTGTTTTATTTTTCTTTGCAAGATTGCTGGGTATCTTTTTGTGAGGTGTCTCTTAGTCTATAAAACCATGGAAATATCTTCCTAATCCAAGTGACCTCAGTTGCCTACCCCGCCGCAGGCAACTTCAACCTTAGGACTCTGGCCAGACTCTCGCATCCTTACAAATCTTTGGATCTGGGGAAGTGAGGATGCCTTCCATTTCTACCCTACTGCCCCATGCATGGTCCAGCAGTTCAAAATTCAAAGAATGATGTGGCGGGAGGAGGCCTAGGAATTCCTCCCCATTCTCTCCTCCTGGCAGGAAGGTACGTAAACTATTCTGGATGAATGAGATTCTTGATTTTAAAGGCCTTATATGTTGACATTCTGGAATTCCCTCGTAATGTGGGATTAAAATCCTCTTGGACACAGGCTATGTCTGTTTGCTCTTGTTCGTTCCTCCGTTGTTTGATGTCCTCTGAGAGGTGGGGGTCCAAGATAAGGCAGCCTCAGCCTCCAGACTCCAGCCTCTGCCTTCAGCAACCAGCACAGTGGAGATGCTCACGTGAGGGGCTTTTCTTCCATAATGCTGTTTCCAATCTGTAATTAGATTTGTATTTTTTCAAGTGTGTGCTTTCTTGCTTATTGTCTTCATTCCCCAATAGAACACAAGCTTACCGAGAGCAGAGGTTTCATCTATCTTACCCGTGGCTTTTCCACCAATGTCTTCACACAGTGGGTGAACAACCAGTGTTCCTATTAGTCTTTTAAATTTTAATTTAATTTTTATTTTATTTTATTTAGAAATGGAGGTCTCGCTCTGTGGCTCAGGCTGGAATGCAGTGGTGAGATCGTAGCTCACCACAGCCTCAAATTCCTGGGCTCAAGTGATCCTCCTGCCTCAGCCACCTGAGTAGCTGGGACTACAGCTGTGTGCCACCATGTTCGGCTAATTTTCTTATTTTATGCAGAGATGAAGTCTCACTATTTTGCCCAGGCTGGTCTCGAACTCCTGGGCTCAAATGATCCTCCTGCCTCGGCCTCCCAAAGTGCTGGGATTACAGGTGCAAGCCACTGCACCCAGCCCCACTAATCTTTACAGTGCCTATATGAAAATTAGAAAAAGATGCCTCTTCTGAGCCAGTGATTTAGAAAATAGTAACCTCTCAGGGCAGATAGCTTGACAAATAGATAGCACCTTGGTGCAAACGGAAAAAAATGCCCCTTCCTCTAGGCAGACACAACCCCAAGCCAGGCATATGGTTTGGTGAAGAGTCTGTAGGCTGCATTTCACCCTCTAATCTCCAGGCTGGGAATCCTTGTGCAGGGCACAAATTATACAAAAGGAAGGGGCATGAGAACCAATAAATATTTGATGAATGAGTTAACGAATGAAAGGCACATCCTTGGGGGATGTGTGGTGGTTTTTAAAAATGTCTGCAAATTCTGTGACAGCCCATTGAGAGCTTTGGACCCATTGATTGGTGTCCAGTCAATCAACAGTATATGGTGCAAGCAAGTATGTGGCTTCCAAGGCCAGATCATAAAAGACCATGCATGCTCAGCCTGGTTCTCTGGAGGACCTACTTACTGAGCACCTACTTATTGGCACTGAGCCAGGCACGGGGACTACAATGATGAGCAGAAACAAATACAGCTCAATGCCTCATGAAGTTTACAGTCTGGTGGGATGCACTACTATTAGGATGGCCACAACATGTATCATCCAAAGTAGGACACTTCTGAGAGTGAAAAGGGTGCTATTAGTAATTGCAGTGGGACAGTAAGCATACCTAGAACTATCCCAGGGCGACAAGGGTGTGCAATTGCCCTAACTATAATCAACTAAGTAATCCCTCAACTAAATGTGAATGTATCAGCATGACAGTGTGCTATGAAGGAAGAGAAACCCAGTGCTCTGCAAATCTAGCATAAGGGGATTGACCCAAGCAGAGATATCAAGAGGGCTTCCCTGAGGAAGGGTGCTGGAGCTTAGGCCGGAGATCCAAATGGTAAGTAGGAGTTGCTTCGCAGAAAGCAATGGGAGACAGCACCGAGTGGAGGTGGCAGCTCGTGCAAAGGCCTCGTGGATGGGAACATGAAAGGCAGGAGGGCCTGAAAGAAGCCGTTGCAGCTAGAAAGGCCAGAGTGAGGATGAGGCTTGAAAGATGGTAGGGCTATGGTAAGGCTGGGGAATTTGTTCTAGGAGCAATGGAACACCATTGAAGGATTTTTCTTTTTTTTTTCCCCCTTTTTTTGAGATGGAGTCTCACTCTGTCACCCAGGCAGGAGTGCAGTGACTTGATCTCAGCTCACTGCAACCTCCACCTTTTGGGTTCAAGTGATTCTCCTGCCTCAGCCTCCCGAGTAGCTGGGATTACAGGTGCCTGCTGCCACACCTGGCTAATTTTTGTATTTTTAGTAGAGACGGGGTTTCTCCATGTTGGCCAGGCTGGTTTCGAACTCCTGACCTCAAATTATCTGCCCGCCTCAGCCTCCCAAAGTGCTGGGATTACAGGGGTGAGCCACTGTGCCCAGCTGAAGGTTTTAAGTCAGTAGCAACATGATCTGATTGACTGCTCTGTGAAGAAATTTGGGGAGGGAAAGTGTGGACTCAGGTGGAGAAATAACAAGATGAGAAATGATAGTAACTTGAAATTCAAGATTTCATTCATACTGCAGAATGATGCTGGGTCTAGGAGAAGAATAATCCAAAGGGGATTCCGAGGTTCTTTTGGGGAGATGTCTAGAGAAAATCATGTTATTTATAGGACTGAAGAGTCTGGGGGTCGGATGAAATGGACAATTCTCTGGGGGCCATATGTGAAGGGTTTGGCTCGGTGCCTTGGAGTGTCTGATGGTGCAGATGTTTCTTAAAGTGCTGGGGACACACTGAACTCTGGGGATAGGATGGTCTAACTCAGGTAATAAGGAATAATTCACTGGGCAGCTTCTATGTGAGCTGCACTTTGATGATGGAGTAGTTGGCCAGAGAGCAGGGGGCAGGGGCGGTTCCCGAGGATGCCTGGTCACAAATGAAGCTTCATGTATTTACCCGTCTGGCTTCCAAAGGGAAGCTTAGGGCAGCTTACCATCAAAGACACAGACACAATAGAGCTGACACAAAAGGAATACAAACTACACAGATGGAGGAGGAAGCAAATACATGAGCCCAGAGATTTGAAAGATGAATGCACCTATGAGTCACCGAGGAACATAGTAACTATGTAAATTTCTAGACCCCACTTCTTAAGGTGCTGGTACAGTAGATCTGGGGTGAAAGCCCAGGGATCTGCGTATTTAACAAGCCTCCCTCCCCTGCAAAGTGATTCTGACATAGGTGATGAATGGACCACATTTCAAGAAACACCGCTTTAATCCTTTCAGCAAATGCAGTCATAGTAAGTGAGTATCAGATTTAACGCTGGAGCCCCCGACACCCTAGGCACGATGGTGAGCTGACATCCTATTGAGAAAGGTATTCTTGGCTGATGGAGAGCTGCCTTATATTCCCACAGAGGTGGCCCATAGGAGAGCATCACTGGCTCAATTGAACTACCTTGACCTTCAGTTGCATCTCTCTGTTACTAGAGAGGGCTTTGTGTGAATCCTTGGCTAGGGTAGGTGTCGGATTTTGCCACCAAGGCACCATGGCACAAACAGCACCAGAATAACCAGCCTAAGTGTGTAAACTGCTGGAATATGCATGGTCAACTTGGCATTGAGAATGACGATGAGCTGGTAAGATAAGGGTTAACATTTCCAGCCCCGGAACAGCCACTCTCCCTCCTGGGAGTGATTCTGGGCAGACAAGGTGGGACCATGTTTGCTCAGCCTCCAGGACCAGACAAAGTGGATAGTGTAGGGATGTGATGCTTTTGAAAATCTAGTGTGTGTGCTGTCCTCACCTAAGCTTCCAGAGCATTTTTGATTCTGTGCTCCTTGCAATTTCTCCTACTTCTTTATTAATCCTTTCTTAGGTTTCAGTAGCCCTTTCCTTGCTTCTGAAAAGCTTGAAACCTCTCCCCAGGCATTGAGCAATGGGAGGGAGACATAGATGGTGGGGTGGCTGACTGATGAGGACAGACTTTATCTAGGACATTGCTACTTAAAGTGTGGTCCATGGACCAGCAGCATCAGCGTCCCTGGGAACTTGTGAAAAATGCAGACTCTGAGGTCCCACCCAGCCTTGGTGGCTCAGAATCTATATTTTCACAAAATCTCTAGGTGAGTCACCTGCGTGTTAAAGTTTGAGAAGTGCTGCTGTACTTATTCCTTCATCCCACAACTATTTTTTGAGGGCTTCCCAAGGGCCAGACTCTGTCCCAGTGCTGGGGCACAGTGACAAATGAAAATGACATAGTCCCTGACTCAGTGAAGGGAACAGACTAGTGAGGGGGCTATGAGATATTAATAAATACCCAAGCAAACAAACATTCCATTACAAGTTGTAGCAGCTGAAATTCAAGAAGGAAAAAAAGATCCAAGTGATAAAGTATGAAAAAAGTTGTGGCCGGATGCGGTGGCTCATGCCTGTAATCCCAGCACTTTGGGAGGCCGAGGCGGGCAGCTCATATGAGGTCGGGAGTTCAAGACCAGCCTGACCAACATGGAGAAACCCCATCTCTACTAAAAGTACAAAATTAGCCAGGCGTGGTGGCGCATGCCTGCAATCCCAACTACTCGGGAGGCTGAGGCAGGAGAATCGCTTGAACCCGGGAGGTGGAGGTTGCAGTGAGACAAGATCATGCCACTGCACTCTAGCCTGGGCAACAAGAGTGAAACTCCATCTCAAAAAAAAAAGGTCGTAAGACAAACAGCAGACTTGGAGAGGGATTTGTGACTTGGAGAGGGATTTGTGGCAGACAGAATAGACACAGAGTTAAAAGGAGGGGAAAGACCAAGGACAGCCAGGGCCAGGGAAGGCCTCTCTGAAGACGTGTCTTTTAAGCATGGAAAGTGGGTGGTCCTTGAAGGAGTTGGAAGATTCTAGAATGGATGCCCAGGTCTTGTCCTGGATCATGCAAGTGAATTAGAACCTCAAATGTCAGAGCTCAGATTGTAAGATTCCTGGAGAAGCAGCTAGCGCTGACCATACACGGTTATAAGTTCATCCCGTCCATCCGCGCCCATGGGATCCTCTTCAACCCAGCCCTATTCAGCCTGGTGCTGAAGCATGGAGGCTGAGGATGCCCGGGCTCATTCCTTGCTCCAGGATTGTAAAAGCCTGTTAGACACCAGTCCTAGTGCTTGGAAACTGTTATTCTAGGGCCTCCTTCTTCTAGGGTGGATCCGAGGTTTTGTGGCCAGAAAACTGGCAAATCAGCCTTTGGCTAAAGATTAGGGAAGGAGATGTTTTGTTCTGTTTTTCCTGAAATGGTTTCTAAATGTTCCCCCTCCCAAGGGTACTAATCACCTCTCCAACCAGCCAGTTCCTATGGCATGACAGGAGCCTACAGCATAAGTCTCCACATGGTCACCCCCTCCCGTGGCAGCACTCCAGACTCCCCTAACCAGAGAGAGGAGGCATCAGGTGGGACGGGGTGCTCAGAGCTGAAAAAATACTGGGAAGCTGGAGAAATGACGGAGGGAACCACAAAGACTTTTTCCCAACCTAATACAATGGAGGTGATCCCCCGGGCGGGGGTGGATTGGGCGGGAGGGGAGTGTTTGTTAAAAATTTACATCACTGGGTCCATCATCCAAACCCACTGAATCAGAATCTCCAGGGGAAGGGACTGAGAATTATCATTTTTAGAAGTAAGGGGTGGAGCACTAGGCGACTGTATGTCCAGGGGAGTTGGAAAATCTGATGTGGAAGGAACAAGCTCAGAGAGGACTTGACTTGCTCAAGGGCACATGGCAGGTCAGGAGACAACACAAGATGTTGGTCAAGAAAACAACAAGAAAACCAAGCTCCTGGTCCAGTGGATTTTCCCCTAATTTGGTTGGTTTCAACCATTTTTTTTTTTAAAGAGATGGGGTCTCACTTTGTTGCCCAGACTGGTCTCAAATTCCTGGGCCCAAGTGATCCTCCCATCTTGGCCTCCCAAAGTGCTGGGATTACAGATGTGAGCCACCATACCTGGTCTCAACCTTTTAAGAATCAGAATCTTTTATCTTTTTGTTCAGATGAAATATTGTGGGGAACAGAATGTATAAATCAGACCTAAAGGAGGGGGGGTTAAGGGGGCCATGGCACATAGCAGGTGCTCAACAAATACCTGTGGAATGAATGAAAGAATAATATCTCTCCTAAAGAAAGAGCACACAGGCCTCAACTCAGAAGTTTGGTTAGGCAACAGCCTCCAGGTAGAATTGAAAATCATTGTTTTGCTTTGGCTCTGTTTTTCTAATTTCCTTCCATTCAGGCTTGAGATTGTGATTTTCTGTTTATGGTAGTGGTAAAAAAAAATTCATTTTGAAATAAATTTAAGTCAAAAACATAAGTTGATTTTTTTTAAATGAAGTAAAATCAAAGGTCACGAAACTTTTTCTGTAAAGGGCCAGATAGCAAATATTTTTAACTTTGCAGGCCATTCATCTCAACTATAAATGGGTGGGCCTGGCTGTGTTCCAATAAAACTTTATTTACAAAGGCAGACTTGGGATCATATTTGGCCCACAGGCTGCAATTGAACAAACTCTGAAATAATAATATAGGTAGGAGGTACTGAAAAGGCAGTAACTGTGAAGGTGGTATTGGGATGACCAAATTCAGAACTCTGTTCCAGCATAAATCTAGGAAATCAAGGACAATAACACAGAGAAGTAGAGAGTGAATCTTGGGGCCTCTTCCCCACGTGCAGCCCCCAGACCTTTCATGGCACATCTATCGATCCTGCCCTTTTGCATCCCCCAAAAGGGATGTTAAGGGATCCCCCCAGAAACGTTCTAAGGGCTTTAATTCCTGTCTTTCCTCTTTGCAGTTGTATCCAGTGCCTATCCATTTAATAAACTGGGGCTGGGTCTGAGGACACTTAGCAGACATAGGAGGGCCAAGGAAGCGCCCTTCAACCCAAATCACCCTCTCGTATCCCCTTCTCTGTGCCAGACTCTGCAGAGAATGTTCCTTTGGCTTCTCGAGGTGTCACTGGGTAAAATTCTTAGATGGGAAGCCCCGTGAATCCATTGTCAGTCATTATCCCATTAGCTACACATCAACTGTTAGCACCTTAGCTAGAGCACGAGCAACCAGCTTTGCGAAGTGACAGAACAGAATATGGAGTGGAAAGAGTCCAGAGAGGTGGGGCCCATCCCAGCATTTTCTAGGAAGGGAAAGTAAAACTTAGGGGATAGAGAAAGGAGACATAGCAAGTGATGACAGACACCAGACTGTCCTCAGTATCGCCCATCTAAGCTTCTCTTCCTTACTCCCACCTTATTGAACACCTAAGTGCCGAACACTTTTTACGTGCCCTGGCTTCATCTAATCCTCACCACACTAGAAAGTAGGTGCTGTGACCCCTGTTTTACAGATGAGGGAGCAGAGGCTCAGACAGGTTAACTAAGTAGGTGGCAAGAGCCAAGACTCAAAGCTCTGCGGAACTCCAAATTTTTTTTTTGAAACATAGTTTCGCTCTTATTGTCCAGGCTGGAATGCAATGGCGTGATCTCAACTCACTGCAACCTCCACCTCCTGGGTTCAAGTGATTTCCCTGTCTCGGCCTCCTGAGTAGCTGAGATTACAGGCATGTGCCACCACACCCAGCTAATATTTTTTTTTTTTTTTGTATTTTTAGTAGAGACGGGGTTTTGCCATGTTGGTGAGGCTGTTCTCGAACTCCTGACCTCAGGTGATCCGCCTGCCTTGGCCTCCCAAAGTTCTGGGATTACAGGCATGAGCCACCGTGCCCGGCCTCCAAATTCTTTTAAAAAAAAATATTATTATTGCTACTATTTTTAGAGACAGGGTCTCACTATGTTGCCCAGACTGGTCTTGAACTCCTGGGCTCAAGTGATCCTCCCACCTTGGCCTCCCAAAGTGCTGGGAATACAGGCTTGAGCCACCATGCATGGCCAAAATTATTTTTTTCATTTAAGTTCATGTATTTATTTTTAGTGATATATTAGATATACATATTTTTAGGGTACATGTAATAATTTGATACATTCATATAATCAAATCAGGATAATTGGAATATCCAAGGATCTCCAAATTCTTAATGACCACACTCAACTGTCTTGTGTCCCCCTCAAGCTTTCTCTCCTTAGTGGCCTCTTCATGCATTTATCTTGACCCAATCTCCATTTCATTTCCAGCCCCGGAATACTTCCTCCTTTCCCTCCACCAGGAGGTGAGATGCTCTCAGGAAGCCTGACTCAAGTGACCTTGTGCCCAGCACATCCTCGTTCCTGGAAGGATGCCAGGGAACCTCTGGGTCCTTTCAGTTGATGGTCTCAAACCCAGAGTCAGTGCAGACTGGGGCTGTTCTGAGGAAGGGAGACCAGGTGCCTCCCCATCTGCAGGGCAGGAGTGTCACAGTTCACTGGCTGGCACCCTCACCAGCCCACACCCTACACTCACCCAACCAGTTGGGCCACACCACCCACATGCCAGGCGGATCCGTTTGGACGGGCGCACAGCATGACCCAGCTTGTCTGCCACCTGTCCTCGGCTGCTGGGTTCCTCCCATCCTCCCACCTCCCAGGTGCCCCAGGTCCAGGTGTTCAAGGGCTCCTCCGTGCACATGCCCCTCCTCCATGAGAACGCTTTGTGTGTCTCACAAAGAAGAGAAACAGATCGTTTCCTGGAAGCTCAGGGAAGATCACTGCTGGGGATTCCCTGGCCCTGGGTGCCGGGCTCCCCTTTGTGGGAAGTGATTCTGAAGCCCAAGTATTCCTGTATGGAGGGAGGTTGGAGAAGTTCTTCCCAAGGGGATGGAAGGCCAGGTTGGCGTTCTGATATGACTTCCTTGTCTCTTGCCTGGCCTCAGTTTTCCCATTTGAAAACAGGACAAAGAATTCCCTCATTGTAACTCTCTGAAGTATTCTATAGAGGATTACTTGGCATTACACACACTCCACTGCCCCCTTAATTAATTTATTCTTTTATTCAAATATTTTTAAATTTTGTATTTTAAAATTTTGTATTTTTATTTTTTTGAGACAGAGTCTCACTCTGTTGCCCAGGCTGGAGTGCAATGGTGCCATCTCGGCTCACTACAACCTTTGCCTCCCAGGTTCAAGTGATTCTCCTGCCTCAGCCTCCTGAGTAGCTGAGACTACAGGAGCCTGCCACCACCATGCCCGGCTAATTTTTGTATTTTTAGTAGAGATGGGGTTTCACCATGTTGGCCACGCTGGTCTCAAACTCCTGGTCTCAAGTGATCCACCTGCCTCGGCCTCCCAAAGTGCTGAGATTACAGGCATAAGCCACAGTGCTCAGCCTCAAATATCATTTTTTTGAAACGCTGGCCAAGTTCCAGGGGCTCTGCCTGGCCCAGGAAGGTAGGAGGAGGCGCAACACTCAGAGAAGGGGCTTACACCAAACGGGAGGCCGACAAAAGCAAATCAACATATAAGGCAGCCAAGCAACCTCAGCTCACGATATGTGCCCTGAGGAAAATATAGCTGGAGGACGTGGTAGACACTGACCACAGGGGCAGGGCAGGGCCTGAGGACACCGCGGATAAAGGCTGAAACAACCAGAAAGAACCACCGTGAGAAGGAAGGTCTGCCGCTGAATGTTCTGAGCGAGGAAGCAGCAAGTCCAAGTGCCCTGGGGTGACTAGGAGCTTGCCCTGTCTGAGGCATAATCAGTGACCGTGTTGCTGAAACATGGCGCACGATGGGGAAAGTGGCAGGAATGAGGTCAGAGGGAAAGGCTGGGGCGGGAGCCTGTGGGGAGCCCTCTGAGGATTCTGCGTGCAGCAAGAGCCTCCCCAGCCACAGGAGATACAAGATCTTGCATGACTTGGGAGGAGCCTAGAAGTGGGTACCACCTTCCTCCCCCACCCCTGGTTCCCTGGGGCTGGGACTCCTATTTGGAGAGAGGATCTGATCGGCTTAGCTTGGGTTATATGTCCACCCCCATGGCCATGGGGAAGCCAGAACCCCTTATTAGACACCCCCATCCCCCAGATCTGTACAGCATGGCCAAAGGGTAGTTCCCAAAAGGGAATGCATGCAGCTAGCAGAGAAAGGAGGACTGGGCACTGGGCAAACAGAAGCCACAGCTGTGCGCTCCTTTCCACCTGACTCCCACTTCCGACCTAGATTTTGATGCCTTTCTCTGCTGTCTGAGCCCCACTCGCCACCATTTCCTACCCACCCCAGGAGTTTCTGGGATACTGGGTGGCACCCATTTGTCACTTAATAGAATCATAAAACTGAGAGAAATGCCCAGGACCATCGTGTCACTGTTGCACTTTGGAGATGGGGAAACAGTCTGGCGTGGTGAGAAGCCATGGGTCCTAGAACTTTGTGCTTCTGATTTACCCACCATGGAATTCTGCTGCTTCTTTTAGGATTCCTGAAGGAATTCCTTGTCCCCCGCTCCCACCTTCAGCAGCTTCATTTCACCCATGTGGGTGTGGCCACAATGTAAGGAGATGGTTTTTCTTTTCCTTGTGCAACCCAGCTAAGAAGTTTGCATCACACGTCATGTTTCCCCATAGACATACTACAGCTTATGGAGCTGGCTATGCCTGGGTTTGACTGACTGTGTGACATTACACAGTCATTTAACCTCTCCGTGCCTTCATTTTCTCATCTGTAAAATGGGACTACTACTACTACTACTCCCTACCTCCTAGGACTGCGGAAAGGTTGAGTTCGAATACGCAAAGCACTTAGAATAACCCTTCGGGTATATTACCTTCAGAGTGGTGATGTGTAATTTGTAAGCCCCTACAATGACTTGCACACACTTCATGCTTTGAAACTCTTTGTGAATTTCTTTTGTTCCTTCATTCAACTAACACCTTTTGGGCATTTGCCAGGCCCAGGCACTCACAGTGAACAGGCCAGACAAGGTCCCCACCCTCTCTAGGGGTAGAGATAGACCATGGGGGGAAAAATCAATCAGTCAATAAGCAAGAAAACAAGACACTTTCAGTATGACAAGTGCTAGGAAGAAATGAAACAGGGTGACAGAGAGAGAGTGGTGAGGGCGCTGTTGAGGCAGTGATCTGGGAAGATCTCTCTGAAGGGTGACAGTTAGACTAGAAGAGTAACCAGCCATGGAACAAAAACTTCTTGTAGAGGACATAAACAGCAGGTGCAAAGTCCCTGGGGTAGGGAAGAGTCACGTGCGTGTGATGGAAAGGAGGAAGTTGCTATGGCTGGAATGAGTTGGGGGAATGAGAGATAAGGAGAAACCAGAGAGGCAGGCAGGGGCCACATTAAGCAGCTCTCCTTGACCATGGTAGGAATTTGAATTTGATCCTAAGGATGGTGGAAGCCTGTGAACAGCTGAAGCAGTGGAGTGAATGAGCCAATTCATGTTTTCTGGCTACTGTGGGAGAAATGGATTGGAGGGGACAAGATTAGAAAAGGAGAGACCAGTCATGAGGCTGTTGAGAAATGGTGAGACATATCCTTGGGTCCCTACAGAGCACTTAGCCAGGCACCTGGGGCACCTCATCAAAGAGCACTGCTCACAACCTGCAGGTGGTCCCTGCTTGTGAGGCTTCATCACTCCACGAATGAAAGAGGATAACTCCATACAACCTGGGGTGCCCTGGGCAGAGAACTGGAGGTGTGTCCCTGCCTGGAACCTGCTCCAGGATCAATCCTTTTTTTTTTTTTATGAGACGGAGTCTTGCTCTGTCGCCCAGGCTGGAGTGCAGTGGTGCAATCTCAGCTCACTGCAACCTTCGCCTCCTGGGCTCAAGCGATTCTCCTGCCTCAGCCTCCTGAGTACCTGGGATTACGGGCACCCGTCACCACACTAGGCTAATTTTTATGTTTTTAGTAGAGACAGGGTTTCACCACATTGGCCAGGCAGGTCTTGAACTCCTGACCTCAAGTGATCCACCTGCCTAAGCCTCCCAAGGTGCTGGGATTACAGGCGTGAACCACTGCACCCAGCCAGGAATCAGTCTTGTTCCAGCAGCCCTGCTAGGGCCCTGGCTCTGGCCTCTTTCCAACCTCCGGGGAGTGCCCAGGGCAGAAATCCGGCCCTGCCCACCCTGGGCTGCACACCGATAACCTCCCCAAAGGGAAGCCGTTTGTTTGGAAGGAAATGGTGCAGAATGAGCAGTGGCCACGCTTAAAATAGGGCTGGAGCCTGGTTTCCAGGGCTGAGCTGGGAGCGCTGGAGCTGAGATTTCAGTGGCTGAGACGTTCGGTGGCCTTTCCCGGGGCTGTGGAGATCAGATTCCGTTTGGCACCCTCTGCCTTGCCCCAAGGAGCTTCCAAGAGTTTTCTTGTAATGCCATTCTTGGGGCAATGCGCTAAGCATTCAGGGGCATAATCACTTTTTTTTTTTTTTTGAGATGGAGTTTTGCTCTTGTCACCCAGGCTGGAGTGCAGTGGTGCCATCTCGGATCACTGCAACCGCCGCCTCCCAGGTTCAAGCGATTCTCCTGTCTCGGCCTCCTGAGTAGCTGGGATTACAGGCACTTGCCACCACCCCTGGCTAATTTTTGTATTTTTAATAGAGACGGGGTTTCACCATGTTGGCCAGGCTGGTCTCGAACTCCTCACCTCAAGTGAAGGGGCATGATCACTTTTAATCCTCAGTCCTGGGAAGTGGGGGCATAATAAGCCCTCGTTTCAAAGAGCAGAGCACAGAGGTGTTGATGGGTTTAAAGTCCTGTCCAAGAGCGAGCTCCTCTCAATGCCTTGGGGGGATCCAGAGGAAGATGACAGTTCCACAGAGGGGTCTTTGGGGCTGACCCATGACACTTTACTCTCCCTGTCTCTACTTCCTCCTTCATTCTGGCATTTTCTTGTCCCCATCTCACCCCATGATGAGGAAGAGGGTTGGAAGTTGGGAATTATAATCACCTGGCTGCACCCTGGTAACACCTGGGGAACTTTTAAAAGATGCTGCTGCCAACACCCCACCTCTGACCAATTCAGTCAGGTACTGGGGTGGGGCCCTGGCACTGGTCTTTAAAAAAAAAAAAAAAAAAGATTTCCCCGGGGAATCCTAACATGCAGCCAAGGTTGACAGCCACTGCTTTAAAGCCTTTCCAATTCCAATCCTGCAGTTCCCCGCCTTGACGGATTGTCGCAAATCACCTGGGTAGATGTTATTATGAACTCACATCTGAGCTGCACCCCAGGCCAATTAAGCTAGGATCCCTGAGGATGGGGTCTGGGCACTATATTTTTGAAGAGCTCTCACAGGTGATTCCCAAGGGCAGGCAAGGTGGGGAAGCTCTGTGAGTCCAGTCTCGTAGGTGTACAGATAGGGAAACTGAGGCCCAGAGGAAGGTGGCAACTTGTCCAGGGTCACACAGCAGCTAGTGGAGTTCAAACCCAACACTCTAGACCCCCCAGGCTAGCACAGCCCTAATGCAGGAGGTCTAGGGGCCTACTGCCTGCTGTGATCGTAACCATCAGCCCTCGTGAACCTCACCCTTCTGTAATTCTCCCTTTGAGGATGGGTGGACCTGAGAATATACCGAGCTGTCGCTCCTGTGACTATATTACCTTTATTACCTTACTTAGCAAAAGGGATTTATTGGTTGAGTTTCAGTTCCTCAAAAGGAACTTATCCATGTGGGCCTAATCTAAGCACATAAACCTTATAGAAGCAGAGTATGGCCAGGTGCAGTGGTTCATGCCTGGAATCCCGAGTTGGGCAGATCGCTTGAGTCCTGGAATTCGAGAGCAGCCTGGGCAACATGGCAAAGCCCCATCTCTACAAAAAAGTACAAGAATTAGTAGGGCATGTTGGCACACACTTATAGCTCTAGCCTTTCAGGAGGCTGAGGATGGGAGGATTGCTTGAGCCCAGGGGGTTGAACTGCAGTGAGCTGAGATTGCACCACTGCACTCCAGCCTGGGCGACAGAATGAGACTCCATCTCAAAACAAACAAACAAAAAAAACCCCGCCACCCTTTCTGGTGGGTGGCCCATGGTCCCCTCCTGTGGCCAGGTAAGTACAGGCAAATGCAGCAAGGTTACTGCACCCAGTCTCCCCAACAAAGGCGTGACCCACCTTCTGAGGCTCTTAAAAAGACAGCTTTGCCCACTCACTCCCTTCCTTTATTCAAAAGTCCCAGAGACTTTCCCTGACCCCAGTCCACACGTGATATACTGCACCCCACCAAGCCCACCTTCCTTGATCCCTTTTTGCATCATCCTGTTGTATTTCCCCACAGCGCCACCTGAAATCATCTGCTTCATTTACTCATGTGTTCATTGTCTGCACTCACCCCCAACCCATAGCCACAAGAACCCAAACCCAGAAAGACAGGGACCTTGTCCATCTGGAGCCTAACGCAGTGCACCAGCCAGATCTGTGGGACTAGTGAGGGGGCAGCAGGGAGAGGGTTGGGTTGAGAGGGAGGGGAGGGGCCCGGGGCAAAGAGTTGACCCTGAGCCAGCTGCCTTATGCATCCCACCCCAGGATCCTGGGATCCGCTGAAGGATTCCTGGGTCCTCCAGACTTCAGCCAGGCTGTGCGCACTCCGTGCCTTTCAGAGAAGCCCTGGCAGGTCCCCTGGAAGTTCCTGGAGGGTCTGAGCTCAGAGACATGGAGGGAAGGAGGTGAGGCAGGGTGATCCCGACAGCTGCCAGGAGAAACTCCCTGCTCTCTTCCCGCAGGTCCCTTAGCTCAGTGTTTTTCAAATGATTTGTGGTGAAGGACCAGTCTGTGCATCTGTTTTCAGTTGCTGATTCATCACACACCAATACTTTCACAATTTACTATAAAAATCCCCCTGTGCCTACATGTCGCAGCAATGGCTAATTGCTATGTAGGTTTCCAAACCCTTACTCTGGGAACTGCACTCAGCTCTTGGGGAACAGATAACTGTTTGTGAACGGCTTGCAGGCCACACTTTGAGCTGTACAGATCTGGATATGCCAAGGCCCAGGATGGGTGGGTGGGTGTTGGCAGCTACAAGGGCCCTGACACCCGCCCAGAGGCTGGGCGTTGGAGGGATGAAGGGCAGCTGGTGAGGCGGGGACCTGACGCGCAAGCCTGTGTCCCCCAGCAGTAAAGAGTCAGGGCTGGGAAGTAGGAAAAGGAATCTCCTCTGTCCTCAAACCACAGGAGACAGGCAGGTAGGAGTGGGGAACTCCTCCAGCTCCGTCCATGCCTCCTGGTCCTTCTCACAGTTCAGGGGAAACTTCTTTGGGGGAGGGAGCAGTTTTGCCCCACTCCGTACTTGTCATCACCATGCCACTTTGGCCCGGAGTCATTAAACTCCTCTCGAGATGTTTGCCTCGTACCTTCTAGTGCAGATTCCAGTCCAGGAGGAATGCGTGCTCATGACATGAAGGCAGTGTCAGAGGACCTTGCAACTCTCTGCACCCAGCCTGGGGACAGCTGGCTTCCATCTGCCAGACGTCAGGCTGTTGACAGGGGTGGGGTGGTGATACCATCCCAGCCCAGCATTCAGGGAGCTGGCATCTCAGATTGCCCCACCCTGCCCCTCCCTGGCCCTCAAGGAGCCGAGAGGAGAGTGACATCGAAACTCCACTCCATCAAGAGTGGGCTGACCCAGCCCCCTCGATATCTGGGTGGGGTCCCAGGAATGCCTCACCCCCGTGTTGCACACAGTAGGCACTTAGAGTATTTGCTAAGCACATGCAGGGTCCTCCTCAGCTGGCCTGGAGGGAGCCCCAGCCCATTGGCCTTCCCCAGGGTCACCTCAGTAGCCTTCAGGCCCTGGCTGCATTGTTCCAATTCCTGCAGGTTTGGAATGTCTCTGTTTACCGTCAATGTCAATATGACTGGGAGAACATCCAGTTCCCACAGGCCTTCTGGGGGCTGGCGGGGGACACAAGGCTGAGAGATGGGAGCAGGCCACACCTGGGCCCCCCAGCTCCCTTCAGGTCCCCTATGTTACAAACCCCAATCCAGGCACATTGTCACTCTGGGTCCTGGAATTGCATAAGCAGATGGGTGGCAGCCAGCAGGAGTTCCACAGGGCCTCATACCTCTACCCACGCCTTCCAGCCCCTCCCTCCTTGCCCTTTTATTTGGCAGGATATGGGGAGCAGTGGCTCCTTCTGCAAGGAGCTGCCCCTCCTCCTATGCCTTTGATCAGAGTCCCTCCACCTCCCACCTCCACCTGTCCAAACCCTCTCCGACTCATAGATCTCAGCTCTGTAACTAGATGGCTTGGATTCAAATCTCCCCTCCACCATTTCTAGCTATGTTGCCTGGGCAAGTTACTCAACCTCTCTGTGACTGTTTTCTCACGGTAGAGTGGCATGTTGGGGGCATTTCTTCAATTTCTGGCTGCCTATCATCTTGGAATCCCCTTTCTGTAACTGGAGATTTCTACATTTGCCCATAGTGTGAGTCTGTACTCATTAATGTAGAAGTCAGAATTCAATTCTCCAACCCGTTTGATCATCAATCGGGTACAATCATACAGGACTTCCATGGAGAGAGAGATCACTAGCTCAAGCACTATCTTTTCTTTGGTGAACATGGTGGCAGGAATAACTGGATCTTTGGGGACATCAATGGCTAAACTCTTGTGTCTGAAGAAGCAGTTGCACATTTGCTAAAGCATCCCCCGTAGAGTGGTTGGGTGTTCTCTCTCGCTACCTACCACCCAGACCCAGTTTTCTGTCTCCTCACCCTGAATGCAAAGAGCTGCCTACTCTTAAAAAGCCTTTGCTGCTTAAATTAGCTAAAATTCTGTTATTTGCAACCAAGACCCTTAACAAAGTCATAGGGACAATAATAATATCTGCCTCGTGATGGTGTTGTGAAGATCAAACCCTCCTACAGGCTTGGTGGGAAGTCAAGAGGAAGCCAGCCCAGCTCTTTGAATATCTTCCTTGTATCTGGGGTGCCCCGCTTTATGGTTTGGGGACGGTGTCCTCTGCCTGTGTCCCAGAACACAGCCTCACTTGCAGGCAAGTTGCTTTTCTGAGCCTTCCCTCTCCTTTAAGAAGCACGAGAACCCCAGGGTTGCACGAGGTCCCAGGGTCAGTCACTCACCTCCCCGAAATAAAACCAGGACATCTGACCCATATGTCAAAGAGCTCCATTCTCTGAGTGCAGGATCTGAAACAAGACCTGTTTGCTACAGGAGATGCTATGGCAGCCGGGGCTCTGCAGCTGGGAGCAGCCCCTTTCCCCTTGGGAAGTTCAGTGGAGACCGAGAAGCATTGAGGCTCCTAACACAGGGACACATCCCCAGTCCCAGAAATACCTCACTGGAGTAGACCTGGGATTTCTAGGTCCCTGCTAGTTAGTGACACAGCCAGATCTTGCATGTGGCTCTTATATTCTTGGCCACTTCCCTGGGGCAGCCATGGTGAGCTTGACCGGGCGGATCTTAGAATCCACTGCCTTGCAACCCCAGAACTGACATCTTCCCTTAGTATCCCAACTTTCTGTATACGGAGACATGCCCCCACACAGCCACTCTGGGGCATGTCTGGCCTCCCAGGCATCCTGAGAGTGACCCATCAGTCACTGAGAGAATCAGTGCCAACCCTTGTCCACTGGTGGTGCCCAAGACATGGCCCGTTTCCATTTGCCTCTTATTCACCACAACGGGTCGCCTTGGAGAAGACCTTCAGTGTCACACTCAAGTAGGTCTCTGTACTTGGTTGAATGGTGTCCTCCCAAAACTCACATATACTTGGAACTTCAGGAAATTACCTTATTTGGAAATAGGGGTCTTTGCAGATACGGTTAGTAATTAAGAAGAAGTCATACTGGATTAAGGTGGGCCCCAATCCAATGATTAGTGTCCTTATAAGACAAGGGAAATTTGGACACAAACACACAGGAGAGAAGACCTCGTGACGATGGAGGCAGAGGTTGGAGGGATGCAGCTATAAGCCAAGGATTGCTGGCAAACGCCAGGAGCTGGGATCAGATTCTCCCCCAGCCCTTCCTGCAGGAACCAGCCCTGCCAACACCTTGATGTTGGACTACCGGCCTCCGAACAGTGAGAGGACGCATATTGGTTGTTTTAAGCCTCCTAGGTTGTGGTAACTGGTTACAGCAGCCCCGGGAGATGAATGCAGTTTCCTTTTAATTAATCTTGTTATGAACAGCAAAGACAGGATTGTGGGAAGGAGTGCCAGTGATACTTTTCAGACTTGGGTTCTGTAGGCAAATAAAGATGAATTGCCCATCTTTTCCTCGCTGTGATGTTTAATTGTAATTTAAACATAATTGTAACTGTGATGTGTAATTTAAAGGTGGCGACAACCGGTCGTGGTGGCTCATGCCTGAAATTCCAGCATTTTGGGAAGCTGAGGCGGGTGGATCACTTGAGGTCAGGAGTTTGAGAACACCCTGGCCAACATGATGAAACCCCGTCTCCACTAAAAATACAAAAATTAGCCAGGCATGGTGGCATGTGCCTGTAATCCCAGCTACTCTGGAGGCTGAGGTGGGAGAATTGCTTGAATCCGGGAGGCAGAGGTTGCAGTGAGCTGAGATTGCGCCACTGCACTCTAGCCTTGGCAACAGAGCAAGACACCATCTCAAAAAAAAAAAAAAAAAAGAAAAAAAAAGAAAGAAAAAGAAAAACAAGGTGATGAGGATTTCAGTTAGGAAATTTTGCGCAAGGAGCTCATGGGCCTTTGGCAAAGGAAGCAATTGAGACACTGTCCCCAATCTATGGGTCAGGGATTGTCCAAACCCTTCCCAACCAATAGATGTCAACTCTGTATCCAGGCAGCTTGGATTCAAATCTTACCTCCACCATTTCTAGCTGTGTTGCTTGGGCAAGTTACTCAACCTCTCTGTGCCTACGTTTTCTCACCTGTAGAGTGGTGTGCTGGGGGCCTTTCTCCTATTTCTGCCTGCCCATCATCTCTGAACCACCTTTCTTTAACTGGAGATTTCTCCATTTGCCCATACTGTGAGTCTGTACTCATTAATGTAGAAGTGAGCTCAATAGAAATACAGTAAGAGGCCGGTGGCTCACGCCTGTAATCCCAGCACTTTGGGAGGCTGAGGCAGGTGGATCACCTGAGGTCAGGAATTCGAGACCAGCCTGGCCAACATGGTGAAACCCCATCTCTACTAAAAATAAGGCTGGGTGCGGTGGCTCACGCCTGTAATCCCAGCACTTTGGGAGGCCGAGATGGGTGGATCATGAGGTCAGGAGATCGAGACCATCCTGGCTAACACGGTGAAACCCCGTCTCTACTAAAAATAAGAAAATTAGCTGGGCGTGGTAGCATGCACCTGTAGTCCCAGCTACTCGGTAGCTGAGGCAGGAGAATCGCTTGAACCCGGGAGGCTGAGGTTGCGGTGAGCTGAGATTGCGCCATTGCACTCCAGCCTGGGTGACAGAGTGAAACTCTAATGTCTCAAAAAAAAAACCAAAAACAAAAACAAAAAAAAACTCAATTTATTTTAATGTATTAATTTTTCCAGAAACAGGGTCCTGCTCCCTGCTCTGTAACCCAGGCTGGAGTGCAGTGGTGCAATCACAGCTCACTGCAGCCTCAAACCCCCGGGCTCAAGTGATACTCCCACCTCAGCCTCTCAAGTAGCTGCAACTACAGGTGCACGCCACCATGACTAGCTAATTTTTTGTAGAGATGGAGTCTTGCTGTGTTGCCCAGGCTGGCCTCAAACTCCTGACCTCAAGCGAATCCTCCCTCTGCAGCCTCCCAATGGACTGGGATTACAGATGTGAGAAACAATTCCCTACCCAAATATCTCAATTTAAACAGTAGCATCTAATTTTTAAGCTTTGTGTGGAAAAACTGAAGATGCCAGTTTGCACTAATTTTTATGAAACAACTGGCCAAAAACTGATGGTGTAACTATCTCCAAGCTGTAGATAGATTTCATCTTCTATCTCAGCAAAAGACTCCCATTATCCTTTATTTGAGTAGTTCAACCAGTGACTTTCGGAAAGCGGCTTAGCGGCTTCATGCCTCAGTTTCTGCATTTGTAAAAGAGAGATAATAGTTCCTACTGCACAGGGTTGCTATGAAGATTAAATGAATTACTTTTGTAACTCACTTATACAAAATAAGTGCTCAGTATGTATTGGCTGTTATTATTATTATTGTTAGCCAAAGCAGCTTAAAGGGGGGAAGTTCTGTGTTACAGGATGTTCTCAATTTAGCCCACTCTGAGCCTCCTGCAGGCTTCCTACTGCATTCTTGGGTTCTCTCCCTGCCTATGGAGACTCAGCCAGAGGAGACCCTTCCTCCTGACCCACCCCCACCAGTAAGTGGGGGTCCCAAGAAGGCACACACAGTCTTTGTAAAGACAGAGATTACATACTGGTTTTGGTGTGTTTGGGACGTAGCCTCCTGAGCACCGTGCCTCCAAATCATGTTTGCGAAGTGATTGTTCAAGACCAATGGTTGGGAAGCTGAATGGCTCAGGATCTTGGCTGAACAACAGATGAGAGAGGGCCCCCGGCTTCCCAGAGGAAGGCGAAGAAAGGGATGTGAGTGAATTAGCAGCATGGCAGGGAAGAGAGAGCAAGCGGGTAATAGCTTGGGCTCTGGCAGCTAACCCACCCACCGGGGGCAACCCCCACACTGCATCACAAAGCTCCTGCTCACGATAAATCCCCAGGCTGCACTCCCATGCTTGACAGCATCCCTAGCTCCTAAGCACATTCCTTAGCATTCAAGACCTTCCTGGTTTCCCCTGCTGGCTGCCACCTTCTTCCCAGCTTTGAACTTGATGCTGCCTGGAGCCCCTTTCACAGAACACACTCTCTCATGCCCATCACCTATTCCTTCTGCTCAGAAAGCTCTCTCGCCTTGCTGGATTCCTGTCCTCCTATGAAACTGCCTCCAGGAAGCCTCCTGACTCCTCAGTGGGGTCATGCTCTTCCAGGATGAGGAGGACATTTCTGTTCACTTAACCATTTCCCTCATCGAGGCTGGCAGCACCACAAAAGGGCAGAGAGGGGTCTGAGCCCCCAGCTGCATACTATGAGGTGGACCTGGGAACCCTGAGGAGGACCCCTTAACCTTAGGTCCTCCCCTGCCCCCCCACTCAAACTTTATTTTTACCAAAGATCATCTAAGGATCTCTATTGTACGCCCACCCAGTTCTGCAAGGGGTGCGGGGGAAGGAGGAGGCTCTCCCTACCTTAGGGAGGTATTATGGGGTGAATTATATCACTCCCAAGATGCATATGCTGAAGTCCTGACCCCAGTAACTCAGAATGTGACTGTATTTGGAGATAGTGTCTTTAAAGAGGTAAGTTAAAGTAAGGCCACTCAAGTGGGCTGTAACCCAATATGACCAGTGTCCTTATGAGAAGAGGAAATCTGGACACAGACATGTACAAGGGGAAGACAATGTATAGACACAGGGAGAAGAAGGCCATCAACTAGCTAAGGAGAGAAGGAACCATCCCTGCTGACACCTTGATCTTGGACTTCTGGCCTCCAGAACTGTGAGAAAATACATTTCTGTGGTTTAAGCCAGGGTCTCCAACTCCCCAGGGAACCAGTTAGGAACTGGGCCACACAGCAGGAGGTGAGTGATGGGCAGGCAAGCAAAGCTTCATCTGTATTTACAGCCACTCCTCATCACTTCCATTACCACCTGAGCTCCACCTCCTGTCAGATCAGCAGCAGCATTAAATTCTTATAGGAGCTGGCCGGGCCTGGTGGCTCACACCTGTAATCCCAGCACTTTGGGAGGTCAAGGCAGGCAGATCACCTGAGGTCAGGAGTTAAAGGCCAGCCTGACGAACACAGCAAAACCCCGTCTCTATTAAAAATACAAAAATTAGCTGGGAGTGGTGGTGGGTGCCTGTAATTCCAGCTACTTGGGAGGCTGAGGTGGGAGAATCACTTGAACCTGGGAGGTGGAGATTATAGTGAGCCGAGATCACCCACTGCACTCCAGTCTGGGTGACAGAGCAAGACTCTGTCTCAAAAAAATAAAAATAAAAAATAAAAAATAAAAAAAATTATTATCAGAGCGTGAACCCTACTGTAAACCACACATTTGAGGGATCTAGGTTGCGTGCTCCTTATGAGAATCCAATGCCTGATGATCTGTCACTGTCCCCCATCGCCCCCAGATGGGACCATCTAGTTGCAGGAAAACAAGCTCAGGGCTCGCATTAATTCTACCTTATGGTGAGTTGTATAATTACGTCACTATATATTACAATGTAATGATAATAGAAATAAGGTGCACGATAAACGGAATGCACTCGAATCATCCCCAAACCGTCCCCCAACCCCCATCTGTGGAAAAATTGCCTCCATGAAACCAGTTCCTGGTACCAAAAAGGTTGAGGACCACTGGTTTAAGCCACCCAGTCTGAGGTGCTGTGTTATGGCAGCCATAGCAAACTTACATAAGGAATTGATAGTTCTTCATTTCTGCCTTCATAAAACAGAGATAATAATGGTCTCTACCTCATAAAGTGGTCGGGAAGACTGAATAAGTCAAATGCACATAAAACAGAGCTGCAATTGACAAATACTAGCTGCAGATATTGTTATTGCTGTCATCATCTTCATTCATCTGGTTGGGACAGATAAACTTAGCAACGAGAAATAAGAGAATGCCACAGACGAGAGCTATGAGGAGCTGATATTGATGCATCAAACAATCCTAGGATTTCAGAGCTGGGAAGCCCACTTGGTGTCCCCCTCCCTTGTCTGATGAATGAGCAGAAGAGAAGGGACTTTCTCAAAGTCTCACTGTAAAGGGGGAACACCAGGGCCAGAATAGAGCTTCCAGGCTCCGAGCCTTGGCCACACCATCATGCCGCTCGTGGGTTTCTATTATTAACCAAAATGCATGCTGGTTCTCGGTTGCACAGCTTGCATCAGGGCCTGGTCAGCCCACTCTTGGGGTGCTGGCTTGATCCTTGCTTGATGAGACAAAGATTGCAAGGAGGAAACAGTCTGGCCAGCAGGGAGTGGGAAGTAGCGTTTCCAGCTTTGCATCTGCTACGCTACTTACTCTAAAGGGCCTCTCCACACCCAGGCAGCCAAGAGCTTCCCTCGTGTGGGAGCTCTGCCCAGGACGTGCAGCTGAGCAGAGAGCCATGAGGGGTCCTCCCTCTGCACACTATCTGGGAGCAGGAGAAAATGGGGGCCTCATGGAGCTGACCCTGGAGCTGGGCTAAGCCACAAGGGCACAGAAGGCAGGCAGGGTCCGGTTCTCATTCTGCCAATCCTTGCCCCCTGAACCAACAGTAGTTCATGCTGGATTATTGTTAAGAAGAGATGACTCCTGCTGTGTGGAATGAGAGCTGCTTTCTAGGCCACTTCCAGGAAGACGATGAGCTGCTCTCTAGCTATGCACTTAGCTGTAGTCCCAGAAGCCCCTACACATCGAGGAGACCCAGGAGCTGAAGAAATCTACGGGTTCTCAACTCTGATGTCATCACGTGCTGTCCCTACTTCCCAATCATCCAACCTCGGCTTGAAACGCTCTCAGGACAGGGAACTCACTACTCCACAAACCATTCTATCCCATTGTAACAGAGGTTTTAATCAGTGCTACCCAACAGAAATATAATGTAAACATGTTAACATTACTTTTTAAAGTATATTTAAAAAGTAAAAAGAAACAAGTCAAATTAATTTTAATATTTTCTTTTTCCCAATAGATCTAAAATACGATCATTTCAACATGTATTCAATATTCAGAAATTTAGGCCAGGCACGGTGGCTTACACCTGTCATCTGAGCACTTTGGGAGGCCAAGATGAGGGGATCACCTGAGGTCAGGAGTTCGAGACCAGCCTGACCAATGTTGTGAAACCCTATCTTTACTAAAGATACAAAAATTAGCTGGGCGTGGTAGCATATGCCTGTAATCCCAGCTACTCAGGATGCTGAGGCAGGAGAATTGCTTGAACGTGGGGGGTGGAGGTTTCATTGAGCTGAGATCATGCCACTGCACTCCAGCCTGGGTGACAGAGCGAGACTCAGTCTAAAAAAAAAAAGTTAGAAATTTAATGGAATGTTTTACATTGTTTTACATTCATATGTATTGTACTAAATCTTAGAAATCTGGTGTGTATTTTACATGTCACCACTTCTCAATCAGACTAGCTAGATCAGTGCTCAGTGGTCACTTGGGGCTGATGGCTACTGTTTTGGATAGTACAAACGTAAATTATAGTTTTTTCTTGTGTTGAATTAAAATCTAACTCCCTGCTATTTTTACCTGTTGATCTGTCTTTTTGTCCACTGTGCTTAGCAGGCTTAACTCCTTTTCTATATACTAGCTATTTGGTTGTTGTTTGTTTGTTTGTTTTGGTTTTTTTGAGACAGTCTTGCTCTGTCGCCCAGGCTGGATTGCAGTGGTGTGGTCACAGCCCACTACAGCTTCAACCCCCAGGGCTCAAGCGATCCTTCCGCCTCAGCCTCTAGAGTAGCTGGGACAACAGGTATGCACCACCACACCCAGCTAATTTTTGTTTTATTTTGTTTTGTTTAGAGATAGGGTTTTGCTATGTTTCCCAGGCTGGTCTCGAAATCCTGGGCTCAAGCAATCTGTCTGCCTTGGCCTCTCAAAGTGCTAGGATTACAGACGTGAGCCACCACGCCCGGCCCCTGACATTATCTTTTTATTGGAAGGTGTTGCGCTAACCCGTTTCCTTCCATGCTAAATATTCTCCATTCCTTCAACAGTTCTGTGCGTGACATCACTTCTAATCCCTTCCCCCAGATGCTTCTTTTGATCAGTGTTCCTAGGAGTGAACAACGATCTGACTATTTTTCTGTAACTTTGGAGCTCACGTCCTTTGCCCAATTTGAGCATAAGCGGTATTTCCTTTTGTCCTATTGATGTTCAATTCAGTTATTTCTGTAATTAGGAGTATTTACCTTTGTTGCAATGTTGTAAACCTTTTCTCCCAGTCATTGTTGGCCTTTCAACTTTTTCTGTGCTATCTTTGGCTATACAGGTTTCTGTTTTCAGGAAGTCAATCTGCAAATATTTTCCATTTGTAGCTTCTGGACTTTGTGGCATGCTAAGGAAAGTCTTGCCCACTCTCATGTGTATGAAAAAGCATTATCCTGCATTTTCTTTCACTGTGTCCACTTTTTAATACTTCCTTCATCTAACTGGAATTGTTTTGTGATACAAGGAAGGGGTCCAACTTAATTTCCACCCCCTCCAAATGTGTAACCAGTTGTTCTATTTTGTGAATAATCCATTCTTTCCCCACTCATTTACAATGCCATTTAAAATATCAGTTTTAGGGCTGGGCATGGTGGCTCACTCCTGTAATCCCAGTACTTTGGGAGGCCGAGGTGGGCAGATCACCTGAGGTCAGGAGTTCGAGACCAGCCTGGCCAACATGGTGAAACCCCATCTCTACTAAAAATACAATAATTAGTCAGGCATGGCAGCGTGCACCTGTAGTCCCAGCTACTTGGGAGGCTGAGGCAGGAGAATCGCTTGAGCCCCAGGAGGCAGAGGTTGCAGTGAGCCAAAATTGTGTCATTGCACTCCAGCCTGGGTGAGAGAGCCAGACTCCATCTTAAACAAACAAACAAACAAACAACAATTAATTAATTAAAAAATAAATAAATAAAAATAAAAAATCATCTTTAGGGTCTACGTTCTCTTTGTCAGCAGAGAAGCAAGACTCTAGCAGCTCCAGGGTTGCATCTGATCAGCTCAACAAACTCAGCAAAAGGAGATTTCCTCTTCTCTAATGGTCTCAGCAAAAGAGTCCTAGGACTGACTCCCACTGGACAGCCTAGACCAACATAGAACCAATGGGAGAAGAGAATCTGCTGATTGGCCACGTCTGATCCCCCGTCTCCCTCAGGAGCAGAGGGGAAGAATCACTTGAGAAAGGCGGAAGCGTAGATACTCAAGGGGAAATGAGGATGCTGTCGACAGAAAGAACAGATGCTGTTCAATCAAAATGCTGCCTACCACAATGCAGCTGCCCTCTTAGCCTGACACTGGGTGCCCCACAGCCCCAGCTCTGTAGGCATCTGGGGAGTCCAGATTGCCTCTGCCCTATCTAGGCTTCCCTCTCAAAGATCAGCTAGATTTGTGTCTGCCCCAAAAATGCAGATCTGAGGCTGGGCATGGTGGCTCACACCTGTAATCCCAGCACTTTGAGAGGCCAAGGTGGGCAGATCACTGGAGGTCAGGAGTTTGAGATCAGCCTGGCCAACGTGGCAAAACCCCATCTCCACTAAAAACACGAAAATTAGCCGGGTATGGTGACGTGTGCCTTTAATCCCAGCTACTCAGGAGGCTGAGGCAGGAGAATTGTTTGAACCCAGGGTTGCAGGTTGCAGTGAGCCAAGATTGTGCCACTGCACTCCAGCCTGGGCGACAGAGTGAGACTCTGTTTCAAAAAAAAAAAGAAAAAGAAAAAGAAAAAAAAGAAAAGAAAAAAGAAATTCAGGTCGGATTCCAGATGCCTTTTCAGGGGGATCCCACTAGCCTAGAAAATCAGCCCAGCGAGGTTGGGTAGGACACTCATGCCCGCTCCTGCCCCAGGACCTTGTCCACATTGCTTCTCTCTGCCAAAAAGAGCAGAGTTCAGGAAGGCCAGGAGGAAGGAAGGATGCCAGCAGCATGTGGATGCTGTTTACAAACAGAAAGTGATTCCTTTCTGCCCATCTCCAGGAGCGGTGCTGCCTTGCTCAGCTACTGCAGGGAGGGTCCCTGGAATGCCCCTTCTGGCCTCTTGCCAAAGACCCACAGCCAATCCCTGGGTCACCAGGGGACAGCCTGAGAATCCAGAGATCAGACTTTCTAGAGAAGGGTTTGCAGGCCAGACTGCAGACCCAGAGTGTTGACCTGAGAGAACAGATGGCTATGTTTCTACACGGGGATGCCCCAGCCCTTGATGCCTCATGCCACAAGGTGGGCACGGTGAGCCCCTCCCTCTCACTCTTGAGCCCTCAGGACATCAGGATGTGATTTGGGAGGAGTCAGTGGATGAGGTCAGAACCCCAATTTTTTTGGTTGAGCCCTCAGGACCTCAGGATGTGATTTGGGAGGAGTCAGTGGATGAGGTCAGAACCTCAATTTTTTTGGTTGCCCCCTCCATCTCCATCAGCCCCTACAAAGGCCCCATAATAATAATATGCTAAGCAGAACAATACTAAGTGAAAACGCCATAGAAAATGGAAATTAAAACTCTCTTTAGGCCAGGTGCAGTGGCTCATGCCTGTAATCCCAGCACTTTGGGACGCCGAGGTGGGCAGATCACGTGAGGTGAGGAGTTTGAGACCAGCCTGGCCAACTTGGTGAAACACCATACCTACAATAATAATAATAATAATAATAATAATAATAATAATAATTAGCTGGGTATGGTGGCAGGTGTCTGTAATCCCAGCTACTCAGGAGGCTGAGGCAGGAAAATTGCTTGAACCTGGGAGGTGGAGGTTGCAGTGAGCAGAGACTGCGCCACTGCGCTCCAGCCTGGGTGACAGAGTGAGACTCTGCCTCAAAATAAAAACGGCAGAGGAATAAAAACTCTCTTTAGTAAAGTTTGCTGTGTTGGAAGACAGGTAGCACTTCAACTAAACAAAAGCAGGCTGCTTGCCTGCAGTGTGAGGGATGCCTGAGTTCAAAGCTTAGCCCTGCCACTCGCTGACTGTGACCCAGTGACTTGCAGAAACTTCCTGTGGCTCCATAGACCCCTGTGACATGAGGCTGAGGACTGTCTCTACCTTGTAAGATTGTTGTGAGGATTCAAGACATGAGTAACTGCAGTAAACCAACAATAACAGGAACAATGTGTTAGGTGGTTATGGTTGATGACAGCGTTTGCAGAAGTGAAATGAATGGCAGCAACATTATAAAGGAGGGGAGGGAGGAATTGCAGATACTCAGTGAAGCCCTAGAGCGTTATTTGAAAGTGAACTCAGGGGCTAGGTGCGGTGGCTCATACCTGTAATCCCAGCACTTTGGGAGGCTGAGGCAGGAGGATCACTTGAGGTCAGGAGTTCAAGACCAGCCTGGCCAACAGGGTAAAACCCAGTTTCTACTAAAATTACAAAAATTAGCTGGGTGTGGTGGCGAGCACCTGTAATCCTGCTACTCCTCCTGCGGGAGGCTGAGGTGGGAGGATCACTTGAACCCCAGAGGCAGAGGTTGCAGTGAGCTGAGATTGTGCCACTGCACTCCAGCCTGGAAAAAAAAAAAAAAAAACCCACAAAACAAAACAAACAAGAAAGTGGACTCAGATTACTTGTAAATGTATATTACAAAACCTCTAGGTCAACCACCAAAAAGTTGCTTAAAAGAAGTATAATTGATATGCTAAGAAAGGAGAGAATATGGAATCACATAAAACACTCAAAACCAGAGAAGGTAGAAAAAGAGAAGATTTTTTAAAAGTAAAAACAAGTGTACTGAATGCAAAGTAGTTACAAATGTGGTAGGTATTAATCCAACTACATCAACAATCACTTTAAATGTGAATGGTCTAAATACACCAATTAAAGACAGAGACCTCAGAATGGATTAGAAAAATCAAGACCTAACTATGTGTTGTCCACAAGAAACCCACTTTAAATACAAACAGGAGTGCTAGCAGAGGGTGAAGGGTGGTGGAGCCAAACTGCCCAGGATTTATTGGGCCACTTCTTTAACTCCTTTCCTCCTTCCTTCTTTCCTTCTTTCCTTCTTTCCTTCCTTCCTTCCTTCCCTCCTTCCTTCCTTCCTCCTTCCATCCCTCCCTCCCTCCTTCCCTCCCTTCCTTCCTTCCTCCCTCCCTTCCTCCCTTCCTCTCTTTCTTTCTTTTTTTGAGGCAGTGTCTTGCTTTGTCACCCAAGGCTGGAGTGCAGCAGTGCAATCACAGCTCACTGCAACCTTGGCCTCCTGGGCTCAAGCAGTCGTTCTGCCTCAGCCTCCTAAGTAGCTGAGACTACAGGTGCACAGGTGCACGCCATCATGCCTGGATAATTTTTTGATTTTTTGTAGAGACAGGGTCTCACTCTGCTGTCCAGGCTGGTCTCAAACTCCTGGACTCGAGTAATCCTCCCATCTCAGTCTCCCAAAGTGCTGAGATTACAGGCATGAAACACCACACCTGGCCACTTCTTTAGTTTTAATAAGCCTCAGTTTCCTTTTCTATAAAATCGGAATAGTAGTAGTTCTGATGAAAAATAGTATAATTGATATGCTAAGGAAGGAGATTAAATGGGCTAACTCATATAAAGCATTTATTTATTTGAGAAGGAATCTCACTCTGTTGCCCAGGCTGGAGTGCAGTGGCACAATCTCGGCTCACTGCAACCTCCACCTCCTGGATTCAAGCGATTCTCCTGCCTCAGCCTCAGAGTAGCTGGGATTATGGGCACCCACCACCACATCTGGCTAATTTTTGTATTTTTAGTAGAGATGGGGTTTTTCACCATGTTGGCCAAGCTGGTCTCTAACTCTTGACCTCAAGTATCTGCCCCCCTCAGCCTCCCATAGTGCTGGGATTACAGGTTTGAGCCACCGCAGCTGGCCCCACATAAAGCATTTAGAAGAGTGACTGGTACCTAATAAGTGCTATAAGAATATGCTGCTTTTGTTATTGTTATCATTATTATCCAAGTGCAGCTTCAGAATAAATTGCCTAGATCTCACTCCTAATGAGCCTTTTACTTCAAAGCTTCTCCTAAATAGGAATTTTAGAGCCACTAATTTTTCCTTGAGGTTTTGTTTTGTTTTTTAAGACGGAGTCTCACTCTGTCACCCAGGTGGGAGTGCAGTGGCGCGATCTCGACTCACTGCAACCTCCAACTCCCGGGTTCAAGTGATTCTCCTGTCTCAGCCTCCCAAGTAGCTGGGACAACAGGTGCATGCCACCACGCCCAGCTAACTTTTGTATTGTTAGTGGAGACAGGGTTTTACCATATCGGTCAGTCTGGTTTCGAACTCCTGACCTCAGGTGATCCACCTGCCTTGACCTCCCAAAGTGCTGGGATTACTGGTGTGAGCCACTGCACCCGGCCCCTTGTGTTTTAAGACCAGGATCGGCTACATAATTTTCAGGGCTCAGCGCAAAATGAAAACACAGAGTTCCTTGTTCAATATTACAAGGAATTTTAAGATGGCACTTCTGTGTGATTGTACAGGTGAATGTCCATGAAGCCAGCCGTAAATAAGACCATAGATTAAGAGAGCAAAGTCAGAATCCAAGATGCCACCTACCCAGTCTGTTCCACCCTACCTGAGTCAGGAGGGCTGTGACCTCCTGGCTGTGAACACATCTCACCTCTCTGCCCCCAGGGAATCCCAGCCAAGGCGCACATTTTGAGAAAAAAAAAAAAAAAAAGAACTTCAGCAAATGCTCTGTGGAGCCCTAATGCTCGCTGTCTTGTGAAATCCTGGATCCAGGATTTCCGGGGAGCTGGGGGCTCCTTTCTGGGCCCCATGTGAGCTGGAGGCCAGTCTTCAAGAAAGGAAGGGCAGAGCTCAGACTGCTTCTGTGAAATGCACTCAGGAGTGGGCTGAGGATTTTTGATTTCCCGGGACGCCTGCTCCAGGGAGCCCGCAGCAGCAGGAGCGAGTCCTGGCCTGTCCAACGCTCTCACCCTTCACCCTCAAGTCACCCAGTTGGCCACACTCTCCTGGGGGGGGCGGAGGTGGAGGTTGGCAGAGTCTTCAGAGCCTTTTATTAAAACTTTTTGGGTGCTTTGTTCACGAGGCCTGGCAAAGTCCAGGGCTCTGGCTTACCCTGGTCTCTCCCTGTCCTGCCCCAAAGGTCACCACTGAGAATCCCAGTCCCTTGTCCTTTGGGGCACTCTCAGAGCTGCCCCTCTGGGGAGGGGGAGCCGATGGGCACAGGCCTCCTGTTAGCGGCAACCTCCGCCTGGGGTGCCTGGCCACACAGGCGATTCCCAGAGAGTGTGGGCGGCAGACAAACAAGCGTTCAGTGTCAGCACAGCCCACCCAGCTCTGAAATGCCTCCTTTCTGTCTCCCGGGGGTGGGGCCTGACAGTAACCCCTGGGCCCAGTGACAGCAGGGGCCACCCACTCCCTAGCGCCCCTACCTCCCACTCCTCCTACTTTGCAGATTCAGCCCTCCCCTCCCATCAAGGGGCAGGGACAAGGCCAGCTCTGCAGGGTGTGGGCCAGTTGGTTTTTGATCTCAAAGATACTGTTCATCCCAGCCTGGGCAGGGCACTGGGAAAGCCTGTGGCTCCTCCCGCCCTCTCTTTCCATTTCCTGCCCCCTCAGGCGCCCTGCCAAGCTAGAAATCCTGAAATGCAGGCTGCAGCCTCTTGTGGGTGCTGGCCTGGCTGCAGGGTAGGAAGCCAAGAGGCAGGAGAGCTGGGGAAAGAGGCTGGCTCCTTCTGCTACCCCCAGTCCCTCCTCCCTTCACCCCTACACTCTCACAGCAGATGGAGGAGCCCCACCACCACACCTGACCTCCAGAGCAGAGGCGATGTTCACAGAACCTGAAATTAACAAATACAGACGGAGAGGGGCTCCGATGGAGAGATTGGCAGGGAGAGAGGAGCTGTTTGAAATCCAGGACATACCGTGGTGAAAGGAATACTTCAATTCCAAGTTTAACACTTGGAGGAACTGGAAGGGGAGGGAAAAGAGAGGAAAGCGGTGCATGGCAGGATCTGGAGAGGGAGAGGGAGCAAGGGAGCAGGTGCAGCTACTAGAATGCATGACCTGAAGTGCAAAATGCTCAAAGCAGTTGCCTAGCAATATCCCGATGCCCAAAAGGCACATCTTCATTGCTGTCATTGTTACCCTGTCCTGTCTGGGTCATCAGTTCCCCAACAGGTGTAACCGATTCTCTGCCTCCACCTGACTTTGGGGAGAGATGCCCTCCCAGCAGGAGGTGGGTCCAGCTACATCAGGGTGGGTACTTGTGTCCTCTTCCCATACTCGCCTCAATCCTGGACCCCATTTGGGTTTTATTAACATCCTGTTCACTCTCTCTCAGCTCTGATTCCCAGCGCCCACATCATCCACCTTGGCATTCTTCTTGTGGGCTAGTCTTGCGTAGGCCGGGTAAGAAGTACAGTATGCTCAGAATTGAATCACAGTTAGTTACTGTGACTAATTTCATTCATTCTATAGCCATCCATCCACTTAATAAAAATGTCTTGAGCCAGATCCCATGCCAGACACTGTGCTGGAGGTGGGGTTGCAACGATAAAGAAATGGTGGTGCCCACTTCCTGGCGCTTAGAACCTAGGGTAGGGGCGTCCCTCTGCTGCCAGCCCGTGGTGGTGGTTCAACATCACCCATCTCCCTCTCTCCGAGCTTCTGACTCTAGGGATAGGAAAGGGTCAAGCAATCTGTATTTTTAAAACATATATATTTCACATGACTCTATTTTCAAGGCAGTTTGGGAAACTACATTCTAAGGAAAGGAAATCTACTGGACTGGGGAAAAAAAGAAGCTGACAGGACCCATCAGCGAGATCCAGTAAGGCTTTCCTGGGAAACTGACTGACAGCTGTGACCTCAAGCACAAGGCTGTGAACTGGGGGAAGAAGGGAGGGACACGGACCAATGTTCAGGGAGGAGGGAACAGCACGCGCGAAGACCCTGATGTGGGAAAGTGCAGCTCGGGGGTAATGGGGAGCTGGAGAAGTGGCAGTGAGTTGAAGCCGCAGATGGGGTGTCCTAGGAGCCCTGGGGAGCCCTGGGAGGGTTTTGTGCAAGAGGCCTGCTGTGATCGTTGTTTTGAAAAGGTTTCTCATTCAGCAGATGCCTGTACTGAGCCATACAGGCCCCGTGACAGGTTCTGGCAGAATCAGGCTTCTCTCCCAATTCCCTCTTCCTATCGGGCCCTGGCTAGCCCGGCTTCTGCAGGCCTTGGCAGAGGGAGGAGGGGAAGCCCAAGTGGCCTGGAGGCCCCAGCTCCGCTCCTCTCCTTGTCTTGGCAGACAGAAAGCTGTAGACTGGGTTTTGGCATCTCCCACCGGCTGTGTCTGCCTCAGCATCCCCCCAGACCCAGCGGTGGGTGGGCACCCCCTAGGGAACCTGTTGGTCCTACTGCCAAAAACCCCTTTGCTCTCCAGAAGGTGATGTCAGGTCTACCCCCCATCCCCCGACACACATTCCACCCACCTCCTCCAGCCCAGAAGGGGTCACCTGCCAAGACGCTAACTGATGGGCCGCAGGGAGCTCAGAGGAGCAGGCATGCGGCTCCTCGGGCAGAGTCCTCATCCCTGCACCTGACTCAGCCCCGCGCTCCTACCACCACCTCATATGCTCCAAAGTCTTGAGGAGGAAACGGGGAGCAGGGGGATCCCCAGCGGCTTCTCAATCCCGCAGAAGCTGGTGGGTAGGACGCAGTGGCAGTGGGGGGAGCAGGTGGGCAGTGCCCACGGTGGGCTGGGCTGGGTTGGAACAGAGCTGGCCAGATGCCCGAGGTCTGCGCAGGGGTGTGACGGGTGTGGTGCGCGTCAAAGGGCGGGGCTGCAGTGGCTTCATTTGCATGCAACCGTCATGGCGCCGCCCCTGACGCCTACCATAATTCTTGATCTGCGATCTCCCCACCTCCGCAGCAGCCAGACTTTCCCCCACCCAGCCTCGTTATCTCCTCTTTTATTAGATTTAATGCTCCTAAACCAAATTGCTGGAATCCAGGGAAGACAGATGGGGGTTAGGGACAGAATGAACCCTGCCCTGCAAACTGATGATACTGCTCCCTATTCCATTTCTGGAAAAAAATCAAGTCCACTGGGATTTCTGAGAAACCAGTATGGAGAGGTGCGACAGGGAGGGTGTCATATCCCAACAGCGTGTTCTGCATCCTTCCATTCCAAAGGTCATTTACTCTCTTCCCCAGCTTCCTGGGGTCCTCAATCTCTCTCCTCATCCTTCTCTTATTCCAGAGGCAGCGGTGAGTGAGAAGCCCCCTTCACCCAGCAGGCACCACTGTCTTGCTAAATCTGAGTGCAAGTCAGCGAGTCCTAGGTGGGCAAGGCCCCTGCAGGGTCTCCCACCTGCCAGGTAGCTCTCCGTTTTGAAGCAGGGTGTCCCTAACAGCTCCTAGGCCAGCAGGACCAGCTAGTGAGAGCCTGCTGTGTGCCAGTCTCTGTGGCCCCGACCTCATATACATTCAAATAACCCTTGCTAAGTAAGCCCTTATGAGTAGAGACTATTGTCATTGGCCCCATTTTACAGATGAGAAAACCAAGGCTTGGAGCGTGTGAGTGAGTGGCAGAGGCACCCACAGGGGGAGCTGAAGAACTCGGATTTAAATCCAGGCAGAGGGGCTTCAGACTAAGAGTGGGTGCTTTAAACTCAAGCGCTGACCCATAAAAAGGGTGAAAAGCTGTCATCTGTGCTGGGACAGACATAGGGTGACAGGATGCAAAAGCACAGAGCACCCTTAAGAGGTGACAGGGGCCTGAGTCGGGACTAAGGTGAGCCAAGGGAGGCGTAAAATGTGATGAGGTCCATGGGTTTGTGCCAATGCAGACCCTATAGTTGAAGGGCCATGAGAGCAGGTCCTCCTTATGTGTATATAGATTGATTTATTACATAAATTTTCAAGATATTTTCCAAATTTTTAATCACTAAGTTTTCTTGTATCTAATGGAAATTTCCATGCAGAAATTTCCTTAGAAAGGTTCAAGAATAAGGTTGGAGGAAGGAAGAGAATGGGCTGCACCAGCCATAACTGACCCTTTCTCTTTCTTAAAAAATCAAGGTGAAGGCCGGGCGCGGTGGCTCACGCCTGGAATCCCAGCACTTTGGGAGGCCGAGGCAGGCAGATCACGAGGCCAAGAAGTTCGAGACCAGTCTGACTAACATGGTGAAACCCCGTCTCTACCAAAAATACAAAAATTAGCTGGGCATGGTGGCGGGCGCCTGTAATCAGGAGGCTGAGGCAGGGGAATCGCTTGAACCTGGGAGGCGGAGGTTGCAGTGAGCTGAGATCGCACCACTGCACTCCAGCCTGGGCGACAGAGAGAGACTCTGTCTCAACAAAAAACAAACAAACAAACAAAAAAATCAAGATGAAATAGAAACTATTTTAAAGCATTCAGGAGTATTCACAGTGAATTCACAATGTTCATCAGCTCTATCTAGTTCTAAAACATTTTCATTGCCAACCGGAGACCATGTACCCTTGGGCAGTTGCTCCCCAGTGCCTTCCCCCAGATAATCAAGAGTGAAGTGAGGCCAGGCATCATGGCTCACACCTGTAATCCCAGCACTTCGGGAGGCTCTTTAGGAGGATCGCTTGAGGCCAGGAGTTGCAGACCAGCTTAGGCAACACAGTGAGACCGTGTCTCTACAAGAAATAAACAAAATTAGTTGGATAGGGTGGTGTGTGCCTGTAGCCCTGTAGTCCCAGCTACTCTGGAGGCTGAGAGCAGGGAATTGCTTGAATCCAGGAGTTGGAGGCTGCAGTGAGCCATGATCACACCACTGCACTCTAGCCTGGGTGACACAGTGAGACCCTGTCTGGGAAAAAAAAAAAAAAAAAAAAAAAGGCCAGGCTCAGTGGCTCACACCTGTAATCCCAGCACTTTGGGAGTCCGAGGCAGGTGGATCACTTGATCTCAGGAGTTCAAAGACCAGCCTAGGCAACATGGTGAAACCCTGTCTCTACAAAGAATACAAAAATTAGCCGGGTGTGGTAGCATGGGCCTGTAGTCCCAGATACTTGGGAGGCTGAGGCATGAGAATGGCTTGAACCTGGGAGGCAGAGGTTGCAGTGAGCTGAGATCACGCCACTACACTCCAGCCTGGGGGACACAGTAAAACCCTGTCTCAAAAAATAAAAATAAAGTAAGAAAAGAAAAAAAAAAAAAACTTGAAGTGACCCAAAGTGAAGACTTCTTAGATTTTGCACTCCCAGTGTCCTGCCTGCCTTGCCTCGCCCTGGTCCTCCCTGATCTGCCGTTCAGTTCGTGGATAAGGACAGCCTCTTATCTGCTCTCAGCTCCTAAAGGCAGCCCCTTATCAGGAGAGGAGGCCCACACCCCTGGGGAAGGCAGGTCTCTCTCATTCACACCCTCAGCTGATGGGTCTCCCTTATCTTCCGAGACCACCAACAACCCAGGGCCCAGCAGGGGCGGCTGCAGACACCCACTCCCAGCACACACACACACACACTGCCAGGTGCTGACCTACCAGGCATGGGGCCTGGGCCAGCAGCCCCTCGGATATCCCCAACTCAGGCTGTCCAGGGTTCTGCGGCCCATGGGTGCCCACACCCGTGCCTGCCCCCGGAGGAGCGCCAGGAATCCCAAGCAGCCTTGCTGGGTGGGGGTGGGGAGGGAGGGGCCAGCTGTCTCGGAGACACAGAGAATTCCACCGGGGAGCTAGTCTGGGGTCACATGGGATGGGAGAAGGTGCGGCAAGAGGCTTATAGCCCAGCCCCCTGTGCCATATGGAGACCAAGAATGTTCTGCATGTGGAATAAGACTCCATATCGCCCCTTAGGAATTTTAATTGTGTGCTTTAAACCTGTCTCCCATTCCTGCTCCGCCCCCCACCCCTCACCCTGGGAGCAGGGACACTTGTTTAGAGTGCCTTGGGAATCACAGGAGCCAACAGCCAGGACTTTGTGTGACAGTGACGCACTGACATTTCTGGACCAGGCAAAAAATGCAGCCGCCTCCCTCCCAGGCAGTGCCTTGTCACTGACACTGGCTGGGAGTAGAGAAGCGGGGGCAGAAGCACCAGTGGGGGGCCACCTGGGTGGTGGGTGCATAAGCGCTGAAGGCCAGGGCCAACCCATCCTAGCTGTGTAACTGTGGGCAAGGGACCTAGACTCGCTGTGCCTCAGTTTCCTTATCTGTAAAGCGGGGTTGAGCACGGGGATTAGATAGAGCACTTGGCGTCTATCTCCCAAGCATTCAAGCTGTTAGCACCAGTTGTTGTTGTTGTTTTGTTTGTTGTTGTTTTAGAAATAGGGTCTTGCTCAGTCTTCCAGGCTGGAGTGCAGTGGCACCAACCTGGCTCATTGCAGCCTTGAACTCCTGGACTCAAGTGATTCTCCTGCCTCAGCCTCCCAACTAACTGGGACCACAGGTGCACACCACCGTGCCCAGTGAATTTTTTTTGTAGAGATGGGGTCTTGCTATGTTGTCCAGGCTGGTCTCGAAGTCCTGGCCTCAAGCAATCCTCCCACCTTGGCCTACAATTGTTATTGTTATCATTACTCTCTTCTCCAGAGAATGGAGACACGTTTAATCAAATCAGCCCCTCTGAGAGCAAGACTGTGGGGTCCTCTGCTCTTTTAGATGCCCCTGTGGGGCTTGGCCTTTGCCTGACCCTTTTTGGTCTGTGGGTCCACCCTAAACAATAGTTTTTTCTTTATTTGGGAAGCTGTGGTCAGTAGTAGTTCAGACCCTGGATTCTCATAAGTGGACTTAAATCCTGTATCAGTCATTTATTATTTGCAAATCCTCACTTAGGGGGACCATTATATAGATAAGGAGACTGTGTGGCTATGGGTAAGTTTCTTAACCTCTCTGTGCCTTAATTTCCATTTCCATGTTTCAGGGCTCAGTGATAATTAAAATGAGATGGTACTTTTAAAATTGCCTGGCACAGAGCAAATCCTCAATAAATATGAGCTGTTATTCTTAATATATTACTGAATACCCCTTAGATATGGGAGGTATTAGTCCTATCATCCAAACTTAGTCCTCACAGTCACCCATGAATGGGAGAAATGAATATTGGCCCCCTCTGACAGATAGGGAAACTGAGATCAGTGACTCAGTGACTTTCCCAGGGCAACACAGCTAGTGAGGAGTGGAGTCAAATTAGATCTAGTTGTTAAGTTCTGCTCATGCCAGGATCAGTGGCTAGCACCTGACATCCCAGTGCTTTGGGAGACTGAGGCGGGAGGATCTCTTGAGGCCAGGAGTTCAAGAGGAGCTTACGCAACATGGCAAAACCCTGTCTCAAGAACAAAGAAAGGAAGGAAGGAAGGAAGGAAAGAAGGAAGGGAGGGAGGGAGGGTTCTGCTCTTGACCATGGTGTCATCCCACCACCTCTTTTAAATAATGACAGAAGAGGAGAGATTAAGACAGAAGGAGGCCACCTAATCTCTCTCCACATGAGATTAGGTGGCCTCCTTCTTTATATTTTCAGGATTTGTCAAAGAAAATCTATAACAACAGAAGGCCAGTATCAATTCAATAATGTATTGGTTGAACCCAATGGCATCCACGAACATTTCAATAATAGCTTAAAACGTGTTGGAGATCTATTATTTTTTTCTACCCATATTTTGGTGCTCAGATGGGCTCAAGCATTCTGTCCCAATAATGCTGAGGTTTTCCTAGACATCCTCACGGTGGGGGAACCATTATATACAGACAAGGTGACTGAGGCTCACTGAAGTGCAGGGACCTTCCCAACTCAAGTGCCTGACTTCAAACTTGATTTTTCCTGAAAGATCACTGGCCCCCGTCTGCCCAAATGTAGCTGCATCTGGTGGTGTATAGGCCCTGTGACTCCTCGTAGCACCTGTAAGCGCCTGGGGGGGTCACAGTCCAAGTTGACTCATCTGCATTCCCCACTGTACCTGTTGCCCACGTTGCCCAGGAGACATAATAGGTGCTTACCTCAGATGGTAACAGAAGAGAAGGCGAGCAGTGGCCAATTTCAGGAAAGATTAGGAAGGTAGTATGCACCTGACTTGCTGATGAATTAAATGTGGGGTGTGGGAGAAAGAGAGGAATCAAGGATGAGTTCAAGGTTGAGGATCGGCTGGTGGGGCATTTACTGAGGGAGGAACAGAGCGTGGCCTGGAGCTGGGCGAGTAAAGCTAGAAATGTCGTCAGGAGCTGAGTTCAGGAGCCTGGATTTAGAAGCCAGAAGTTTGGGAGTCAGTGGGGGGATGAATGGGATTAAAAGGAGGGGAAGGCACGCTGGGCTCATGCCTGTAATCCCAGCACTTTAGGAGGCCGGGGTGGGCAGATCGCCTGAGATCAGGAGTTCGAGACCAGCCTGGCCAACATGGTGAAACCCTGTCTCTGCTAAAAAATACAAAAAATTAGCTTGGCACAGTGGTGTGCGCCTGCAGTTCCAGCTACTCGGGAGGCTGAGGCAGGAGAATCGCTTGAACCCAGGGAGGCAAAGGTTGCAGTGAGCCGAGATTATGCCATTGCACTCCAGCCTGGGTGACAAGAATGAAACTCCATCTCAAAAAAGAAGAAAAAAAAAAAAAAAAGAGGGGAAGGAGTGAAATCCCCTACAGAAGAGGTATATTAAGAAACAGAGGCCTGGCTGGGTGCAGTGGCTCATGGCTGTAATCTAGCATTTTGGGAGGCCGAGGCAAGCGGATCTTGAGGTCAAGAGATCGAGACCATCCTGGCTAACACAGTGAAACCCTGTCTCTACTAAAAATACAAAAAGTTAGTCAGGCGTGGTGGCGGGCACCTGTAGTCCCAGCTACTTGGGAGGCTGAGGCAGGAGAAATGCTTGAACCTAGGAGGCGGAGGTTGCAGTGAGCCAAGATCGCACCATTGCACTGCAGCCTGGCTGGAGTGCAACAATTCTATGTCATTTAGTGGACTCACAATGTTGTGCAACCAACTCTCTCTAGTTCCAAAACATCTTCATCACTCCAAAGGAAAACCCTGCACACACTAAGCAGTCACGCCCATTACCTTCTCCCAGCAATCACATCTATTTCTTTGGATTTGCCTATTCTGGACATTTCATATAAATGGAATCATACACTATGTGGGATTTGTGTCTGACTTTTTTCACTTAGCATCCTGTTTTCAAGGTTCATCCACGTTGTACCATGGATCAGTGCTTCATTCCGTTTTATGGCTGAATCAGACTCCGTTGTACGGATTCAGCACATTTCGTTTTCCCATCCATCCACGGATAGACATTTGGGTCATTCCACCCTTTGACTAATGTGATCAGTGCTGCTCTGAACATTCGTGTATGAGTATTTGAGGATCGTTTTCACTTCTCTTGGGTAAACATCTAGGAGTGAAATTGCTGAGTCATAGGGCAGTTTTATGTGTAACTACTTTTTGAGGAGTGCAGTGGCATAATCTTGCCTCACTGAAACCTCCGTCTCCCAGGTTCAAGCAATTCTCCCACCTTAGCCTCCCCAGTAGCTGGGATTACAGGTTTGCACCAACACACCTGGCAAATTTTTGGATTTTTAGTAGAGATGTGGTTTCCCCACCTTGGCCAGGGTGGTCTAGAACTCCTGGCCTCAAGTGATCCACCCACCTCGGCCTCCCAAAGTGCTGGGATTACAGGCATGAGCCACCGCACCTGGCCTCCCATAGCTATTTCTCTCTTTTTTTTTTTTTTTTTTTTAAGACGGAGTTTCGCTCTGTTGCCCAGGCTGGAGTGCAATGGCACAATCTCGGCTCACTGCAAGCTTTGCCTCCCAGGTTCACTCCATTCTCCTGCCTCAGCCTCCCAAGTAACTGGGACTACAGACACCTGCCACCACACCCGGCTAATATTTTGTATTTTTAGTACAGATGGGGTTTCACCGTGTTAGCCAGGATGGTCTCGATCTCCTGACCTCGTGATCCGCCCACCTCGGCCTCCCAAACTGCTGGGATTACAGGCGTGAGCCACCACACCTGGCCTCCCATAGGTATTTCTAAAACACTCCAACAGCCAGACACAGTGGCTCATGCCTGTAGTCCCAGCACTTTGGGAGGCAGAGATGGGTGGATCGCCTGAGGTCAGGAGTTTGAGATCAGCCTGGTCAACATGGTGAAAACCTATCTCTCTACTAAAAATACAAAAATTAGCCAGGCGTGGTGGCAGGTGCATGTCATCCCAGCTAGTGAGGCAGGGAAACCGCTTGAACCCCGGAGGTGGAGGTTGCAGTGAGCCAAGATTGCACCATTGCACTCCAGCCTGGGTGACAGAGCAAAACTCCATCTCAAATAAATAAATAAATACTCCATCTACCAAGGCTGGCATTCAAATCTAGAACTTCTGATTGCAAATCCTGGTTATTTTTGTTTTTGTTTTTTTCTCTGCCCCACACTGCTGACAGTCCCCTGCACCTCGGACTACCCTCATTCCATAGATGAGGACCACAGGTTAGAAGCTTGTTCGAGGCCACACAGCTCCTAAGTGACAGAGCTGGGCTCTAGACTTTGAGCTGCCAAGTCTAATCTTAAAACACCATGGTTTACACTGTGCCCCTAAGGTGACAAGCAGGTGATAGAGAGAGAGAGAGAAAAGAAAGGAAAGAAAGAAAGAGAAAGAAAGAAAAAGAAAGCAAGAAAAGAAAGAAAAAGAAAGAAAGAAAGAAAGGCAGGCAGAGAAGAAACAGATAAGAAAAAAAGAAAGTCGGCCCTTTCAAACAAAATACTGTTTTACTTTGTTTCTCAGCCTTTTCCAATTTTACGCCAGCGCGGAATGAGGCGCCAGGGCGGTGCTCAGGTGTGGCCCACCAGGCGCGGGGTGCAGGGGAAGGTCTTACGCATGCCCATGCACTTCTCCTTGTCGATGCAGAGGGTGTTGGCCTTGATGGCGAGCTCGTGCTCCAGCCGGCACTTGGTCATGACCAGCAGCTGCAGCGTGTCCTGTGTCTCCCGCAGCCGCAGCTTGAGGGTCTGCAGGGTGTCGTCGATGGTGAACACCTCGTTCACCAGCCTGGGGTGAGGGCAGAGGAGAAGGCACAGGTTATTCATTTATTTTTATTTGTTTATTTTTTGAGACAGAGTCTCACTCTGTCACCCAGGCTGGAGTGCAGTGGCACAATCTCGGCTCACTGCAACCTCTGCCTCCCGGGTTCAAGTAATTCTGCCTCAGCCTCCCGAGTAGCTGGGATTACGGGCATGCACCACAACACCCAGCTAATTTTTGTATTTTTTTTTTTATTAGAGGCAGGGTTTCACCATGCTGGTCAAGCTGGTCAAGAACTCCTGACCTCAGTTGATCCACTTGCCTTGGCCTCCCAAAGTGCCGGGATTACAAGCATGAGCTATGGTGCCCGACCTAGCACAGGTTATTCGGTTCAAGGTAGATGCACTCACTGTGCACTGGGAACTGTGCCTGGCACTGAGAGACAGCAGCAAGCAAGACAGGCAAGGCTCGGCCCTCCAGGGGAAGGCAGAGGCAGAACAGGTAGACAAGTAAATACACAAGAGAACTGTCAAGGGTAATGTACACAAAGGAAGAAATAAGACAGGATGGTAAAACAGGATAGGAGACCAATCTGGAGATTCCTCGATAAGTTAGACATAGACTTACCACACAGTCCAGCAGTTCCGCTCCCGGGTATATACCCAAAAGAACAGAAAACAGGCGTTCAAACCAAAATATGTACATGAATGTTCACGGCAGCCCTATTCACGATAACCAAAAGGTGGAAGCAGCTCAAATGTCTGTGGATGGATGGATGAGTGGATAAGCACAATGTAATCGAGCCACAGAATGGGAGATTATTCAGCTATAATAAAAAGGAATGAAATACAGCTGGGTATGGTGGCTCACGCCTGAAATCCCAGCACTTTGGGAGGCTGAGACAGGTGGATCACCTGAGGTCAGGAGTTCAGGACCAGCCTGGCCAACATGGTGAAACCCCATCTCTACTGAAAATACAAAAAGTTAGCCAGGCATGATGGTGGGTGCCTGTAATCCCAGCTACTCGAGAGGCTGAGGTGGGAGAAGCTCTTGAACCCGGGAGTCAGAGGTTGCAGTGAGCTGAGATCACATCATTGCACTCCAGCCTGGGAGCCTGAGCGAAACTCTGTCTCAAAAAAAAAAAAAAAAAGGAATGAAATACTAATACCTGCAACAACATGAATGAACCTTGAAAAACATGATGCTAAATAAAGGAAGCCAGACACAAAAGGACAAATATTGCGTGACTGCATGCACAGGAAATGTCCAGAAGAGGCAAAGCCATACGGACAGAAAGTTAACTGGTGGCTTCCAGAGGTCAGGCGGTGGGGAGAATGTAGAAGATTGCTTAATGGGTACGGGGTTTCCTTTTGGGTTGATGAAAACATCACAGAACTAGAGAGTGGTGAGGGTTGCACAACATCGTGAATGTACCAGATGTCACTGATGGTAAATTTTGTGTTACATGTATTTTATCACAATTTTTTTTTTTTTTTGAGATGGAGTCTCGCCCTGTCATCCAGGCTGGAGTGCAGTGGTGCAATCTCGGCTCACGGCAACCTCTGCCTCCCGGGTTCAAGCAATTCTCTTGCCTCAGCGTCCCAAGTAGCTGGGATTACAGGCACGTGCCGCCACACCCAGCTAATTTTTCATGTTTTAGTAGAGACAGTGTTTCACCATGTTGCTCAGGCTGGTCTCGAACTCCTAAGCTCAGGCAATCCGCCAGTCTCAGCCTCCCAAAGTGCTGGGATTACAGGCATGAGCCACCACGCCTGGCCCTATAATTTTTTAATAAACAGGATAACAGGGCCAGCCTTGTCTAGATAAGAGCCTCACTCAGGTCTTCCTTACTGGCCAGGGCACCATCCCCAGCTGCTACGAGTGAGTGTTGGCTGCTAATGGCTCACAGGTCCGCAGTTCTCCAGGCAATTAAGTTGCTCAGCCAATCTGAGCTATCTCACCTGGGAGGATAGTCCCTGCCAGCGGCCACAGACAATGGCTTGGCTGACTCAGGTACAAAGGGCCTCTGGTGCAGACATCTCTGTGATGCACTTCAAGGTCTGGCGCCCCTTGCAGGATCAGCTGGGACTGGGCTGCCCCGTACTACTTCCTCACCCCTCTCCTTCTGAGGCTTTGCTTATCTAGAACTTTCCGAGGGGAGGACTTTTTTTCTTTTTTCTTTTTGAGACAGAGTCTCACTCTGTCTAGGCCAGAGTGCAGTGGTGCAGTCAAAGCTCACTGCAGCCTCAACTTCCTTGGCTTAAGCGTTCCTCCAGCCTCAGCCTCCCAAGTACCTGGGTCTACAGGCGTGCAAAACTGCACTAGGCTAATTTTAATGTTTTGTAGAGACAGGGTTTCACCATGTTGCCCAGGCTGGTCTCAAACTCCCGGGCTCAAGCAATCTGCACAACTCAGCCTCCCAAAATGCTGAGATTACAGGCATGAGCCACCGCACCCAGCTGATTTTAATTTTTTTTTTTTTAGACCAGATCTCCCTCTGTCACCTAGGCTGGAGTGTAGTGGTGCCACCATAGCTTACTGCAGCCTCAAACCTCTGGGTTCAAGAGATCCTCCTGTCTCAGCCTCCCAAATAGCTGAGGCTACAGGCAGGCACCACCACACCTGGCTAATTAAAAAAAAAAGTTTTTATAGAGATGGGGTTTATTTTTTTGCCTCCAGGTTGGTCTCAAACTCCTGGGCTTAAGTGATCCTCCTCCCTCCGCCTCCCAGGAGAGGACTTTGAGCAGAGAAGAAAGATAAGACTTAGCTGGACATGTTGAAGGCCAAGAGGGAAAGTATGTTGCAGCAGTGCCGTGGAGTAGAACTTTCTGCAAAAATGGAAAGATCTATATCTGCACCATCAAATATGGTACCCACCAGCCCCATGGGGCTAATGAACACTTGAATGTGGCCATGCAATTGAGAACCTGAATTTTAGCTGTATTAATTTAAAACTTAAATTTTGGCTAGGCGTGGTGACTCACACTTGTAATCCCAGCACTTTGGGAGGCTGAGGCGGGCAGATCACTTGAGGTCAGGGGTTCGAGACCAGCCTGGTCAACATGGTGGCAAAATGCCGTCTCCACTAAAAATAGAAAAAAATTAGCCAGGTGTCATGGTGCACACCTGTAATCACAGCTATTTGGGAGGCTGACCCAGGAGGCAGAGGTTGCAGCCTGTCATCCCAGCACTTTGGGAGGCTGAAGTGGCAGATCACTTGAGGTAGAGAGTTTGAGACCAGCCTGGCCAACATGGTGAAACGCAGTCCCTACTAAAAATATATCTATATCTATGTCCATATATATATATATACACACACACACACACACAAAAATTAGCGAAGTGTGGTGGCAGGTGCCTGTAATCCCAGATACTCGGGAGGCTGAGGCAGGAGAATTGCTTGAACCCGGGAGGCAGAGGTCGCAGTGTGATGAGATCATACCATTACACTCCAGCCTGGACAACAGAGCAAGACTCCATCTCAAAAAAAAAAAAAAAAAAGAGAGAGAGAGAGAGAGAAAAGCACATGCAAAATTAAAGGGCTTGGGTTTGTTCTCAGTGCTGTGGGAAGCCATGGGGTGGGGGCGGGGGAGGGTTGAAACAGGGGAATGGCATGCTGACTCGAGTTTCGGGATAACCTCCAGGCTGCTGTGTAAGATGAGATTGGAAGGGGGCAAGAGTAGAGGCAGGAGAAAGGTTAGGAGGTTATTGTGAATCCACATGGAGCGGATCGGGTGGTGTTCCTCAGAAAGATATGTTCAAGTCCTAAGCCCTGGTGCGTGTAATGTTATTAGGAAATAGGGTCTTTGCAGCTGTAATGAAGTTTAGGATCTTAAGATGAGATCATCCTGGATTTAGGGTGACACCTAAATCCAATGACTGATCTCCTGATAAGAGAAAGGAGAGGGAGGTTTGAGACATGGAGACATGCAGGAGAGAAGGCCATGTGGAGACGAAGGCAGAGATGGGAGCGATGCGGCTACAAGCTGAGGGACGCCAAGGATTGCTGACAGCCCTCCGGAGCTGGGAGAGTGGAAGGGAACAGAGCCTCTCTCAGAGCCTCCAGGAACAGCAACCTTGATTTGGGACTTCTGGCCCCCAAAGCTGTGAGGGAATAAACTTCTGTTGTCTGTAGCCACCCAGTTTGTAGTAATTTGTGATAGCAGCCCTGGGAAATGAATGCGGCAAGGTGAGCTGTGATGGTGGCTTGGTTGTGGGACTGTGCTGCGGGTCCCACCTCTGGGGAGAAGAGACAGTGAAACTGTGCTCAGGACCAGAGGACATGAAGCTGGGTGAACTTCCCCATGGGAAGCCTGGGCTAGAGAGAAGCAAAGAGAAGTGACAGAAGCAGCCTGGAAACTTCCACCAGCTCTGTCCAATAGAACTTTCTAGAGCAAGGGAGATATTCTGTGCTATGTTGTCTGATATGGTGAACCCTAGCCACATGTGGATACTGAGCCCTTGAAATGTGGTTATTGTGAATAAGGAATTGAATTTTTAACTTTATTTAATTTTCATTAAAATTCAGTTTATGGTTTTTTTTTTGACAGGGTGTTGCATTGTTCCCCAGGATGGAGTACAGTGGCACGATTATAGCTCACTGCAGCCTCCAACTTCTGTGCTTAAGCAATCTTCCTGCTTTAGCCTCCTAAGTAGCTTGGACTATAGGCATGCCACCATGCCTGGCTAATTTTTGTATTTTTTGTAGAGATGGGGTCTTGCTATGTTGTCCAGGCTCATCTCGAACTCCTGGCCTCATGTGATCCTCCCACCTCAGCCTCCCAAAGTGCTGGGGTTACAGGTCTGAACCACCACACCTAGCCTTTAAAGTTCAATTTTAAATGGACTTTCTTTCTGGGGGATAGGCATGGATGGGACCCTAGTGATTGGAGTAGGTCAGGAGAAGAGAGACCACTTATAGGAGGAAAAGGAAAAAGATGGCCCAAAGGCAGGAATGGAGAGGACGGGGACAAGGAAGATCATGCACAGATGGGACAATTTAGCCACTGGAGAAGGGAGACAGCCTGAATCCTATCATCTGCTCAATTCCGAAGACAGCCATGCATACAAACCAAAACACAACATACACAGATGCAGACACACACACACACACACACACACACACACACACACACACACACGGCCCGGCTCCTGAACCAAACATGCTCCACCTCCTTGCTTTCTGTCTGTCCTCCTCAGTGGTATGACTGTTGAACGGGAAACGGGAAGGCAGAGAGCTTGCCCCAAAGCAGTAGGTCCTCCAGGCAACTCCCCCAGAAGCCCTGTTCTGTAGAAGTCCCCTGGCGGGGCCGCCACTGTGGCTCATGCCTGTAATCCCAGCACTTTGGGAGGCCAAGGTGGCTGGATCACTTGAGGTTAGGAGTTTGAGACCAGCCTGACCAACATGGTGAAACCCTGACTCTACTAACAATACAAAAATTAGCCGAGCATGGTGGCAGGCGAGTGTAATCCCAGCTACTCGGGAGGCTGAGGCAGGAGAATCTCTTGAACCCGGGAGGTGGAGGTTGCAGTGAGCCAAGATCGTGCCACTGCACTCCAGCCTGGGCAACAGAGCAAGACTCAATTAAAAAAAAACTCTCGTTGGGGAGGCAAAGGGATCACCTGAGCCCTCCACTTCAGGAGGTACTGGGGTTCAGCCTGAGCATCGAAGAAGCAGGGGCAGAGGGAAGAGAGGTCAGCAGAGCCCAGCCCCCACTCTCCTGCACCCAGGACCTAGACCCTATCCATCTCACTTCCAGGGCTGAAGACCTAGCAAGCCAGCAGCAGGTCTGCTGGGTGTTGCTCTGTTGCCCAGGATGGAGTGCAATGGCGCAATCATAGCTCACTGCAGCCTCCAACTCCTGGGCTTAAGCAATCCTTCTGCCTCAGCCTCCTGAGTAGCTGGGACTACAGGTACATGTCACGATGCCTGGCTAAGTTTTGTATTTTATTTTTTAGAGATAGTGTCTTGCTGTGTTGTCCAGGCTGGTCTCAAACTCCTGGCCTCAAGTGATCCTCCTGCCTCGGCCTTCCAAAGTGGGAGGGACCCCAGACCCTCAAGTTCAAAGCCTTGGATCAATTTGCCTGCCCCTCCACCCCACCCCAACACATAACCTGCTTTTTCCATTTCCTAAATGGTTACTCAGGCGGTAACTGAGGCTGTGCAAAAATCATCGCTTGGGCACCACCCAACACTTTTTCTTGATTATCTATCCTCCTTCTCCTAACTGATAGCTCTCTTCTTGACATCTTTTCACATCTAGCAGTGGGGTCTCCACACCAGGATGGAGGGAGCAGGGTCCATCGCTGGACCAAGACCTGTGCTCCCTGCCCAGTGAAGCCCTGGCTTAGTGCTGTGTGACTGGGACAGCTTTTTCAACCTCTCTGGACCTCAATTTATCTTCCCATTTGACAACAGTAGGAGTAACTGACTTCCCAACTCCCCTAGGAGTGAGACTAAAGGGCAAAGAACTCAAAAGAAGTTCAAGGGATTGCAGTTAGCCATCAGGGTGAACTTCCCTTGCTGTAGGCTAGGGCTGAAATAATATGCCCAAGGAAGCCTGAGGATGGTCCTTTCAATCTTTTTCTCTTGGGGGATATCAACTCAGTATCTTGTCAAAAGAAGTACTGCTATGAAACCCGGTGAGCACAGCCCTGGGCACAGTGAATGCAGAATAAGGTTTATGGAGCAAATGAGCAGCTGAAATGGGGCCAGACTCAGTCTCTTCCCCCTCCACCGGAAACCCTGTTAGTGCCCATAGGAGGATGCTCCAAGGATGACCCTCAATGATGTGGGGTCCTCCTGGCATCACATCCTTGAGTGTGGACCTAGAGATGCTTCTAAAGAAGAGCATGCAGAAAGAGTGATGGACTGTCACTTCCATGGTTAGGTTACAAAAGACTGTGACATCCTTGTGGCTGGTACTGTCATTGTCCTTCTGGTTTGCATGCTTTGTTGAAGCAAGCCACCATGCTGGAGAGACCCATGGGTGAATGAGGGTGGCTGCCAGCCAACAGCCAGCAAAGAACTGAGTTCTACCAACAAGCATGGGAGTGAGCTTGGATGTGGAACCTTCCCCAGTCCAGCCTTGAGATAAGACCACAGCCCCAGCTGACAGCTTGATTGCAACCTGCGGAAGACCCTGACATGTACAACATAGCAAGGAACCTAGCCCAATTCCTAACCCACGGAAACTGAGATAACAAATGTGGTTCTTTCAAGTCACTACCTTTTGGGGTACTTTATTACACAGCAATAGACAACTAAGATAATGCCCCTAGCATGGGGAGAACAGAGTGGCCAAGTGGTTTGCCCCAAGTCATACAGCACGTTCATGGGAAATAATCCCCATATCTGATGACCTGTTCCTTCTTGGCCTGGCCATCATCCTATTACAATCCCCACCCCCCACCCCCCACAAACCTCCTTTCTGGGCTGGCATGAGCTTTTGACCCCTGTCCTGTGAGAAAGCCCTTCGTCAACAGACACCAGCCTCTTTAGCACAGCAGGATGGGTGGGATCCACCAGCCAGGAGCTCATGAGGCTCTTCCAGGGCTTCATGGTAAGAACTTTACAAAAAGGGAGGTGGGAAATGAGTGAGGAATGGGTGCCTCTTTCATGGAAGCCTGGAGAGAGAAGGTAAAGCCACCACCTGGGAGGCGACCATTCATTGCCTTGGCTTTCAAGTGAAACAAGAGGGTTTCTAGAGCACAACAGAGTTACAAAACCACCCCTAGTTTAGGCAAGTGAGAAGACCACAGTGCACAGGGTGGGGCTCCCAGTGATGAGGAAGCCACGCAGTGGTACAGCCCGAGCTGCATCTCAGAACTCCACCCACACCCTGCACTCTACTGAGTTGTGGGACTGGATGTCCTGATTGAAGGAGGGTCCATTTTTCAGACCCAGTGCACCTAGAAGCTCCTGAGACTCACCCCTTCCCGTTCCTGGATTCCCAGGGGTTCTCCTGCCTCCTCTGGCCTCCCTCACTTACTTCAACTGCGGGATGTCCCTGCACAGCTCCATGTTGGGGCGCCGGGTCCGGCACTCCAGCCTTGTCTGGGCCACCTTCAGCGGGCCCTCCTTGGCCATGATGGACCTTTCCAGCAGCATGATGGTGTTCTCGGCCTGGAAGATCTCCTGCAGCGTCTGCGAGGGAACACACAGGTGTCACCACCCACCAGGCCCTTCTGACCTCCTCTGACTGGGGGCCTGGGGGGAGCAAGTCAGCTAGGTCAGCCTCCAGCCAGGCACTTAAGATACTCCTTCCCCGGCCTTGAGCACCTTTAGGGCAGGAAGCTCACCCTTCCTAAGAAACCTTGAGGCTGGGCGCGGTGGCTCATGCCTGTAATCCCAGCACTTTGGGAGGCCGAGATGGGTGGATCACCTGAGGTCAGGGGTTCTAGATCAGCCTGGCCAACGTGGTGAAACCCCGTCTCTACTAAAAAAACAAAAATTAGCCGGGCGTGGTGGCAGGCGCCTGTAATCCCAGCTACTCGGGGGACCGAGGCAGGAGAATCGCTTGAACCCGGGAGGCGGAGGTTGCAGTGAGCTGAGATTGTGCCACCGCACTCCAGCCTGGGGGACAAGAGCGAGACTTTGTCTCAAAAAAAAAAAAAGGGTTAGAAACCCTGAGAAGCCGCTTCAGGTATCCTCTTGTCACCGGGGCACTGTGGACATGGAAGACGGGCCAGTATCATGGTTGGTTTTGTTCTGAACCTCCAATAGCCATTAGAGTTGCCAATCAGTGCTCAGCAGGAAGAAAGCAAAGTAAGGGAGTGAGGGAGAAGAAGAGGGAGAGGAAGGGAAGGAGGAAGGCAGGCCTTTCAGATTGACAGAGACTGTTAATCTGAAATAATCTCTAAGCCAATCTCTAAGCCAGTTTCACTTCATCTGGGTTTTTTCATATATACATACATACGTGTGTGTGTGTGTGTGTGTGTGTGTGTGTGTGTGTATTCAAACAGACTCAGAGTTTACCTTCTTAGTAATTACCTTCTTAATTACTAAGAAAGTAAACTCTGGATCTGTATGTATTTTCCATTATTATTATTATTATTATTTTGACAGGGAGTCTCGCTCTGTCGCCCAGGCTGGAGTGCAGTGCTGTGATCTGGGCTCACTGCAAACTCCGCCCCCCAAGTTCAAGTGATTCTCCTGCCTCAGTCTCCCAAGTAGCTGGGATTACAGGCACCTGCTGCCTCACCTGGCTGATTTTTTTTTTTTTTTTTTGACGGAGTCTCGCTCTGTCACCAGGGCTGGCGTGCAGTGGTGCGATTTCGGCTCACTGCAAACTCCGCCTCCGGGGTTCACGCCATTCTCCTGCCTCAGCCTCCAGAGTAGCTGGGATTACAGGTGCCTGCCACCATGCCTGGCTAATTTTTTTTTATATTTTTAGTAGAGACGGGGTTTCACCGTGTTACCCAGGATTGATTTTTGTATTTTTAGTACAGATGGGGTTTCGCCATGTTGGCCAGGCTTGTCTCAAACTCCTGACCTCAAGGGATCCACCTGCCTCGGCCTCCCAAAGTGCTGGGATTACACGCATGAGCCACCACACCCAGCCCGCTTTAAAAAAAAAAAAAATCCAGAGTTTACCCTCTTAATAACTAGATCAGTGAATAAAGAAGGAAGAAGGGAAGGATATAAGAATGCAAGAAGGGAGGGAGGGGAGGAGGAAGGAGGAGGGGAGAGGGGAGAGGAAGGGAGGGAGAAAGGAAGGCAAGAAGGAAGACAAAACTTTTTATCTGTCAAGATATTTTTCCCAATATGATGTCACCATTGTACCCTACAATTTATGAAAGTGCAGATCTCAGGGAGGGGCAGGCAAGAGCCTGCTAAGGTCTGAGAATGTTCTACATCTTGATCTGAAGGTTTCACAGATATAAACATAGATGAAAATTCATCTTCAAAATCCATCAAGCTGTAAGCTTTACTGACTGTGATGCCTCAACAGAAAATACAATGAAAATCAGAAAAAGTCAAATACAAGACGCGAGTGGTGAAATGTCAACATTTGTGTTGGGTACATGAAAGTCTTTCATTTATTTCATTTTTTTGAGACAGGGTCTTGCTCTGACACTCAGGCTGGAGTGCAGTTGCGCAATCGCAGCTTACCACAGCCTCGACCTCCAGGGCTCAAATGATCTTCCCGCCTCAGCCTGGCAAGTAACAGGGATTACAGTCACACACCACCACACCTGGCTAATTGTTTAATTTTTTTCAAGAGATTGGGGCTTGCTATGTTGCTCAGACTGGTCTCAAACTCCTGGGCTCAAGCAACCATCATGCCTCAACCTCCCAAAGTGCTGGGATTACAGGTGTGACCCACAGCACCTGGTGGGAGTCTTTTATATGATTCTCTCTACTTCTGTGTGTTTGAAACTTTCCACAACAAAAAATAAAAGAACGAGAGAATGAACAAAGAATGGGCTCAAAAGCCTATGCATTTATTCCAGAAGGAAGCTGTCCTTGCACTTGGCCAACCACAAACACCCGGAACTGAGACACTGGCACTAAACGATGTCACCTGACCGTGACTGAAACATCCACTCTCTACCCTATTGTCACCCAGTGGCCCTTGACCTGTGAGCAGTTCTGCTGGTCACGGTGTCCCTCTTCTGCGACAAGGCCCTTTGAGGACAGGCTGTCTTGACACCCCTTCCCAGACTCAGCAGGACACAATGGTGAGGTTGCATGTGCTCAGTCCCTGAGAAGCCTAGAAATGAGGCAGTGATGTCCTGCCATGATGGCCTTCAATGATCAGAAGGATGTGCCAGTGCAACTCATGATCATGAAGAGTTCGATTTCATTTGCCCAGACACTCCATACCACCTAAAGAAGCTATTCATCAGCTCCACCAGGAACATCTTCATGGGGTCACCTGCTAGAGATGCACCTGCTGTTCCATACAAGGGCATCTGCTTTGTGAATGTGACTGCTACCTTATACAAGACCACAGTGAGTCAACATCTTTGACCATTTCTACCCTGTTCACCATAATTAATGAAGAGGATAATTCAAAGAAACAACCAGTGAAGCCTTACTTGAAAGATTCATCATCAAAACCATGGAAGTCTGGGGAAAGAGACAGACAAGACTATGATGTAAAACAAAAAGTACTATCTGCAAGTGATGGGGGTAATTAATTCAACATTTGTTCAATACCGTCTACCTTTTCCATTTTAGACTAGTGATAAGTGACAATGATTTACAACATAAGGGTCCCAAAGGCACCTTCAAATCATACTCAAGTTTGGGTGCAGTGGCTCACACCTGTAATCCCAACATTTTGGGAGGCCAAAGTGGTGGAATCACTTGAGCCCAGGAGTTTGAGACCAGCCTGGCCAACAGAGCAAGACCTTATCTCTACAAAATAATTTTAAAAGTTAGCCAGGCATGGTGGTGCACGTTTGTAGTCCCAGCTACTTGGGAGGCTGAGGATGGAGAACTGTTTGAGCCCAGGAGTTCAAGGTTGCAGTGAGCTATGATCGCACCACTGCACTCCAGCCTGGAGTCCAAAAAACAAAAACCCTATCTCCAAAAAACAAAAAACAAAAAACCCAAACAGTTGTACATTCCAATATATTCTCCATCCACACACTCACACACCAGAGACAGATTGGGAATAATAGGAGTGCTGAATTGGAAATTAGACCACCAGGGGCCAAATCTTGGTATCACCACTATACCTAAAAGACCTATACCTATAAGACCTTGGGCATCCATGTCCTTAAATGGAGGTGATAAAAGTGCCCTCCCATCAAGTGTGTGACAAGAAAAAAATGGAATACTGCATGTGCAGCTTTCCAAGAGTCCCTAGCACATACTAAGTGCTCATCAGAGGTCAGCTATTCCAGTGCTCACAGTCTATTTTTCAAATAAGACACCAATACATTGAAATACCATTGTTTCCAAGAAGCCTCATCCCATCCTCCCAATTGAAACAAATCACATCTCTGGCATAAGCAAAGGTTTGTGTCTCCACTAACACACCTCAGACAGACTGGTTCACAGCAGGGTAGGTTGGGTCCCCCAATCAGAGTGTGAGCCACTCCTGGGGAGGGTCCAGGCCCACCTGTCCCCTTCTGTGTCCCCTCTGCATCTGCATCCTAGTGCCTGCTCCCAGATCTGCCTTGGGACTGGAGGCTGGCACTGCCTCACAGTCTGATCTCCCACCAGCCCACCCCTAAAGCTTATGCATGCTTCTTCTTTCTTCTTTTTCTTCCTCCTCTTCCTCCTCCTCAGTCTTTCTCTTCCCCTTCTCCTTCTTTCTCTTCCTCCTCCTCCTCCTTTTTCTTTCTCCTTCTTCTCCTTCCTTCCTTCCCTCTCCCCTCCTCCCGTCTTCCTCCTCCCCCCTTCCTCCTCCCCCTTTCTTCCCCTCCTCCTCCTCCGTGTGACAGGGTCTCTGTTGCTCAGATTGAAGAGCAGTGGCAGGATCATGGCTCACTGCAACCTCTGCCTCCCGGGCTCCAGTGATCCTCTCACCTCAGCTTCCTCAGTAGCTGGGACTACAGGTGCCTGCCACCACACTCAGCTAACTTTCTGTTGCCCAGGCTGGTCTCAAACTCCTGACCTAAAGTGATCCTGCCGCCTCAACCTCTTGAAGCACTGAGAATACAGGCATGTGAGCCGCCATGACTGGTCTGTACGTGACTTTTTAAAAAATAGATTTTTTTAAGCTTTACAGCTTTGTTGAGGCATAGTTGATATACAATAAATTACACGTTTAATGTTTACAATTAGCTGAGGTTTGACTTATGTATATACCCATGAAATCATCACCATAATCAAGATAGTGAATGAATCCATCACTCCCAAAGGTTTCTGTATACCGCTTTACAATCCATCTCTCCTGCCTCCGCCTACCCTAGGCAACCACTGATCATAGATAAACACTTCTGTCACGGTGCATTAGTTTGCCTTTCTAGCATCAGAATCTGACAGTATATATATATTTGTTTTTGGAGGGAGGGGGTTCTGGCTTCTTCACTCAGCATAATTATTTTGAGAATTATTCATGTTGTTGTGTGTATCAATGATCTGTTTCATTTCATTGCACAATATTCCACCATATAGCTAGACCACAATTTTCATCTAGCCACCTGTTCATGGACATGTGGGTTGTTTCCACTTTGGGGCTATTACAAATAAGAGCTGCTATGAATATTTGTATCTGAGTCTTTGGGGAGATGTATACTTTATTTCTTTTGGGTAAATGCCTAGGAGTGGAATAGCTGGATCATAGAATAGGTCAATGTTTCACTTTTTTAGAAACTGTCAAAGTTTTCCCCCAGGTTTCTTGTTTTCATTCCCACCAGCAGTATTCACGACTGCCAGTTGCTCCCCACCTTCGTCAACACTTAGTGTGGTCAGTCTTTTTAATTTCAGCCATTCTCATGAACATGTAGTGGTATATTATGGTTTTAATTTGCATTGTGCTTGTCTCTTTGAAGAGCAAGTCTTCAGAGAAGCATGTGGATTAGCCCAGGTGGTACAGGTGGACAGGCAGGTTGTGGTGGGGCCTGAGGGGTGAGCATCAGAGATGATATTAACCGAAAGAGGCTCCTATCCCCACACTCTCCTCCCATGGTCCCCAAGCACCAGCCACTGAGACGTTACAGCCAAGAGGGGCCTGGTATTTCCAAGGGAGAGGAAAATACCACTCCTCATCTCCCAATACACTTAGGTGATTATAAGCAGGCACTAGAAACCCCTAAATTCCCCAGACCCTACCATGTTTGGAGTTGGGCAGTAATATCACATAGAGGCCTGGCGTGGTAGCTCATGCCTATAATTGCAGCACTTTGGGAGGATGAGGTGGGAGGATCACTTGAGTCCAGGAGTTTGAGACCAGACTGGGGCAACATAGTGAGACCTTGTCTCCACGAAAAATAGACAAAATTAGCCAGGCATGGTGATGCGCGCCTGTAGTCCCAGCTACAAGGGAGGCTGAGGCAGGAGCATCACCTGAGCATGAGAGGTTGAGGCTGCAGTGAACTGAGATCACGCCACTGCACCCCAGCCTGGGTGACAGAGTGAGACACTGTCTAATAAATAAATAATCACATGAAAGGAGGAGAAAGGGATCCTGTCCCTTGAACATCTCAACTGGAATTAGGCAAAGCCTTCACAACTTCTAGCACGAGACTAGCTCCAAAGAACAGTCGCAGAGAGCGACAAGCTCTGAAGAAGCTCAGTTCAGGCAATTCCTTGAAATCTCTCTTCCTGTTAAAAGCTAAGGGGCTGGCCGCAGGCTGGCAGGGCTGAGACATGACAGAGCTACTGATATTCACCCAAACCAATCTGGATCGCTGTGCCGTGCCCCTGGCCAAATCTCTTGCAGTATGAGTACATGACACATGTCTTATCTTTTGTGTTCTAGAGCTTTGATATCTGAGGCCTTGCTGACCCTAGAGGCACTAGCCCTCCCAGGGTTAGCCAGTGATAACCTAGCGATAAGCAGACAAGTCACCCTGGAGCACACTCTTCAAATGCAAAGCAACCAACCTAGAGCCCATAGTCCAACCACCTCCTTTACTGGGCATTCACTGTCCACCAGGCCACAGTACACCTGCTCTAATCACCCCAGGCCAGGTACTATTCAACTAGGGACAGTCCCTCTCCCCCAGAGCCCACTGAAATGATCCTCATTAGCCATTCCTAAGCCTCTTACCCTGCCCCACCCTGTCCTTCCCATGGAAACCATAACAAAGGCTCCTGCCCACGTTTCTCCCCCTCCCTCCCTCCTTCCTGAGCCACCCCAGTGCTCCCCCTGTGGACCCCTGTGGTGTGGAATGCCCCCTCTTCTTGGGAACTATCTTTCTGATGGTGATCATCTGTTGATCTGTTGCCCTTAGTCTGGCTTCTTTTACTTAGCCTATTGTAAGAATCATTCACATTGTTGTGTCACTGGTCTGTTTCACTTTACTGTTCAATATTCCACCTTAGAAGTAAACCAGGGGCAGAAAGTTAAACACCACATGCTCTCACTCATATGCAGAAGCTAAAGTGTTGATCTCATAGAAGTAAACAGTAGAACAGAGGATACTACAGGCTGGGAAGGGGAAGGGAAAGGGTGGGGGATAGAGAGTGAGTTCTTAAAGGATACAAAGTTACAGCGAGGTGGGAGGAATAAGTTCCAGTGTTTTATGCCACTGTAGGATGACTGAAACATAAGTTCCAAATAGCTAGAAGGCGGATAGTGGATGTTCCCAACACAAAGAAATGATGTTTGAGATGACGGAAATGCAAGTTACCCTGATCACTACACATGGTGTGCGTCAAAACATACGCACAATTACTGTGTCAATTTAAAAAATAAAACAAAGGCTGGGCATGGTGGCTCATGCCTGTAATCCCAGCACTTTGGGATGCCGAGGCAGGAGAATCACTTGACGCCAGGAGTTTGAGACCAGCCTGGGCAACACAGTGAGACCCCATCTCTAAAAAAAAAAAAAATTTTCTGGGCCTGGTAGCTGATGTCTATAGTCCTAGCTAGTCAGAAGGCTGAGGTGAGAGGATGGCTTGAGCCTATGAGTTTGAGGCTCTAGTGAGCTGTGATGGCACCATTGCACTGCAGGCTGGGCGACAGAGCGAGACTCCGTCTCTTAAAAAAAAAAAAAGTAAAATATAAATATAAAAAAATTTACTGTATGATTATACCTCAAAATTTCCACTAATACACTGTGTTTTAAAACAATGAGGCCAGCTCTTCACATACTATTCATGCTATAGCCTGTGCTGTCCAACATGAGGCCGAGGGCCACATATGGCTGTTAAGCCCTTGAATGTGGCTAGTGCAAATTGAGATGAGCCGTAAGTAAGCACGTAACATGCACCAGATTTTGAAGACTTAGCACAAGAAAAATGTTATAAAATATCTCTGCAATAATTTTTATATTGACAACATGTAAAAATAACACTTTGGTATATTATTATCAAAGTATTATGCATTACATAAAACATATTATTAAAATCAATTTCACGCCGGGCGGGGTGGCTCACGCCTGTTTTACCAGCACTTTGGGAGGCCAAGACAGGTGGATCACCTGAGGTCAGAAGTTCCAGACCAGCCTGGGCCACATAGTGAGACCCCCGTCTCTACTAAAAATAGAAAAAAAATTAGCCAGATGTGGTGGCAGGCGCCTGTAATCCCAACTACGCGGGAGGCTGAGGCAGGAGAATTGCTTGAACCCGGGAGGAGGAGGTTGCAGTGAACCGAGGTCGCACCATCGCACTCCAGACTGGGCAACAAGAGCAAAACTCTGCCTCAAAAAATAAATAAAATAACATAAAATCAATTTCACATTTTTCGCTTTTTCAAGCAGCTACTAGACACTTTAAAGTTACACAAGGGGCTTGCACTGTATTTCTAATGGATGGCACTAGTCGAGACCCTGCTGAGCGTTTTTCAGTTTACAAAGTCCTTTCCCATCTTTTACGTCATTTGATACCCACAACTGCCCTGTGAGAAAGTGAGTCAGTGACTACTATTCCCATTGCACATATGAAGTCAACTGAGGCCCAGAGAGGAGCTGTAAACAGCTAAGTGCATCATCAGAGGTGGACATGAGGCTTGAAACCCTAAAGTCATTTTTCTCAAAGTGGCGTTCGCAGATCCCCACATCGGATTCTTCCAGAATGGCTTATTATCTATGCAGATCCTTGAGCCCTACACACTTACTGCATCCAAATCTCACCTCTCCAGGTCCTTGCTTAAATGTCACCTCCAAAGAAAGAGCTTCCCTGTCTACTCTATTCAAAACGGACAGCCACCTCCATCACTGCACCCCTCACCTGGCTTCCCCCTTTCTTCCTGGATCTATTTGTCTGCATGAATCAGTTTGTCTCCAGACCCTATGGGGGCACCAGGAAATGGCTTCCTGACTATAACATAAGCTATCAGAAATCAGGGGCTGTGTTTTGTTCACACTGTTCTCCTATCGCCTAGAACAGTGTTTGGTGCAGCATTAGGGTTACCAGTTAAACTATAGGACTCCCAGTTAAATTTGAATTTCATATAAACAACAAAGCACTTTCTCGTGTATGTTCTGTAATGGACTGCCTGAATGTCTGTGTTCCCCCAAAATTCCTATATTGAAAGCTTAATCTGTCCCAGTGTGCTGGAGGTGGGGCCTCTGAGAGGCGATTAGGTGATGAGGTGGAGCTCTCATGAATGGGATTAGTGCCTTTATAAGAAGAGGCTACTTTACTCTCTTTCTGCCAGGTGAAGAAATACAAAGGCTGTCTACAACCCGGAAGAGGGCCCTCACCAGAACCCGATCATGCTGGCACCCTGACCTTGGACTTTTAGCCTCCAGAACTGTGAGAAATAAATTTTGATGTTTACAAACCACCTAGCCTATGGTGGTACTTGGTTATAGTAGCATGAATGCAAGGAGGCAAGCCCCCCCAGTTATTGCATGAGACATACTGATGTTAAAACATGATTTGTAGGTCAGGCACAATGGCTCACACCTATAATCCTAAACACTTTGAGAGGCTGAGGTGGGAGGATTGCTTGAGCCCAGGAGTTCGAGACCAGCCTGGGCAACATAGTGAAAACCCATCTCTACAAAAAATACAAAAAAATTAGTCAGGTGTGGTGGTTTGCACCTGTGGTCCCAGCTACTCAGGAGGCTGAGGTGGGAGGACTGCCTGACCCCAGGAGGTGAAGGCTGCAGTGAGCCGTGATGCACCACTGCACTCCAGCCTGGGCAGCAGAGCAAGATCCTATATAATAATAATTTGGCCAGGCACAGTGGCTCACGCCTGTAATCCCAGCACTTTGGGAGGCCAAAGCAGGCAGATCACCTGAGGAGAGGAGTTCAAAACCAGCCTGGCCAACATGGTAAAATCCCATCTCTGCTAAAAATACAAAAATTGGCCAGACATGGTGGCAAGCACCTGTAATTCCAGCTACTGGGAGGCTGAGACAGGAAAATCGCTTGAACCTGGGAGGCGGAGGTTGCAGGGAGCCAAGATCACACCATTGCACTGGACTGCAAGACTGGGCAACAAGAGTGAAACTCTGTCTCAAAAACTAAATAAAATTTAAAAAATATAATAATTTGTTGGCTGGCCATAGTGTCTTAGTGCCTGTAATTCCAGCACTTTGCGGGGCACTGAGGTGGGAGGATCGCTTGAGCCAAGGAGTTTGAGACCAGCCTGGGCAATATAGTGAGACCCCATCTCTACAGAAAAAAAAGAAAAACTGGCCAGGCATATAGTGCACATCTGTAATCCCAGCTACTTGGGAGGCTGAGGAAGGATTGCTTGAGCCCAGAAGGTCGAGGTCGCACTCAGCTATGATCACAACACTGTACTGCATTCTAGCCTGGCCAACAGAGTAAGACTCTGTCTCAAAAAAAAAAAAAAATTTGTTGATCTGACATTCAAGTTTAAATGGACATCCTGTATTTGTCTTTGCTAAATCTGGAAACCCTACTTATGGTAGTAGCTCAATAAACATCAATTGAATGAATGAATCACAGTGGGATCTGGAAATCTAGATTTTTAACCAGCTTCCCCCCAGTGACTCTTGTGCACACTCAAATTTGGGAACAACCTGCCCTACAAATTATAGAATCCTGCCCATCTCGGATTTTAAGATAGGGGAAAACTGATTACACAGTAAATTGCTCCTGAATGAGGTGGGATTGCAAGTATAACACCCAGTCCCTGCCTTCAAGGATTTTACAGTCACTTTGCTTTTTTTCCTTTCTCATAAGCTGTAAAACATTCACACATCTTAATATGCAAGGAATGACTGAATGAGGTTGGGCCCATAACCTATGGGCACCAAGAAATTGCTTAAAACAGAATTTTTTTTTTCAAAGAATCAAAGTCCTGGCTTCTGTATTAGCTTAAGAAAAAATCCAGGAAAAATAGATAGCAGTTTGCTCCCTAAAGAGGACAAAAGGATGCCTGTTTCCTACTGGTGGAGTCAAGACGAGAAGCTGGGTTATGGGAGGGCAAGGAGGCCCAGCCTCCTCCAGAGCCCACCTAGGAAGGAGGCCAGCCCTTCACCTGGTCCTCTGTGAGCCACAGCAACTCAGCCCACACGCTGGTTAAACATTATCCCATAAGAATGTTCTGTGCCCAGAATGTGAGTGGCATATAAACACTCAATGCGGCAACACCTCTCTTGGAAGCCCTGGGGATTTTCTTCAGAAACCTCCCCTTTGTGGGGGCAGTGGGTGGGATGTACAACCCTTAGAATGCACCACTTCAGCCCAGCGCAGAAGAAAATAAAGCCTTATATAGATGAAAAATGCTCCTTGGTGCCACTTTGCCCAGTGTTTGCCCTGTCATGGAAAACAGCCCCTACCATCTAGGCGTCCCTACTTGAAGAGCCTATTGCTGGGGTGGACGGGACATTACTGAGGGTTCAGCGGGTGATAAGAAGCTGCCAGTGGGCTGGGCGCGGTGGCTGACAACTGTGGTCCCAGCACTTTGGGAGGCTGAGGCAGGCAGATTGCTTGAGTCCAGGAATTCGACCAGCTTGGGTAGCATGGTGAGACCCTGTCTCTACAAAAAATTTAAAAAAAAATAAGCCGGGCGTGGTGGTGCACACCGGCGGTCCCAGCTACTCAGGAGGCTGAGGCAGGAGGATCGCTTAAGCCTGGGATGTCGAGGCTGCAGTGAGCTGTGATGACGCCACTGCACCCCAGCCTGGGTGACAGAGTGGGACCCTGTCTCAAAAAAAAAAAAAAAAAGCAGCAGCCACCTGTGGTACGCGCCTTCCTGGCCCCACCCTGAGCCCATCCAGGGCAGCTCCCAGGATGCTCCCCTCCACCAGTAGGTGCTGTTGCTAGGGAAATCTAGAGATGCCTCAGGCCAGAGACCTGAGCCCACCTTGTCTCTTTCTTTGTTCACTTTCTCCATTTCCTGGTCACCATGCTTAGGGCTCAGTCAGCCTGTGATGGGGACCTGAAACTTTACAAAAGGCCTGTCTCCTGGGTCTGGGAAAGGAAGAGCTAATACTCATTCATAAGCTCAATCTTTTCTTCATTCATTCATTCATCCACAGAGTCATTGATTCATATGTCAGTGCAACAAATGTTCGTTGAGCACCTACTTAGTGCCAAGCACTGTTCTAGGCAGTGGATCCGAGTAACCACAACAGCTGGAAAACCCTGTCCTTGTGGAGTGGACATTCTGCTGGACTTTACACTCTGTTGTTTGCTTTTTTACACAACAATCACTTGTTGAGCACATACGAGTACTGGCTACAAGTGAGACAAATGGTCACTGTCAGCATCACAGAACTCAAGTCCCTCCCACCTCCTGTTAAAAATATTTATTAAATGCCTTTGATGTACAGCACATGGGTGGGGGACAGGGCCACAAAAAAAGGCACCATGTCAGTTCTCCTGGAATTCCTGTGTAAGCAGAGGAACAAGGGCACAGGCACACACAACCATTTATCAAGAGTTTACTCCAGGCCAGGTCCTGCGCCAAGACTCTTACATGAATCATCTCATTATAGAACCAAACCAATCCTATGCAGAAGGTTCTAGCAACATTCCCTGGCTTTTATTTTTATTTATCATTTTTTTTTTTGAGACAGAGTCTTGCTGTGTTACCCAGGCTGGAATGCAGTGGAGTGATCTCGGCTCACTGCAACCTCCGCCTCCCAGGGTCAAGTGATTCTCCTGCCTCAGCCTCCTGAGTAGCTGGGACACAGGCATGTGCTACCACATCTGGCTGATTTTTGTATTTATTTATTTATTTTTGTTAGTAGAGACAGGGTTTTGCCATGTTGGCCAGGCTGGTCTCGAACTCCCGGCCTCGAGTGATCCGCCTATCTCGGCCTCCCAAAGTGCTGGGATTACAGGCATGAGCCACCACGCCCTGCCTGCATCCCCTGGTTTTTAGATAAGAGAAATGAGACAGTTACCTCCTTGTCAATTCTCTTTCAAACCTGCTGACCATTTCCAGGCATGAGGCCCCACGTGGTGCCAGCCTATCTTTGTCTCTCTAGCCCTTGGCCATCTTGCATGGTTCACAAAGAGCAGCTTCAGCATTGAGCAGTTTCTGCAGGCCACAGGCTCAGACTGCATTTGAATGGTTGGCTCTGCTTCCCTTATATTTATTTTCTAGCTACCCTCTGCTTACAGCAAGTGCTGATGGTTTTGCATTTATTGAAGAGACCTGAAGTTTCTCTTTTATTTTCATTTTTAATTTTATTTTTAGAGACAAGTTCTCTCTCTGTTGCCCAGGCTGGAGTGCAATGGCATGATCATGGCTCACTGCAACCTTAAACTCCCGGGCTCAAGTGATCCTTCTGCCTCAGCCACCTGAGTAACTGGTACTACAGGTGCATGCCACCATACCTGGCTATTTATTTTTATTTTGTTTGTAGAAATTGGATCTCACTATGTTGCCTAGGCTGGAGTGCAGTGGCACTATCATATCTCACTGCAGCCTAGAACTCCTGGGCTCAGGTGATGTTCCCAACCCAGTCTCCTATGTAGCTGGCATTACAAGTGTGTGCCACCATGCCTGGCTAATTTTTTGTAGAGATGGGGTCTTGCTATGTTGCCCAGGCTGGTCTTGAACTCCTAGCCTCAAGCCATCCTCCTGCCTCAGCCTCCCAAAGTTCTGGGATTATAGGCATGAACCAATGCACTCCGCTGTGTCTCTTTTAAATTATTATTTTTTTAATTTTCTTTTTCTTTTTAACACAGGTTCTCTGTCACCCAGGCTGGAGTGCAGTGGCTCAATTTCTCCTCACTGCAGCCTCGACCTTCCAGGCCTCAAGTGATCCTCCCACCTCAGCCTCCTGAGTAGCTAGGACTACAGACGTACACCACCATGCTTGGCTAGTTTTTGTATTTTTTTGTAGAGACTGGGTCTCCCCAAGTTGCCCAGGCTAGTCTTGAACTCTGGGCCTCAAGTGATCCTCCCACACTGGCCTCCTAAAGTGCCGGGATTACAAGTATGAGCCACTGCACTCGGCCTATTTTTTGAAATTTTTAGGTGACTCAGTTTAAATAGAAATACAAAATCAGTAATGGTCCAGGTGGCACACGAATATGGTAAAATTGAGAACATGGCATTCCTGCGCTTGGTACGTAGATAATGCAGGTGAGAGAGAATTGAAGCAGAGCTAGGAGGAGGACACTGAGGGGCAGGGACCCTGCTCCTACGGAGCCTGTTCCTACCCCATATCCTTCCCAGGTTGGAGACTGGAACTGACAGCTGCCTGTTTCTCCACCACCCCCAACCCCGTTCCACTTTCTTCCTCCCCCTGGTCTCCTCCCACTCCCCCTGCCATTTCTTTTTTTATTTTTATTTTTATTATTATTTTTTTTGAGACGAAGTCTTGCTCTATTGCCCACGCTGGAGTGCAGTGGCGCAATCTCGGCTCACTGCAACCTCCGCTTCCTGGGTTCAAGCAATTCTCCTGCCTCTGGGATTACAGGTGTGTGCGACAAGTAGCTGGGATTACAGTAGCTGGGATTACAGGTGTGTGCGACAAGGCCCGGCTGATTTTTGTATTTTTAGTGGAGACAGGGTTTCACCATGTTGGCCAAGCAGGTCTCGAACTCCTGACCTCAGGTGATCTGCCCACCTCGGCCTCCCAAAGTGCTGGGATTACAGGGGTGAGCCACTGTGCCCGGTCCCCCTCCCATATCTTTACGGGGCCTGTCTGCAGCTTTTCCAGAATTGGCTTCCCTAGAACCTATCGATGACTCACACCCAAGGCAAATCTGCCCATGTGGGTGTGCACTCTGCCAAAAAACATGCCCCTTAACATCTTGTCCAGACTCTGTCACTCAAGGCCAGGGTCATCTTCATTAGAAGGGAGGAAAAAAGCCACATCTGGCCAGGTGGGTGGCTCACGCCTGTAATCCCAGCACTTTGGGATGCCAAGGCAGGCGGATCATCTGAGGTCAGGAGTTCGAGACCAGCCTAGCCAACATGGTGACACCCCGTCTCTACTAAAAATACAAAAAATCAGCCAGGCGTGGTGGTGTGTGCCTGTAATCCCAGCTACTCAGGAGGCTGAGGCACAAGAATCACTTGAACCTGGGAGGCGGAGGTTACAGTGAGCAGAGATTGTGGCATTGCATTTCAGCCTGGGTGACAGAGTAAGACTCCATCTAAAAAAAAAAAAAAAGCCACACCCACTGTATCTGGGGGGCAGCCCCTGCTTGTGCACTAGAAACACTGGGGCACCATGACAGCTTCCAGAAGTTTGAGGAATGGGACTCCCAATGCCAGAGAGGCAGACGGCTGCATGGGCTGGCCAGGGGCAGGGGCTGGAGACAGAGCAGCCTGAAGCTTCATGCTGAGGAGGAAGCCCAGGGGACCGTCATCCTGAGCAGGAGGGACAGTTTAGTGACATGGTCTTTCTGCAGGGCAACCCAATGCAACAAGATCAAATCAGGGAGCTGCCGATTCACCTGGGATGCACCTCCCCAGGTATCCACATGCCTCATTCTCTCACCTCCTTCAGGCTAGGGCTAAAAAGCCAAGAAGGCCTTCCCTGACCATCCCAGTTTAAACTGCAGCCCTAACCAGCCAGCACCCCCAATCGCCTGCTTCTCTGCTTCATTTTCTCTCTAGCCCTTATCCCTGGCATACTGTATGTTTTACTCATTAATTTTGTTGTTAATTCCCCTAACTCAAAAGCAAGCTTTTCCTTTGGGAGGGGTTTTGGTCTGTTTTGCTCCCTTCTGAATTCCCAGTGCCTACACAGGATCAATGTCTGGAGCATAGTAAATAATAATGATGATGATAATAATAATATGTAACACTTAGCATACTGCTATTGTGTGCCAGGCACTTTTCCAAGGGCTTTGCATATATTAGTCAATTAGTGGGTGCTCAGCAAACACTGGCTCCCTGGATGGATAAATATACACCATGGAGTGTGCGTTAAAGACAAGGGTACACAGCCGGGTGTGGTGGCTCTCACCTGTAATCCCAGCACTTTGGGAGGCCGAGGTGGGAGGATCACCTGAGATCAGGGGTTCGAGACCAGCCTGACAAACATGGCGAAACCCCGTCTCTACTAAAAATACAAAAAAATTAGCCAGGTGTGGTGGCAGGTGCCTGTAATCCAAGCTACTTGAGAGGCTGAGGCAGAAGAATCACTTGAACCCGGGAGGCAGAGGTTGCAGTGAGCCAAGATGGCACTACTGCACTCCAGCCTGGGCAACAGAGCAAGACTCCATCTCAAAAAAATAAAAAAGACAAGAGGATAAGCATTGGCACCAGACTATCTAAATCCCAGCTCGAGCACATCCAAGCTGGGGGGCCTTGGGCCAATGTCCTATCCTCTCTGAGCCGTTCCACTACAGCAGGGATCATAATCATTCCTAGTCCATGGGCTGGAGGTGAGGTTTAGTGAGACAATCCAGCAATGCGATTAGCACAGGGTCTGGGAGACAGAACTCTCGAAAACCTTAGCAAGTATGGAACCCCTTCACTGCCTCGGCACACAGAGCTGGCAGACGCAGACACCCTTCTGGTCACAGAGCAAAGGTGGCATGCCCAGCTCTTCCCACAGTTCATGCTTTTCTCCCACACACTCTGAAAAATGCCAAAGGAAAGTCCTGCCCTCCCACTCTCTCCAGGCCAGGTAGAACTATCCCTTATATACTCAGGCAAAAACACACACACACACCCTCCAGGCCAGGTACAGCAATCCCTTATATACACAGGCAAACACACACACACACACACACACACACACACACACACACACACACCCTCCAGGCCAGGTAGAGCGATCCCTTATATACACAGGCAGACATACACACACACACACACACACCCCCTCCAGGCCAGGTAGAATGATCCCTTATATACACAGGCAGACACACACACACACACACACACACACACACACACACACCCTCCAGGCCAAGTAGAGCGATCCCTTATATACACAGGCAGACACACACACACACACACACACACACACACACACACACACACCCTCCAGGCCAGGTAGAGTGATCCCTTATATACACAGGCAAACACACACACACACACACACACACACACACCCTCCAGGCCAGGTAGAACGATCCCTTATATACACAGGCAGACACACACACACACACACACACACACACACACACCCTCCAGGTCAGGTAGAGCGATCCCTTATATACACAGGCAGAGACACACACACACACCCTCCCTCTCCAGGTCAGGTAGAACAATCTCTTATATACACAGGCAGAGACGCACACATGCACAGAGCTGGCATCTCTCTGCCCATCCCCCAAGCTCTGAGGGGCTTCCCCAGAGTCCCCACTGCAGGTCCCCTCCCCAGGGATGTTAACCTTCCTGTTCCCATGAAGTTGGAGGAATCTGGGGAAAAGAGGCTTCTGGGGCACAGCCTGGCATATCCTAGTGGCTGGGCAAGGCTGCTGGGGATTGGCTCAGGGGGTCACCCCATGGGAGGAGTCCTGGCATCCTGGGTCTGGCAGCCAGCCCTGCCTTCCCCGCCCAGCCCTGCCTGGGAGCTGGAACTCTGGTGGGAAGAGGGTGGTGGCGTAGACGGCTCACCTCACTCCCTTTCCCGCCCAAACTCTGTGCTTTGCATACAGTAGGCTGCCTGCCAGTGGAGATGAGGCAAGACTGGGGAGCAGGAGTCCTAAGCCTCCCATGTGCTGTACACCTGGGGACAGGTTACTTCACCTTCCTGAGCCTCTCTACAGTTGCACAGATGTAGGTTCAATTCCACTTCCTGCTGTGTGACCTTGCATGGATCACAACCTCTCTGTGCCTCATGCAATATGCATTCAACATCGATTGAGCCCTTTCTAGCTGCCAGACACTGTGTAGGACACTTGTTCTTTTGTCTGTAAAAACAGGCTTAATAATAACTTGCCCGGCCAGGTGTGGTGGCCTACGCTTGTAATCCAAACACTTTGGGAGGCCAAGGTGGGGAGATCACCTGAGGTTAGGAGTTCGAGACCAGCCTGGCCAACATGGTGAAACCCCGTCTCTACTAAAAACACAAAAATTAGCCAGGTATGGTGGCAGGAGCCTGTAATCTCAGCTATTTGGGAGGCTGAGGCAGGAGAGTCACTTGAACCTGGGAGGCAAAATTTGCAGTGAGCCGAGACCGAGCCATTGCACTCCAGCCTGGGCAATAAGAGTGAAACTCTGTCTCAAAACAAAAACAAAAACAAAAACAAAAGAAAAACACTTGCCCACAAGGTTACTGGGGGAACTAAGTAAAATTGTGTGTGTGTGAACGTGTGTGTGTGTGTGCATGTGTGTGTGTGTGCACATGTGTGTGTGTGGTGGCTGTTCTATCATTTTTTTGAGAGAGGTTCTCACACTGTTGTCCAGGATGAACTGCAGCGGCACTATTATGGCTCACTGCAGCCTCAACATCCCAGGCTCAAGGGATCCTCCCACTTCAGACTCCCGAGTTGCTGGAACTACAGGCACATGCTACCACATCCAGCTAATTTTTGTGTTTTTCACAGAGATGAGGTTTTCCCGCGTTGGCCAGGCTGATCTCAAACTCCTGGGCTCAAGCAATCCATCCACCTCAGCCTCCCAAAGTGCTGGGATTACAGATGTGAGCCACTGCACCCAGCCAGTGGTTAATTTTATATGTCAATTTGACTGGCTTGACTGGGTTAATTGTATATGTTAACTTAAAGGGACAGCCAGATAGCTGGTAAACCATTATTTTGAGGTGTGTCTGTGAAGGTGTTTCTGGAAGAAACTAACGTTTGAATTGATGAACTCTGCGGTCATGTCCAACGTAGGCAGGCATCACCCAACCCACTGAGGGTCCGAACAGAACAAAAAGGCAGAGGAAGGGTGAATTCGCTCTCTCTGCTTTAGCTGGGACATCCATCTTCTCCTACCCTTGGACATCAGAGTTGCTGGTTCAGACTCAGACGGAAGCTTACAGCCTCAGCCCCTGACTCTTAGACCTTAGGACTGGAACTCAATTACACCACCAGGTTTCCTGGGTCTCCAGCATGCAGACCACAGGTTGTGGGACTTCTCAGCCTCCATAACCTCACAAGCCAATTCCTACAACAAATCTCCTCTCAGATACATTTCTATATATCGTATTGCTTCTGTTTCTCTGGAGACCCTTAAAACAGTGTGTAAATTGCTTATTCCAGTGTCTGCCACCATGCCATGGACTGTCCTGTCTCCCCCCCCTCCCCTCCCCCACCCCCCCCCCCCAGTCTGTGACGAGATTTTTCACTTGGGATCATTGATTTTTTTGTTTTTTAATGTAAGACAATAGGAAATTCAGATTTGCTTGAAAGAATTTGTCTTTGCAGGCAACTTAAATTCTGTAAGGCAGGAAGAGAGACTTATTGCTGGAGAAAAAACTGCCTTTCCTAAAAAAACAATTGAGGACTACATTTATCCTTCAAGAACTGTTGTCTCTTTTACATACACACACATGCTGAACGGGTAACTCAAAAGCCCAATTACATAAACAATGTTGCCTTTACAAACAGCCTCCAACCATATTTACACGTTCTTATCGCTCCCAGTCTAAACGGAGGGAGTGTAGTCCATTAGGAAAAGTAGGACTTCAGAACCCACCGGAACTCCTGGTTCCAATCCCAGTTCCACTACTTACCCCCTATTCAACCTTGTAAAAATTACCTGATCTGTCTAAACCTCAGTATTTTTTTAAAATTATGAAATAATATTTTTAAGGCCTGCCATATAGGATTATTGTGAGGGTTATGTAAGATTATGTATGTTTATATGTTTGTGGCATTGTGGCTAGTTGACACATAGAAAGGGCAATATTAATACCCACTTCCTCTTAACCTGTGGAACACTATAAAAGACTACATTTTCCAGGCTCCCTTGTAGCTCCAGGCCATGTGACTAATTCTAGCCAGTGGAAAGGAATCAAAATGTTGTTTGGGACTCTTGGGAAGTCTCTTTTAAAAGGGGGTGGTTGTACCCTTCTCTTTCTCAGGTATCTTCCTGCTAGCTCAAACTTAAGATGTGATGGTGGAGCTCCAGCAGCCTCCTTGGACCATGAGGTCTAAGTGTGAAAAATAAATGCTTGGATGGTGAAGCAGAAAAATAGCAGCCTGGGCATCTGATGATACCATGAAGCCATCTTGCAACCCAAGATTTATTTTATGTGAGAGGAAAGTAGACTTCTAACTTACTTAAACTGGTGTTATTTGGGGTCTTCTATTACATGTGGCTGAACCTAATCCCAAATGAGTTGTCATATATGACCAAAGAGTTCATAGCAAATCATCCGTGATGAGGGTATCTTGACCTCAGCACTACTGACATTTTGATAGACTCTTTGATAAAATTTGTGGAGGAGACCGTCCTGTGCATTGAAGGATGTTTAGTTAGCAGCCTCCCTGGTCTCTACCCACTAGATGCCAGTAGCACCCACTTCCAGTGTGACAACCAAAATTATCTCCAGACGTTGCCAACTACCCCCTAGAGGAAAAAATTGCCCCAGGTTGAGAACCACTGCTCTTGATTTATTTATTTTTATTTTTATTTTTTTGAGAGTCTTGCTCATCACCTAGGCTGGAATGCAGTGGCGTGATGTCAGCTCCCTGCAATCTATGCCTCCTGGGCTCAAGCGATTCTCCCACCTCAGCCTCCTGAGTACCTGGGACTACAGGCGTGTGCCACCACACCCAGCTAATTATTTTTATTTTTCTTAGAGACAGGGTCTCACCATGTTACCCAGGCTGGCCTCAAACTCCTGGGCTCAAGCGATCCACCCGCCTTGGCCTCCCAAAGTGCTGAGATGACAGGTGTGAGCCACCACACCCAGCCATCTTGATTTATTTATTGAGAAATTTGGAAGCCAAAGAGGTAAGGCCTATAGAAGTGAACCCCTAGAAATGAATACAAACACCTGAGATATAATAAACTGATGTCAAGAGGAAAAGATAACCAAAGACACAAACATTTAGGTTATACTGATCTCTCTAGAAAGGTATTCAACTGGGTACATGCAAACTACTTTTTGTTTTGTTTTTGAAACAGGGTCTTGCTTTGTTGCCCAGGCTGGAGGGCAATGGTGCAATCACTCCTCACCACAGCTTTGATCTCCTGGGCTCAAGTGACCCTCCCACCTCCACCTCCTGAGTAGCTGGGACTACAGATGCACACCACCATGCCTGGCTAATTTATTATTTTGTGTAGAGATGGGGTCTGCTAGATTGCCCAAGCTGGTCTTGAACTCCTGGGCTCAAGTGATCCTCCCACCACAGCCTCTCAAAGTGCTGGGATTACAGGTATGAGGCATTGCACCCAGCCTATATTTTTGACTTGAAATTCAAGCCTAGACTCAGATTGATGGACAATTAGTTGTATATAAAGCCAAAAATTAGGTCTGCCTTTTTTTTTTTTTTCTTTTTTTTGAGACAGAGTTTCACTCTTGTTGCCCAGGCTGGAGTGCAATGGTGTGATCTTGGTTCACTGCAACCTCCGTTTGCCAGGTTCAAGCGATTCTCCTGCCTCAGCCTTCTGAGTAGCTGGGATTACAGGCATGCACCACCATGCCCAGCTAATTTTTTTGTGTATTTAGTAGAAACAGGGTTTCACCATGTTGGCCAGGCTGGTCTCGAACTCCCGACCTCAGGTGATGCACCCGCCTTGGCCTTCCAAAGTGCTAGGATTACAGGCATGAGCCACCATGCCCGGCCTAGAGCTGCTTTTAAACAACTGTATTTAGGATAGGAATCAAGAGGATAAGACAGTAGAGAAATAGGAGTGAATCCAGTGCTATAACCAATGACTTCCAAAGTGATTTTAAGTGGTAAATGATAACATTAAGTCACGTTGTAGAAAAGTCATTCCCCTTTCAATTTTTTTTTTTTTTCCCTGAGATGGAGTCTCGCTCAGTCACCCAGGCTGGAGTGCAGTGGCGCAATCTCGGCTCACTGCAAGCTCCACCTCCCGGGTTCATGCCATTCTCCTGCCTCAGCCTCCTGAGTAGCTGGGACTACAGGCGCCCACCACTACGCCAAGCTAATTTTTTTTTTTTTTTTTGTATCTTTAGTAGAGACAGGGTTTTACCGTGTTAGCCAGGATGTTCTCGATCTCCTGACCTCGTGATCCGCCCGGCTCGGCCTCCCAAAGTGCCGGGATTACAGGCGTGAACCACTGCGCCCGGCCTCCCCTTTCAATTTTTTCCAACATCTTTATTGAGATACAATTTACCACAAAGTTCACCCACTTAAAATGTACTGTGGTTTTCAGTATAGTTACAGTTGTCCAGCCATCACTATAATCTAATTTAGAACACTTTCATTACTCACCCACAAAAGAAACTTTGTATCCCCTGTCTTTGAATGTGATTATTGACTTGTAATCTAAATGAAAGAGATGACAATTCTAAGTGTTGACTAGGATGCAGAGAAACTGGACCACTTATATGCGGCTGGTGGAAGTCAATATTTGTCAACCTCTGAAAAGCCGTTTGACAGAACCTACTGAAGCTGAAGATACACCCACTCTATGAGCCAGGGATTCCGTTCCTGGGAACGCCCATGAGAAAGAGTCCATATGTCCACCAAAAGATTTGTGCAAGAATGTTCAAGAATGTTCATAACAACTTAAACATCTATCAACAGGAGGATGGATCAATTGTGGAATAGCCCCACAATAGACCACTATCCAGCGGTAAAAAACAACTTCTAACACACACATACCAATACAATGGATGAACCTCACCAATACTATATTGAGTAGAAGCAGCCAAGCACAAGAAAAGAACATACTGCATGATTCTATCAATATGAATTTCAAGACCAGGCAAATCTAACGGCTGGTGATAGAAGTAAGAATGATAGTTCCTTTGGGGAGGGGGTGTAGACTGAGAGGTGGTATGAGGGGGGCTCCTGGAACTAGAAATGTCCTAGCCTTTGATCTGGAACAGGGTTTCCCAACCTCATCACCTATTGACATTCAGTGACATTTAGGACTAGATATTTCTTTTTCTTTTTTTTTTTGAGACAGAGTCTCACTCTGTCACCCAGGCTGGAGTGCAGTGGTGCCATCTCAGCTCACTGCAACCTCTGCCTCCTGGGTTCAAGCAATTCTCGTACCTCAGTCCCCTGAGTACCTGGGATTACAGGCATGCGCCACCACACCCGGTTAATTTTTGTATTTTTAGTAGAGATGGGGTTTCACCATGTTGGTCAGGCTGGTCTCGAACTCCTGGCCTCAAGTGATCCACCCACTTCAGTCTCCCAAAGTGCTAGGATTACAGATGTGAGCCACGGTGCCCAGTCTGGGACCAGATCATTCTGTGTGTGGTATCTGTCCTGTGCATTGAAGGATGTTTAGTAGCATCCCTGGTCTCTACCCACTAAATGCCAGTAGCATCCACCCCGCAAGCTGTGACAACCACATTGCGAAATATCCCCTGAGGGGATAATCACCCCATGACTGAGAGCCACTGAACTAGGTACTGGTCACACATGTGCGCACACACGTAAAAATCAAATTCAAACTGTACCCAGATTAATGCAGTCAAATATCACATGTACCTGACGAATATGTACAACTATTATGTCTCCATAATGACTAACCATTTTTTAAAATTTGAAGATTAATACAGTTGTGTTCTTTGCTGTGTTATACCTTATTTATTTATTTATTTACTTATTTTGAGATGGAGCCTCGCTTTGTCACACAGGCTGGAGTGCAGTGGTGCAATCTCGGCTCACTGCAAGCTCTGCCTCCCGAGTTCACACCATTCTCCTGCCTCAGCCTCCCGAGTAGCTGGGACTACAGGTGCCCACCACCACACTTGGCTAATTTTTTGTATTTTTAGTAGAGATGGGGTTTCACCATGTTAGCCTGACCTCGTGATCTGCCCGCCTCAACCTCCCAAAGTGCTGGGATTACAGGCGTGAGCCACCACACCTGGCAATACCTCACTTTAAAAAAAGTTTTAATAAGGCAACCGCAGAGAAAACAAATCAATGTATTCACATTCAAAATAAGAAAACCATGAAAGGCCTGTACGCTCATTATTAGTGTTACGATAGCTTAAAGGTGAAAGGTGAATGGGGAAAGTTTGGGGAGGATAGATTTCAGTGGGCACAGGGTTTTGTTTTGGGGTGACGGAAATGGAACTGGGTAGAGGTGGTGGTTGTACAATATTATCAATATTAAATGGCAGTGAATTGTTCACTTTAAAGTAGTTAATTTTATGTTATGCGAATTTCACCTTAATAAAGGAAAAAACTCATTTTTGTCTCCACCACTCTCAATACGTATTACTATTTTAATTTACAAGGAATCCACCTTCAGAAGCATTTAATCCAATTCCCTGGATATCACAGGCAACATTCTGAGACATTAGGCAACGTGATGAGGTCACAGCTGGAGAGAGGCAGATCCCCAGATCTCCAGTATGGGATCCAATTTAACATCCCCCACCCTAGCCCAGCCTCCCTCAACCCACTTATTCCAGTGTAAGGGGTCAAGACGGGGGTTGCCTGTGTAATAGAAAAGGGCTCTCCTCAGTCTTTGGAATGTGGCTCAGAAAAAGAGCCTGCCCAAGGCAGGTGGCAGGTGGCTCTTTGGGCCACATGCCCCCACCTTTGGCTGACCAAAGGGTTTCATGTTAAGTAACTCCCCCCACCCCACCCCCACCTGCTGGCAGAATTCTGTGCAGGGTGTCCTGGAGGTAAAAGGTCAGTCAGGAGGCCCAGGTTCCCATCTCAGCCCTAACACAAACCAACTGTGGGGCCCAGACCCCCACTCAGAACCCCTGACTGCTCTGAGCCGCTATCTCCTCATCCGGGAGACAGAGACTGGCCAGGTAATGTTCTCTATGAATTCCACCTTCAAACTCCCACACATGCCCAGAGCCGCCACTTCCTTCAAAAGCCAGTCTGAGAATGTTACCAGCAGGAGTGCAAGGCTGTGTGTGTGTGTGTGTGTGTGTGTGTGTGTGTGTGTGTGTGTTATTTATTTATTTGAAGACAGAGTCTTGCTCTGTTGCCCAGGCTGGAGTGCAGTGGCATGATCTCAGCTCACTATAACCTCCACCTCCTGGGTTCAAGAGATTCTCCTTCCTCAGCCTCCTGGGTAGCTGGGATTACAGGCCCACACCGCCACGCACGGCTAATTTTTGTATTTTTAGTTGAGATGTGGTTTCGCCATGTTGGCCAGGCTGGTCTCGAACTCCTGACCTCAAGTGATCTGCCCACCCTGGCCTCCCAAAGTGTTGGGATACAGACGTGAGCCACCGCGCCCGGCTGTGTTTTGTTTTTTCTTCTTCAAGTCCATCCTCTTTAAATTGCTGCAAGTCTCAATATACAGCTTTATGATCTCTGTTGAAACTACTCAACCTGACCACTGTAGCACAAAAGCAGCTGCAGACAACATGAAAATGTATTGGGCATGGCTGTGCTCCAATAAAACTATTTACAAAAACAGGCGGAGGGGCGGGGATTTGGCCCTTGGGGCTGTGAGTTTGCAACCCCTGTTATAAACTATTCCAGGGGAAATCACAATCCCCCAAAGCTGTCCATCTCATGTAAGTCTGCTGCTCCTCTGGGGTTTCTGTGTTCAGAGAACAATTTCTGCAGCACCTCGCTACTCCAAGTGTGGTCCCTGGACCAGCATCTTTGGACTTGAAGAGCTTGTTAGAAACCCAGGCCCCACCCCAGATCTCAGCACAGAATCTACATTTTTACAAACTCCCAAGCTATTCATATGCATATTAAAGCTTTAAAGCAAGAGAAAGACATGATTATGTTTGTAGTTTCATGCAGATCTCTCTGGCTGCCATTTGGAGGATAGACAGAGGGGACAATCTGGACAAGCTGAGAGACAGGAGGACTCACACCCAGGCAGTGTGGACAATTGCTAAAGAAACGAGGTCACCAAAGTATCCAAAAGATGAAGTAGGAAGGACTTGAGAACTTATGGAATGTGCGGAGTGAGGAGAGGCCAGTGGTATTCGGATTCCAGTGTGCCCACCTCACTACAATCCAGAGGAACCTTCTAGAAGAGAGGTTGGGGAGCCACCAGCCACTGCCAAGCATGTGGCCTTGGCAAATCACCAAACCTCTGTGAGCCTCAGTTTCCCCATGTGTATAAAGAAGATGATAATAGCATCTATCCTAGAAGGTGACTTCCAGGATGGATTTAGGTAACCCGTGTAATGTGTTCAGCACTGTGGCCAGCACACAGTAAGCCCTTCAGAGCCCTGGGTCCCTCAGCCTCCACACTATCTACCCTACCATCTGCCTAGCCATCTACCTATCTACTATCTTTTTTCCTTTCTCTCTTCTTAAATTAAACCTTAATGCTAGCAGATCAGGGTTTCTTAGCCTTGGCACTATTGACATTTGAGGCTGGGTGATTCTCCATGGTGGGGGGTAGGGACTGTCCTGTGCACTGTGGGATGTTTGGCAGCATCCCTGGCCTCTACTCACTGGATGCCAATCATCAGTAGCACGCACCCCCATTTGTGACAACTAAATGTCTTCAGACATTGCCAAATGCCCCTGGGGGAAATGGGGGCAAAATCACCTTGTTTGAGAACTGCTGCTTTAGATGTTGACCTATTACTGTTGTCATAAGGCTGGGTGGAGGTGGGGGAAGTGTCCCTATTAACCTGAAGCTCAGAATCTAGAGCAGGACTTGTGGAGTCCTAAGTCAGCAACAACGAGGAGGCGGCCCCAGGTTGGGGAGAACAATTGTTCTGAGAGACGGTTAACCACAAACAACTCACTTGCACAGCATTCTGTTCCCAAATACTTTGTTCTGCACGTAGCCCCGGCACCACCACCCTATAAAACTTCCTTCCAGCTCCTGCCTCTTTGCAGGCAGCCCCTTCTGTGCTGTGCTGCCCATTGCTTTCTTGCAACGTATCCTTGTACTTTCTCCAATACATCTGCCTTTCTTTACCCATGACTATCTTGGCAAATTCTTTTACCATCCACAGCACTGGCCCCAGCCAGTTGCACCCATGACAGGACCACCTGGAGTAAAACACAGCTCTGCCATTTCCTAGCTGGAGTGGTTAGTGGTGGGGACTTTAGGCAAATCACTTTTTGTAATGAGTCCTCAGTTTCCTCATCTGTAAAACAGGTCTAATAATAACCCCTTCTTCATGGGAGGGAAAGATAAGCTCACCTAAGTAAAGCTCTCAGTAAGGCTAATATGTCTTTGTTACAGTAAGTTATCATTTTCTTTCTCCTTCGGCTTGCAGCAGGATGGAAAACTCAATTATGATCACCCACTCTCACCCCCTGCAGAGGAGAAGCCGGAAGCAAATCTCCACTCCATCCACCCACTCACCCTCAACCCTGCACCCAGAATGTGGAAAGGGTTGAGGTCAGCACTGGGAATGGTCTCTGGCCATGCATGGGGTGTGAAAGGCAATTATCAGGTCTGCCTCAGATAAAACCAACCTCGGCTCAGTGGAAAAGTGTGCTGATATTCCTGGCTGGACTAGAAATCCACCCAACAGCTCTGAAAGCAGAGATATGTTTGGCAGGGTTGTTCACCATGTAAAACTATCTGCCTGTGTCTTGTGACAGTGGAGAAAGCCTCTAAGGCCAAGAAATTATTTTTGATGTGGAAGGAAAAAAATGGATTTAGTAGTTCCAGCCAGCTTTAGGCTTCTGGATGTTTTGTGCAACCTTGCAAATTTATTGTTTTCCAAATTGCATGAAGCCAAGGAGTTTCCAAGGAGATGCTTGGCTCAGTGCAGATCCCCAGCTCAGGAAAGAGGAAGGCAGCTTGAAATCCTTTTCTGGTCAAATGGTGGAAGATTTTCAAGTTCAGCCAAATTCAGGAGCAAGGAGAGAGAGAAAGAGGAGAGGAGCGCTCCGGAGGGACCCGGTCAGGGATTCAGAGCATGAACGCCCCAGAGCTGGGACTCTCAACCCTTGGCACTCTTGACATTTGAGCCCAGATATATCTCAGCTGTGGGGGCTGTCCTGTGCATTGGGGGCTGTTTAGCACAGCATCCCTGGTCTCTACCCACTAGATGTTAGTAGCATTCTCCACCCCCAGCCATTTCAACAACCAAAAATGTCTCCAGATATTGGCAAATGCCAGTGGGGTGCAAATTCACCCTGGTTGGGAACCACTACTCCAGGAGATAAATGTTGAGCAGGTCCTGCTCGCAGCCGTTTCTCTCAAGTGGTAGCCCAGCTGCTTTCGGAATATGTCAGGCCAGCACATGCATCAGCTGTTGAGAGGCTGTCTGAGGTCAGAGGTCCTGAAAGTCCTGAATGGGGTTAGAAACGGGTAGAAGCTTTCTTGCCTGAGAGACCAATATGCTCTTAAAAAAATTCATGATAATTCATCATCTCAGGCCTTTGAGGGCCTCCTTCTTAACACTTATTACCACTTTTAATTAATTGTGTGTTTGCTTATTTTTTTAACTCTATTTCCCCCTCTAGAATGTAAGCCCCCTGAGGGCAGAGATCTTGTCTGTTGTTCACTGTTGAATCCCCAGCGCCTAACTCAGTCTAGCACATAGGATGGGCTAAGTACATATCTGCTGCAGGGAGGGAAGGAAGAGGGAGGGAGGGAACAACAGATAATTGTTGCATGTCTACACCTGGAAGATATACCTAGCGGGCTTGTTAAAACTCAGATCGCTAGACCCCACTGGCAGACTTTCTGATTCAGTGGGTCCTGGATGGAGCCTGAGAACGTGCATTTCTAACAAATTCCCAGGTAATGCTGATGCTGATGGTCCAAGGACCACACTTTAAGAACCACTGGTCTGAAGACCTAACTTTTGGTCCTCAGTCCTGGGCTGTGCATTAGAGTCACCTGGGGAGTTTTAAAAAGATCTGCTGCAGGCCAGACCCTGGCCAATTAAATCAGAATCCCTAAAGTGAGGCCCAGGCATCTGGGCAATTCCAATGTGGCACTAAGGCTGAGAGCGGCTCACCTGCACCTTCTCACTTGTTCCTCACAGCTGGTAGGATTGTTCCTTTCTTATAGATTAGGAAACAGATTCAGAAGGGTTAGTTACTTCCTCAAGACCCCTTAGTCATACCAAAATTCAAACCAGGTGCCAGGTTCTTTCCGTTACTTTGTCATCCCTCCCACATCAGCAGATGAGAAAGCAGACCATAGCTTTGTACTATTTTTATAGCTAATAGTCATTATCACTAAGGGATGGGCACAGCTGCTGTTATTCTCACAACTGCTTGTCAATCATCATTACTCCCATTTGACAGAGGAAAAAACTGAAGCACAGAGAGGTAGGGCAACCTGACTTTGGCCACACAGCCAGGAAGTGCTGGAGCCAGAAATGAGCCCAGCACTCTGCAATACACTATGGGTCTTACCTGTCGGGACACAGAAGGTGGAGATGGAAGGGGAGGCTGGACCAAGGAGGAGGCCAGCAGATGTCAAAGCTGGAGCATAGGTGAGGCTAGCCAGTAGGTCCCATGCTAGCAAGCAGACAAAGACACAAAGGTGGAGGAGTCATCACTTGGAAAAAATTAGGGGAATGCTGGGGCATAACATTACCCGGGAGATGACACCGCAACCCTCTGCCTTGGCCAGGCTGCACCTTATATTCTTCTCATCTCACCAGGAACCAATCCCAGTGATTGCCCTGCCCAGGGCTTCCAGGCAAAGCATATGATTGGCTGTCACCATTTGAAGCCAGCCATGGGAGGAAAGAAGTACTAGCGTTCCTGAGCATAGGTGGTGTTCACAAAATGAGCTAGAAACAGTCTCGTTTGTGCTGCCCTCTCCCGTGTTCGTTCTCTCCATCTCCTGCATGGTCCCTCCAACTTCCTGCATCTGTCGCCTACCTCCCCAGCTCTGGACCTTGGCTCCACCTTCCTGATTCCAGCAGCTCCTCTCCCATTTGGCATAGTGTTCCCATGAACTGATAAGCTGTGACACAGTCACCCTGACCAGCCCACCTTTTGGCACAGCTCTCAGAATTTCCCATGTCTGAACTCCCAGGGACCCCTCATGCTGGGTCCATCCAGGCACACACCACCCACGTACTATGATGAGACCTGAGCCCACGTGACACTGGAAGGGCTTTTGATTCCTCCTGGTGCTAAGGTGGGCATCAGGTAGAGACCTACCTATGCATGCATATGGCCCTGAGCCTTTTCCTGAGAGCTATAGCCTGAGATAGCTGGAAACCCACAGATAGCAGAGCCTCTGAAAGCCACATTCACACCAAGCCCAGCACCTACAGGAACGCAGTCTTCAACAGAACAGGGGCTGGGCGCGGTGGCTCAGGCCTGTAATCCCAGCACTTTGGGAGGCCGAGGCTGGTGGACCTCGGAGTTTGAGACCAGCCTGGCCAACATGGTGACACCTTGTCTCTACTAAAAATACAAAAATTAGCCGGGCATGGTGGTGTGCACCCATATAGGGGTGTGGATGCCCTGAAGAACCACCCTGTTTACCAAGCCACGGGGAGTAGGCACAGTCCAGGTTTTATACACTCAGATTCTTCCTATCTTCTGGAATCTTGTAGTTTATAAGAGGGCAATTGGCCTGTTCAGGCAACAGTTCATGAGTTCAGGACTCACGCAGATCTGAAGAATTCTGGAGGTCTTCTACCTCCTCAAACCCTCCCCTCCTGTTCCTCGGTGGTGCCTGGAATTCCTTTAAAACAAGGTTTCTCAGCCTCAGCACTACTGACATTCAGGCCCAAACATTCTTTGCTGTGGGGGGCTGCCCTGCGCCGTGTGGGATGTTTAGCAGTATCCCTGGCCTCTGCCCAGTAGATGCCAGCAGCACCCCCTCACCAAACTATAGCAACCAAAAATGCCTCCAAACATTTCAAGTGTCCTCTGGGGGACACAACTGCCTTCAGCTGACAACCACTACAGTGAAGAATTACTCAGGCCACAACTTCTAAGAAAATGCAGACTGCAGAGAGAGGGAACGCCTGCACAGGAATGAACAGCAGCCATTGATTACTGAGTGTCTGCATGGGTGGATCACCTTATGAAGCCAGGGATGGGGTGTTGTTCTGAAGTCAATACAAGGCGTGAGAACTGTGTCTCGTCAAAAGTGCCCTTGCAACCTGGTCATCCCTCCATCAGGACATACGGCTGTTTCCTTATTTGAATACTGATGCGGGTGTGTTTTCCTAAAACATGGCAGTCACTTTCATGGCACAGTTGCCCATATGAACTATCTACACTGATGCAGGGGTAACTATTCTGCCAGGGATTCCGATGAAATGAACTAAACTTCATTCAGCCTAACACTGGCTCCTTACTTTTTTTTTTTTTTTTTTTTTTTGAGACAGGGTCTCACTCTGTTGCACAGGCTGGAGTGCAGTGGCACAATCACAGCTCACCAAAGCCTTGGCCTCCTGGGCTCAAGTGATCCTCCCACTTCAGCCTCCCAAGTAGCTGGGACTACAGGCGCATGCCACCATGCCCAGCTAATTTTTATGTTTTTTGTAGAAACAAGATCTTACTCTGTGGCCCAGGCTGGTCTCAAACTCCTGGGCTCAAGCTATCCTCCCACTTCAGCCTCCAAAAGTGCTGGGATTACAGGCATGAGCCACCACGCCTGGCTTCCTTCCTTACGTATGTTAAAGATCTCTCCCCTACACAGTGAACTGTAACCTAACTGGATGTGTGAACAGCCTGGAACCGACTCCTATACCAATCACAGAATTTTAGCCAATCGCAGGCAGCCAACTGTTCAAATCATGTTCAAATAAGGCAAACAAACAATGAGCAGTAACCAATCTGGCTGTTTCTGTACCTGACTTCCGTCTTCTGTGCATCACTTTCCTTTTTCTGTCTGTAAATATCATCCGACCACGTGGCAGCTTTGGGGTTGCTCTGAATCCATTCTGGTTCAGGGGGCTGCCCAATTCACGAATCATTCTTTGCTCAATTAAATTCTGTTAAATTTAATCTGCTTTAAGTTTTTCTTTTAACATTCCCAAATTTCAGGTACTGGGCAGCATCGTCATCATATTTCCCATATCCACATACCATCTACATAATCATTTAATATTTTTCTTCAAATCAGCCTGTTTCAGGCTTTAACATATGTATTTGAAATGAAATCTTTAAATTATTTCCACAAGTGGAAAACTACTATTGTTTTCCACCAATAGAGGGTACCATAACAATAGGCAAAATGGGAAAAATAAGTTAATAATTTTTTTTTTTTTTTGAGATGGAGACTCGCTCTGTCGCCCAGGCTGGAGTGCAGTGGCATGATCTTGGCTCACTGCAACCTCCACCTCCCAGGTTCAAGTCATTCTCCTGCCTCAGCCTCCCAAGTAGCTGGAACTACAGGCATGCGCCACCATGCCCAGCTAATTTTTGTATTTTTAGTAGAAACGGAGGTTTCACCATGTTGGCCAGGCTTATCTGGAACTCTTGACCTCAGGTGATCTGCTTGCCTTGGCTTCCCAAAGTGCTGGGATTACAGATGTGAGCCACCACACCTAGCTGGAAAAAAGAAGTTAATAATTATATCTAGGTTCTATTGCTTTCCAAAGCTTCTAAGCCTGAGGCCTGATGCCTTTGTTAGAAAGGCAGACGGGCAAAGGAAGGATAGGTGTTAAAGAGAGGTCGGCATCATGATGAGTCTTCCTCCGTGACACCATCAGAGAAGAGAGAGACTTTCTCCCTGGGATGCAGTGGTGTCTCATGAGGAGGGTAGCACAGGGCCAGGCTGCCAGCTCCACTTCCCCAGGGCTGGGCCGGTTTTAGAAACCAGCCGTCAGTAGCTTGGCTGCAGGCTCCAGTGCTGGAAGGAATCGGCTGCAAAGCACAAAAGCATTTCCCACTGCACAATGGGTTCCAGACCTCCTTGGACAAACAGAGGGGTTGGCAGTAGACACGCAGGGCCTCAGATCACCAGCAGGGGCCCTCACCCCTCAGACGCCAGGCCTTCCTGCCCAGGCCTTCCTGGGAAGGGGTGGTTTTGCTGATGCTAACAATGGCTGCTTGGGAGTCAAAACCCCAAAGAAACTTCAGAATGAAACCAAAGCCCTTCAAGGTTAAAATTCATAGCCCTTCTCTGTTCTGTTCAACCTCTTCCTATGCCTGGATGTTTTGTTTATCTGCCTGTCTGAGTTTCCTCTGATATATAAAGCAGAGTGCACAAATACAGGGCTACAGGATCAAGTAAATAATGCAAATGAGGGAAGCGTGCTGTAATAGGGAGTGGTGGGGTCTGAGGCTAACTGGAGCACCTGACCCAAAGAGAGGCAGCAGCCACTCAACCCTTACCCACTGTTCCCCTGTAGAAACATGAGCTCTGAATTGCTAGAGCTACTAATTTTTCAAGAGACGCTGGAAATCTGAAATTTTTTTATGTGAAATCACCATTTTTTACCAAATATTTTTTGAACTCTGTGAGAGTGCATACAAATATGTGTACATGAGTGTTCACAGCAGCTTTATTTGTAACAGCCCCAAACTGGAAACAACCGAAATGCTTATCAACAGGTGAGGCCACGTACGGTAGCTCACGCCTGTAATCCTAGCACTTTGGGAGGCTGAGGCCGGTGGATCACCTGAAGACCAGCCTGGCCACCATGGTTAAACCCTATCTCTACTAAATATACAAAAAAAAAATAGCTGGGCAAGGTGGTGCATGCCTGTAATCCCAGCTACTCGGAAAGCTGAGGCAGGAGAATCGCTTGAACCTGGCAGGCGGAGGTTGCAGTGAGCCGAGATCGTGCCACTGCACTCCAGCCTGGGCAACAAAGAGAGACCCTGTCTCCAAAAAAAAATTATAAAAGGGAGATTGGCAGGTGTTAAAAGAGGTAAGGAAGGCATTCTAGCACTTTTGAGATGGTCAGAAGCAATGAAGAAGGAATAACCTTCTCATTGTATGATTCAGTGATATTAATGCTATATCCATGTAACACATATAATATTTCACCTGCCAGGGTCTAGTTCCCACAATGTCAGAATAAGCACTTTCTCCATAGAAGTATCCCTGACCCCACACATCCTACCCCCAAAAACCATATTTATGCATCTTTTCCCCCTACACATTAAGAGATCCCCCACTCAAATGCACATTCACTTGGGTAATTGCATGTAAATGAGGGGTTGTTTTTCTGGAAGTTTCCAGGGCCCTGGGTCTCAGAGGAATCAGCACTCAAAGGCAGCAACCCACTCTGTGGCCACCAACTTCTTTAGTCCAGAGAAGTCACCAGCTCCTTTGCTAGCAGTGGTCAGTATGACACAGTGATACCTGGAGCCTCAAAGTGCAAGGATGAGGCCCCGGGGCAAGCTATGAGGCTTGGGGTGTGGCCGAGGTGACAGAACTCTAGCATCCCAGTGAACAGATGAGGCTGTCTGCACAGCCCCAAACCACTGTCTGCACGTGGAGCCGTGTAGATTTGGTCTTACAAGGTGGATTCCTGTGACCACTTGGGAAATAACTGCCTTGCAGCATAGGTAAGGATGGGCACTTGGAATTTTCCAGAAATGCCTTTTGCCAAGGACTATCAGGCTAAGCTCAACTAATAACAGTTACATTTTTAAAGAGAGCATTTCAGTCCGGGCACGGTGGCTCAAGCCTGTAATCCCAGCACTGTGGCAGGCCAAGGCGGGTGGATCACCTGGGATCAGGAGTTTGAGACCAGCCTGGTCAACATGGTGAAACCTCATCTCTACTAAAAATACAAAAATTAGCCGAGCATGGTGGCAGCTGCCCAGCTACTCAGGAGGCTGAGGCAGGAGAATCACTTGAACCTGGAAGGCAGAGGTTGCAGTAAGCCAAGATCTCGTCACTGCACTCCAGCCTGCACGATAGAGTGAGACTCCACCTCAAAAAAAGAAGAGAGCATTTCAAATCCTCTAGCCAAAGTAAACTGTTGAAAAGTGAAATGGTTGCTATACATTTATCTTCATTGCATCAAATTCCTTTATTATTTTAGAATAACACCATGTGAAATTCACCAACCAGAAGACAAATCCTTGCTCAGGAAAATGTCAATAGCGTAGGGTTGGAGTTTGGTGCATTTCAGATGGGTGCTAACTTATTTGCAGAACAGCTGGTGATTAAATTATGACTATTAATAAAAATCCATGAGGTTGCAAAAACCCTCCAGTCTGTAGTGATGAGGTTGTTAGTAATAATTCAAAACTTCCCTGGAGGAATTTTTATTTTTATTTATTTATTTATTTATGTATTTATTTATTTATTTCAACTTATTTTAATTTTAATTTTTTAGAGACAATGTCTTGCTCTGTCACCCAGGCTGGAGTGCAGTGCCACGATCATAGCTCACTGCAGCATCAAACTCCGGGGCTCAAGGGATCCTCACTAGAGGAATTTGGAAAGCGAAAAGGTTTTGCTCTCCCCACCTCCATTCAAAAGATCCTTTCTCTCTCCATCAGTAATTATATTAATACTTACAGTTACCTTTTTACTGAGTGTTTATCATTTGTCAAGCACTGTTTTAAGAGCTCCAGAGATTACCTCATTAATACAGTAATGTTACCATGTAGAAATTCTTATCCCTGTTTCACAGGTGAGAAACCAGGTACCAATAGCCAACTAAAAGAGCCTTTCCAAGTCATCCCCAGACCACAAACTTCAGGCAATGAAACATGACAATGAACTACATTTGATCCACCGTATGAGATGCCTCATTAAAAGAAGATGCACAAGAGCCAAAAGATGGACGCCACCAAGTCTCCATAAATGGATGAATGGATAAAGAAAACGTGGTATAGACAGACAATGGAATATTACTCTGACTTGAAAAAGAAGGAAATTCTGACACATGCTACAACATGGATGAGCCTTGAAGACATTATGCCAAGTGAAATTAACCAGTCACAGGAGGACAACTACTGTATGATTCCACTTATATGAAGTCCATAGAGTAGTCAAATTATCAAAGACAGAAAGCAGAATGGTAGTTACTTGTATTTGTCTGTTCTAATGCTGCTGCTAATAAAGACATACCCAAGACTGGGATATTTATAGAGAAAAAGAGATTTAATGGACTCACAGTTCCACATGACTAGGAAGGCCTTACAATCATGGTGGAAGGCAGAGGAGGAGCAAACGCACGTCTAACATGGCAGCAGGCAAAAGAGAATGTGCAGGGGAACTCCCTTTTATAGAACCACCAGGTCTCAAGAGACTTATTCACTATCACGAGAAAAGCACGGGAAAAACCTGCCCCCATGGTTCAATTACCTCCCACTGAGTCCCTCCCACTGACACATGTGGTTTATGGGAGCTATAATTCAAGATGAGATCTGGGTGGAAACACAGCCAAATGATATTACCATGGATATGGGGGGAGATGGAAAAGGGGAGGGAGTGTTTAATGGGTGCAGAGTTTCAGACTGGGAAGATGGAAAAGTTCTGGAGATGGATTGTGGTGATGGATGCACAATGTATGAATGTACTTAATGCCACAGAACTGTACACTTAAGAGTGGTTAAAATGCTAAGTTTTATGTTATGTGTATTTTACCATAATAAAAATGGGTCTTTGCATGAAAAAAAGAAAAAGGGACATTTAAGGCATTCATTCATGCATGCTTCATTCTTTAAAAAAAAACCTCAGTACAAAACTCAACATTGCAGGCTGGGCATGGTGGCTCACACATGTAATTCCAGCACTTTGGGAGGCAGAGGCAGGTGGATCACTTGAGCCCAGGGAACTTGGGCCCGGAAGTTCAAGACCAGCCTGGGCAATATGGCAAAACGCCGTCTCTACAAAAAATACAAAAATTAGCTGGGGCGTGATGGCGGGGGGTGTCTGTAATCCCAGCTACTCAGGAGGCTGAGGCAGGAGAATCACTTGAACCAGGGAGGCAGAGGTTGCAGTGAGCCGAGATTGCGCCACTGCACTCCAGACTGGGTTACAGAGCGAGACTGTCTCAAAAAAACCACCTCAACATTGTAGATTCCTTCCATTCATTGCAGAAAGATGTAAGGAGTACCAGGCAGTTATTAAGCAGTAGGGGGACAAGGTTAAATCAGGAGCAGTGCTCTGAAAACATATAGGCAAGTAAATCAACTAGTACATTAAGATCACAGCCACTAGCACAAACATGGTGCCTACTATGTGCCCGCACTCCTTCAGGTGTTATGCCTGCATTAACTCAATCCTCACGGCAGTTATTTTTTGTTTTTGTTTTTTTTTGTTTTTTTTTTTTGAGACAAGATCTTGCTCTGTTGTCCAGGTTGGATGGAGTGCAGTGGTGCAATCACAGCTCACTGCAGCCTCCACCTCCCAGGCTCAAGTGATCCTCCTTGCCTCAGCCTCCTGTGACAGTAATTCCTATCCTCATTCTACAAACAAGGAGACTGAGGCTCAGAGAAGTTAAGAAAGTTGTCCAAGTTTATAGAGGATTCATCATAACCATGCAGTCTGGCTCAGGGTCAGTGCTTCTAGCCAAAAGATATGAGATGGAAGGAGCAATGAAAACACAGTCTCAGAACGCAGTGGCCACCCAGAGATGGTGAGTGCAAATAAACCGTGGAGTTTAGGAAGGATTCCTGGAGGAAGCGACTTTTGAGCTAAGTTCCAGAGCAGGGGTTGTCAAAACTACAACCTGTGGACCAAATCCAGCCCACTGCCTAGTTTTGTGAAGTTTTATTGGAACACAGCCACACTCATTTTTGTACAGATTGTCCACGGCTGCTTTTGCAGTATAGAGGCAGAAACCGTATTGCCTGCAAAGCTGAAAACAGTTATCATCTAGCCTTTGACAGGAAAAGTTTGCCAACCCTGTCCTAGAGGATTAGTAGGAAAATAGTTCATGAAAGATAAAGGGAAGGTGCACAGGCCAACTCGATGCCAACTTTGCCTTCTCCAGGTATCTCACCCTTTTCTGGTCCTTCTTCCACTTGATGTCACCACCACAGCACAGGCAGCCTTCCCCACTCCCTGGGCCTCTTCTGGAGCCTCCTAACCACTGCACCCATTCTATTTTTTTTTTTTTTTTTTTTTTGAGACAGATTCTCACTCTGTCTCCCACGCTGGAGTGCAGTGGTGAGATCTCGGCTCATTGCAACCTCTGCCTCTTGGGTTCAAATGATTCTCCCGCCTCAGCCTCCCGAGTAGCTGGAATTACAGGTGCATGCCACTATGCCCAGCTGATTTTTTGTATTTTTAGTAGAGATGGAGTTTCACTATCTTGGCCAGGCTGGTCTCGAACTCCTGACCTCAAGTAATCCTCCTGCCTCTGCCTTCCAAAGTGCTGGGATTACAGCCGTGAACCACCACGCCCGGCCGCTGCATCCATTCTTAACCTCTGCGTCCCTTCTGCCACGCAGGCAGAAAAGAAATCAACAAAAGGACAAGCTTGGATCCAAACACTGTCCTGCTTAAAATCTTCAAAGGCTCCCCATTGCTCTTAGGTAGGAATCCAAACCCTTCACCAGGCCTACCCAGACCCACCTGCCCCTTCCTCCAGCTTCATCCCGGACGCTTCCTTTGCCCTTGCTGCTCTCTCCGGAATCCTCTTCCCACCAACTTTTGGCCGCTCAACTCCCTGTTGATCTGTTCTCGGTGGCAACGTCCCCTGCTTCTCTGCTCCACCCAGTGTGGGTCCCATGAGAATATCTGGCTCACCCACCCTTGCTCCCTCCCTATAAAAATGTTGCAATGATTTCATGGAAACTCCTGTTTCGAGGCCAGTCATGGTGGCTCACGCCTGTAATCCTAACACTTTGGGAGGCTGAGGTGGGAGGACTGCTTGAGCCCAGGAGTTTGAGACCAGCCTAAGCAACATAGCGAAACCCTGTCTCTACAAAAAACTAAAAAACCTAGCCAGGTGTGGTGGCACGCACACGTAGTCTCAGCTACTTGGGTCGCTTGAGCCCAGGAGTTCAAGGCTGCAGTGAGCCGTGATTGTGCCACTGTGCTCCAGCCTGGGCAACAGAGCAAGATCATCTCAGAAAAAAAAAAAAAAAAAAAAAAAACAGAGAGAGAAGAAAAGAAAAATAAACTTTATTTATTTATTTTATTGTCTCTTTTGGAGTACCAGATCAACGGGTGGCAGATGTAGGTGGGCTGAAACTACCACTGTAATTTCCATCAAACCCTGCCTGCAGCCCACTAATCCCCCCAAAGATAGAGACACAATAAGAAAGGGCACAGTTCTTATTTTTTTTTTTTTTCTTGATACGGGGTCTCGCTGTCACCCAGGTTGGAGTGCAGTGGTGTGATCTTGGCTCACTGCAACCTCTGCCTCCCAAGTTCAAGCGAGTTCTCCCACCTCAACCTCCCCAAGTAGCTGGGATTACAGGCAAGCACCACCACACCTGGCTAATTTTTTCTATTTTTAGTAGAGCCAGGGTTTCACCATGTTGGCCAGGCTGGTCTCAAATTCCTGGCCTCAAATGATCTGCCCGCCTCAGCCTCCCAAAGTGCTGGGATTACAGGTGTGAGCCACTGTGCTTGGCCTTAAAAAGGGGTACTGTTCTGCAAACACAAATTCAAGGCTAGTTCCCTCTGACTTGACTATCATCCAAGTTCTTTCTGTGTATAAATTTCACAGCCACCACTGTTCCTCCAGGAGAATGTCAAGTCCCCAGAGGCCAGCGCCCATGTTTATACGGCTCCTCATTTTATTCCTAGTGCCTAGCGCAGCATCTGGCACCCAGTGGGAATCTAAATTTGCATTGAGCAGGGACTATAAATTCCATCCAAAGAGGACTCCAAGAGCCAACCCAGAGGTGTGAAAAAGCATGACGCAAAACGCCTAAAGGGCACACTGGTGTAGGCATAGCACGCAGACGACAGAATCGGGCAGTGCTGCAGACTCCTCAGATCCAAAAAGCACCCCACCCCTCAGCAGGGAACCTTTAGACTGTTACGGTACCGTTCAGGCCTTTGGAAGTCAAAGATTACACTTCCAAAGATGCTGCTGTGGACGGAGAAGATGTGCAGAAGTGGCAGAGACTATGGTGTGCCGGGCTCCGTTCTCTGCACTCGCGCTCGGCCACATGGGTCTTAGATGGAAAATAAGGGGTCCTGGGAGTGTCACAGCCTCTTGGGCACAGCTAGGCCAAGCTCCAGGCTTGTAAGCAAGACAAGATGGACTATGGATGCTTAAATCCCCCCAGGAAGCTCAGCCCTTGGCCCCTTTTAGGAAGAAAAAGACCACAGACCTTGGGAGAGAGGGTACTGCTTTGGCACCAGGGGCAGGGCCAGCTTGGCCCAGATAACACTCAGATTCACGGGAGAAGGGTGAGGGCTTGGCAGAGAAGGCAGGGGTCCTGGGAGGATCTGCTCACCTTCGCCAGCTGCGTCTGCAGCTTATTCTTCACATCCGTCACCTCAGAGATGCGGGCGTTGAAGGCCAGGTTGGTGTCTGTGAACTGCCTCCACATCTGATCCGACAAGGTCTCAAAGAGGTGCTCCGCCTCCTCCCGCAGCTGGATGGAGTTGGCCCGCATGTTCTGAGAGTGTTTGATGTTGTCGTTACTGAACTTGGCCCAGGTCTCAGGTACGGAGATCCTGCAAAGGCACAAGGGTGAGTTGCAGCAGTCCTGGAAGACCTCAGAATCTGTGGTTTCTCCGCCTTGGCAGTCTTGGCCTCTGGGTCGGGATTATTCTCTGTCCTGTGCATTGTAGGGTGCTTGGGATGTTTAAGCAGCATCCCTGGCCTCTACCCACTAGATGCCAGTAGCTCCCCAACCACCCCGTTGTGACAACCAAAAAATGGCTCCAGACATCGCCAAATGACCCTGCCAAATGGGAGGGTGCAGTCGCCCCTTGTTGAGAACCACTGTCCTGATCCAATACCCTCATTTTACAGGGGAAGCAAGAGAACCCTAAAGAGAGCAGCTGGTTGGCAGAAGGGCACTCAGTGAGTGGGTCAAAGAGAGGGGCTCCCGCAGAGAGCTCTTTTCCCTAACACCCACACCACCACCACCAGAAACACAACGTGGACAAGCCAAGAAGCAGGCTTTGGGCCTGCTTCTTCATTGGGGTCCCTGAACCCCCTAACTCTGCGATGGGAATGTGGCCACGCTACTTTCACTGCCATTCATTCATGGAATATTTCTTCAACTTCTACGACATGCCAAGCATTGTTCCAGGCAGTTAGGAGAGAGCCATGAACAAGAACGGCAACATCCGTGTCCTCATGGCGGTTAAGTGCCAGAGGAGGGAGATTGACAGTGAATGAGGAGATAGTTACACATTGTGTTATGTGCTGGGAAGGGATTTAGAAACTGGAGGGCTGGGCCAGCCATGCCTCTAATCCCAGCACACTGGGAGGCCAAGGCAGGCAGATCAGTTGAGTCCAGGAGTTCAAGACCACACTGGGCAATGTGGTGAAACCCACATCTCTATAAAAAATGTCAAAAAAAAAAGTACCTACATGTGGTGGTGCATGCCTGTGGTCCCAGCTACTTGGGAGGCGGAGGTGGGAGGATCGCTTGAGCCCAGGAGTCCGGGACTGCAGTGAGCCATGATCGCACCACTGCACTCCAGCCTGGGCAACACAACAAGACCCTGTCTCAAAAGAAGCAGCAGCAGCAGGAGGATGAAAGAGACAAATGGAGTGGTGTCATTATGTGTTGGTCAGGGTTGTAAACGGGAATAGATGGAATACTCGGAAGGGTGTTGAGATCGTCTGGGATTAGAAAATGTATGAAGTGCTGAATGTGATGGCTCATGGCTGTAATCCCAGCACTTTGGGAGCCCGAGGCGGGCGGATCACTTGAGGCCAGGAATTTGAGACCAGCCTGGCCAACATGGTGAAATCCCGTCTCTACTAAAAATATAAAAATTAGCCGGGTGTGGTGGCACACGCCTGTAATCCCAGCTACTCGGAAGGCTGAGGCAGGAGAATCACTTGAACTGGGAGTCAGAGATTGCAGCGAGCCGAGATCACGCTACTGCACTCCAGCCTGGGCAACAGAGTAAGACCCTGTCCCCCCCAACAAAAAAATAAAAAGAAAATGCATGAAGCTGTCACTATCCCAGCTGTAAAGGGCAAGAGAAAAGGAAGCAATAGGTGTTATAAAAGCCCCAGAAAAGGAGGAACCATGGTTGACCAGTGTGTCTGGGAGGGAGGTAGCAGGAGAAGAAATCGCAGCCTCTCCCCTCCCACACTCTGTCTTCTGCTGGTACCCCTCCTCCAGGCTGAAACCATCTGGAAACCAAAGGACAGAGAGCCCAGGAGAGGTCTGCAGAGGATAGTCGGCCATGCAGGACTCACAGCGTGGTAGCTGGAGAATGGATCTGGGGAGATCAATGGACATGGACACAGGCTACATTAGCAAAGGCAGGCAGGGAAGGCTTCTTAGAGGTGGTGACACATGAGGAACTCCTCAGTAAAGTTCTTCCTGGCAGAGCATGTAAATCCCTGCAACAAGCAACCAATGGACTATGTGGGGTTTTCTCATCTGGGAAGGCTTTGAGGAAGGGCATGCATTTCTTTGACCTGGCTTCAGGTCCTGGGTAACTTCTGAAGGTCTTGAGTGGCGGGATCTCGGCTCACTGCAACCTCTGTCTCCCACGTTCAAGCAATTCTCCTGCCTCAGCCTCCCATGTAGCTGGGACTACAGGCGAGTGCCACCACACTTGGCTAATTTTTGCATTTTTTGTAGAGACGGGGTTTCACCATGTTGGCCAGGATGGTCTGGATCTCTTGACGTCGTGATTCGCCCACCTCAGCCTCCCAAAGTGCTGGAATTACGGGTCTGAGCCACCGCACCCGGCCTCTTTTCAGACATTTTAAAGCACACTTAGGTTGCATGGTGCATAGAAAGTTTTAAAAATCATATAGCTTGTGTGATTGTTTTGCTTGGCTTTTGCAGGAGTTAAAAATCAAGCAATAAACAGGCATCTCGGGCTTCTGGAGATAGGAGTGGCACTAAGTCAGGTTCAGAGCTTTCATCCAACCAAGACCTGAGGCTCAGAGAGTGAAGCATCTTGTTCAAGGCCGCACAACAACGTCCCATCCCAGGACACTGAGGAAAGAGGAGACAATAAGGACAGCAGAGAGAAACATGCAGATTTACTTTGAGTGTCTCTGTTGCCTCTGAATGGGGGGACAGTGTCAGTGTCATAAACAGCAACCTCTAAGCCCTTGTCCTCCCCTGCAGCAGGCAGCTGAGCTCCCCAGAGAAAATAACCCGCTTAATCACATTCTCCCTGGGGAGGAATTTGCCAAAGACAGTCTGCCTCCTCAGCAGGCAGTGTGTCTCAGTAGGGGGAAGTGCTTTCTGGAGTCTTTGTTCTCTAAAGATGGAGAGGACAGCTGGCTTTGCTGGAGAGGCAGGAAGGCACCATTGGTAAAACACACAGGCTCAGTATTCAATGTAGATTCAGAATCACAGCTCTGCCATTTGCTGTGTGAGCTTGAGCCAATCGATTCACCTCTCCGAGCCTTAGTTTCCTCATTGTAAAATGGAGATAATAATGGTACCAACCCCCAGGGTTGCTGAGTGTTTAAATGTGAAGTCCTTGTCATGGCACTGGACAGAGTAAGCGCCCAAAAAATGTTTATTATTCATGAGATGTTGCATATGAAGCTGTCAGCACAATGTCTAGCACATAGCAAACACCAGGTAAAAGGTGTCTCTCCCTGCCCAACATGGTGAAACCCTGTCTCTACTAAAAATACAAAAATTAGCTAGGCGTGGTGGCATGTGCCTGCAGTCCCAGCTACTCGGGAGGCTGAGGCAGGAGAATCACTTGAACCTGGGAGGCAGAGGTTGCAGTGAGCCGAGATTGTGCCACTGCGCTCTGGCCTGGTGACAGAGCGAGACTCTGTCTAAAAAAAAAAAAAAAAGGTGTCTACTGCCATCATCATTATCATCATTGTTAATCCATGGTAATGAGAACTGCAGTGAATAGAGATACTGCAATTCAGACAGTCACCAAACGTCCTGTTTCATCCGCCCAGACATAGCCCTGCTTTAAGAAAACCCTAAGGCCAGGGGTGGTGGCTCACACCTGTAATCCCAGAAATTTGGGAGGCCGAGGCGGGCAGATCACCTAAGGTCAGGAGTTTGAGACCAGCCTGACCAACATGCAGAAACCCCATCTCTATTAAAAATACAAAAAATTTAGCTGGGCGTGATGGCACATGCCTGTAATCCCAGCTACTCAGGAGGCTGAGGCAGGAGCATCGCTTGAACCCAGGAGATGGAGGCTGTGGTGAGCCGAGATCGCACCATTGCCCTCCAGCCTGGGCAACAAGAGCGAAACTCGGTCTCAAATAAATAAATAAATAAATAAATAAGAAAACCACAAATACAAAGCCCCAAGCTAGCACATCTGGGGAGCAATTAGTTGCTACAAACAGCAGCTCTCTTCTCCAGATGGAGTCTCCAGATGGGGGACTTTAAGGAGCAGGTCCCTCCTGGGTGTGGAAATTGGAGGCTCTGGGGCTGCCAGGTTTCTGGAGAGGAATCTGTTTGGGAAGAGAGACCCTCTGGACTCCCTGTGCAGATGAGGGGGGCCCAGCCCCCAAAGTCCTGCTCACCTTGCCAGTGCCATGGAGGAGAGCACCTTGTCAGGAAGAGAAGGAAAGTCCCCAGGAGTTGTCATTACCAGAAGTCCCAAAGGGTCACCTCAGCACTGTGACATTTGTAAGATCCAGAAAGTGACCCCAGGCTTGGGCCAAGGAGAATGCCAAGGAACACCTTCCTTCTCGCTTCCCTTCCTCCCTTCCTGTGGTTCTTCTTTCCCTCCCTTCCTCCTTCATTCATTCTTCTATTCAATAAAAATTTATTGCATACCAACATGTGCCAAGCACAATTCTATGTGCTAGGGATTTTTTTTTTTTTTTAACAGAAGAAGGCAGAACTAAGATAGACTCCACCCTCTTTCTCATCCCGAGCATCTCTCAGACCTCAGACTACCAACTGGGAAGCATGTTTTCATTCTGCATAAAATCTCACAATAGCAAAGACTTGGAGCCAACCCAAATGTCCAACGATGATAGACTGGATTAAGAAAATGTGGCACATATACACCATGGAATACTATGCAGCCATAAAAAATGATGAGTTCATGTCCTTTGTAGGGACATGGATGAAATTGGAAATCATCATTCTCAGTAAACTATCACAAGAACAAAAAACCAAACACCGCATATTCTCACTCATAGGTGGGAACTGAACAATGAGAACACATGGACACAGGAAGGGGAACATCACACTCTGGGGACTGTTGTGGGGTGGGGGGAGGGGGGAGGGATAGCATTAGGAGATATACCTAATGCTAGATGACGATTTAGTGGGTGCAGCGCACGAGCATGGCACATGTATACATATGTAACTAACCTGCACATTGTGCACATGTATCCTAAAACTTAAAGTATAATAATAATAATAAATAAATAAATAAGAAAAATACCAAAAAAAAAAAAAAAACCTCACAATGCTGTGATATGCCCACGATCATGACAGGCTCACAGAAGGCACCACCTCATAGCTGCTGTGACGAGAAAATGAGGTCACACAGTAAGCACTTGATAAATGTTGGCTGTGATTATTCTATACTAGGCTCTGTGCTTAAAACTTCACACACCCACCTTTTTCATACTCCCAGCAGCCCTGGGAAGTGGGTACTTAATTTTCTCCCAGTGGTATAGATTCAGAAATGGCCCAAAGAAATGAAGTGACTTGCTCAGTGTTAGCGTAGAGGCTGGGATTTGAAGCCACGTAGCCTGGCTCCAGATTCCACTCTCTGTCTCTCTCTCTCTCTCTCTCTCTCTCTCTCTCTGGCTGGTCTGGAAAACTCCTGGAACTCCTGGCCTCAGGCAATCCTCCAGCCTTGGCCTCCCAAAGGGCTGGGATTACAGGGGTAAGCCAACAAGCCTGGCGAAGCAAGAATTCACTCTGTTAAACCACCCCGCCACCAGCCGACCCCAGTTGGTCTCCCTGCCGAGGTTGTCACTTGTTTCGGAATTTTTTTTTTTTTTTTGGTGAAACTGCTGAGTGGCAGTGGCTGTGCGACCCTCACTAAGCCAATGCCATGCCCTCTCTTCCTGAAATTTGGATCTTGAATGGTGGGGCAAGGATGGAAAGATGAAGGCGCTCTGACCACACAGCTCCTACTGCCAGAACCTTTCCTTCCCGCTTTCCCCTTGAGTTCGTGGCTCCCCCATACCTCCTCCGGTAAATTCCATCTTGTCTTAAGCTAACCCGACTTGGATTCTGCCGCCTGCGCTAGAGGATCCCCGTTCAACCATGCCACTTCCCACTTAACTGGTGCACGATGCCCCTTCGCCATTCGTTGGCAGGAGCAGAAGCCCTCACTCCAGTTGGACACGCCAGGGATGGGGAGGGGGAGTCTGATACTTACGTGCCGTCAATTTTCTCCATGCCGTGGAAGAAGCTGATGCAGTCTGACGTATTTCTCAGGTTAAAGCACTTCTCATCGATACACTGGGCCGAGCTTTTGTCTTCGAGGTCCCTCTCCAGCACGTGCTGAGCATCCCGGTTATCCCTGCAGGGAGGGAGGAGTCATTCCTGGACTATGCACCTGCACAGAGTACCCAGCTTGGGCCACACAGCAGGTGTGTGTTGCAAGCCCTGGACTCCCAGAAAGCCACCCAGTAGCTTCTCAGTCCTCTTCCCACCTCCATGTCCCACCACATACCCAGAGGCTCCCCCCAATCCAAACAGATTTGTCCTTTATTCTTTTTTTTTTGTTTCCAGACAGAGTCTCACTCTGTCACCCAGGTTGGAGTGCAGTGGTGCAGTCATGGCTCACTGCAGCCTTGACCTCCCAGGCTCAAGCACTCTTCCCACCTCAGCCTCCTGAGTAGCTAGGGCTACAGGCATGGGCCACCAAGCCCGACTAACTTTTTAAATATTTTTGTAGACATGGTCTTGCTGTGTTGCGCAGGCTGGTCTTGAACTCCTAGGCTCAAGTGATCCCCCTGCCTCAGTTTCCCAAAGGGTTGAGATTACAGGCATAAGCCACCACACCTGGCCCCTGCTGTCCTTTAGAAGAAGGATGGGTAAGCACTTACCGTAAAGGGTTACATGATAAATAATTTAGGCTTTGTGGGTCATATGGTCTCTGTTGCAACTACTCAACTGTGCACGAGAGCAGTCGCAGATATGTAAAAATCCATGTGGCTTCATCTCAATAAAACTTTATTTACAAAAACAGATGGCGGGCCAGATTTGTCCCTCCAGCTGTAGCTTGCTGACCTAATTTTGAAGATATCAATCCACACTTTGGACAAAGCCTGATGCAAGTCAAATCACTTTGTAAATCAATCATTGTGTCTGACCCTATGCTGGGCACCGAGGGATGAGACGCAAATAAGACGACCCAGTCACTCCCTTCAGGTTGCTCACAGATTTGTGTGAACAAATATAAAATATATGTATATATGTACAGAACAGAATGGTAAGGGCATTGTGCAGGTTTGAAAATATGAAACAACACAGAGGAAACCATTAACTGAGGGTGAGAGGGTGGTCAGGGAAGGCTTTCCAAGGTGTCTGAGCTGGGTTTTCACAATAAATAGGAGTAGACCTTATGGGGGAATGAGAATTCCAAGCCGACAACATCACACGTGCCAACACAGAGAAGCTAGAAACACCAGATGTTTAGGGACCTCAGGATCAGGAACTGGGTGGAGTCAGGGGCTACGTGAGGACAGGGATTGGGTGGGGTCAGGGACTGGGCGGGGTCGGGGGCTAGGTGAAGACAGGAATTGGGTAGGGTTGGGGCTGGGTGGGATCAGAGACTGGGCTGAGGTAAAGAGAGGACAATGGATCAGGGCCAGGGCTTAAGCCAGGAGGGCTGGTTGGTATCTCGGCTAAGAAGCTTAGACTTAAAGATTACTGCCAAATTCCAGACATTTGAGAATCACTTCCACGATTCTTGCCAAATACCAAACTCGACTATTTACTTATTTTTCCTTTTTAAAATCACTTTTATTTAATTAATTAATTTTTTTGAGATGGAGTTTTCCTTTTGTCGCTTAGGCTGGAGTGCAGTGGCACGATCTCAGCTCACTGCAACTTCCGCCTCCTGGGTTCAAGGGGTTCTCCTACCTCAGTCTCCCTAGTAGCTGGGATTACAGGCACCCGCCACCACTCCCGGCTGATTTTTGTGTTTTTTTAGTAGAGATGGGGTTTCATCATGTTAGCCAGGCTGGTCTTGAACTCCTGACCTCAGGCGATCCGCCTGCCTTGGCTTCCCAAAGTGCTGGGATTATAGGCATAAGCCACCGCACCTGGCCTAAAATCACTTTAAAAATGTAAATAAATGTATGATAAAAGGAAAATTTACATCCCTGTCTTTAAAGAAAAACCCATCACCCTTTCCATTAATAGAAGATCACCTCAGACCTAAATATTAATACTACGTAGGCACTCGCTAAATCCTAGCTAGAATCTATTTCCTCCAGAAGGTTCTAAGCCTGGACCTTTTTCTGTTTCCCTGTTGGCTGAAAAAAAAAGAGATCAGTTGATGGTACAGACACATAAGCAGCAGCTGAAACTTTTGCCTTGAAGTGTTTAGAAGAATTGTTAGAGTAGAGAAGGGAGTAACTTCCATTAAGTGAGGGTATGTCAGACACCAGCTAAACCGAGTGTATCTGTTCTCTATCTGTCTCTCTGCCTTTCTCTCTCCCTCCCTTCTTGTGTCTATGTCTCTGTCTCTCTAACCTTTGTCTCTTTCTTGGTTTCTCTCTGTCTGAGCCTCTGTGTGTCTCTGTGGGTCTCTCCCTCCCTCCCCTCCATCTTTTTTTTTTTTTTTCCTGCTGTGGATGTTGGTTGCGGGTGAGGGGTTCCCAGCAGGCCAGGAGCCAGGAAGTGAAATCCTCACAGTGGTGGCGGTTCCCACCTATCAGGAAGCTCGGGTCATGTCGGAGCAGGAGGAACCCCAGTCCCGGGGCCCTTGGGGTTTCCAAATTGGCAGAGTCCTGGAGAAATGGGGCCCTGTCCTGCCTAATGAGCTGGAATGTGAAGCGAGGCCAGGATGTGGAAAGCAAACATGTTAGAGAATTAGAGGGAAACCTGGGGGCCTCAGAGTCCAGCGTGTCCAGCTGCCTGGCCCTTGTCATGAGGCCTAGGGAAAGAGGAGGCAGTCCTGTCCTCCCTACTCGGCCCACAACCAAGGGCCAGACCAATGCCAAGCTCACCCTGCTGTCAGCCCACCAGGAAAAGACCAAACGTGGCTCCTTCTCTATCAGGAAGAGCCTTTTCTCACCTGGTGCAGCAAGGACCCCACCCTGCCCAGATGCGGGCCTCAGGCTTCGCAGAAAACCATGAGCCAAGAGCCTGGTGTTGGCCACCTGAGCAGGTCAGTGGCAGAGCTTCCCCAAGGGGGTGAGGACACACCAGACTCTGCCTGGCTAATGAGGCTCTGGCTGGCTCTCGGTTAATTAGTATAACCCCAATCCCTCTGGCAGCACAAGCTGTGAGATGGCAGGAGTCATCTGACACACAGCCACTGCCCAGCGACAAACAGCCTCCATCCGGCGTGGCTCGGCCTCCAGTCTCCACAAAGTGAAATGCTGCCCTGACCTGCTCTCATCCTCTTCCTCACTCACTCTGTGCTTGCTTTCTCTCTCTCCTGCTGTCTGCCTCAGTTGCTCTCATCTCTCTCGGTCTCTATCCAAGCTCAAGCATCTCCCTCTCTCTTTCTCTCTCTCTCTCTTTTTTTGAGACAGTCTTGCTCTGTGGCCCGGACTGGAGTGCAGTGGCACGATCTTGGCTCACTACAACCTCCGCCTCTTGGGTTCAAGCGATTCTCCTGCCTCAGCCCCCTGAGTAGCTGGGATTAGAGACATGTGTCACCACCCAGCTAATTTTGTGTTTTTAGTAGAGACGGGGTTTCACCATTTTGGCCAGACTGGTCTCGAACTCCTGACCGCAAGTGATCCACCCACCTCGGCCTCCCAAAGTGCTGGGATTACAGACATGAGCCTCCACGCCCAGCCTCTTTTCCTCTTTCTCCATATCTGTCTCTCTCCTTCTCTTTGCCTTTCTCTGTCTCTATCTCATCTCTTGCCAGATACTTCTGGCATATCTGACTCTGTGCCTCTCTGTCCGTCTGTCTCCCTACTCCCCACCCGTCTCTGTTTATCTCTTCATGTCTCTGTCTCTTTTGATGTCAGTGCTCATCTCTCTCTCTGTGTCTCTCAGTCTCTGGGACTGTCTCCATCTGTCTCAGTCTTCCTGGTTCTCCCAGATCCCCCCACCTCTGGTTGCATCATCTGGGGTTGCAAAAGCGGCCTCCTGATCCCAGTCTCAGGATTTCTCCTCTGAGGTCCAGCTCCCCACTTCAAGTCTGGGATTAGTTCACTCTGCCGGCTCAAACTATCCCACTTCCCAAACGTCAGCCCTCCTGTCCCCACCAGCGCCACGGTTTTTCACATCCCATCGCAGCTACAAATGGAAAACCATTCTCTCTTGCCATAAATAGAAGATCACAAAAATAACTGGAAGAAAGAACAGAATAGAGAGCCCAGAAATAAATCCAGGCATTTACAGTCAATTGATTTTCAGCAAAGATGCCAAGAACATACAGTGGATAAAGGACAGCTTCTTCAACAAATGGTATTGATACAAGTGGAAAGGTACATGCCGAAGAATAAGTTAGAGCCCTATCTCACACTGCAGACAAAAATCAACTCAAAATAGATTAAAGATTAGCTGGGCATGGTGGCAGGCACATGTAACCCCTGCTACTCAGGAGGCCGAAGCAGGAGAATCACTTGAACCCAGGAGGAGGAGGTTGCAGTGAGCTGAGATTGCACCACTGCACTCCAGCCTGGGTGACAGAGGGAGACTCCATCTCAAAAAAAAAAAAAAATAGATTAAAGACTAAAATGTAACACCTGAAACTGTAAAACTACTAGAAGAAAACATAGGGGAAAAGTTCCATGACATTGGTCTGGACAACGACCCCAATAGCACATGAAATCAAAGCAAAAATAGACAAATGAGATTACATCAAACGAAAAAGCTTCTGCACAGCAAACGAAACAAACAAGAGACTGAAGAGACAACCGCAGAAATGGGAGAAGATATTTGCAAACTACACCTCTGATAAGGGGTTACTATCCAAAATATGTAAAGAACTCAGACAACTCAATAGCAAGAAAACAACCCAGTTTTAAAATGGACAAAGTTATTGCGGCACAATTTACGATAGCCAAGATACGAAATCAACCTAAGTATCTCATAACAGATGAATGGATAAAGAAAAGGTGGCATGTATACACAACAGAATACTACTCAGCCTTAAAAAAAGAAGAAAATCCTGTCATTTGTGACAACATGGATAAGCCTATAGGATATAATGTAAAGTAAAATAAGTCAGGCACAGAAAGACAAATATCTCATGATCACACATGTATGTGGAATCTAAAACAAGCGAACAAATAAAAGCACAGAGTAGAATGGTTGTTACCAGAGGCTGGGGGTGGGGTATTGGGGAGATGGTGGTCAAAGGGTACAAATTTCAGTTCGTCAGGAGGAATAAGTTCCAGAGACATGGTGACCATAGTTAACAACAATGTACTGTGTTCTTGAAAATCACTGAGCTTTTAAGTGTTCTCATCACAAAAAATAAGTATGTGAGGTAACATATATGTTAATTAGTTCCAATTAGTTCAATGTTTTGAAATACACACGTAATTTCAGAACATCATGTTTTATATGTACAGCATATACCACTTTTGTCAATTAAAAATGAATAAGTAATTAAAAAAATAAGTGTAAGAAAAATGCAATAAAACAAAGACACTGGCCTGTCCCAATTCTCCCTTTGTTAAAATTTGCCTGTTTAAATAAGAGTATTTAGGCCAGGCGCAGTGACTCATGCCTATAATCTCAGCACTCAGCACTGTGGGAGCCTGAGGTGGGCAGATCACCTGAGGTCAGGAGTTCCAGACCAGCCTGGCCAACATGGCAAAACACTGTCTCTACTAAAAATACATAAAATAGCTGAGTGTGGTGGCATGGGCCTGTAATCCCAGCTACTCGGGAGGCTGAGGCAGGAGAAACGCATGAATCTGGGAGGTGGAGGTTGCAGTGAGCTGAGCCCATACCACTGCACTCCAGTCTGGGCAGCAGAATGAGACTTCGTCTCAAACAAATAAATAAACAAATAAATATGAACATTTAAGGGATTTTATTTACTGAATTGATTTTTATTTATTTTATTTTATTTTTTAAGCCTTTAAGGGTACATAGTAGGTGTATATATTTGTGGGGTACCTGAGATATTTTGATACAGGCATGCAATTTGTAACAATCACATCAGGGTAACTGGGGTATCCATCCCCTCCAGCATTTATCATTTCTTTGTGTTACAAACATTCCCATTTATACTCTTTAAGTTATTTTTAAATGTGCAATAAATTATTGTTGACTGTAGTCACCCTGTTGTGCTTAAGGTTTTTTTAAGTGAATCAATTTATAGACAAACTATAGGTAACAATAGTCCCGGTGATAGGTGGAATTGTGAGAAATTAGAACAGGGGCACACAAATTATTGAACTTCAACTCTGTTTGTGTCCTTTCAGCCATCATCCCTCCTGCTATATTTGCATCTTCTCTGTACACCTCCACCCCGATGTCTTTCTAGGGGTCTCCAATGTGTCTGTCCGTGACCAAGCTCTTTGCTCTATGGGTAGCTTGCCTGCGATGTCTTTCTCCCTAACACCCAGAACTAACCCCTTCGGGGGATCCAAGGGCTCCTAGAGGAGGAGGTGGGTTCTGGGGCACAGCAAACCAAGATATGTGCTCCCAGGGCTGATTTGGAAGGTGCCCGCCCCCCCTGCATCCACGCCAACTGCCCATGTGCACCAGGCAGCGGGAGGGACAGCCATTGCCAGGTTGCCAGGCTGTCCCGTGCTTTCTGTGTCTCTGTGTCAAGAGGGAATGAAGTGGAAAAACCAGCAGAGCAGCGTGCCCTGAAAGAGTCAAAGGTGAGTGCCAGCTGCAGGTGGAGGTGAGGCGGCTGCTTTCGGGGGAGCTGGTGCCAAGGGCTTCACTATGGGCCCCAAGCCCCGTAAAACTTAAGTCTCCCTTTAATTATGTGAGGGGCCCCCAGGCTTGTCGGGATACTGGTTACATAATCTTGTAAGAACAAAAAGCTGATTTTGTTTGAAGACTTCTGGCTCAATGCGTCCACCAGCTCCCTTGTGGAGGTGCCCAGCCCCTGGCCTTGCTACCTAATACCACCCACCCTCTGTCATCTCCCAAGGTTCAGAACTCAAATGGGGAAGCCACAGGCTAAGAGGGGCCTCAGGGAGGCCAGTTGCCTCTGGCCAGGGCTCTCGCTGTAAACAAGAGAAACCAGCGATGCACGGGTTGTGAGAGTCAGTTGTACACATCTCAGTAACATCATATTAGCAGCTTAAAATCAGCCACTGTGGTAACATTTACACCAGCGAAACTGGCAGATACTATGATCAGGACTCTTTTTTTTTTTCCTAGAAGGCTGGTTGTTGAACATTTACCAGCATACCACTGACCAAAAGAACCACCCAGAGACAAGTGGGCCCATCTGGCTTGTCCCCCAGAAATCTGAGAGTCCTAAAACAAACCCCAAGGAGAGGGAATTAAAAAAAAAAAAAGCCCTTACCGCATCTGGATATCAATTCTTTGAGCTAATTTTCTCATCTGTTCTTGGCAACATTTTAGCAAATCCACTTCCTGAAATGAAAAATGTCAGAAAGAGCAGTGCCTCTTAGAACCTCACAGTCTTCTCTCCCAGGCCAGAGCCCTCAGCTCTCCCCTCCCCTCTCACTGACCACCCTCGACCCCAGGAGGTGAAATGTCAGCGTGGGGCCCCGCCTCAATCCACGTGACCCCAGGGCCAGGCAGCTAAGGGTTGATTGTGGAGGCTCCACCTTTTTTTTTTTTTTTTTTTTTGCCCTACTTTCTTTTTATAGACTCCCAGAATAAAAGAAAATTTAGCACCTACCATGTGCCAAGCACTCACTTATAGATTATCATTACATTAAATAATGCATATGATGTGGTACAGCCTATGACATATAGTAGGTGCTCAATAAACGCTAGCTTTTATTATTGTTATTGGTATATTATTATCATGCCCATTTTGGAGATGAAAAGACTGAGGGTCAAATAACTCCATTACTCCCTGTTCCTAAATTGCAAACTAGACCTCCACCCATGCTTCCTGAGCCCTCACTTTCCACACAGTGACACGTGTGGCTTCTGCTCCTGACAGGTAGCTCAGTAATTTCTCTGACCTGCTGGCCTTCCCGCCTCCTTCAGGGGGCTGGGCAGAACCAGGAGATGCCTTACCCGGATAAGGTTTTTCTCCACGTTGTCATGGACCAAATCAATCCCAATCCTCTTCTCTCGATGGTACAGACACTCCAAGGCCACCTGTGGGAAGCAGCAGAAAGAACGTATTCTTCCTGTAGCTGTATGTAGACCCTGAGCAGAAGGGACTCACATCCACCCTTGCCACAATCTGTTCCTTTCTCCCGGAAACCTGGGTGCTTCATGTGACCTCACTACTGGGCATTGGATGGGCTTCTGCCTCCCCTTCTCCCCGGATGAGAGCTGTGGGTTGTCATATGACCAAGGCATCCGGAGATGCAAGGCCCATGTAGAGAAAACAGGATAAAGTAGCATCCCAAGAACCAATTTTGATTCCCATAATTGCATCAGCAGCCCCAAGCCTTCCCACAATACAATAATACATAGAATAAAACTTCATAATAATTTCAGATAAGACAGTGTTGGCGGCCATCTTCCATGTAGCTTCTCTTCTGACTTCAATCGGGGCTTGACCACTTCCTATTGTGTGCATTTGGGCAAACTGCTTAACCTCTCTGCTGGTTTCCTCCTCTGCAGATGGGTGCCATATTGGTGCCTATCTCACAGGTTCATTGTGCAGGTGAAGTCGGCTTGACAAGTGTAAATCACTGAGAACACTGCCCCTAAATATTACCTGTGAATATGCATGAAAACCCCTCTTTGCAGATCTCCCAGTGGAGGGACAGTTTGGGGAAGTGGTCAGGACAACCCTGCCACCTAGCCCTGGGCCTTACAACTCTCATGCAGACCTGGGCAGAGCAGAAGAGAGGACAGGACAAGGGGCTTTTCAGGGGCGCTCTATGATGGGAAGCTGACAAACAGCAGTGATTAGCAAACCAGCCCGTGATGTCACAAAGGGCCCAGGAGCAGAAGGAAGCAGGATGTCAAGGTCTGGATGTCAGGATGCAAATGTATGTGAGAACTCAGAAATGGGAGGGGGTCACTGACCCGTGCCACAAGGATTTCCGGAGCCCCTTCTGTGAGACATGCTCTGCTGAGGTGCTGGGGATAGCACAACGAACCAGGCTGAGAGTCCCTGCTCTCACACAGCCTGTGTTCTACTAGGGGAGAGAACACCCATAAGAAACTCAGTCAGGCTGGGCACAGCGCCTCCTTCATGCCTTTAATCTCAACACTTTGGGAAGCCAAGGTGGGAGGATTACTTAAGCTCAGCCTGGGCAGCATAGTGAGACCCCATCTCTACAAAAAATTTTAAATTAGCCAGCCATGGTGGTGCATGCCTATAGTCCCAGCTCCTCAGGAGGCTGAGGTCGGAGGATCTCTTAACTCCAGGAGGTCAACTAATGAGCCAAAATCATGCCACTGCACTCCAGCCTGAGCAACAGACAAAGACCCTGTCTCAAACAACATCAACAAACCAGGAACTCAATCATTTCCAACTGTGTGAAGGGCCAAGAGGAAAATATTCAGGGTGAGGTGAGTGGGTGAGGAGTAACCAGCGGAGTGGTCAGGGAGGAATTCTCTAAGGAGGAGAAGGACTGTGTCATGAGAAGCAGAGATGCAGAGCTGGGCAGGAATGCACCAGAAGGGAAAACAGCAGGTGCAAAGGCCCTGAGGTCAGCAGAGAAACAGACAGGAAGCCATTGGCCCTGGAATAGAGGAAGCGAGTCTAGAGCAATAGCGGGGACAGGGGTTATGGGGAGGGGTGGAGGAATTCCGGAATTAAGATGTTAATTTCTGGGGGACCAGACACGGTGGCTCACGCCTGTAATCCCAGCACTTTGGGAGGCTGAGGTGGGCGGATCACGAGGTCAAGAGATCAAGACCATACTGGCTAACACGGTGAAACCCTATCTCTACTAAAACTACAAAAGATTAGCGGGGCATAGTGGCGGGCGCCTGTAGTCCCAGCTACTCGGGACGCTGAGGCAGGAGAATGGCGTGGACCCGGGAGGCGGAGCTTGCAGTGAGCCGAGATCGCACCACTGCACTCCAGCCTGGGCAACAGAGCGAGAGTCCATCTCAAAAAAAAAAAAAAAAAGGTTGTTAATTTCTGGGAGGCCATCAAGGGAACCAGTGGCTGCTGTAAGGACAATGGATTGGAAGGGAGCAGGAATTGGGAGACCAGGTGGCTTACATTGCGCAGGGAGAGGCTGCCTGGATTGTGGGGGCAGCCTAGGAGATAGAATTGAGATGTCGATGGTCCCCCTGCCACCACATGGCTGATCAGAGAAAGCCAAATGTGACCAGGCAAAGCTGGACTTTCCAGACAGGATGGGGGAGTGAGAAGAGAATGGGAGGGAGAGCAGTAGGTCTGGGATACTGCTGTAGGGCTCTGAAAAGCTGCCCTGCCCATCATTCTTCCCAGGGAGAATCTGGGGTTGTATAGAATCTGCTCCCTGCATTCCATGGATTTGGACATCCTAGAGTGATAGAAACCTATGCCATGTCTCCCAGGGAGATCCGGAGGCAGGATCTCTCCTACGGAAGCCCCTGTAGCTGCAGGAGGCTTCCAGGCAAGAGGTCCTGAGTTCCCCACACACTCCAGGGAGCAGCCGATCATCTTCCTCTGTGGCCAAAGTCAGTTCCCATAGGTGCTGCTGGTTCCTTACCCAGTGTCCACTCAACCCCTTCCATGATTTTCTCCTGGACGTGGTGAGAAACATTCACTTATCCAGACCCCTTTGCATCCAGGGTCCATGAGAGTGCTGGCTAATAGGCTAAACATGGAGACACACGACGGACCTTCTAGAAAAGACATTCCCTGATAAAAAGCAATGGTGCCCATTGATGCTTCTGCTCTTTGTTCTACCCTTGCCTTCCTGCCTCGAATGAGAATATCAAGAGGCCCCTGGCATGCAGGAACTTGCAGTATAAAATGCAAAACCTCCTTGGGAACAGGAGAACACAAACCACATGCTGTGGGTGGCAGAACAGAGAGAGGAGCCTGGGTCCCTTCTGGCACCAAGTTGAGGCTGGAGCCGCCTGATCTGTCTCCCTCTGGAATTTTCCTCATGACAGAAAAATAAATTCCTGTTTGGCTAAACCACTATCGTGGAGTATTTGTTACATGCGGCTAAAAACTATCCTAACTGAGCAGGGAGACAACTGGAGGCTAGGAGACCAAGGAAGTGTTAGGAATGTCCACATTTAGTTTTTGTTTGTTGTTTGTTTGTTTGTTTTGTTTTTTGAGATGGAGTCTTGCTTTGTGGCACAGGCTGGAGTGCAGTGGCGCAATCTCAGCTCACTGCAACCTCCGCCTCCTGGGTTCAAGAGATTCTTATGCTTCAGCCTCCCAAGTAGCTGGGATTACAGACATGTGCCACCATACCCAGCTAATTTTGTATTTTTAGTAGAAATGGGGTTTCATCATGTTGACCAGGCTGGTCTCAAACTCCTGACCTCAGGTGATCCACCTGCCCTGGCCTCACAAAGTGCTGGGATTACAGGTGTAAGCCACTGTGCCCAGTCACATTTAGATATTTACTCATTTATTCAGCATGTATTTATTGAATGCCTACTCTGTGCTTCGCCCTGTCCTAGGCTGGGAATACATTCAAAACATTAGTGTAAACAATACCAGTCAGCACCGACATTGGTCACTACGGACCCACACAGACATACAGGTGCCCTGCACTGAATAGCAGTCTTGAATACATCAGTGACAAAGCAGGCAAAAATCTCTACCTTGATGGAGACTATACTGTATTCTAATATTCAATCAAGTATAGAGCATGTTAAATGATAAGTATTACGGGGAAAAATAAGGCAGTTATGGGCCAGGCACAGTGGCCCATGCCTGCAATCCCAGCACTCTAGGAGGTCAAGGCGGGAAGATCAGATCGAGACCAGCCTGGCCAACATAGCAAAACCCTGTCTTCACTAAAAATACAAAAATTAGCTGGCCATGGTGGCGGGCACCTGTAATCCCAGCTCCTCAGGAGGCTGAGGCACGAGAGTCGCTTGAACCCAGGAGGCGGAAGTCGCAGCGAGCCAAGATCGAGCCACTGCACTCCAGCTTGGGTGACAGAGGGAGACTCTGTGTAAAAAATAAATAAATAAGTCAGTTATTTTAAGCATGTGCTTTAAGGACCAGAACACACACATGCTCAGGCATGCATAAGTATGCACACAATATTTTCATGAAACCCCTGCAACTTTGATGTAGCTTCAAGGAGAAAAGGAAATTCTATTCAGTCCAAGAAACCCTGATTTGACTGGGATTATCCTGAATTGACTAAGATTGTATTACTGATCGTATTCGATGATGCAGCTCAAACCGACCTGCAAGGTGCCTGCCACCTTCATCTTCAGTCAAGGGAAGCAGAATGAGCGTGCAGTATCCCCAGGACACAGCCACAGCCCTGTCCCCACCCCTGTACTCACCTGCAATGGGCAGTTCACCTCATTGGCCGCGCACTCCAGCCGCCTCTTGACCGTCTCCAAGTTCTGGTTCTCAGTCAGAAGCCTGTCCAGCTCATAGCTCAGCTCTGACTTCCAGAAGCCAATGTCCGACAGCCTCTGGCCCAGGTTCCGGCAGGTGCCCTCCTGCATCTGGTGCGTCAGCTGGTCCTTGTCCTGCAAGAGCCTCATGGAGTCATCCGTCAGCCGGCTGGCCCACAGCCGGGAGGCCTCGGCCCCACGCACCTGCAGCTGGTTGGACTGGTCCCAGTCGTGGGGGCTATAGCGAGAGAAGAGTGCGGAGCGCAGTGTGGGCAGGATGGTGGGCGGCCGCAGGGTACTGGTGCTCTCGTCCGGGCAGGTCTGGACGTTGGCTATCTTGTAGAAGAGGCTAGGCCTCCATGAATTGAGGTAGCGGTACCCGGGCAGGTAGTAGGGCTGATAGCATTCCTGGATCACTGGCGCCTGTACAGCTGGCAGTGAGGTCAAGCCACAGCATTTCTTGGGACCACAGTAACTGGCGGTCTGAGTAGTCCCAAGAAACTCCATCCTCCCTCATGAGCCCCACTCGGGCAAAACTCAGCTCAAGGAGCCAAAGGCATCACCAGGAAAGGTGAAAGTGCTTCTCTTGGGGACTAGCAGAACCTCTATGACTCAGCACTGGTGTCATAAAGCCTGGGGAGAGGGACTCTTAGCGGGGCCTTTGCTCACTTACAGGCCAGCTGCAGCCATATTGTCCAAAACAAAAAGACAAAAACAATAATCAGCAAAGTGAATGTGAGTTTCATAATCCACAGATTCGGTTGCAAGAAGTGACATTTTATCTTCCTATTACAACTGGGCGGGAGGAAAATTAATGTAGTTTACCCAGTGAATTCATCAGCTCAGGGACAATTTGGTCAAAGCGAGTTGTTTTCTTTCTTTCTTTGTCCCCAACATGGCATCAAAATGGTCCATCTGAGGTGAGGCATGGTAGCTCATGCCTGTCATTTCAGCACCTTGGAAGGCTGTGGCCAGAGGATCACTCAAGTACAGGAGTTACTAGTATAGGAGACTAGTATAGGAGACTAGCCTGGGCAACTTATTGAGACCCCATCTCTACAAAAGAATTTTAAAACGAGCTGGGCACAGTGGCTGGCACCTGTGGTCCCAGCTACTCAGGAGGCTGAGGCAGGAGGATGGCTTGAGTCCAGGAGGTGGAGGCTGCAGTGAGCTGTGATCGCACCACTGCACTCCAGCCTGGGTGGCAGAGCAAGACTGTCTCCAATAAAAAAACAAGGTTCATTGGTACCATGGAATACCACTCAGCAATACTACTCAAAACAGCACAAATGAATCTCAAATTTTAAGCTATGTGGAAGCAGCTAGGCTCAAAAGATGACACTGTGTATTAGTCCATGTATATGACATTCTGGAAAAGACAAATCCATACGGACAGAGGACAGATCAGTGGTTGCCAGGGTCTAGAGGTTGGGGGAGAGTTGTTGGCTCCAAAGGAGCACAAGAAAATCGGGAGGGGCGAGACAGTATGTTCTAGATCTTAATTGTGTTGGTTACACATTTAGTGGAAACCTATAGAAGTTTCCACTAAAAAGAGTAAAATTTACTGTACATCAATTATACTTCAATAAACCTGATTTTTAAAAATAGAGGGAGGGATCTTGAGCATCAGGAGGCAGAGACCACGTCTATTTTGCTCACCATTAAATTCCTGGCATCCAGCACACTATTGAATGAGTGAATGAATGGGTATCTAAAACGAGAGCTTTCTTGTTCCAGAAAAGTTATTAACTCTACATTCTATAACAATTTTTTGTTTTCAGAGAGACAGTCTTGCTCTGTTGCCCAGGCTGGAGTGCAGTTGCATGATCGTAGCTCACTGCAGCCTTAAACCCTTGGGCTCAAGTGATCCTCCTGCCTCAGCCTCCCGAGTAACTGGGACTACAGATGGATGTCATCATGCCTGGCTAATTTTTTTTTTTTTTTGTAGAGATGGGGGTCTCACTATGTTGCCCAGCCTGGTCTCAAACTCCTGGCCTCAAGCGATCGTCCCGTCTTGGCCTCCCAAAGTGCTGGGATTACAGGCACGAGCCCCCCACCCCCACCCTACCACCACCACCCAGCCTATAACAATATTTTAATTACACCAAGAAATTTTCCTCCCTCTTTGGCTGGTGAGAGTAGCAACAAAGTGACAAGGTACAGAACAAGAGGAGTGCTTGATTTGTGGGGCTTCTTTCTGCTGTTGAACTGGGAAAGAGATGAATCTAACTCTCAAATGGTCTTTGTTAGTAGAGTATGATGTTCAATAGCAATTTTCCCCCAATCGCCTAAAATCACGAGTGGGTATGAGAGGACCAAGGCAGCAAAAATGAAGATAAATAACATTTAGTAAGCATCTTCAATGTTCTTGTGCTTTACATAGACTCATTTATTTCATTTCCACAGAAAACCTTTAAGGAAGGCATCACACCCACATCTTCTAGCGTGGGATCAGAAAAGCAAGTGGGCCCTGGTCCTCCCGACGTTCACAACCCTTACCTCTCAGGATCTTCTAAGATGGGACGTCACATACAGGAGGGGACTACACACAGAAGGCAGCCAAGAAATGGACGAAAAAGTTTCGAGTATTTTTTTAAGCACTAAATGGTTATGGTAAAATATTATTTTGGAGGAAGTGTAGGGGGAGGCGAGGGGAAAAAAGGTTTTTTGTGTAACATCAACAAGTATAAAGTGAAATTTAGGGTTTCTCATCATCCTTGGCTTCTTGTAGCCTCCTCAGATATAACTAATATTATCAGATTTTTCCAGAGATAATTCATACATATATAGCATATATCTAGATATTGTCATATATAACACACTATGATATTAATAAAATATCTAAAATATTTATAATAATATCAAGTGTTAACACACAGTGTTACCACACTATGATGTTAACAAATATCTATGATATTTATAATATCTAGTGTTAACACAATGTGATATTAGTAAACTAACACAGCTACAAATTCTAGTGTTAACACACTGTGATATTAATAAAATCTCTATATTTATAATATCTAGTGCTAACACATGGTGTTAACACACAATGATATTAATAAAATCTCTATATTTATAATATCTAGTGTTAACACACTATGATATCAATAAAATGTCTATATTTGTGATATCTAGTGTTAACACACTATTAACAAACTATCTATGATATTTATAATATCTAGTGTTTACAGTGTTAACACACTATGATATTAAGAAAATATCTTTATATTTATCATATCTAGTCATGACACACTATGATATTAAGAAAATATGTATGCTATTTACACGATCTTGTGTTAACATACAGTGTAAACACACTATGATATTCATAAAATAGCTATGATAAATATAATATCTAGTGCTAACACACAGGGTTAATACATTATGATATTAATAAAATATCTATGATATTTATAATATCTAAAGTTAGCACACTGTGTTAACATGCTATAATATTCATAAAATATCTATAATATTTATAATAACTAATGTAAACACACAATGATTAATAAAATATCTATATTTATAATATCTAGTGTTAACATACAGTGTTAACACACTATAATATTAAAAAATATCTATGATATTGAAAATATCTAGTGTTAAAACATTAAGATATTAATAAAATATCTATGATATTTATAGTAGCTAGTGTTAATACACACTGTTAACTCACTATGATATTAATAAAATATCCATATTTATAATATATAGTCTTAACACACAGGGTTAACACACTATGCTATTAATAAAATATCTATGACATTTATAATATTTAGTGTTAACACAGTATGATACTAATAAAATACACATGGTATTTATAATATCAAATGTTAACACACTATGATATTAATAAAATATCCATGACATTTATAATATCTAGTGTAAAAACACAATGATATTAATAAAATATGCATAATATTCAGGAATTAATATCATGGATATTAATAAGATAGCCATGATAATTATAATATCTAGAGGTAACACACTATGAAATTAATAAACTATCCAAGACATTTATAATATCTAGTGGTAAAACACTACAGTATTAATAAAATATCTATGGCATTTGTAATATTTAGTGTTAACACACTATATTAATAAAATATCTATGATATGTATAATATCTAGTGTTAAAATGCTATGATATTAACAAAATATCTGACATTTATAATATCTACTGTTTACACACAGTGTTAACAAACTATGACATTAATAAAATTTCCATGATATTTATATCTAGTGTTAACACACTATGATATTAATAAAATATCCAGTGTTAACACACTATGGTATTAATAAAATATCCATGATATTTATACTATGTAGTATTAACACATGTGATACTAATAATATATCTATGATATTCATAATATCTAATGTTATCACAGGGTGCTAACACACTATGCCATTAAGAAAGTATCCATGACATTTATATTATCTAGTGTTAACACAGTAGGATATTAATGAAATATCCATATCGCACCCCCTGTGACATTAGGAGTAATATCTCCCTAGAATATTATGAATAATATCACAGGGTGTCCACATATGATGTACATCTCTGTGACATTAGAAGTAATGTCTCCCTTGGATATTATGAATGTCACAGAGTGTCCACACACGGTGTACACCTCCTGTGACATTAGGAGTAATATCTCACTAGGATATTAGGAATAATATCACAGGGTGTACACACATGGTGTAAACCCCCTGTGACATTAGCAGTGATATCTCCCTAGGATATTAGGAATAATATCACAGGGTGTACACACGGTGTACACTTTCTGTGACATTAAGAGTAATATCTCCCTAGGATATTCCGAATAATATCACAGGGCATACATCCCCTGTGAAGTTAGAAGTAATATCCCCCTAGAATACTACAAGTGATATCACAGTGTGTACACCTCCTGTGATATTAGGATTAATATCCTTCTAGAATATTATGCATAATATCACAAGGTGTATACCCAGTGTGACATTAGGAGTAATATCTCCATAGGATATTATGAAATATATCACAGGGTGTACACCCACTGTGACATTAGGAGTAATATCCCCCTTAATATATTAAAAATGATATCACAGGCCGGGCGTGGTGGCTCATGCTTGTAATCCCAGCACTTTGGGAGGCTAAGCGGGTGGATCATGAGGTCAGGAGATTGATACCATCCTGGCTAACACGGTAAAACCCCGTCTCTACTAAAAATACAAAAAAATTAGCCAGGCATGGTGGTGGGTGCCTGTAATCCCTGCTACTCGGGAGGCTGAGGCAGGAGAATGGTGTGAACCTGGGAGGTGGAACTTGCAGTGAGCCGAGATTGTGCCACTGCACCCCAGCCTGGGTAACAGAGCGAGATGCCATCTCAAAATAAAAAATAAATAATAATAATATCACAGGATGTACATCCATTGTGAAATCAGGAGTAACATCCCCCTAAGATATTATGAATAATATCACATGGTGTACTCCCACTGTGACAAGAGAAGTAATATTACCCTAGGATATTATGAATACTATCACAAGAAGTACACACGTGGTATACACCCACTGTGACATTAGAAGTAACATCCCCCTAGGGCATGATGAATAATATCACAAGGTGTACACACATGGTGTACAACCACTGTGACATTAGGGGTAACATTTCTCTAGAATATGATCAATAATATCACAGAGTGTACATCCTGTGAGTAACATCCTAGGAGTAAAATCCCCAGAGGATATTAGGAATAATATCACAGGGAATGTACACACATGGTGTACACCCACTGTGACATTAGGTGTAACATCTTCCAAGGATAAGACGAATAATATCACAGGGTGTACATACATGGTGGACACCCCCTGTGACATTAGGAACACATCTCTTTAGAATATCAGGAATAATACCACAGGGTGTACATCCCCTGTGACATCCCCCTAAGAATTAACATTCCCCTAAGATATTAAGAATAATATCACAGGTTTACATGCCCTGTGACATTAGGAGTAACATCACCCTAGGAGATTACAAATAATATCACAGGGTGTACACCCTCTGTAATATTAGGATTAAAATTCCCCTACAATATTACGAATAATATCACAGGGTATACACCCCCTGTGATATTAGGAGTAACATCACCCTAAAATATTACAAATAATATAACAGGGTATACACACCCTGTGACATTAGGAGTAACATCCCCCTGGGATATTAAGAATAATATCAAAGGGTGTACACCCCCTGTGACATTAGGAGTAACATATCCCTAAAATGTTACTGATAGTATCAAAAAGGGGTACATAACCTGTGACATTAGAAATAACATCCTCCTAGGATATTACAAATAATATCACAGTAGATATTACTGCTAACGTCACAGTGGGTGACCACACATGGTGCGCACCCACTGTGATATTAGGAGAAATATCTCCCCAGAATATAATGCATAATGTCCCAGAGTGTACACACACGATGCAAACCCAGTGTGAAATTAGGAGTACTATCTCCCTGGGGAATTACGGGTAATGTCCTAGGGTGTACACACAGGCTGTACACCCACTGTGATATTAGGAGTAATATCTCCCCAGGTTATTATAAATAACTTCCCAGGGTGTACACACATGGTGTACACCACTGTAATATTAGCAGTAATATCCCCCAAAAATATTACAAATAATGTCCTGGGGTGTACACACATGGTGTACACCCACTCTGATATTAAAAGTTATATTTTTCTGGGTATCACAAATAATGTCCCAGCATGTACACATGGTATACATCCACTGGGATATTAAGAGTAATATCTCCCCAGGATATTACAAATAATATCTCAGGATGTACACATAGGATGTTCATTCAATGTGATATTAGAAGTAATATCTCCCTAGTGTATTACAAATAATGTCCTAGGGTGTACACACACAGTGTACACTCACTATGATATTAATGATAATATCTCCCCATGATATTACAAATAATGTCCCAGAGTGCACACACACAGTGTACACCCACTGTGATATTTGGAGTAATATCTCCTTAGGATATTACAAATAATGTCCCAGGGTGTACACATGGCATATACCCAAGGTGATATTAAGAGTAATGTCTCCCTATGATATTACAAATAATTTCCCAGAGTGTACACCCACTGTGATATTAGAAGAAATATCTCTTCAGGATATTTCAAATAATATCCCAGTGATGTTAAGAGCAGTATCCTTCCAGGATATTACTAATAATATCCCAGTGTGTGCACACATGGTGTACACTCACTGTAATATTAAAAATAATATCTCCTCAGAATATTACAAATACTATTTCAGAGTTTACACTCATGTTGTACACCCACTGTGATATTAGGAGTAATATCTTCCCTGAATATTGTGAATTCCAGGGTGTACACCCACTGTGATATTAGGAGTAACATTTCCCCAAGATATTACGAATACTATACCAGGGTGAACACACATGGTGTACACCTACTATGTTATTAGATGTAATATCTCCCCAAGCTATTACAAATACTATCTCAGGGTGAACACACATCCTGCACACCCACAGTGATATTAGGAGCAATATCTGCTCTGGATATTACAAATAATATCCCAAACAGTACACACATGGTGTACACCCACTGTCATATTAAGATTAAGGCTGGGTGCGGTGGCTCCCGCCTGTAATCCCAGCACTTTGGGAGGCCGAGGTGGGTGGATCACGAGGTCAGGAGATCGAGACCATCCTGGCTAACATGGCGAAACCCCGTCTCTACTAAAAATATAAAAAAATTAGCTGGGCGTGGTGGCGGGCGCCTGTAGTCCCAGCTACTCGGGAGGCTGAGGCAGGAGAATGGCATGAACCCAGGAGGCAGAGCTTGCAGTGAGCCCAGTTCGCGACACTGCACTCCAGCCTGGGTGATAGAGCGAGACTCTGTCTCAAAAAAAAAAAAAAATTAATATCCCCCAGAATATTACAAATACTATACCAGCATGTACACACACGGTGTACACCCCCTGTCATATTATAAGTAATATCTCCACAGGATATTATGAAGACTATACAAGGGTGTACATGCATGGTGTACACCCATTGTGATATTAGGAGTAATATCTCCCCAGAATATTACTAATAATATCTCAGGGTGTACACACACAGTGTACCCCCACTGTGATATTAGGAGTAATATCTTCTCAGGATATTACAAATAATGTCCCAGGGTGAACACACATGGTGTACACCCACTGTGATATTAGGAGTAATATCTTTTCAGGATATTATCAATAATGTGCCAGGGTATACACACATCGTATACACCAACTGTGATATTAGAAGTAATATCTCCCCAGAATATTACAAATGATTTCCCATGGTGTACACACTTGATGTACACCCCCTGTGATACTAGGAGTAATATCTCTCCAGGATATTGTGAATATTGTCCCAGGGTGTACACACATGGTGTGCACCCACTGTGATATTAGGAATAATATCTCCCCAGGATATTATGAATAGTGTTCTAGGGTGTACACACATGGTGTACACTCTGCTGTGATATTAAGAGTAATATCTCTGCAGGATACTACAAATAATATCCCAGGGTGTCCATCCACTGTGATATTAGAAATAATATATCCCCAGGATATTACAAATAATATCCCAGTGTGTTCACACATGGTGTACACCATCTGAGATATTAAAGGTAATATCTCCCTGGAAATTATGAATACTATCTCAGGGTATACACATATGGTATACACCCACTGTGATATTAGGAGTAATATATTGCCAGGATATTGCTAATACTATTCCAGGGTGTACACACATGGTGTAAAAGCATTGTGATATTAGGAGTAATACCTCCCCAAGATATTACAAATGCTATACCAGTGTGTACACACATGGTGTACACACACGATATTAAAAGTAGTATCTCCCAAGGATATTAATAATAGTATCCCAGGGTATACACACATCGTGTACACCCACTGTAATATTAGGAGTAATATCTCCCCTGGATATTACAAATACTATCCTAGAGTGTACACACATAGTGAACACCCACTGTGATATTAAGAGTAATATTCCCCAGGATATTACGAATACTATACCAGTGTGTACACACATGGTGTACACCAACTGTGATATTATAAGTAGTATCTCCCCAGGATATTATGATTACTATCCCAGGGTGCAGACATATGGTGTACACTCTTTGTGATATTAGGAGTAATATCACCCCAGATATTACTAATAATATACCAGGGTGTACACACATGGTGTACCTACCCCCACTTTGATATTAGGAGTAATATCTTCCCAGGATATTACAATAATGTCCTAGGGTGTACAGACATGGGGTACACCCACTGTGATATTAGGAGTAATATCTCCCCAGGATATTACAAATAATGTCCCAGGGTGTACACATGTGGTGCACAACAACTGTGATATTAGGAATAATATCTTTTTAGGATATTATGAATAATGTCCCAGGGTGTACACACGTCATGTAAACCAACTGTGATATCAGGAGAAATATCTGCCCAGCATATTACGAATAATGTATACACCATGTGTGTACACCCACTGAGATATTAGGAGTAATATCTCTCCCCAGGATACTACTAATACTATCCCAGGGTGTACACACATGGTGTACACCCACTGTGATATTAAGTGTAATATCTTCCCAGGATATTGTGAATACTCTCCCAGGGTGTACCCACCTGGTGTACAGCCACTGTGATATTTGGAGTAATATCTCCCAAGGATATTACGAATACTATTACAGGGTGTAGACACATGTTGTACACCCACTATGATATTAGGAGTAGCATCTCTCGAGGACATTTTGAGTACTATCCAACACATCGTGTACACCCACCATGATATTAGGAGTAATATCTTACCAGGATATTATGAATAGTATATGAGGGTGTACAGGGTGTACACACATGATGTATACACACTGTGATATTAGGAGGAATATCTCCCCAAAATATTACAGATACTAAAACAGGGTGTACACACATGGTGTACAACTACTGTGATATTAGGAGTAATAGCTCCCCAGGATATTATGAATACTATCCCTGGTGTACACATATAGTGTCATATTAGAAGAAATAATAGGCACACATAGTGTCATAGTAGAAGAAATATCACCCAAGAATACTATGAATACTACCTGAGGGTGTACACACATAGCATACACCCACTGTGATATTATGAGTAATATATCCCCAGAATATTATGAACACTATCCCAGGGTGTACACACCTTGTGTACACCCACTGTGATATTAGGAGTAATATCTTTCCAGGATATTACGAATACTATCCCAGGGTGCACACACATGGTTTACACCCACCATAATATTAGGGGTAATATCCGTTTAGGATATTATGGATACTGTCACAGAGTCTACACCATGTATGTGATATTAGGAGTATATTTCCTCAGAATATTATGAATACTATCTCAGGATGTACACACATATTGCACAACTACTGTGATATCACCAGTAATACCACCCAATGTCATTACGAATGCTATACCAGGCTCTACACATATGGTGCACAACCACTGTGATATTACGAGTAATATCTTTTCAGTATATTAAAAACACTATCCAGTGGTGTACACACATGATGTACACCCACCGTGACATTAGAAGTAATAGCTCCCCAGGATATTACAAATACTATACTATCCCAGGGTGTACATATATGGTATACACTCACTGTGATTTTAGTAGAAATATCGCTCCAGGATATTACAAACACTTTCCGAGGGTGTACACACACTGTGATATTAGGACTAATATCTCCACAGGATATTATGAATGCTATCTCAGGGTTTAAACACATGGTGTACATCCACAGTGACATTATCTCCCCAGTATTTTATGAATAATATTCCATGATATTAAAAGTAATATCTCCCAAAATATTACAAATACTATCCCAGGGTGTGCACACATGGTGTACACCCACAGTGATATTAACAGCAATATCTCCCCAGGATATTATGAATACTATCCTAGGTGTACACACATGGTGTACAACCACTGTGATATTAGGAGTAATATCTCAACAAGATATTATGAATAATATCCCAGGGTGTACACACGTTGTACACCCACTGTGATATTAAGAGTAGTAACTCCATAAAATATTACAAATACTATCCCACACATCGTGTACACCCACTGTGATATTAGGAGAAATATCTTCTTAGGATATTATGAATATTATCACAGGGTGTATACAAATGGTGTAAGCACTGTGATATTTAGAGTAATATCTCCCCAAAATATTAAGAATACAATAACAGGATATATACACATGGTGTACACCCACTGTGATATGAAGGGTAATATCCCCCGGGATGTTATGAATACTATACCAGTGTGTACACACATGGAGTATACGCACTGTGATATTAGGAGTAATATCTCCCTAAGTCACTGTGATATTAGGAGTAATATTTTCCAGGATATTACCAATGCTATCCCATGGTGTACACACATGCTGTACACCCACTGTGATACTATAAGGAGTATCTCTGCATCATATTACGAATTCAATCCCAGGGGGTATACACAGGTTGAACACACACTTTGGTATTAGGAGTAATATCTTTCAAGGATATTACAAATAGTATCCCAGGGTGTACACACATGGTGTATGCCCACTGCGATAATAGGAATAACATCTCCCAAGAATATTATGAATAATAGAGCAGAGTGTATACACATGGTGTACACCCACTGTGATATTAAAAGAAATATCTCCCGAGGATATCACAAATAATATCTCAGAGTGTACACACATGGTGTACACCCATTTTGATATTTGGAGTAATATCTTTGGAGGATAATATGAATAATATCGCAGAGTGTACACACATGGTGTACACCCACTGTGATATAAAAGTAATATCTCCAGAGGATATTACAAATAATATCACAAGGTGTACACTCACTGTGATATTAGAAGCAATATATTCGAAAGATATTATGAATAATATCACAGGGTGTACACTCGATATTAGGAGTAATATCTCCCTAGGATATTACAAATATTATCACAAGGGGTGCACACACTGTGCTATTAGGAGAAATATCTCTCTAGGATATTACAAATAATATCACAGGCTGTACACACATGGTGTACACACACTGTGCTATTAGGAGTAATATTTCCCTAGGATATTATTAATATCACAGGGTGTACACACATGGTGTACATTTACTGTGATATTAGCTGTAATATCTCCCTACAATATTACGAATAATATCTCCCTCGGATAATATCTCCCTCTGATATTATGAATAATATCAGAGGGTGCACACACGTGGTGTACACCCACTGTGATTTTCAAAGAGAAATATTTCCCCAGGATATCATGAATAATATCCCAGGTTGGGCAAACATGGCATACACTCACTGTGATATTAGAAGTGTAATATTTCCTCAGGATATTACAAATATAATCTTAAGGTGTACACATATGGTGTACACCCACTAAGTTATTAGGAGAGTAATATCTCCTTAGGATATTATGGATAATATTTTTGGGTGTACACATGGTGTGTACACCCATTGTGATATTAGGAAAATATTTCCCTGTGATATGGGGTGTAACATCATCCTTTTCCCCGCTGGATATTAGGGACTATATACACCCCCTGCGATATGGGAAGTAACATTATCCTTTCTTCACCTGGATACTCCAGACAATATCTCACGGGGGTGTACAACCCCTGCGATATGCAGAGTAATATCATCCACTCACCCCCTGGATATTATGAACAATATCATAGGGGGGTGTTCACCTACTGTGATATGGGGAGTAATATAATCTTCTGTCTTCCTGGATATTGCAAACAATATCACAGGGGGGTGTACATCCCCTGCGATACTGGGAGTAATATCATCCTCTCCCTCCCTGGATATTATGAAAAATAAAATGGGGGGGTGCTCGCCCCCTACGGTAGGGGGAGTAATATCATCTTCTTCCTCCCTGGATATTACTTCCTGCAATATTGGGTGTAATATCATCCTCTCCCTCCCTGGATGTTATGAACAATAGCACAGGGAGGTGTACACTCCCTGTGGTATGGGGAGTAATATCATTCTCCTCACTCTTGGATATGATGAAATATAGCACAAGGGGGTTTATACTTTCTGTGATATTGGGAGTAATATCATCCTCTTCCACCCTGGATATTACAGACAATATCGCAGGGGGGTGTACACCTCCTACGATATGGTGAGTAACAACATCCTCTGTTTCCGGGATGTTAAGGATAATATCGCAGGATTTTGTAAACCCACTGCAATGTGGGGAATAACATCATCCTCTCCACCCCTGAATATTACCGACAATATCGCAAGGAGGTTACACCCCCTGTAATATGGGTAGCAACATCATCCTCTCCACCCCTGGATATTATGAACAATATCATATGAAGGTGTACACCATGAGGTATGGTGAGAAATATCAGCCACGACCCCTCTGAATATTAAAAAACCATATCACAGGACGTTTTATACCCCCAGCGATATGGAGAGCAATAGTATCGTCTCTCATCCTGGATATTACGAACAACATCATAAAAAAGTGTACACCCCCCGCTATACGGGTAGTAAATACCACCTCCCCGCTTCTGTATGTGATGAACCCTATCGCAGGTGAATGTACACCCCCCGCTATATGGGTAGTAAATGTCACCATCTCCCTCTCTGGATGTCACAAACCATAACACGGGTGGATGATACGGGGCGTACTATCACTAATTCCCCACCGGATATTACGAACGATGTCACAGAAAAGGTGTACACACCGTGCGATATAAGGAGTAGTATTATACATTTTCCTCTTGGATATTCAGAACCACATCAGAGAGGATGGAACACCCACCGTGATATAAAAAGTAGTATCACCCTATCCAACCCTGGAAATTATAAATTATATCACAGTGGGGTGAACACCGCCAGCGACATGGGGAATAACATCACCAAATCCAAATCGAATATTACGAATCATATCACAAGGACGGTGTACACCCCGCGCGACATAAAGAGTAATATTATACAATTTCTTCTTGGATATTACAAACCACATCTCAGAGGGGTGAACGACCCCCGCGATATGGGGACTAACCCTCCTATCCCGCCCTGACTGTTAGGAGCCATGGCTGTTCGCCCCTCTCGTTCGCCGTGTTTCCGACACTGGAAGAAATATCATCTCCATATGATGGAGGAGTCTGCACCCCCTGCAATATAAAGAGAAATATCATTCTCTCCTTTCCGGATATTAGGAAGAATAACACAGGGATGTGTACACCAGCTGAGATATGAGGAGTAATATCACCCTCTTCTTTCCTGGATATTAGTAGCAATATCACAGGGGAGTATATACCTCTTGCGATATTGGGTTTAATATCATCTTTCCCTCACTGGATATTACGAACAATATCACCAGGAGGGGGTTTAGACCCTCTGAGATAATGGAAATAATATCTTTTTTTCCACTCTTGGATATTAGGAACCACATCACAGACAGGTATACACTTCCTGCAATTTTGACAGTCATATCACCTTCTCCTCCCCTGGAAATCAGGAACAATATCACAGAAGTGCTGTGCACTTTCTGGGATATTGGTTGTAATATCTTCCTCTCCACCCTGGACCTTATGAACAATATCACAGGCATGTGTACACGCCCTGCGATTTTGAGAGTAATATCATCCTTTCCTTCTTTGCATATTAGGAACCACATCACAGGGGGTGTATACACTTCCTGCAATATTGACAGTAATATCACCTTCCTCTCCCCCTGGAAATTAGGAACCATGTCACAGGAGGCGTGTACATGTCCTGCAATATTGTGAGTAATATCCTCTCCCTTCCTGGATATAGGAAGAATATCATGGGCAGCTCTACACTCCCTGCGATATGGGAAGTAATACCATATTCTCCTTTCCTGGATATTGAGAACAATATCACAGGGGAGGTGTACAACCCCTGCGATATTGGGAGTAATGTTATTCTCTCCACCTTTGGATATTAGGAACTATATCACAGAAATGCTGCACACTTCCTGTGATATTGGTGGTAGTATCTTCCTATTTACACTGGATATTACGAATAATGTCACAGGGGTGTGTACACAGCCTGCGATATTGGGAGTAATATCATCCTTTCCCCCCCTGGATATTAGTAACAATATCACAGAAGGGGTGTACGTTCTCCCTGCAATATTGGGACTAATATCATCCACTCACCTCTGGATATGAGAAACAATATCACGGGGGGGGGGGGGGTTGTACACCCTTCTGAGATATTGAAAGTAACAATATCCTCTTCCCCTCTGGATATTAGAAACATATTACAGAGGGGTGTACACCTCCTGAAATATTGGGAATACTATGATCCTCTACCCTTCTAAATATTACGAACAATATCACAGAGAGTGTACACCCCCTGCGATATTGAAAGTAATACTATTTTCTCCCCTTCTGGATATTATGAACCGTATCACAGGGGGATGTACACCCCATGCGATATTTTGAAAAATATCATTTTCTCTCCCCTGAATATTATGAACAATATCACAGAGGGGAGTACACCCCCTACGATAGTGGGAGTCACATCATCCTCTCTCCCCCTGGATATTACATACAGCATAACAGGCGGTTGTAAAACTCCTTCTATCTTGGGAGCAATATCATCTTCATTTCCTTGGATATTAAAAATAATATTACAGAGGGGTGTACACTTTCTGCGATATTCAAAGTAGTATCCTCTCACCCACTGAATATCACAATAATAATAATGGGTTATTATTATGAACAATATCACAGGGGAGTGTACAATGCCAGCAATATTGGGCATAATATTATTCTCTCCATCCCTGGATTTTATGAACAATATCACGGGGGGGGGGGTGTACACATCCTGCAATATTAAGAGTAATATCATCCTCTCCCACCCCTGAATGTTAGGAACAATATCACAGGGAGGGTGTACACCTCCACCGATTTGGGAAGTAATATCACCCTCTCATATCTTCGGATATTATAAACAATATCACAGAGTGTGTGTACACCCCTTATGGTATTAGGAGACATATCATCCTCCCCCCTACTGGATATGAGTGACAATATCACACGGGGGTATACAGCCTCTGTGATATTGGGAGTAACATCATCCTCTTTTTCCCTGGATATTAGGAACAATATCAAAGGGGGGGTGTGTACACCCTCTATGATATTGGGAGTAATATTATCCCTTTCCTCCCTGGATATTAGAAACTATATCACGGGGAGGGGGGTGTACACCCCCTGCGATATTGAAAGTAATATTATCCTCTCCCTCCCCGCCTAGATATTAGGAACAATGTCTCAGGAAAGATGTACACCAGTTGCGATGTTGGAAGTCATATCATCCTCTCCCCCTCTGGATATTAAGAACAATATCGGCCGGGCGTGGTGGCTCACGCCTGTAATCCCAGCACTTTGGCAGGCTAAGGTGGGCGGATCACGAGGTCAGGAGATCGAGACCATCCTGGCTAACACGGTGAAACCCCGTCACTACTAAAAAAAAAAAAAAAAAAAAAAATTAACCAGGCGTGGTGGCTGGCGCCTGTAGTCCCAGCTACTCGGGAGGCTGAGGCAGGAGAATGGCGTGAACCCAGGAGGCGGAGCTTGCAGTGAGCCGAGATCGTGCCACTGCACTCCAGCCTGGGCGACAGAGCGAGACTCTGTCTCAAACAAAACAAAACAAAACAAAACAAAACAAAACAAACAAAACAAACAAAAAAAGTCACAGGGGGGTGTATACACCCTGCAATATTGGGAGTAATATCCTCCTCTTTTCAACTGCATATTAGGATATTACAATATCACAGAGGGAGTGTACACCCCCTGCGATATTAGAGGTAATATCATCCTCTCCCCCCCGGATATTGTAAACAATATCAAAGGGGGAGGGTGTACACGTGCTATGATATTGGGAGTAATATCACCCTCCCTTCCTGGATATTAGAAACAATGACACAGGGGGGTGTACATTCCTTGCGGTATTGGGAGTAATATTATCCTCTCTCCCTTGGATATTAAGAACAGTATCGCAGCAGGGGCATACGCCCACTGCGATATTGGGAGTAATATCATCCTCTGCTCCCCTGGATATAAGAAACAATATCACCGGGGAGGTCTACACCCCCTGTGATATTCAGAGTAATATCATCCTTTCCTCCCGTGGATATTAATAATAATATCACAGAAAATGTGAACATCCTCCAGCAAAATTGGAAGTAATATCACCCTCTCGCCCCCTAAATATTATAAACAATATCACAGGGGCTGTGTGCACTATCTGTGATATTGGGAGTAATAACATCCTCCCCCCACGCCTAGATATTAGAAACAATGTTACAAAGGGGTGTACACCCCCTGCAATATTGGGAGTAAGTCATACTCTCTGCCACTGGATATGAGAAATAATATCATCAGGGGGCGTATACCCCGTCCAATATTGACAGTAATATCATCTTCTCTCCCCGTGGATATTAGGACCAATATCACAGAAGGGGTGTACATCCCCTGCAATACTGTGAGTAATAACATCCTCTCCCTCCCTGGATATTCGGAACAATATCAAGGGAAGGTGTACGCTCTCTGCGATATTGTAAGTAACATCATCCTCTTTCTCCCTGAATATTATGAACAATATTACAGGTAAAGTGTACACTCCCTGCCATATTGGGAGTAATATCATCTTCTCTCCCCTTGAATATAAATAATATCACAGGGGGAGTGTACACCCCCTGTGATATTACAAGTAATATCATCCTCTCCTTACTAGATATTATGAACAATATTACAGGGAAAGTGTACACCCCCTGTGATATTGGGAGTAATTTCAGCCTCTCTCCTTTAAATATTAGGAAGAATATCACAGGGGGGTGTACGCCCTCTGCGATATTGGGAATAATATTATCCTCTTCACCTTTGAATATTAGGAACAATATCACAGAAGTGGTGTACACCCACTGTGATATTAGGAGTAATAACTACCTAAAATATTACAAGTAATGTCAAAGGGTGTACAGTCACTGTGATATTAGGAGTAATATCTTTCTTAGATACAACAAATAATATCACAGGGTGTACACCCACTGTGAAATCAGGAGTAATATCTCCTTAGGATATTACTAATATTTTCCTAATATTCGTAATAATATTACGAATAATATCACAGGGTGTACACCCACTGTGCTATGAAGAGTAATATCTCCCTAGGATATTACAAATAATAACACAGGGTGTACAGCCATTGTGATATAAGGAGTAATATGTTTCTTAGATACTACAAATAATATCCCAGGCTGCACACCCACTGTGATATTACAAGTACTTTCTCCCTTAGATACTAGGAATAATATCACAGGCTGTACACCAACAGTGATATTAGGAGTAATATCTTTCTAAGATACTATGAATAATATCACAGGCTGTCTACCCACTGTGATATTAAGAATAATATCTTTCTAAGGTACTATGAATACTTTCACAGGGTGTATACCCACTGTAATATTAGGAGTAATATCTCCCTAACGTACTATGAATATCACAGGGTGTACATGCACTGTGATACTAGGAGTAATATCTCCCTAAGATACTACAAATAATATCACAAGGTATACACCCACTGTGATATTAGAAGTAATATCTCCCTAAGACACTATGAATAAATCACAGGGTGTACACCCACTTCGATATTAGGAGTAATATCCCCCCATGATACTATGAATAATATCAGGGTGTACACCCACTATGACATGAGTAGTAATATCTCTCTAAGCTACTACGAATAATATCACAGGGTGTACACCCACTGTGATATTAGGTGTAATGTCTCCCTAACATATTACGAATAATATCACTGGTGTACACACATGGTGTTCACCCACTGTGATATTAGGAGAAATACATCCCTAAGATATTATGAATAATATCACATGGTGTACACACATTGGTTCACCCACTGTGATAGTAGGAGTATAATCTCCCTAAGACGTTATGAATAATATCACAGGGTGATAATGTACACTCACTGTGATATTAGGAGTAATATTTTCCTAAGATATTATGAATGGTATTACAGGGTGTACACACATGGCGTACACATACTGTGATATTAGTCATAATATATCTCTAAGATATCATGAATATTACAGGGTAAACATCCACTGTGATATTAGGAGTAATATCTCTCTAAGATAATACGAACAATATTACAAGGTGTACACCCACTGTAAAATTCAAAGTAATATGTGCCTAAGGTATCACAAATAATATCACTAGGTGTACACTCACAGTGATATTAAGTGTAATATCTCCCTCAGATATCAAGAATAATATCACAGGGATTAAACCCATCATGGTATTAGCAGTAATATATCCTTAAGATATCACGAATCTTTTCAAAGGGTGTACACCCCCTGTGATATTAGGAGTAATATCTTCCTAAGATAGCACGAATAATATGATGGGGTGTACACTCACAGTGATATTCATAGTATTATCTCCCTAAGATATCACAAGTAATGTAAAAGGGTGTACACTCACTATGATGTTAAAAGTAATATCCCTCTAAGATACCATGAATAATATCACAGGTTTACACCCAATGTAATATTAGGAGTAATGCCTTTCTAAGGTATAACAAATTATATCACAGAATGTACACTCACTGTGATCGTAGAAATTATATATCCCTGAGATATCATGAATAATATCACAGGCTGTACATCTACTGTAATATTAGGAGTAATATCTGCCCAAGATATGATGAATAACATTTCCCTAGGATATTACAAATAATATCACAGAGGGTGTATACCCTGTGTGATATTACGATTAACATCTGCCTAAGATATCATGAATAATATCAAAGAATGTACACCCACCATGATACTAGGAGTAATAGCTCCCTAGGATAATACAAATAATATTATCACAGGCTGTCCACATACTGTAATATTAGGAGTAATATCTCCCTAGGATATTATTAATAATATCACAGGGTGTTCACACATGGTGTACACCCACTGTGATATTAGGAGTAATATCTGCCTAGGATATTATGAATAATATCACAGGATGTACACCAACTGTGCTATTAGGAGTAATATCTTCCTAGTATATTATAAATAATATCGCTGGGTGTACACACGTGTTGTACACACACTGTGACATTGGGAGTAATATCACCCTAGGATGTTACCAGTAATATCACAGGGTGTAAACACATGGTGTACACCCACTGTGATATTAAAGGAAAGATCTCCCTGGGATATTAAAAATAATATCCCAGGGTGTACAACCACAGTGATATTAGGAGTAATATTTCCCTTGGATATTATGATCAGTATCACAGGGTGTACACCCACTGGGATATTAGGAGTAATATCTCATTAGGATATTATGAATAATATCACACATTGTACACCCACTTTGATATTAGGAGTAATATCTTTCTAGGATATTATAAATAATATCACAAAGTGTACACCTACTGTCCTATTAGGAGTAATATCTCCCTAGGATATTACAAATAATATCACAGGGTGTACACACATGTTGTACACCCACTTTGATATTAAGAGTAATATCACCCTAGGATATTACAAATAATATCACAGGGTGTACACAATGTGTGTACACCCACTGTAACATTAAAAGTAATATCTTCTGAGGATATTATGAATAATATTAAAGAGTGTACAAATATGGTGTACATACACTGTGATATTAGGGGTAATATCTCCTTAGGATACTATGAAGAATATCACAGTGTGTACACTCATTGTGATATTAGAAGTAATATCTCCTGAGGATATTATCGATAATATCACAGGCTTTGCACACATAGTGTACACTCACTATGATATTAGGAGTAATATCATCTCCCGACGATATTACAAGTAATATCACAGTGTGCACACACATGGTATACACCCACTGTGATATGTGGAGTAATATCTTTGGAGGATATTATGAGTTATATCGCAGAGTGTACACACATGGTGTACACCCATTGTGATATTAAAAGAAATATCTCCCAAGGATATTACAAATAATATCACAGAGTGTACACACACTGTGTACACTTACTTTTATATTTAGAGTAATATCTCCACAGGATATCATGAATAATATCACAGAGCATACACACATGGTGTACACCCACTGTGATATTAAAAGTAATATCTCCTGAGGATATTATGAATAATATCACAGGGTATACACTCATGGTGATATTAGAAGTAATATATCACCATATATTATGAATACTATGAATAATATCACAGGGTGTACATCCACTGAGAAATTAGGAGTAATATCTCCCTAGGATATTACAAATATTATCACAGGGTGTGCACCCACTGTGATATTTGGAGTAATATCTTTGGAGGATATTATGAATTATATTGCAGAGTGTACATACATGGTGTACACACACTGTGCTAGTAGGAGTAATATCTCCCTAGGATATTACAAATAATATCACAGGGTGTACACACATGATGTACATTTACTGTGATATTAGGAGTAATATCTCCCTAGGATTTTACTCCTAATATCACAGGACGTACACACATGGTGTACACCAACTGTGATATTAGCAGTAATATCTCTCTCAGATATTATGAATAATATCACGGTGAGTGTACACAGGATATTACGAATTTCCTCAGGATATTTCCTCAGGACATTACGAATAAAATCACAAGGTGTACACACATAGTGTACAACCCCTGTGTTATTAGGAGAGTAATATCTCCCCAGAATATTACAAATAATATTTCTGGGTGTACATATGGTATGTACATCCACTGTGATATTAGGAGAATAGTATTTCCCTGCGATATGGGGAGTAACATCATGCTTTTCCTTGCTGGCTATGCTGGCTATTAGGGACTACATCGCAGACACCCCTTGCGAAATGGGGAGTAACATTATCCTTTTTTCACCTGGATACTATGGATAATATCGCTAAGGGTGTACATCCCCTACGATATGTAGAGTAATATCATCCACTCACCCCCTGGATATTATGAACAATATCACGGGGGGGTGTTCACCTACTGCAATATGGGGAATAACATAATCTTCTCCCTTCCTGGATTTTACGAACAATATCACAGGGGGGTGTACATCCCCTGCGATATCGGGAGTAATATTATCCTCTTTCTCCCTTGATATTATGAAAAATAACACAGGAAAGTGTACACCCTCTGCGGTATGGGGAGTAATATCATTCTCTTCACCTCTGGATATTATGAAATATATCACAGCAAGGTGTATACTTTCTGCGATATTGGGTGTAATATCATCCTCTCCCTCCCTGGATATTATGAACAATAGCACAGGGGGGTGTATATCCCCTGCAGTATGGGGAGTAATATCATCCTCTTCACCCCTGGATATTATGAAATATGTCACAAGGGGGTGTATACATTCTGCAATACATTCTTCCACCCTGGATATTACGGACAATATTGCAGGGGACTGTACACCTACTGCGATATGGAGAGTAACATCATCCTCTTCCTTCCTGAATATTACGGACAATATTGCGAGGGGGGTACAACCCCTATGGTGTGAGTAGCAACTCTTATCACTCCCCGTAATATTAAGGGTTTTTCACATGGGTGAATATTCGTGTTGGCTAGATTTTATTGTACAGTTAATAATAGTATGTGTTAGTTGATTAAGAAATTTTGATACATGCTTATATGTATGTGGGCTAACTTTGATAACCCTGGATATTATGAACCATATCACATGAAAGTGTACACCCTGCGCTATGGTAAGAAATATCATCCCCTCCCCCTCTGGATATTAAAAACCATATCTCAAGACGTTGTACATCCCCGGCAATATGGGGAGTAATATTATCATCTCTCATCCTGGATACTACAAACATCACAAGAAGGTATACGCCCCCTGATATATGGGCAGTAATATCACCCTCTCCCTCCCTGAATACTACGAACCATATCACAGGGGGTGTACATCCCGTGCGATATAAGGAGTAATATTACACTCTTTCCTCCTGGATATTACGAACCATATCATGGGGAATTGTACAAGCCCTCCATAGGGAAAGTAATATCACCCTATCCCCCTTAGGATATTACAAACCATATCACAGGGGGATTTACACCCCCATCGATATGGGGAGTAATATCACCCTCTCTTCCCCTGGATATTACGAACCATATCACACTCCCCGCGATATATGGAGTAATATCACCCCCCCTTCCCCCCTGTATATTACAAACCACATTGCAGTGGCGTCAACACGCCCCGCGATATGGGGAGTAATATCACCGCCCTCTCCCCCCTCAGATATTAGCAACCACATCGCAGAGGGGTGAACACTTTCTGAGAACTGGGGAGTAATATCACCCCCCTCTCCCTCCCTGGATATTTCAAACCATATCACACCCCCCACGATGTAGACAGTAATATCACCCTCCTCTCCCCACCCCTGGATGTTATGAAACATATCACACCCCCTGCGATATGGGGAGTAATATCATCCCCCCTCCCCCCTGGATATTACAAACCATATCGTGGGGCGATGATCACCCTCCTGCGATACGGGGAGTAATATCACTCCACTTCCCCCTCTGGATATTACGAACCATATTGTGGGTAGGTGAACACCTCCCCCGATATGAGGAGTAATATCACCCCCTCTTCCCTCCTGGATATTGCAAACCATATCGTGGAGTAATATTCCTATGTAATATTAAGGGTTTTCCGTATGGGTGAATATTCGTGTTGGATAGATTTTATTGTACAGTTAATAATAGTATATGTTCTATAGTTGATTAAGAAATTTTGATACATGCTTATATGTATGTGGGCTAACTTTGTATGTACTTTAATATATGAATGTACTATGTGCGATTAAGTATATATAGTACAATATATTATTCTTGGGGACTAACAGTAATGCCCGAAGTACACAGAAGAACTAATGTATTAGTGCTAGTTTATTAATACTGACATGGTAGTTAAAATGTGTGCTGAGAAAAGTACATGGAAGAGTTTAATTAGAATTTCAGTTTTGGGTGTTGACGGTGAAGTGGGAATGCTTTTTGCCTGAGTTGTCCTGGGAAGGGAATCCTCCATTTCTGGTTTACAAGACCAGAGTATTGAATTATACTATAAGGGTAGTTTAATTTAAATAGCTTATTTTCCTTCAGGGCAGTGAGTGACATAAGGGTGAGGAGAGTGGAGAAATACACAATGGATGCTGTTTGTCCAATAATAATGAACTGGTAGTGGATGGGCTGTCCTCTGATTCATGTAAGTGTGAGCAGGTCAGCTATTAAGATTCAGAATAGGCATTGACTTAATGGACAGAATATTATGCTTTATTGTTTAGATGTATGAAGTATGGGATAATTGCTGGAATGAGAAAGGAGGATATAAGAGCTAGTACACCTCCTGGTTTGTTAGGGATGGATCGTAGAATTGCATATGCAAACAAAAAATATCACTCTGGCTTAATGTGGGGGGGGATATTTAGTGGGCTGGCCAAAGTGTAATTATCTGGGTCGCTTAGAAGGTCAGGTGAAAATAGTGTTAGAATTATTAGGAGGAGGAGGAGAAAAATTAAACCTAGAATATCTTTGATCGTGCAGTAGGGGTGGAAAGTGATTTTGTCTGGGTCTGATGAGACTCCTGAAGGGTTGTTAGATCCTGTTTCATGTAAGAATAAATGGTAAACAGTTGCTGGAGCTGTAATGATGAAAGGTAAGATGAAATGGAAGGTGAAAAATCGTGTAACGGTGGCTTTGTCAACTGAGAATCCACCTCAGATTCATTGTAGAAGGAGTTCCAATATATGAAATGGCTGATATTAGGTTTGTAATTACTGTAGCACCTCAGAATAATATTTGGCCGCATGGAAGTACGTAGCTTAGAAATGCTGTTGCTATGGTGGTAAGTAGGAGGATAATACCAATATTTCAGGTTTCTAGAAATATAAATGACCCGTAGTATAAGCCTCGGCCAATGTGTAGGAAGAGGCAGATGAAGAATATTGAGGTGCTGTTAGCATGAAAATGCAGATTATTCGGCCATAATTTACATCTGGGCTGATGTGGGCAACTGAAGAGAAAGCAGTTGAGGTATCTGATGTATAGTGTATGGCTAGAAATAATCCCGTGATAATCTGGACAATTAGGCAGGCACCAAGAAGTGAGCCGAAGTTTCATCATGTGGAAATGTTGGACGGTGTGGGGAAATCAATGACTGAATGGTTAATAATTTTTATTAGTGGGTGCGTTTTGTGTATTTTGGTCATTAGTGTTCTTATAGATGAAGTGCAATGACGGTTTTTCATACCATTGGTCATCATTATAGTCCATGTAGGAATAATGGCATATGCTTTATTTTCATTAAGTATTCTTTTGGTTATAGGGTTTGCAGGTTTTTCTTTGAAATCTTCTCCTATTTATGGGGGTTTAAGGTTGTTAGTGGTACTGTAGGTTGTCATATTGTGTTGAACTTTCGTGGGGCTTTCGTGGGGTTAATAGTGTTTTCAATTTATTTGGGTAGTTACATCTAGTGCTGTAAGTCTTAGGTGATGCGGTAAAATTGTCTGGGGGAATGAAGTAGTAATAATACTGTTGGTGATAAGGAACCCAGCGAAGATACTGCCAATTATCAGGCATTTAACTGAGTTAATTAGGAAGGGGTTATTTTCGTTACTAATGATCAGGTTTGTAAAGCGGGGTTGTCCTATCAGAGCGAAGAAAATTAATTCGGATACTATAGACAGCTGCTAGGGAGTTTGCAATAAGAGTAATACAGAGGGCTCAGCCGTTGGTATATGATGTGTTTGCGGTTTTGATAATAAGATCTTTAGAATAAAAGCCTGTGAGGAAAAGCATACCTGTAAGTGTGAGGCTACCAATAATTAGGGAGGAGGAAGTGAGGAGTAAAGTCTTGAATAGATCTCCTGTTTTTTGGATGTCTTGTTCATCATTGAGGTTATGGATCATGGATCCTGAACATATAAATAATACAGCTTTAAAAAAAAGGCATGGGTGCAGATGTGAAGAAATGCTAGGTATGGTTGATTAATGCCAATTGTGACTATTATAAGGCCTAGTTGGCTTGAGGTGGAGAACGCTACGATTTTTTTGATGCCATTTTGTGTTGGAGCACAGATTGCTGTAAATAAGGTGGTCATAGCCCCTAAGCATAATGTGAAGGTTTGCACTAATAGTTTATTTTCTATTAAAGGGTAGAAGCGGATGAGTAGGGAAACTCCTGCTATACTATAGTGCTGGAGTGGATTAGGGCTGACAGTGGGGTTGGGACTTCCATGGTGGAAGGAAGTCAGGGATGAAGGCCGAATTGAGCTGACTTTCCTACTGCTGCTAGGAGAAGACTAATTAACGGAAGAGAATTGGAGGCAGAATCTATAATAAATGCCTGTTGAAGCTCCCATGTGTGGGAGGACAAGAGGAATCATGCTAGAGCTAAAATGAAGCCAATGTCACCGATATGATTATACAGAACCGCTTGGAGGGTTGCTGTATTAGCATCTCCTTGGCCGTATCATCAGCCAATTAATAAGAAGGACAAGATTCCTATAGCTTATCATCCGATAAAAAGTTGAAAGAGGTTATTGGCAGTAACTAGAATTAATATTGTGATGAGGAAAATGAGTAGGTATTTGAAAAATTGATTAATGTTAGGGTCTGAGTTTATCATATTGAGAATTCTACAATAGATCAAGTAACAAATAGTGCTACTGGGAGAAATATTGTGGAGAAGTAATCTAGTTTGAAGCTTAGTGAGAGTTTAAGAGTTTGGATTGTTATTCAACGTCAGTTTGAGATAATTACTTGTTGGTCTGTATATATAAATATTGCCGCAGGGATGAGGCTAACGATGAAGGCGCACACAATAGATATTTTTACATAGTATGGGTATGAATCTTTTTTGCAGGAGTTGGCTAAGGTGATAATAATTGGTAAGATTAAGGGAATTAGAATTGTTATAGTAGTGGAAAAGTACATGTTTATTACTTTTATTTGGAGTTGCACCGATGTTTTTGGTTCCTGAGACCAATGGATAACTCTTATCCTTTAAAAGTTGAGAACGCAATGTTGTGAGACACAGGGGCATGACTTAGCAGTTCATGCATACTTTCTCGGTAGATAAGAAGTTGCGGGCTTCTATTGTTAGATTCATAGTCTAATGTTTTGGTTAAACTATATTTACAGCATGCAAATCCCACAATAATTTTAGAGTTTAAGGATAATAGGAAAATAGGTGCAACATGTGTAAGTATTAGTGTATTTTCTCATGTAAAGGAGGGTTTAATACTGTTAAGGTAATACGCAAGTGTTCCTCATTGTATCGTGGTTAGCATACACAGGGAGTAAAAGGGCTGTGATTAGCATATTAAGTCCTATAAGCATAATGGTGGTGTTTGATCAGGAGAATGAAACCATAGTGATGAAGAGTTCTCCTACTAGATTAATAGTAGGGGGTAAGGCAAGGTTAGTAAGATTTGCTAGAAGTCATCAGGAGGCTATTAGTGGAAGCAATGTTTGAAGGCCTTGGAGAAGTAGTATAATTCGGCTATGGACTCGTTCATAGTTCCAATTTGCTAGGCAGAATAGTAAGGATGAAGTGAGTCCATGGGCATTTATGAGGGTGACTGCGCCTGTAAAGCTTCAAGAGGTTTGAATGAGGATAGCCACAATAACAAGTGCTGTATGGCTTACAGAGGAGTAAGCGATTAGTGATTTTAAATCGGTTTGTGGTAGACAAATTGAGTTTGTCATGACTATCCCTCATAAGGATAATATGAGGAAAGGGTAGGCTATGTATTCTGTTACGGAGCTGAGGATAAGGGTAAGCCCTATGATACTGTAGCCGCCTAGTTTTAGGAGTACCGCTGCAAGTACTACTGAGCCGGCAATAGGAGCTTCTGCGTGGGCTTTGGGAAGTCATAGGTGAAGCCCATATAGAGGTATTTTTACTATAAAAGCCAAGATACATGCTAGTCATATAATGTTATTAGATCAGGCATTTAATAGTTCTTCGGTGGTAAACGTCATTATTAGCATACTTAGTGAACCTGAGACATTTTGAGTATAGATAAGCGTGACAAGTAGGGGAAGGGATCCCACTAGTGTATAGAATAAGAAATATGAGCTTGCATTGAGGTGTTCTGTTTGGTTACCTCAGCAGGTGATGATAATTAGGGTAGGAATAAGTGTGGTTTCAAAGAGGACATAAAATATAATTAGTTCAGTGGCTGTGAATGCTATAACTAAAAAATTTATAGGGAAATTAATATAGAAATGAGTTTTTTTCATAGAAGTGATTCATTGGACAGGTGATATTGGCTTGCTAGAATTATAAGAGGTAGTAGTCAGGATGTTAAGATTAGAAGGGGCGACGTTAGCGGGTCAGGAAAGAAGGTTAATGAGAAGTTAGATGAATTATCGTTTAACTGGTTAAAAAATAGTAGAGTAATGAGGCCAATGAATATGCTGTGAATAGTTATGTTAATTCAGATTACAGAATTTTTTGACAGTCATGTTATTGGTAACAGTATAATTGTTGGAATAATAACTTTTAGCATTAGAGTAAATTTAAATTTTGTACATAATCTAGGCCGTATGTGTTGGAGATTGAAACTAGTAAGGCAAGGCCCACAGCAGCTTTGCAGGCAGCAAATTCTAGGAGGATAATGGGCATTATGGATGCTAGAATAAAATGTATATTTAAAGTTACAAGAGTACTTATGATAAATATTGATAATATTATGCCTTCTAAGCATAATAACGATGATATTAAGTGGGATCGATAGATTAATATTCCCAGCAGTGCTATGGTATATGCTAATATGTTAATATAAATAAAGGGCATTTAGTAAATATGGTCTATCATAATCTAATGAGTCAAAATCATTTATTTTAACTTAAACTATTTATCAATTCAACTCAATCTAATCCTTTTTGGGTTGATTCATAAATTAAGCCTAGGATTAAAATGATAACTAATATAAGGGCTGTACTAATTATTAGTGTTAGCTTGTTTGTTTGAAGGGCTCAATGGCAGGGCTAGTAGTAGAGCGACGTCTAAGTCGAACAGGAGAAATGTGATGGCTACTAGGAAGAATTTTATGGAGAAGGGGAGGCGGGCAGAGGTTAGTGGATCAAATCCACATTCATAAGGGCTGGATTTTTCTATATAAATATTAAGTTGTGAGAGTCAAAATGTAACTATTATTAGTAATAGGGCCAGTAAAGTGTTGGTTGCTAGGGCTAGTGTCAGGTTATTTACTCTTTTTCAGATCTTATCGAAACTAATTGATTGAAAGTCAATGCTTATACTAAAAGAGTAGGGCCCTCATCAGTAGATAGAGACATATAAGAATAATCAGACTACATCTACGAAGTGTCAATATCCGGCGGCGGCTTTAAAGCCAAAGTGGTGGTTGGATGTAAAGTGATATTTTAATTGGCGGAGGAGGTAGATAGTGAGAAATGTTGATCCAATAATAACATGAAGTCCGTGGAAGCCTGTGGCTATAAAGAATGTTGAGTCATAAATTCCATCTGAGATAGTAAAAGGGGTCTTGAAATAGTCTGAGATTTGTAGAAGAGTGAAGCAGATACCTAAGGTAATCGTGATGGATAATGCTTGAATTATTTGCCTTCGACTACTTTCTATCAGGCTGTGCTGAACTCAAGTAATGGAAACTTCTGATGCGAGTAACCCAGACGTATTGAGGAGAGGTACTTCTAAAGGGTTACGGGAAAGAATGCCTGTTGGAGGTCAGTGTCCCCCTAATTCTGGAGTTGGCGCTAAGCTCTAGAGTGGTAGAATGCCCAGAAGAAACCGGTAAAGAAAAACACCTCTGAGATAATAAACAGAAGCATTTCATATCAGAGACCTTTTTGGACAATTGTCATATGGTGGCCTTGAAATGTACTTTCTCGGACAATATCACATCATCATTGATATATAGTTAGTGTGTTGGTTACTAGGCTTAGGGTTAAAAGAATTATAGAATTAAAGTGAAATTGTATGGCCAGGCCAGATGTTATTAGGAGAGCCGAGAGAGCTCCTGTTAGCGGTCAGGGGCTGGGATTAACTATATGGTAGGCATGTGTTTGGTGGGTCATTACGTGTTATCATATAAATAAAGGCTTACTAATAGTGTGAAGACATAAGCCTGAATAAGAGCTATGACGAATTCGAGAATACTCAGTAGGATTAGAATAATGAGAGATATTGAAGCTGTGGGGATACTAATAGTTGACAGTACTAGTGTGGCATCTCCTATTAAGTGTATTAGTAGGTGACCAGCTGTAATGGTGGCTGTTAATCGCACAGCCAACGCTATAGGTTGAATAAATAGGCTAACAGTTTCAGTGAAGACTAATATAGGGATAAGTGGCATAGGTGTGCCTTGTGGTAAAAAGTGAGCTAAGGATATTTTGGTTTTAAAGAGAAAGCCTGTGATTACTGTTCCTGCTCATAAGGGGATTGCTATACCTAGATTTATTGATAGTTGTGTAGTTGGTGTAAATGAATGGGGAAGAAGTCTGAGGAGATTGGTTGAAGCAATAAAAAGAATTAGGGATATCAGCATAAGGGATCAGGTTTGTCCTTTAATGTTATGGGTGATTATTATTTGTTTTAGTACAAGTTGAACTAATCATTGTTGGATGGAAATCAGTCGATTACTGATTAGGTGATTTCAGGTAGGAAACAGCATGGTGGGAAATAAAATAATTAATCTACTACGAGTAGACCTAGGATTGTCGGGGTAGTAAAAAAGGTGAATAGATTTTCATTCATTTTAATTCTCAGGGGGTTTTATGCTTTTGCGTTTTGATATTAATAGAATATCATCTCTATGATATTTATTTATAATACCTCTAGTGTTAACACACAATGGTATTAATAAAATAACATCTCTATAATATTTATAATATCCCTAATGTTGTTAACCACTATGATATGAAGAATATCATCTATGATATCTGCATGTGTATATATATGTATAAAATAAATGGTTAATACCATACAAACCATTTTCCACATAACAAATGCTCTTGGAGACCATACCACTTCGAGTTATAAACATCACTCTCTTCCTTTTTAGTAGTTGTGTAGTACTCTATTGTACAGATATCCCATTATTTATTTGACCATTCTCTATGGCTGGGCATTTGAGTTATTCCCTGACTTCTGCTACTACAAGCATTGCTGCAATAAATATCTTTCCACGTGCAACTTTTTTAAGTCAAGTTTATCGAGGTGCAATGTTCACGCAGTGAAATTCTCCTCCTTCAGCACACAGCTCCTGAGTCCTGAATAAGTCATGCAGGCGTGGCCCCACTCACAGCCAAGATCAGAGCATTTCCAGCACCCGAGGAAGCCTCCTTGTCCCTTCCCCCGCCACCAATAGGGCCCTTGATCCCCACAAATGTCACATAAAAGGAATAATATAAGACGCAGTCCTTTGAGTCTAGCACTCTCACTTAGCATAATGTTAAAAGCAATAAATATCCTTCCATATACGCTTCTGGGCATATGTGAGATAACTTCAGAAGAAGCTGCAGGATTGAAGAGCGTGTGTATTTTTTACTTGCTATATATATATTTTTTCAAACAGTCTCACTCTGTCGCCCAGGCTGGAGTACAGTGGTGCGATCTCGGCTCACTGCAACCTCCGCCTCCTGGGTTCAAGCAATTCTCCTACCTCAGCCTCCCAAGTAGGTAGGACTACAGGTGTGTGCCACTACACCCGGCCAATTTTTTATTCTTTGTAGAGACGGGTTATCACCATGTTGGCCAGGCTGGTCTCGAACTCCTAGCCTCAAGTGATCCACCACCCTCAGCCTCCCAAAGTGCTAGGATAACAGGCATGAGCCACCGCGCCCGGCCCCCATTATATTATCATCTTGATGTTTTCTCGCTCCTGTGGACCTCTTGTTATACACTTTATTACTAAGTACTTTTTACGTGCATATATTCTGTTCTAAGGGTCTCTGCAGGGAGCATACAGGGTTTTCCTTGGGCCCTGGCTCAGATGCCAACAGATCCCATTCAGGCTTGGCAGCTCCTGCCTGTTTGAGTTGGTTGGGATCCTGGTGCTCGGGTGTAGGGGAGCTCAGGAGTGAACACCAAGGCCAGAAAGGGGCTTCCCAAGATTCCCCCAAACTGATGCCAGTTACAGGGGCTGCTGTAGAGGGGAAGGCAGAGCCTTAGAAAAGGACAGCAAGAGGCCAAAAAACGTCCCTTGGTGATTTCCAGGGTGGACTGCTCTCTGCAGGCTGGAGGTGTCTGGGACCTTGCTCATCTGGGCTCCAGGTCAGCTGCTTGAGTGATTTGGGGAATTGAGTGAGGACAGACCCCATGAAAATCTGCCATCCACTTGGGGCTCTTGCTTGATCTTCCTAAGCAAGGTGGGGCTCCTTGAAGGAAAGAATGAATCTCAAATTTCTGATATTTGACTTTGCATATATAATATATATGGACAAAATATGATCTCTGCTTCAGTGTGTGCATGTGTGTATAACCCGTGTGCATTTTTCCCTGCTGCAAAGAGAGATAAGAATCTATGTCAAGAGTCCAACAGTAAAGCAGAGTGCAGCCTGCAAGGTGTAATATTTTTGTTTGGAACATGACATTTTTAGTTCCTCCATGAAATCTTTTACTGATTCCAAACAATGTCTTTAACATTGGCCAGGCGGCCGGGCGCGGTGGCTCACGCCTGTAATCCCAGCACTTTGGGAGGCCGAGGCGGGCAGATCATGAGGTCAGGAGATCGAGACCATCCTGGCTAACACAGTGAAACTCCGTCTCTACTAAAAAAATAGAAAAAATTAGCTGGGTGTAGTGGCTGGCACCTGTAGTCCCCGCTACTCAGGAGGCTGAGGCAGGAGAATGGCGTGAACCCGGGAGGCGGAGCTTGCAGTGAGCCGAGATCGTGCCCCTGCACTCCATCCTAGGCAAGAGAGCAAGACTCCATCTCAAAAAAAAAAAACATTGGCCAGGCATGGTGGCTCATACCTGTAATCCCAGCACTTTGGGAGGCTGAGGAGAGGAGGATCGCTTGAGCCCAGGAGTTCCAGACCAGCCTGGGCAACGTGGCGAGACCCCATCTATTAAAAAAAAAATTAATTAGCCAGGCATGGTGGCGTGTGCCTGTAGTCCCAGATATTTGGGGAGTCTGAGGTGAGAGGATCACTTGAGCCCAGGCGGTTGAGGCTCTGATGAGCCATGATCACACCACTGCACTCCAGCCTAGATGACAGAGCAAGACCCTGTCTCAAAAAAAAAAAAAAAGAAAATTGAACTATATTCTCCTTTTATTTAATTGTTACAAAACCATAAAACTAACCAAAAACATAACTATTACTGAAAATGTTGTACAGTGGAGGAAAGTGTTTTAAAAAAAATGATCTACTCCAATGCAAATACCCTAGCTACACCACTGCTTAGAGGCCTCTCGTCCATCACCAAGATTGTTTTCAATCTCTCTTAAACCGTATTTATTCATGGGAAACACATTCTCTTTCTGAAATGCCAGATGGCCAGCAGAATCCTACCCTGTGTGGGCAGTGGAGGAGGAGGGTCAGAGAGATGGGAGAGGCAGAGACCTCACTGTCCCTAGGAGCAGGATTCCTGATCCTGCTCCCCCACCTGGGCCTCCCACACTTTGGACGCTCCAGGTCAAGGTCGCCGGGCCATTTTCCTGCCATCTCTGCCTGGAACCTGCCCAGATTGTTTTGAGACAGCTGCTTGAGCTCCACGGGCTGGAAAGAAACCGCGCTGCATCTGTGAACCTGATGTGAAACCCATCTGCCTGCCGAAGGAACGCATTGGGGACCGTCTTAGGTGACAGCTGGCACAGCGCTGTCTGACAGAAGTTTCTGTAGCAATGGAAATGTACTGTTCTGCGCTAACCACATGTGGCTACTGAGCACTTGAAATGTGGTTAGCCAACTCTTAATTGAAATTTAAATCGCCACATGTGGCCACTGGCTATCATACTGGACAGCACGGGGCTAGAAAATCTATGTGTGCTAATGTGGAGTAACCGTGCAGAGGGATGCATGAGGTGCAGGGAGAGGCAAGAGTCCAATCTGCTATCATTTGGCTGAAAACGGGGGTGGAGGGTGGTGTTTGCAGAGGTACACAACCCGCCAGAAGGACCAAGGAAGAGGACAGGAGAGGAGCTGGCAGAGGGCAAGAGGGAGAGCTTCCAGGTGTGCTCTTTTGTACATTTTGTATTTTGAACTATGGTAATGTATTACTGATTCCAAATGTTGACCCATTGAAAGGTATTGCTAAATGGCTGCAGGGGAGGAGCAGAATATTGCTGGGTATTATTACAGCATATGGGTATATTATATGCTATATGGGCATATTATAACATTTATTATATGTCTTGGGTCAGGGGATGTGGCCACAGTGTGCAGGCGGATAGCTGTGAAAGAATGGGTGTGTGAATGTGAGTGCACGTGTGTTGAGTGTATAAGAATGGGAGTGAGAATGAGTGTGTGTGCGTGAGTGAATATGACTGTGTGCATACGCAAATGCAAATTATGTGTGTGCGTAGGTTAGAGGATAGGTGTGTGAGAGGATAGTGTGTGTGTAAATGTGTGAGTGTGGATGCGTGAGTCTGTAAAAGAATCAGTGGGAGAATGTGCAGTGAGTGTGAGAAACAGCAAATGTGAGTGTGTGAATGTGTGTGTGTGGCTGAGTATGGGTGTGAGTGGGGGTAGGTGTGTGTGACAGTGTAAGAGTACGTGTGTGCAAGTGTATATGTAAGCGTGAGACTGAACGAGTTCTGTGTGTGAGAGTGAGCCTGGAGAGGTGTGAGGCTGTGTGTCAGTGTGGGTGCGTGTGTGTGTGCACTGTGTGTGAGATCAGGCATGGGAGTCATCGAAGAAGAAAAACACAGATGAGACACAAACCCCGACCTTGGAGGGCTCAGCCTGGTGTGGGAGGTGGAGAGGAAACCCCTAAGTGAGAACCACACAATAGGATGGTGGAAATTTAATTTGCTGGCGTTTGACTCAGGGGGAGCTGGCTGTGCTTGGAGAAATGTTTCCTAAGGGTTTGGCATAGAAGGTGGTAGCAGCAGCAATGGCATCTGTTGGGTTTGGAGCCCCTGTCATGGCAGAGCCTCCTGAGTTGAGAACTTCATGTTGTCATCTCCCGGCCACGTCCCCACCCAGCCCCAACTCAGGGCCTGCTCACAGCGGGCACCTAGCACCCTCCAACCCGCCCAGGAGCAGCTACACAGCCTCACTCATCCCTGTTCACCCAGCCCCAGATCCCTGCAAGCACGGGAGGCAACGTGATATTCCGAGGAGGAGGAGGGGAAGAAAGGGAGAATCCCTCAGATCAAATGAGTCATCAGTGCCACTCGAGCCAACAGGCGTTCCACTGGCGCACCCTATGGCAGGCAGGAATCTTGTCTAACCTTTGCCTTCCTCGAAGCCAAAATTTGTGACTGGAGGTGGCTCTAAGCAGTGCTTAGGAAACAGGGAAATGGGGACATACACACACACACACACACACACACACACACACACACACACACACACACACACACGAGACAGAGAAAACCCAAAAAGAACCTGCTCTGCTTACAATTCAGCATCCATCTCAATTTGTATCATTCAACTTTTTTTTTTTTTTTTTTTAGACAGTCTCGCTCTGTCACCCAGGCTGGAGTGCAGTGGCGCAATCTCGGCTCACTGCAACCTCTGCCTCCCGGGTTCAAGCGATTCTCCTGCCTCGGCTTCCCCAGTAGCTGGGACTACAGGCGCCCACGACCACGCCCGGCTATCATTTTGTACCCTTCAAAACCTAAAATGTATTTTATAGCAAAGCATTTTGTTTTTCATTTTCAGTTTCAGAAGAAATCTTTCTGTGTTTAGAGCACTGGCCCTGGTTGGCATCCAGTGATCCAATAATCTTTCAGGAAATCTACCTGCAGACACACGCACGTGTGCTAAAAACACACGCAGAACTATGTTCATTGCTGCACTGACCGCAAGCAGCAAAAAAGGTAGAACTGACCAAATATCCCCAAGTAAGGGCAGCTAAATAAAATATAGAACACCCATTCTACAGAAAGTTCAGCAACACAGAAAGAGTAAGGCAGACCAGTATTGGCTGATAAGGAAAGCGTTCATATTAAGTGGCCGGGCACAGTGGCTCACGCCTGTAATCCAGCACTTTGGAAGGCCGACGTGGGTGGATCACTTGAGGCCAGGAGATCGAGACCATCCTGGCTAACACAGTGAAACCCCCGTCTCTACTAAAAAATAGAAAAAATTAGCCTGGCGTGGTGGCTGGCACCTGTAGTCCCCGCTACTCGGGAGGCTGAGGCAGGAGAATGGAGTGAACCTGGGAGGCGGAGCTTGCAGTGGGCCGAGATCGTGCCACTGCACTCCATCCTGGGCGACAAAGCCAGCCTCCATCTCAAAAAAAAAAACAAAAAAAACAGTAAGTCAGACCAGTATTGGCTGATAAGGAAAGATTTTGTATTAGATGGCTGGGCACAGTGGCTCACGCACTTTGGGAGGCTGAGGTGGAAGGATCACTTGAGGCCAAAATGAGACAATATAGTGAGACTCCACCTCTACAAAAAATAAAAAATTTAGCCAGGCATGGTGGCTCACACCTATAGTCCTAACTACTTGGGAGACTGAGGTAGGAGGATCACTTGGGCCCAGGAAGTGGAGGCTGCAAAGGAAGTGGAGGCTACAGTGAGCCATGATCATACCACTGCACTCCAGCCCAGGTGACAAACCAAGACTGTGTCTCAAAAAAAAATAATAAAAGGGTATATTAAGTGAAGAAACCAAGGTATAAAACAGCAAATATAGTGTGATACCACTTAAGCAGATACATATGGAATTGTACACACAAACACTTCTGGGAGGATACACAGGAAACAGTGCCAAAGTGAGAAATCTTTGTGGGCCGGGCAGGTGTGGAGTAGGGGAATGGGGTACAGAAGAAGACTTTTACTTTTCAGTCAAGCCCTTCCATACCATTATTTATATATTTATTCCTCAAAAACATAAAAGCAAACATATATATAACATATGTATGTGTTTAAATATAAATATACATATAACATATATATGTATTTAAATATAAATATACATACATATAACATATATATGTATTTAAATATAAATATACATACATATAACATATATATGTATTTAAATATAAATATACATATATATGTGTATCAATAAAAATCTAATAGATTTCACCTTCTAGACAAGATTGAGTAAACAAGGATTGATCTTACCCTCCTACCTGAAATGACTCCAAAAACACTCAAAAACCATAAAGCAATGGTGTTCCAGACACCGGCCATCAGGTCTTGAAGGATGGTGATCCCCGTGCTGTGGGAAAGAGATGAAGTGTGTCCTATAATTGCCCAGCTGACTGCCTGAGGAAAGTTTCCAGGCGTTGGCACACGAACAGTCCGCCAAAGGGAGTCCATTGACCTTCAAGAGACAGAGCTGGGAAGGAGGAGTGCCGATGTGGCTAGGGTGTGAAGGATGGAGCAGAGGCAGCAGAGGGCCATGCAGAGAATGTCCTGAGATGGGCAGAGGGCTCCCCTAAGTCTTCAGTTGAGCAGGTGCATGCAAGCAAACAACCCCAGGCTGGGGAAAGAACCACCCCGGCCTTAAAGTGAACAATTCCCAGAGCTCATGCAAGGCTGGGTAGTTCCTGATCCCAACAACTGCAATAGAAAATGTCATAATTCATGTAGCATCAAGTCAGATCCCAGAAAGGTTTTACCTCAGTATTAAGGCAAAATGAGCTCTGGACTTATACCACTCTGGTCCCATCTAACAAAACTTTTTTTTTTTAATTTTTCCTTTGAGACAGGGTCTCACTCTGTTGCCCAGGCTGCAGTGCAGTGTCTTGATCTCGGCTCACTGCAACCTCCACCTCCTGGGTTCAAGCAATTCTCCCACGTCAACCTCCCAAGTAGCTGGGATTACAGGCATGTGCCACCACACCTAGCTCATTTTTGTATTTATAGTAGAGACAGGGTTTTCACCATGTTGTCCAGGTTGGTCTCAAACTCCTGGCCTCAAGTGATCCACCCACCTCAGCCTCCCAAAGTGCTGGGATTACAGGTGTGAGCCATGGATTACAGGTGTGAGCCACCGCACCCAGCCCCATCTAGCAAAGCTTAAAAGGAAGTCTCAAAATGATAAAAATGTTTCCAAGTAAATTATCTGTGTCCTAGAAAAAAAAAGATCAAGAATATTTGTAAAAGCACAAACATTTTTAGCACTCTGGCATGCAATTTAAAAAAAAAAAAAAGGCAGTATCCATGCAAAGAGACAAGAAAATATGACCCAAAATGAGGGGAGGAAATCAATCAATTGAAACCAAACCAGAAATAACACAGATAATGGAATTAGTAGATTAGGATATTTTAGGTTATTATAACTGTATTCTATGTGTTCAAGAAACTAGAAAAAAGATTCAGCACATTCAGTCTTAAAAATGAATGATACTTAAAAACAAACAAACAAACAAACAAACAACAACAAAAAAAAAACCTAAGCTGAACTTCTAGAGATGAAAACTATAATGTCTGAGACGCAAAATATTGATCCCATCTTGATGCAAGATGGGATTAAGAACATGTCTTAGCTCAGGCTGCCATAACAAAATAATAGTCTGGGGGGCTTAAACAACAGACACTTACTTTCTCACAGTTCTGGAGGCTGGAAGTCCAAGACCAGGCGCCAGCATGGTTGCGTTCTGGTGAGGACTATCTTCCTGGCTTGCAGACTGGCTTCTTGCTCTGCCCTCACATGGCCTTTTCTTGGTGTGTGCCTATGGAGAGAGAGAAGGCACAATCTCTCTGGTGTCTGTTCTTATAAAAGCACAAAGTTCACTATGAAGACCCCATCCTCATGACCTCATCTAGCTTTAATTACCTCCCAAAGTCCCCATTCCAAATATCATCACATTGGTATTTGGTTTGGGCTTCAACATATGAATCTGGGGGAGGAGGACACAAGCATTCCATTCATAACAATGCAAATTAGACCCTGTAGAAGAAAATATTAGTGAAGTTGAAGACATGGCAATAGAAAGTATCCAAAATAAAACAAAGAGAAAAAAAAAAGACTGAGGAAAAAACTACTAACTGTTGCTGAAAAAAATTTTAAAATAGATAAAATAAAATAGAAATTTAAATAGAAAGATATGTCATACGTGTGGACCAGAAGGCTTCATATTGTTATGATGTCAATTCTTCCTAAATTGATGGACAGACTTAACACAATCCCATTCAAAATCCTAGTAGGCTTTTTTGGTACAAATTAATAAATTAATTGTAATATTTGTATGAAAATGCAAAGACCTAGAATAGCCGAAAACAACTTTGGAAAGAAAAAGTTGGAAGATTTAGGCTCTCTGACTTCAAGCCTTATATATTTTTATTTTTATTTATTTATTTTTTTTTGAGACAGAGTCTTACTCTGTTGCCCAGGCTGTAGTGCAGTGGTATGATCACGGTCAAGTCTTATTATAAAACTACCATATGGTATTGGCATAAAGATAGACAAATAGATCAATGGACAGAATAAAGACTCCAGGCCAGGCGAAGGGGCTCACACTTGTAATCCCAGAACTTCAGGAGGCTGAAGCAGGCTGACTGCTCGAGTCTAGAAGTTCAAGACCAGCCTGGGCAACATAGTGAGACTTTGGCTCAATATATATATGTGTGTATATACATATGCGTATATATGTATGTGTATATATGTGTATATATGAATGTGTATATATATGTGTATATGTGTGTATAGATAGATAGACAGAGAGAGAGAGAGTCCAGAAATGGTCCATTGATTTTTCAATGAAGGTACAAAGTTAATTTTGTGGAGAAAGGCTAGACTTTTCAACCAATGATGTTGGAACAATTGGATATCCAAACAGAAAAAAATGAATTTCAACCCATATTTCACACTACATACCACAATTACCTACAAAAATTTACTCCAAATGGATCAGAGACCTCAATGTAAAGTCTAAAACTATAATATGTCTAGAAGGAAAAACAGGAGAAAATCTTTGTGGCATTGCATTCGGTTAACTCTTTCTTAGATATAATATCAAAAATACAATACATAAAAGAAAAAAATGAACAAATAAAACCTCATCAAAATTAAGAATGGCTCTTCAAAAGACACTTTTAAGAGAATAAAAGGACAAGCTACAGTCTAGGAAAAAACATTTGCCAAACACATTATTGATAAAGGACTTCCAGCTGGGCACAGTGGCTCATGTCTGTAACCCCAGCACTTTGGGAGGCCGAGGCAGGCAGATCACCTGAGGTCAGGAGTTCGAGACCAGCCTGGCCAGCACAGTGAAACCCCATCTCTACTAAAAATACAAACACTAGCCAGGCGTGGTGGCATGCATTTGTGGTCCCAGCTGCTTGGAAGGGCGAGGCAGTCGAGTTGCTTGAACCCAGGAGGCGGAGATTGCAGTGAGCCGAGATCATGCCATTGCACTCCAGCCTGGGCAACAGAGTGAGACTCTGTCTCAAAAAAAAAAAAAAAAAAAAAGACTTCCATCCAGAATATATACATAATATCAAAATTCAATAATAAAACAAATTACCAAATTTTATAAAGTGGACTTGAAGATTTGAATGAACACTCTCAACAAAAAATATGTAATGTCAAGTGAGCACATGAAAAGATGTTCAGGCCGGGCCTGGTGGCTCACAACTGTAACCCAGCACTTTGGGAGGCCGAGGTGGGCAGATCACTTGAGGTCAGGAGTTTGAGACCAGCCTTGCCAACACAGTGAAACCCCATCTCTACTAAAAAACAAAAATTAGCCCGGTGTGGTGGCACATGCCTGTAATCCCAGCTACTCGGGAGGCTGACACATGAGAATCACTTGAACCTGGGGGGCAGAGTTTGCAGTGAGCAGAGATTGGGCCACTGCACTCCAGCCTGGGACAGAGTGAGACTCTGTCTCAAAATAAATAAATAAATAAATAAATAAATAGGAAAAGATGTTTAACACAGTCATTAAAATAATGCAGATTAAAACTACAATAATACAGCAGTATGCATCTATTGAAATATTTAAAATCCAAGGTTGTCTGTAACCTATGCATCTATTGAAATATTTAAAATCCAAGGTTGTCTGTACCCACTGCTGGCAAGAATATGGAGCAGTTAAAAGTCTCATATCCTGCAGGTGAATATGCATAATCACTATGGAAAACAGTTTCGTAGTTTCTTTTTTTTTTTTTTTTTTTGAGACAGAGTCTCGCTCCATTGCCCAGGCTGGAGTGCAGTGGTGCGATCTCGGCTCACTGCAAGCTCAGCCTCCTGGGTTCAAGCGATTCTCCCACCTCAGCCTCCCGAGTAGCTGGGACTACAGGCCACCATGCCCGGCTCATTTTTTGTATTTTTAGTAGATATGGGGGTTTCACTGAGTTAGCCAGGATGGTCTCGATCTCCTGACCTCGTGATCCACCCGCCTTGGCCTCCAAAGTGCTGGGATTACAAGCATGAGCCACCGTGCCGGCCTCGTAGTTGCTTAAAAGTTAAATGCACATCTACCATTCCACTCCTAGGTATTTAAGCAAGAGAAATGAAGATACACGTCACTATGAAGACCTGCACAAAAATGCTCACGGCAGCTTTATTTGTAACACCCCAAAACTGGAAACAGCCAAATGTCCATTAACAGATAAACTAGTATAATCATACAATGGAATACCACATAGCAACCAGAGGAAACGAGCTTCATACACGCAACAATGTGGATGAAACGAAAATAAATATGCTGAGTGAAAGAAGCTGAATTAAAAAGCGTGCATGCTGTATGATTACATTTATATAAAATTCTAGAAAATCCAAACTAATCTACAGTGAAAGAAAACAGGTCAGTGATTGCTAAAGAACAAGAGCGGACCACAAGGAAACCTTTGGGTACATACATATGTCAAAACTTGGCAATTGTATACTTACAATATGTGCAGTTTGTTGTATATCAGGTATACCTCAACAAAGCAGCTTAAGAAATAAACCGGCCGGGAGTGGTGGCTCACGGCTGTAATCCCAGCACTTTGGGAGGCCAAGGCGGATGGATCACCTGATGTCAGGAATTCGAGACCAGCCTGGCCAACACGGCGAAACTCCGTCTCTACTAAAAATACAAAAATTAGCCGGGCGTGGTGCCAGGCACCTGTAATCCCAGCTACTCAGGAGGCTGAGGAAGGAGAATCGCTTGAACCTGGGAGGCGGAGGTTGCAGCGAGCCGAGATTGTGCCACTGCACTCCAGCCTGGGAGACAAAGCGAAACTCTGTCTCATTAAAAAAAGAAATAAACTGATAATTACTAACACCTATATAGGGCTTGAAAGTGCCAGACACTCTAAAAAACTGTTTTACTCATTAACTTGTTTAATCTTCCCAACAATAATTCCTTGAATATTATTGTTGACATTTTTCAGAGACGGAAACTGAGACAGGGAGCCTGAATGCGAACACCTGGCATTCAAGGATCCACGTCCTTTCCAGTTTCTCTCTATATAATGCATCTGAGCCTTGTTTTTCGACTCAATTATGTGTTGAACACCTGGTGTGTATATAGCCCCTTGTTATATTTGCCGGATCCCAGGGAAGAAGCAGAAAATTTTCTACACCTAAACTTAATTTTGTTTCCATTGCCTGAGTACCTTGATCATAGGTGGGGGGAGAGCTCCACCTGCTGGTATAACTAAGGAACCGCAGGCACTTCCTGTGTTTTCTAAGGGTGCTCGCTGACCTTGTTTGAATATTTAAAGTGCCCCTGTCTGGCTGAAATTTTTAGCCGCTGTAACCAGGTTTTAGTCTTGTTTCATCCACTAATCTTTTTTTTTTTTTTGGTAAGGCAGATTCTCGCTGTGTTGCCCAGGCTGGAGGGCAGTGGTGAGATCGCCTGCCAGGCTCAAGCGATTTTCCTGCCTTGCAGCCTTCCGAGTAGCTGGAACTACAGGCGCACACCACCACATCCGGCTAATTTTTATATTTTTAGTAGATACAGGGTTTCACCATGTTTGCCAGGCCGGTCTCAAACTCATGACCTCAGGTGATCCACCCACCTCGGCCTCCCAAAGCGCTGAGATTACAGGCATGAGGCACCACGCCTGCCCAGTTTCCCCCATTTTTAACATCTTGCATTAGTGTGGTACATTTGTCACAGTTGATGAACCAATATTGACACATTATTATTAAATAAAGCCCATGGTTTATATTAGGCCTCACTCTTGGTGTCGTACGTTCTATGGGATTTGACGAATGCATAATGACATGCATCCACCATTACATAGTCACACAGAGCAGCTTCCCTGCCCTAAAAGTTCCCTGGGCTCCCGTTTACCCCTTATCCCCTCCCACCCGCTGAACTCCTAGCAACCCTGATCTTCGGACTCTATAGTTTTACTAATTTATTTTTAAAATTATTTTGAAGTCTATTTAAATCCTTGGCACTTACTTAGCTTTGTAAATTTAACTTTCATTTTTAGTCATTATTCACCATCTTCAGTCAGAGGAACTGAAATAAAAAAATTTAAATTTAAATTTAAAATCTAGTCTTTCAAAATCACAGAACTAAGTAAGTGTAAAGGAAAATTACACAAAATTTCAAATGCTAATTTTTGTTAAGTTTATGGCATTCATACTTCGGAAGTTGTTAGAATGGAAAACCGTGCTCAGACTTCTGGAACGCAGTGTGTTCAGTTCCGCAGGCCAGGAATGGCCTCCATGGGGAGATGCTGCTGAGACTTGGCCTGTCACAGAGGACTGGGCCACAGCCAGATAGGCGAGAGACAGGCAGTGGCCTTTCCTGGCAGAAGGGCCTGTGTGAGTGACAGCAATGAACTAGGGTGCCAGGCAAAGGCCAGCTGTTTAGTGAATAGACTCGATATTCTCAGTGACACTCAGGCTGGAAGGGTCAAAATGAGTCATGCAGGCTACTGAACACCATATGAAAACTGGGCCTTATCCTGTGGGCCATAGGGAGCCACTGACGGTTTATGAGCAGCAGAGTGACTTGGTCTGATTTTCATGGGGAAAGAATGTTAAGACTGAGAAACAATTCAGGGAACTGTGGGAAACATCACTGTGATCCTGGATATCTGGTTTTCCTCCACTTCCAGTCATATAAAACTGTACTTCCTATACTTTTTTAGGCATGACCATGTGACTTTTTTTTTTTTTTGCGACAGAGTTTTGCTCTTGTTGCCCAGGCTGGAGTGCAGTGGTGTGATTTCGGGTCACTGCAACCTCTGCCTCCCAGGTTCAAGCAATTCTCTTGCCTCAGCCTCCCAAGTAGCTGGGATTACAGGCATGCGCCTCTGTACCTGGCTAATTTTTGGTATTTTTAGTAGAGACGGAGTTTCACACTATTAGTCATGCTGGTCTTGAACTCCTGACCTCTAGTGATCCAACCGCCTCGGCCTCCCAAAGTGCTGGGTTACAGGCATGAGTCATCACGCCCAACCTTTTTTTTTTTTTTCTGAGACAGAGTCTCATTCTGTCACTCAGGCTGGAGTGCAGTGGCACAATCTTGGCTCACTGCAACCTCTGCCTCCCGGGTTCATGCAATTCTCCTGCCTCAGCCTCCTGAGTAGCTGGGATTATAGGCGCACACCACCACACCCAGCTAATTTTTTGTGTATTTTTAGTAGAGACAGGGTTTCGCTATGTTGGCCAGACTGGTCTTGAACACCTGACCTGGTGATCCACCCGCCTCGGCCTCCCAAAGTGCTGGGATTACAGGCGTGAGCCATCGCGCCTGGCCTTTTTTTTTTTTTTTTTTTTTTTTTTAGACAAGGTGTCACTCTGCTGCCCAGGCTGGAGGGCAGTACTGTGATAACAGCTCATTGCAGCCTCCAACTCCAGCAATCGTCCTGCCTCGGCCTCCCAAGTAGCTGGGACTACAGGCATGCACCACCTTGCCCAGTTAATTTTTAAATTTTTTGTAGAGACAGGGTCTCACTATGCTGTTCTCCAACTCCTGGCCTCAAGCAATCCTCCTGCCTTGGCCTCCTAAAATGCTGGGATTACAGGTGTGAGCCACTGCACCTGACGTGTGTGACTAATTGTAGCCAATGAAAAGTGGGCAGATAGGTGTCATTTCTAGTGGAAGCATTTCAGAATCAGGGTACAATTCCCCTGGCTTGTGTCCTCTGTGTTCAAAAGGGGCCACAGGAGACGGTGGAGCTTCAGTCTGTGTCCCTGAGGAACCACAGGGAGCAGGAACCTCTGTCCATGAAGTTACATATGGAGCAAATGCCAAAATAAACTTGATTGCCTTGAGCCACTTCAGTTTGGGGATGTCTGTTTTGGCAGCGCAGACTAGCCTATCCTGGCTGAAACAGACACTGTTGCAGGACCAGGAGGAGGAGGGGGCCTGAGCTGAGGCAGGAGGGATGCTGGAAGGCATGGAGTGTCAGTTGTCTATAGCTACCCCAAACTCAACAGTGTCAAACCACCAGCATTTAGCTAGTTCACCAGCCTGTGCATTGGCCAGGTGGTTCTTCAGGACTCACGCATCTATGGCCAGTTGTGGGTCTGGATGGGTGGATCTGTGGGTCTGGATGTGTGGATCGGTGGGTCTGGATGGGTGGATCTGTGTGTCTGGATGTGTGGATCGGTGGGTCTGGATGGGTGGATCTGTGGGTCTGGATGGGTGGATCAGTGGGTCTGGATGGGTGGATCTGTGGGTCTGGGTGGGTGGATCTGTGGGTCTGGATGGGTGGATCTGTGGGTCTGGGTGGGTGGATCTGCAGCTCTTGGCTGGACTCTTCTCATGTGTCTTGGGCCGCTGGTTTAGGAGGCCTTCACTGAGAGCACAGGGGTGGCTCAGCTCAGTTCCAGGTGTTTCACCTCCCATGGGCGAGCCCAGACCTTCTCCTAGCCTGTGTACCTTTAAGTGGCAGGGGAGCTGGAGAGGGATTAAAACAGGCAAAAGCCCCATTACAAGCTTTTTCTTGAATCACATTTGCTAAAGTAAGTCACATGCCTGAGCACAGAGTCAAGGGGTAGGATGGAACCCCCTCCCCGCACGTGGGAGGGCACTGCAAAGTTCAGCAGCCAAGGGCACAGATCCAGACAGGGAGAGAAGTGGGGTCATGTGTGCTACCAGCCTACCACCTAGGGGTGCAGCTGCTGACCTGATGTCTGATTGGATGCAGGGGGTGCTGTGGGCGTCTCTATGGACAACACTGACCCCCATCCCTGTATAGGTACGCCACCCCACTAATCAACAAGAGGAGTCTGTGTCTGTGACACTTTGACCGAGAGAACATGGTGAAAGTGACTGCCACTTCCCAGCTTTGTCATTCCCAGCTGCCATTTAAAGGGACACAGGCTAGACCACTGAAAAATGAGAGAGGGAGGCCACGAGGGGGGAATCAAGGCCAGTGTGAGAGTGAAGCCATTTGAGACCTTCCAGCCAACTCCCAGCTGAATGAAGCCACATTAAGGGAGCCCAGGTGAAACCAGAAGAGTCACAGGAAGCAATAAACCATGGTGGGTTTAAACCACTACATATTGGGGTGACTTGTCACACAGCACTTGATCACTGATGGAGATGGAGAAAACTAAACAAGGCTGATACTCAGATTTACGGCTTGAGTTCTTAGCCCAGGGGTCATGCCCTGTCCAGGTATAACAAATCCAGAGGCAGGAACCGCCTTGAGAAGAAGTTGTAGACGTTTATTTGTTACGCTTGTGGGATGTCCATGCAATAAAATCCAATAGGCACAAGGTAGGATCCACAGATCCGAACTCACGGAGCAAGAGGTGTGGGAGCTGGAGACAGAAGATGGATAGCATCAGGGCTGTCAGTTGCTTGCCCAGGAGGAAGTGGGAAGTGGGACTGGAAGTGGCCCAAGAACAGAGTCTTGGGGAGCACTCACCTTAAGAAGCGGCCCTGGCCAGGCGCGGTGGCTCACACCTGTAATCCTAGCACTTTGGTAGGCTGAGGCGGGTGGATCACCTGAGGTCAGGAGTTCGAGACCAGCCAGGCCTACATGGTAAAACCCCGTCTCTACCAAAAATACAAAAAATTAGCCAGGCGTGGTGGTGGGCACCTGTAGTCCCAGCTACTCAGGAGGCTGACACAGGAGAATTGCTTGAACCCGGGAGGTGGAGGTTGCAGTAAGCCAAGATCACACCACTGCACTCCAGCATGAGCAACAGAGTGAGATTCCATCCCACAAAAATAAAAATAAAAAGGAGAATAACTTGCATCCTGCCCTCTAATATACAGTATAGTGATTAATAGCAAAGGCCCTGTATCAGACTTGGTTAAAAACCCAGTTCTGCTCTTTCTGCCTCTCAGACTGTGGACAAGTAAATCTTTGCAGCCATCTTATCACCTGTAAAACGGAAATGACAACAGTCCCTACCTGATAGGTGACTTCCTCTCTGCTCTCCAGGCCTTTGCTGATGCCCCATCACTCTGGTCCTCTTCTCCCGACCAGACTGTGCTCCAGATGGCAGGGTCCAGGTTAGTCTGGAATCATTGGCATCTAGCCCAGTGCTGGCTGGGACCATGTGTTACTAAGTGCAGGCTCTGCAGCCAGACAGACCAAGTTTATCACCCTGGTTCCCCTGCTACCAGTCATGCGACCTCGGGAAAGTAGTTTACTTTAAGCCTCAGTTTCCTTATCCAAAAATGGAGACAGTAGGACTATGAAAGGACATAAATTAGGTAATTCACATGAAAGCACAAAGATGACAGCTGCCAAACGGTAAGTATTCTACAAAATGCTGGCTATAATTAGTGGTAGTGACAGGCAGCTGATACACTGCTGTTTAATAAATGTTTCCGAGGCCGGGTGCGGTGGCTCATGCCTGTAATCCCAACACTTTGGGAGGCCAAGGCGGGCAGATCACGAGGTCAGGAGATCGAGACCATTCTGGCTAACATGGTGAAACCCTGTCTCTACTAAAAATACAAAAAATTAGCCGGGCGTGGTGGCCTGTAGTCTCAGCTACTCGGGTGGCTGAGGCAGGAGAATGACGTGAACCCAGAAGGCGGAGCTTGCAGTGAGCCGAGATCCCACCACTGCACTCCAGCCTGGGTGACAGAGCGAGAATCCGCCTCAAAAATAAATAAATAAATAAACGTTTCCATATTCTTAGTGTCTGGGGCTAGGTAAAGTTTGTTCACTCATTAATATTCCAGGTGCCAAACCTGTGAGCAATGACACTCCAGTAGCAATGAGCATTTGTGGCATCCACATCTTGGTTTCTGAACTGTTGTCTGCTAAAAAGTAACCAAGGCTCCCTGAAGAAATGACTGCAGCAGGGAGAAGGGATGACTGAAACATCTTGTATCAGAAAGCAAGAAAATGCTCAAAGAAGCTGGATTAGTGCCCAAAGAACATAAGAACTGTCTTGAAGGGGCTTCACTGGCCACATCTGGGGGAAAAAAAATCGACCAGAAAGAATAATAATTGATTATAAAAGACAATTTTAAAAAATCCAGGAATCCATAGTGAGTCTTCGAAAAAAAAGAAAAAAAGAGAGGGTATAAAACTGATATATATTTATCATATATATAATCTATAGTTTTATATATATATATATAAATGCTGCTAAAATCACTGAGTGAAAGGCTGATAGAGAAGAAGATGGTCCCAGAGAGTACCTGTTAATTACAAATGGAAGAAGGAAACATTAAATGGAGAAATGGGGCAGACACCACCTTTAGCAAGCGATCAAGCTTCACATTACCAAAAACGGGACAAACTGACATTATCCAAGTGTGTTCTGCAGGAAAAAAGAAAAATTAACCTTTATCTAATTACAAGGCAAGAGGGAGGGGAGGATTAGACAAATCAAGAATATGGGATATTCTATTACACAACTGGTCTGGACCCGTCAAAATTATCAAGGTGATGAGACCCCCCCTAAAAAAAGAAGGACTGATCTGAATTAAAGGAGACCGAAGAGAAATAACTCCAGGCAGTGAGTGAATCCAGCAGGGGAGGGGGTCTAACAACTGAAATTGAAATATAAACTGTCTATTGGCTAATACTGCATTGGCTAGTACTGCATCGATATTAAATCTCTTGGGTATGAAAATGGCACTGATGTCATGAAGAATGGCTTTGTTCTTAGGAGATGCACTGCAGAAGTATTTATGATAGGAAATCTCTGAAAAGGAACAGACGTTGAGTCCCAGTCTTTCGGCCCAAGGTTCGCGCGTGCGCACAGCCCCCTTTCCGAGACTTATTTCGCGCGGTCGGAGAATCAGATTGTGCCCACAAGGCGGAAATGTACGACAGCGGGTTCCGGTGACCACGAAGGCGGCAAAGGCGACGGAATGGAGGAGGTGCCTCACGGTAAGCTCGCGGAGGGGGCGTGGGTCGCGGGGCGAAAGTGTCGGGAGCTGCTCTAACTGTGGTCTTGTCTCTGCGCAGACTGTCCAGGGGCCGACAGCGCCCAGGCGGGCAGAGGGGCTTCATGTCAGGGATGCCCCAACCAGCGGCTGTGCGCTTCTGGAGCGGGGGCCACTCCGGACACGGGTGAGAAAAGGGCAAGGCCTCAACAGGAACTTAGAGGCGCAGGCCCGGAAAAGGCGGGGCGTGGGAGGGAGGGGGCGGGATCTGCAGAATGACTGACAGCGGCAGGCTAGAAGGTATTGTATTCGGAGAGGGGTGGGGCCCAGAAGGGGCGGGGCGTGGAAAGTGGGCAGGGTGAGGGCGGAGCTTGGAATGACTGACAGGAACGAGGCCTTTAGAAGGCGAGCGCGAAGGACCTGGCGCGGATGGAGGGTGGAGACTGACCGGCGCGGAGTCGAAAGGGACATTAATTAAGAGGGTCGGGGCCAGAGGTTTGAGTGACAATAACAGACCGCAGAGAAAAACGGGATAAGCTTCGAAGTCGGGGAGTCTTCGGACTTACATCCTGGCTCTGCCAGCTACTTTCTTGACACAATTTTCTTCCTTTTGAGGAGTGATTCTCCCACTCATTCAGCAGAAATGTGTTGATCGCCTCGTAGGTTTGGTGCTGTCCTGGGGACACAGCTGGGGATCAGGCGTGGTCACTGCTCTAGTGGAGTTTAGCTTTACTGGGGAAACAAACACGTGAGCTAGCAACTAAACCACCGCAGCTTTAAGTGCTGTGAAGCACAGATTCCAGGATGAGAGGACCCAGGGAGCCTGCTCAGAAGGACCTTAAAAAGCAGGAGGCAGGAGGACAATATTTTTTTTTCTTTTTTTTCCCCCTTTTTTTTTAGACAGAGTCTTGCTGTGTAGCCCAGACCAGAGTGCAGTGGTGTGATCTCGGCTCACTGCAACTTTCACCTCTCAGGTTCAAGCGATTCTCGTGCCTCAGTCTCCCGAGTACCTGGGACTACAGGCGCCTGCCACCACGGCTGGCTAATTTTTATATTTTTAGTAGAACCAGAGTTTCACCATGTTGACCAGGTTGGTCTCGAACTCCTGACCTCAAGTGATGCATCTGCCTGGGCCTCCCAAAGTGCTGGGATTACAGGCATGAGCCACTGCACCTGGCCAAGGGGGAGAATCTTGAAGGAGTTCAGAGAGAGACTTGGATTTGATTCTTGGATCCATGCGGTGTGACCTTCAGCAATAGTCCTAACCTCTCTGAGCTTCTGGTTCCTCATCAAAAATGGAGACAGGCCGGGTGCAGTGGCTCACGCCTGTAATCCCAGCACTTTGGGAGGCCGAGGCGGGTGGATGGATCACTTGAGGTCAGGAGTTCGAGACCAGCCTGGCCAACATGGTGAAACCTGTCTCTACTAAAAATACAAAAATTAGCCAGCATGGTGGTGCATGCCCGCCCTCGAGGCTGAGGTGGGAGGATCACTTGAACCCGGGAGGTGGAGGTTGCAGTGAGCTGAGATCGTGCCACTGCACTCCAGCCTGGGTGACAGAGTGAGACCCTGTCTCAAAGAAAAAAAAAAATGAAGAGAAAAATAGTTATCTCTGTCAATGCAATGGAGAGACTGAACTGAGCCTCAGTGGAGGTTTATTGGGCCAGAGCTTGAGGGCGTGCCCTGGAAAATACAAGTGACAGAAACATCTGTGGCCTGTGCTCGATGGAGTGGTTCCAGAAGGCTGGTGTTTATATATTTCATTAAAAGGGGAAAAAGCATGCAGGAAAAAGTGCAGTAGGCCTCGTGGCAGGTAGTTACATTCTTGTGAGGTTTTAATTCGTGCCCAGTATATCTACACTATTCAGAAAATAAAGTAAACATTCAAAAGAGGGAATAAAGGAAGAATTAATTAGGCAGACGTCTCAGGGTAGGAGAGGAAGGACTATCTCATCCCATCTTTGTTTGGCATGTGGGAGGATAAGCTTGTAATGGACATGGTCAGTGTGGCGTTTAACAGACATCAGTAATAGGGAAGGAGTTAGACTGAGGTTACAGTCCTAAAGTTACAGTTGGCATGTCCTTGTTTATGGGAGGATACTCATCTTCAAAGATTTAGGGGCCAGCAAAGGAGTTCCTTAGGAGCAACTTGTGAGGGCAGTCATCCCACAATGGATTGCATGGGGCCTTTGGCCTTTTGCAGGTGTCTGGTTAATGTAGAATGCTTTGACACAAGGTTGGGAAGTAACAGCTGTCTGTTGATGGGGAGGAGGACAGCAGTGTTGGGAGGTTTCCAGGCTTAACTTTCACTTGAGTTTGGCCAGTCATGAGACTTTTTAATTTCCTTTATACCTCGTGTATTGTTTTAAGGATTTGAAATAAGATAGTTTCATTGGCAGATACTTAGTATGTGCCTGCTGTCTATCAGAGTTTCTCAACCTCAGCACTGCTGACATTTGGGGCAGGATCACTCTTTGTTGTGGGGGGCTGTCCTGTGCATTGTAGGACATTTAGCACAATCTGGGCTGTACCCATTAAATGCCAGCAGTACCTCTCCTGTGACAATGAAAAGTGTCTCCAGGCTGAGCATGGTGGCTCACACCTGTAATTCCAACACTTTGGGAGGCCAAGGTGGGTGGATCACTTGAGGTTGGAAGTTCGAGACTAGCCTGGCCAACATAGAGAAACACCGTCTCTATTAAAAATACAAAAATTAGCCAGGCATGGTGGCAGGCACCTGTAATCCCAGCTACTTGGGAGGCTAAGGCAGGAGAATCGCTTGAACCCAGGAGGCAGTGTTGCAGTGAGCCGAGATCACGCCACTGCACTCCATCCTGGGCGACAGAGCAACACTCTGTCTCAAAAAAAAAAGAAAGAAAGAACAGTGTCTCCAGACATTACCAAATGTCTCTGGGGGATTTTGTCCCCAAGTTGGTGACCATTGCTGTTTGCAAAGTTCTCTTCTGGAGCTGGGAATACAGCACTGAAAGCTTCAGACAGTTCCTACCTTTGTGGAGACTATGTTCTAGTTGGGGGAGACAAACGTGTAAACCAATAAATGAGACCCCTTCAAGTGTGATAATAGCCTTATTTTCTTCCTAGCACTTATTTCTACCATTGTCTGAGAGGTATTTCAGAGGATCGTTTTAAACAGCCCCAGGACTAGTACTAGGACTAGGACTTAGCTCTTTCTAGTTGACTGGAAGCGTGACATTCGAGGTTTGGTGTGGGACCTCATCCCCTGAACTTTGGTTTTCTTTGCAGCTATAGAGGAAATCAAAGAGAAAATGAAGACTGTAAAACACAAAATCTTGGTATTGTCTGGGAAAGGCGGTGTTGGGAAAAGCACATTCAGCGCCCACCTTGCCCATGGCCTAGCAGAGGATGAAAACACACAGGTGAGACCTCAGGAACCACTGGGAGATGCTCATTTTGTCTGAGGGTCGTGATGGCTACTAAATAACTGATTCCTAGGCCAGGCGCAGTGGTTCATGCCTGTAATCCCAGCACTTTGGGAGGCCAAGGCGGGCAGATCACTTGAGGCCAGGAGTTTGAGATCAGCCTGGCCAACATGGCAAAACCTTGTCTCTACTAAAAATACAAAATATTAGCTGGGCGTGGTAGCGCAGGCTTGTAATCCCAGCTTTTCGCGAGGATGAGCCATGAGAATCGCTTGAGCCCAGGAGGCAGAGGTTGCAGTGAGTCAAGATTGTACCAGTGTACTCCAGCCTGGGTGGCAGAATGAGACTGTCCAAGAAGAAAAAAAAATGATTCCTTATACTAAGTTGAATTGGCCTCTTTGGAATCTCAATCCGGCAGAGAGCAAAGAAATGCCCAGTAGTCAAATGAAGCATTTCACTGGATTCCCTAGCCAAGAAAATGGCTAGCAGATGTACATCTGTCCTTGCATGTGGATAGTTTATTACATTACGTTCACGCTTCTTTTTCCTCTTTATTAACCCCTTTTAGCTTTTCTCTAAGCCAGGGACCTGCAAACTATAGCCAGTGGGCCAAATCCAGCCCATCTCCTGCCTTATGGCCTTTGAACTAAGAATGTTCACATTTTTGAAATGTTTTTTGTTTGTTTGAGACAGGATCTCACTCTGTCACCCAGGCTGAAGTGCATTGCTATGATCAGGACTCATTGCAACCTCTACTTCCTGGGCTCATCAAGCTATCCTCCCACCTCAGCCTCTCAAGTACCTGGGACTACAGGTGCTTGCCACCATGCCCGGCTAATTTTTGGGTTTTTTGTAGAGATGAGGTTTTGCCATGTTGCCCAGGCTAGTCTTGAACTTCTGAACTCAAGGCGTCCCCCTGCCTCGGCCTCCCAAAGTGCTGAGATTATAGGCATGAGCCACCGTGCCTGGCCTAAAATTGCAATTTTTAAATTAGTACCTAAGTACCTACATATGATCCTTGATTTTGCCCACAAAGCCTAATAATATATTTGCTGTTGGCCCTTGTGGAAAATTTTTGCTGGCCCTTACACGAGTTTATTCATTTCCACCCATGCATACAGACGAGCATGAAAACTCAGATTACCCACTGCTGCCCTCTGGATCTCAACTTTAATAAAAGGGGTTGGTGGGTCGCTAAGAGCACACACTCTGGAGTCAGACAGCCCAAACTCAGGTCCCAGCTCCATCTACACCACTGCTGTGACCTTGGGCAAGTTACCAGGCTTACTCTGCCTCCGTTTTCTCATCTATAAAATGGGACTCCAAGGACTGAGTGAGATGGCACAGTAAAGCACTTAGCACGGGGCCCGACGAATAGTCAATGCTCAGTAAAGGTCTGTGATGGCCACCATTTTTATTACTTTATTTCACTCTCTGGATATGAAGGGATGATGATTACATCTGCCTTAGAGATGAGTTTGTAGCCTACCCAAGGTATAGTACTGGGCAGATTCAAAATACACTTGTTGGGCAGGGCATGGTGGCTTACACTGTAATCACAGCACTTTGGGAGGCTGAGGCAGGCGGATCACTTGAGGTCAGGAGTTTGAGACCAGCCTGGCCAACATGGTGAAACCCTGTCTCCACTAAAAAATACAAAAATTAGCTGGGCATGGTGGTACGTGCCTGTAGTCTTAGCTACTCGGGAGGCCGAGGCATGAGAATCGTTTGAACCCAGGAGGCGGAGGTCGCGGTGGGCCAAGATTGCCCTACTGCACTCCAGCCTGGGTGACAGACAAGACTCCATTTAAAAAAAAAAAAGGATATAGATAGATACACAGACACATACACACACACACACACACACACACACACACACACACACACACACGTTGATTCGTCATTCTGTGAGTCAGCGATCTCTTGCCATTTGAGGGTCAAATCTGTACTGGCCTAGTGGGCTGGCCAAGAAATCTGCTTTCTCAGATTGTCTGTATCGTTTAGAAGAATCTTTGCTTTTCGAAGCTGTCAGGAATATTCCTAAACAGCTCACTGGAGATGGGCTTTCATCTCACCACTTGCAAGTAACCACTTGTGAGTAGACAACTGTTTACATCCTTCACTTTCATGTAATTACGTTCTGAAGTCTTTGCTGCATGCCTGTCTAGACTTTGCAGTATACAGAAGGAAAGCACACCATTCAGTGTGGAAATATGGCTAGATCAGCTGTATTTTTTTATGCAGTGGTGGTTTAAAAAAAAAAGAAGTCAGCATTTAGGAAAGTGTGTTTTCCCCAGGCAGACCTACTCATGACAGTGACATCACTATCTGCAAAGTGTCAACACATGGAAAATGCTGAATATGTCTTGATTAAAGTCAAGCAGCACAGATTTCTCCCTGCCCTAAATCCAGCAGGGTGGTGGGACATGCCCTGACCTTTTTCTGCCTGCCATCTGGTGGAAGCTTGGCTCTAACTCTGTGCAAGACCATTCCATGTTAGCGCTTGAGGCAGGCAGGCGCCTGTCATCTCATTGGCACAAAGGGCCTTGGATCAAGAGAGAGCAGAATTAGAAAACACCCCTGACGAGTCACAGGCTGCCCAGGGAGTGTGTAAGTTGTGGTGAAGGCAGAAGGAGCCTCTGTAGCATAAGCCTGAGCCATGAGACAGCCAAGAGTCATACACTGTCTTCCACTGCAAAAGTCACCGACTCCCAGCCTGGGCTTCAAAGTGAGACCCCTGTCTCTACAAAACATAAAACATAAAAAAAGTTAGCCAGGTGTGGTGGTAAGCACCTGTAGTCCCAGCTACTCAGGAGACTGAGGTAGGAGGATCACTTGAGCCTGGGAAGTCAAGGCTGCAGTGAGCCGTGATTATGCCACTGCACTCCAGCCTGGGCAACAGAGTGAGACTCTACCTCAAAAACAATGAATAAATAACAAGTCACCAACTTCCATAAATTAAACTTTTTTTGTTTGTTTTTTTGAGACGGAGTCTCATTCTTTTGCCCAGGCTGGAGTGCAGTGGTGTGATCTCAGCTCACTGCAACCTCCACCTCCCGGGCTCAAGCAGTTCTGCCTCAGCCTCTGGAGTACCTGGGATTACAGGCGTGTGCCACCACACCCAGCTAATTTTTGTATTTTTAGTAGAGACAGGGTTTCACTATGTTTGCCAGGCTAGTCTCGAACTCCTGACCTCAGGTGATCCGCCTGCCTCAACCTCCCAAAGTTCTGAAATTATAGGCGTAAGCCACCACACCCAGCCACCATAAATTAAACATTTATGATCTTTGTGATCTGAAAGGCAAACTGTCATAACAAGGTCAGCACTAGGTGTTTCAGGACTGAGTGTGCGAGGCCCTCCTCTGGGTCCTGGGACTGCAGAGCTGAGAGGGGCCTTGATGACCCCGGAGCAGTTGTCTCACAGATCAGAAGCCCAGACAGCCAAGGCTTCGAAAGCAGAAGCAACTTGTGCAAGGACTAAAAGTTAGGACTAAATCCCTCTTCCCCTACCCTCCTCATCAGGGGCAGTTTGGGGTGCTGAGTAAAGGAGACGCTTTGGGTCCCGACAGCCTTGCAGCATCTCCACCTTCTGCAGCAAACGCGGCCTCTTCCCATCAGCTGCAAACACAGGCCCAGAGGTCCTGCTGGGAGGAACGCAGGCGCATTGCTCTCAGCTTTGCTTTTCTGGCCTAACCTAAGCAAAATTAAATGGACAGATTTTGGGGTAGTAATAAGATCAACAGGAAGTCTGAACAGACAGGACCCAGGGCCGTCCTGGCCATCTGGGTAGCAGGAGCTTGTCAACAGCCTCTCGGGCCTGCCACGGGAGTGAGAGAGTGCGCTGGATCTGCTTCTCATATCCTTACATCATTTCGCTCAAGATTCACTCCCCAAGGGAGTGAAATTCCTCTAAAGGGAATTGATTAAATTGTTCCCTAAAGGAAGGGCATGGAGACAGAGTCACTAGAAACCTGAGAGTATCGAGGAAAGTCTCTATCACAGTCATAGTGATAGTGTCATTTCCCCGTGGATCATTGACACATCAGTCCCAAGTATCAAGGTCCGGAGAGAGCAAGTCAGGTTTTCCGATGATGTCGCTCTGCTGTTCTCCCCGGATGGCTCCATAGAGGGCACCTGAGGCCAGTGCTGGTCTGTGGATGGCGTTTTCCCGTGCACAAGTTTGAGACAGCGCTGGGTGCTGAGGAAGTAGGAGGCTGGGTTTGTTGAGAGGATTGAAGAGGGTGGCAAGAAACTAATTCAGGGCAAGTTAAAAAGTGACGCGGAGGTGCAGCACTTTGGATCCGAGTCATTGCAGCTTTCAAGATGAATACTAGCCCTGTTCTCAGAAGGTTCCTGAAGGCCGTCTCAGACCTCCTGTATCAGAGGGGAAGGCTTGGGGTGGAATGGGGTCGCCTGAAGCTGCACCTGAGTCACAACTAAAGAGCTTTTCCAGGTTTCCATCTTACTTTAAGTTTCTGTTCTGTAAGTTTAGCCTAAACCATCATTCACCTTCAGGATCAAAGGAAAACAGGGCTTGGTCAGGGTTCAGCTAGAGGCTCCACTCTGGTCCTCCACAGCAGGCCCGTGGTGTACTGGAAAGAGCCCCAGTTGGGGCCGAAAGACCTCAGTTTATGTCCCAGCTCTGTTCCCTGCTTATTGAACTGGTCCCCTCTGAACCTCAGTTTCCTCCTCTGTAAACCAGAGATAATGATACTTACCTTCTAGGCACATGGCCGCCTCAGCCTCCCAAAGTGTTGGGATTACAGGCGTGAGCCACTGCACCCAGCCCCCAATATTTTTTAATACATTCATATTCTGCTTAAATAGTCTAGATTTGGCTTGTATCTGAGACTCCTGAACAAGATAGGATGAGTTTGAGAAAAATTTAAGATGCAGAGACCAAGGCTTGGTGAGGGGTGAGCAAAAGAGAGCTGTTTAGGGTGGCTCCAACACTGCCGTCTCTTGGCTGTTCCATCCATTCTGTCACACAAGCCAAACAGGCGCTAGGTCCCTTTCCCCGTCTCCTCCAACCAGGGCTCAGTAAACAAGGTCTGAGCCCGAGCCTCCAAGTGACCTGACAGCCAGGTCTGTAAGATCACCCTTGAGGAGCTCAGCCAGGCTGAGGGGTAGGGGAATGGGGGCATCAGTGTTTATGAACCTTGAGATCAGCGTTAGGACTCTCCCTCAGGAGAATCTGATGGCTCCAAGTTTAACCCAGTTTCTGTCTTCTCCCCTGTCCTTTTCCTCTAACCCCGCTCCCCTCCTAGTTGTGTGTGTCTGGAGTGTGTGCATTCAGTTATATAACCGCTTTGGTCTCTTCTTGTCCCCAGATTGCTCTTCTAGACATCGATATATGTGGGCCATCGATTCCCAAGATAATGGGATTGGAAGGAGAGCAGGTAATAGCCGGTTACAGAACTCAGGAAATTATTCTCTTAAGGCAAACTCTGTAGCACTGAACTGTCAAACCTCAACAAAGAGGCATGCGGAGCCCATAAATGTTTTTTTGTTGTTGTTTTGTTTTGTTGTTTTTGAGACAAGGTCTCACTCTTGTCGCCCGGGCTGGAGTGCAGTGGTGCAACCTCAGCTCACTGCAACCTCCACCTCCTGGGTTCAAGCGATTCTTGTGCTCAGCCTCCTGAGTAGCTGGGACTACAGTGGTGTGCCATCATGCCCAACTAATTTTTGTATTTTTGGTAGAGACCAGGTTTCACTACGTTGGCCAAGCTGGGCTCCACCTCCTGACCTCTAGTGATCACCTGCCTCAGCCTCCCAAAGTGCTAGGATTACAGGCGTGAGCCACCGCACCTGGCCTGTAAATGTTTATGTGGACATGAGGAGCTCATACATGCTCAGTAGTCCATCTGTCTACTTTTAACAACAACTGTGAGTCTTGGCGGGGGAGGGGCGGGATTGTATATGAAGTCTGTCTACACCATTGGAGAAGCATTGGTTTCGATGCCTCCTCAGAGGGGAAGGGAAACAGCCAGTGAAATGCAGAAGTAAGACACGGAAATTTAGCTCTGACTGGGAACATTAGACCAGGGCTTGCTATGGGTCTGTACCCTGGAAGCAAGGGAATATTTCTGCCCTTGTGGTCTCCCCTGGGGAACTGAGACTGCAGGGCGGGTGAGCGATGTGGGCTGGGGGCAGGGCTGTAGCAGTCTATGTAGTTGCTGGCCTCTTCTTGCTAGCAAGAAGCTCTCCAAGAGAGGATTCCCCCAAGGGCAGTGCATGGAAGCTGGGGCTGGGGGTGCTGGGATGTCCCGAGAGTCTCAAGATTGGTTCTTTCTTTAATTAGTGCCAGGAATGCATTAATCCTGTTTTGGGGATGCAGTGGTGAACAAGGTCCATGAAGACCCCTGTCTGGGTGGGAGAAGGCAGATGCTAGATAATGTGAAACCAACCCAGAGTGAGGGGATGGACAGTAGGGCAGAGTCAGAGGGGCTGAGGGGTGGTCAAAGGTGCCCTCACTGAGGGATAGCATTTGAGCAGAGGATGACAGGAGGGGAGAGCTGGGGGAAGGGCATTCTGGGCTAAGGGAGCAACTGCATGGGCCGCTGACACAAGGTGTCCTTGTGTCCTCAGTGGAGTGACCAGAGGGGCTGGAGGGTGGCCCGAAGCAGATGGGGCCGGCCTTGCAGGCACTTCTAAGGCCTTGGGGTTTGCTTCCGAGGGAGTAGGGAAGGAGAGCGATGTCACCCTGTGAGGCTTGGTCACATACCCCAATGGATTTGGTAGCACACGCCACAGTGAAGGTATAAGCTACTGTCATCACACGTAATTATTTCATGAAACAGAAAATTTTAAAATAAAAGAAAATAGAAGTTTCCCTATTTTCTTCTCCTGCACTATTGGATCATCCTGTTTACCCCTCTTTTAAGACAAATGGACTTAGCAAACGAGTGTAAATAGGAATGAATGGTTTTGTGGGGTTTATTTTATTTTATTTTATTTTATTTTATTTTATTTATTTTATTGAGACAGAGTTTCACTCTTGTTGCCCAGGCTGGAGTGCAGTGTCGCGATCTCGGCTCACCACAACCTCCGCCTCCCGGGCTCAAGCAGTTCTCCTGCCTCAGCCTCCTGAATAGCTGGCATTACAGACACACGCCACCACGTCCAGCTATTTTTTGTATTTTTAGTAGAGTTGGGGTTTCACCATGTTGACCAGGCTGGTCTCGAACTCCTGACCTCAGGTGATCCTCCCGCCTCAGCCTCCCGCAGTGTTTGGATTACAGGTGTGAGCCACTGTGCCTGGCTGGGTGTCTTTTAATAGAACTTCGAAGTCAGTCACAGAGGACCGCATGTTGTGTGATTCCACTTACATGAAATGTGCAGAATAGGTCAGTCCACAGTGAGAGAAAGTGGATTAGGGGTCCTGTAAGGCTGGGAGGATGTGAGACAGACTGTGGGGGGTGGTGACAGCTGAGGGGTATAGGGATTCTTCTTAAGAGTCAGGCAAATGTTCTAAAATTGTGGTGACTGGGTACAGTGGCTCACACCTGCAATCCCAACACTTTGGGAGGCCAAGGCGGGTGGATCACTTGAGGTCAGGAGTTTGAGACCAGGCTGGCCAACATGGTGAAACCCCGTCTCTACAAAAAATACAAAAATTAGCTGGGCATGGTGGCGGGCACCTATAATCTCAGCTACCTGGGAGGCTAAGGCAGGAGAATCACTTGAACCTGGGAGGTGGAGGTTGCAGTGAGTCAGGATCACGCCACTGCACTCCAGCCTGGTCGACAGGGCAAGACCCCATCTCAAAAATAAAAATAAAAAATAAAACTGTGGTGATGGCTGCATGCTTGTGACTGTACAGAAAGCCACTCATTCAATGGGTGAGTCATATTGTCTATGAATCATGTCTCAGTAAATCTGTTGAGAAAAGTAAGGCTTCATCAAGAAAATTAAACTTTCAGTGTGCGCTTTGTGTGCTGCTGGACACCTGCTGGGGGGAAGAGGTCTGAATCTTGTTGCCCCAGGAAGCTCCCCTTTGTGGCTGGAGCTGATTGGGGACAGGTTCTGAATCAGCTGTTTCGTGAGAGCTCATTCCCTTCACTCCTGTGCTTTTACAAAAGCCACCTCATTGCTCCACAGGTATCTGCATTTTCTCATCAGTCCCCAGCCGATTTTTATGACTCTTTTAAGATACCTTAGACACAACATCATATTTGAACTTGAGTAACTTTGGTTCCCTATCTAGACATCCAAGTAGAGTTTCCAAATAACCCAGCTTAGGGCACAAAGGGAGTTGAGTTGCATCTTTATTACCCACGCCCTAGCTGTTCACCTCCTTTTAGGAATTTCGTGGTACCATGTAAGACAATGAATTATATTTTAAAAAACCATCGTCTTACTTTGTACAATTTGTCTGTGCATGAAATGTGACCAGGGTACATGATTTCTACTAATGAACATCGGTGCTCATGTTCACACAGGTTCACCAGAGTGGCTCAGGCTGGTCTCCAGTGGTGAGTTTTCACCTCTTTGCCCTATTTTCACAGTAGTGTGTGGTTGTGTGTACATAATGGGTTTGTGGTTTGTTGGTCCATAGGTATTTATTAGGGTACTTTTCGAGGCACAGAGGATGTGATTAAAACCAGTGATTGGCAGGCTTTTTCTGTAAAGTGTGGGACGGTAAAGATTTTCAGCATGTGGGCCTACATTCCTTGCTGTTGTAGCACAAAAGTAGTAATATGTAACTGAACAACCAGGACAGTATTCCAATAAAAGTTTATTTACAAACACAGATGGTGGGCCAGATTTGGCCCTGAAGTCCATAGTTTGTAAATCTCTGGTTAAGAGAGTTAAGGAGGCAGGGTGCAGTGGCTCACACCTGTGATCCCAGCACTTTAGGAGGCCAAGCCAGGCAGATCACTTGAGGCCAGGAGTTCGAGACCAGCCTGGCCAACATGGCGAAATCCCATCTCTACTAAAGATACAAAAATTAGCCGAGCATGGTGGCACGCGCCTGTAACACTGGCTACTCGGGAGGCTGAGGCAGGAGAATTGCTTGAACCCGGGAGGCAGAGGCTGCAGCAAGCTGAGATTGCACCATGCACTCCAGCCTGGGCAACAGAGCCAGACTTCATCTCAAAAAAATGAAAAATAAAAAAATAAAAGAGTTAAGGAGATGACATTTACTTATTTTAGCTGAGTTCCCTGTCATTGCCGTCACTGCAGCCCATGGACATACAGTGCCTCTTTCAAATCCCCCAACATGGTACCCTTTTTTTTTTTTCCAAAAATGATTTAGGAGCAAAGAGTGAATATGCTCATAGGTCACATGGTAGTTTTGTCCTGAAAATGTTTTTTTCAGTCAGAGCTCAAACAGAAGACCTGGGGGAGGGCCTCACTGTGTGGTTTTGAGTAAAGCGTGTCTTGCCCTCACCCTGTTCCCTCTGCAGTACGTGGAAGACAACCTGGGGGTGATGTCAGTGGGCTTCCTGCTCAGCAGTCCTGATGATGCTGTTATCTGGAGGGGACCCAAGAAAAACGGTTTGCCACTCTGCCTTTTTTTGTCTCTCACATTCTTCCACGAGCGTTGTGGCTCTTGGCTTTATCTGCTCCCTGTCCTGCCAGTCTCAGCCTGCTGGACTTCACAGTATATTATTTTTAACCATCCAGTGCCTCTTTCTTCACTGGTTGAAAAGAGCTAATAGAAATACCAGTTTCCATTACGTAATTATAAATATCTGCTGTGAGTTTTTCTCTCCTTAAAAGCTGTAGAACCCTGGTCGGGTGTGGTAGCTCACGCCTGTAATCCCAGCACTTTGGGAGGCCGAGGCAGGTGGATCACCTGAGGTCAGGAGTTCAAGACCAGCCTCGCCGACATGGTGAAACCCTGTCTCTACCAAAAACATAAAAAATTAGCCGAGCATGGTGGCACGTACCTGTAATCCCAGCTACTCGAGAGGCTGAGGCAGGAGAACCCAGGAGGCGGAGGTTGCAGTGAGCCAAGATCATGCCACTGCACTCCAGCCTGTGTGACAGAGCGAGACTTTTTCTCAAAAAAAAAGCTATAGAACCCTGAAATTATTTTTATCATGGTTTTATAGTGGCTTATTTGGGTCAGAGAGGTGAGATCAACAGGAGGTTGATCTGGTACTGAGACTTAAGGTAATAATGTGAAAGTGTTATCAGGGCAAGCTTTAGCCTCAGCACTATTGATATTTTGAGCCAGATAAGTCTTTGTTGGGGGGAGGAGTAGACCGTGTTCTACACCATAGGGTGTTAAACAGTGTCCCTGGCCTTTACCCACAAGATGCCAGTAGCACCCCCTACTCTATTTGTGACAACCCAAAATGTCTCCAGACATTGCAATTCACTCCCAGTTGAGAGCCACTGACTTACAGCATAGACCAAAGGCACAAAAAGATCAGATCATGCTTCTCCGTGAGCTGGGCACAGTGGCACGCACTTATAGTCCTAGTTACTTGGGAGGCTGAGGTGGGAGGATTGCTTGAGCCTCAGAGTTAAGAGCCAACCTGGGCAACATAGCAAGACCCCATCCTTTAAAAAAAAAAGAGGGAGTTGAAAGTACAGAAAAGAAAGGAAAAGTAAGCATCCCCTGTGGATTCCTCTTTCTAGGCATGATCAAGCAGTTCCTCCGAGATGTGGACTGGGGAGAGGTCGACTACCTCATTGTGGACACCCCACCTGGGACGTCGGATGAACACCTCTCGGTCGTCCGGTACCTGGCCACAGCACACATCGATGGAGCAGTGATCATCACCACTCCCCAGGTGAGCGAGCTGCCAGCTGGAGCTGGGTCCAAACTGTGCTCCACACTGTGAGATTTCTTTCCTACCTGGCTCTGATACTCTGGTCTCACCAAGGCTCTTCCCAGTGTGTGTTCCGCAGCTGCATCTGATGTGGGTCTGCAGAAACCTCGTGTTAAAAACTTCAGCCAGCACAGTGATTCACACCTGTAATCCCAGGACTTTGGGAGGCTGAGATGGGAGGATCACTTGAGCCCACGAGTTCGGGACCAGCCTGAAAAACATAGCAAAACCCCATCTCTACAAAAAATATTTTAAAATTAGCCAGGCATGGTGGCTCGCGCCTGTAGTTCCAGCTACTTGGGAGGCTGAGGTAGGAGGATCATTTGAGCCTGGGGAAAGGAGGTTGCAGTGAGCCATGATCACGCCAGTGCAGTCCAGCCAGCGCAAGCGAGTGAGGCCTTGTCCCAAAAGATAAAAATAAGAAAAACTTCATCTTTGGTCTAGACATTTGCAGCTGACAACCATTCAACGATTTGGTTTTTTTTTAGTCCATGGATTAAACAATAGTGGGTCAAGAATGCTTTTTGAACTTTCCTTGAGGAAACTAGGGAAACCACCAGTGCAGTTATAATTCATACTGTGCTGCCTGGCCCCGTCAGCCTTGCCGTGTCCATGTGTCAGGTCCCCCAGCCTACAGTGGATTTTCCGTTTACATCCCAGGATGATTTAGGAAATCTCTCCAGTTTTCAACAGAACCAGCTGGGTGCAGATAGGGATTTCGGGATAAGCCACTGGGTGCCTTCGCTTCTTCCGTAGTGACACCCAGCAACCCTCTGTAGCAGTCACCTAGTGGCTGTACTCCAAGGCCCATGGTGAGCCCGAGCTGAGAGGAGAGCGATAGGAAGTTTCCTCTCTGTAAGTCCTGCAGAGAGCAACTGCAGGCAGGACCATGGTGCTATCCATCTCAGGGGCCTGAGAAACTGAGGGCTCTTCTCCATCTCCACAGTTACGCCTGACTTCTCTTCATGACGTTCTCCTCCACACTTAAGAAAGCCCAGCAAAGGAGGTTTGATTTGATCTCACTGGCCAGAATCAGTCAGGACGACCCATAGTCTCACCTCATCCAGCACTCACTGAGCTCTGACTCTGACATGCCGGGCACCAGGGCAGTAAAAAGGCCTGGCTCTCCCTGGTGGCCCCTGTGGCTCCCTGAGGAACACAGGTGCTGGACACAGGGATGAGGGTACAGCCAATGGAGTGGCAGGCCCAGCGGCCATGGGAAGGGTGTCCGGGTCAGAAAATGGTGCAAGATTCATGTCCACCCTGGCATCCTGCAGAGAGGGGACATGGGGACGCAAGGAGGAGCAGGACACCAGCTGGGACCCTGGACAGGAGGGAGGATGGCCTGGCCCGGGTGATGGCAGTGGAGAGAAAGTGTATTTGTCCTTAGGAATGTTTTCTGTCCCATTTTTAAAAAGTGGTTGGTGCTGGGCACACTGGCTCATGTCTGTAATCCCAGCACTTTGGGAGGCCGAGGCAGGCAGATTACTTGAGGTCAGGAGTTCGAGACCAGACTGGCCAATATGGCAAAACCCTGTCTCTACCAAAAAAATACAAAAATTAGCCAGGCGTGGTGGTGGGCACCTGTAATCCCAGCTACTTGGGAGGCTGAGGTGGGAGAAGTGCTTGAATCCAGGAGACAGAGGTTGCAGTGAGCCGAGATCGCGCCACTGCACTCCAGCCTGGGCGACAGAGCAAGACTCTGTCTCAAAAAAAGAAAGAAAGAAATGAGAGACTGAGTCGCAGCCCATTGACTTTCTAGCTGAGCGCCCCTTCCTCCGCATCCCAGCCTCAGTGTCAAGAGCCAAACAGGCATCTCAGGAAAAGAACAGGCCCAAAGCTGCGAGCCTTTCGGGCTCACGTGAGTGGTGAAGCTCCAGGTGCTAAGGAGTCACTACACCTGACAGTGACAAGCCACAGCAGGACTTGGGTACAGGGATCTGTGATAACATTAACTGAGGAAAATAGGGAGCTACTGAGCGGTGTTTATACACAGTAATCACATTGGAAAAACTCAGAGTTGAGAAGGAAATGCAAAGTTGTCCACATTGGGCAGTATTCCTTATTTCCTTTTAGTCAGTTGTTTGTGTTTATAATTATCTAGAGCAGGGATTGGCAAACTTTTCTGTAAAGGGCCAGATAGGAAGTAGGCGTTGCGGACCCCACGGTCCCTGTCCCAGCCCCTTAGCCGTGCCACTGTGGCATGAAGCAGCCACAGACGGTGCCTAGAGGGACGGGCATGGCTGGTTCCGGAGGAACTTTATTTATAAAACCAGCCAGATTCAGCCCCCAGGCTGGGGTTTGCCAAGCTCTGGTCTAGAAAACAGTGCACACACTGGCTTAATATAGTATAGTATAGGGACATGGAGCATGTAGATGCGTTAAAAGGTCATTTTCAGATAGGCACAGTGGCTCACGCCTCTAACCCTAACACTCTGGGAGGCCGAGGCAGGAGGATCACTTCACACCAGAAGCTTAAGACCAGTCTGGGCAACAACCATCTCTATAAAAAATTAAAAAGTTAGCCAGGCAGAGTAGCACATGCCTGTAGTCCCAGCTACTCTGGAGGCTGAGGCAGGAGGATTGCCTGAGCCCAGGAGGTCAAGGCTGCAGTGAGCAATGATTATGCCACTGCACTCCAGACTGGGCAGCAGTGAGATCCTGTCTCTAAAAAAAAAAGTCATTTTCTTTTAGGTTGATTTCTTGCTATTTGGCTGTGTGGGAAGTAAATAGCACCTCGAACAAACAGGGCTTAGCACTAGTAGGTACTAAATAAATATGGATTTGGCAGAGGGCATACATTAGTTCATTTTCACACTGCTGTAAAGAACTGCCTGAGACTGGGTAACCTATAAGGGAAAGAGGTTTCATTGATTCACAGTTCTGCATGGCTGGGAAGGCCCCAGGAAACTTAACAATCATGGTGGAAGGCAAAGCAGGCACATGTTACACAGTGGCAGCAGTGAGAGAGAGAGTGTGTAGGAGGAACTGTCAAACACTTACAAAACCATCAGATCTCGTGAAAACTCACTATCGAGACCAGCATGGGGGAAACTGCCCCCATGATCCAATCACCTCCCACCAGGAACTGCCTGTTCCTGTAGGGATGTAGGGATGATGGGGATTACAGTTCGAGCTGAGATTTGGATGGGGACACAGAGCCAAACCCTATCAGGGCAGAAACCTCTAAGGCTTTATGATCGCAGATCCACTGCATTGCAGCCATCCCCTCGGTTGCACAGACATTCCCTTTCTCGCACTTTGATGCTGGAATCACTGGTCTTTTCACCTTCGTAGGAGGTGTCACTCCAGGATGTCCGGAAAGAAATCAACTTCTGCCGCAAGGTGAAGCTGCCCATCATCGGGGTGGTGGAGAACATGAGTGGCTTCATCTGTCCTAAGTGCAAGGTGAGGGCGCGTGGGGCTGCCAGGCGAGCAAGATCTTGCTCTCATGGATGAGGAAACGATCGGAAGGCTGCTCTGCAAACTATTTCTGCTTTCCCTGTCATTTTGGGAAGTGGAATCACAATTAAAATCCCTTTCTGCTGACTAAAGGAAAGTTCTTTAGGTGTTAAGGGTTCCACATTCAAACTAAGCCTTTTTTTTTTTTTTAAGTTTCTTTAAAATGTGGTCCATCCTTGTGATTCTGCAAAAAAATTATGTTTCCTCCCCTTTGAATTTGCCTTGCAGAAAGAATCTCAGATATTCCCTCCCACAACCGGGGGCGCGGAGCTCATGTGCCAGGACTTGGAGGTCCCTCTCCTCGGCAGAGTGCCCCTGGATCCGCTCATAGGTGGGTGACCCCAGTGTGGGGCGGCACCTCACTCCTCGGTCAGCCCCACAGGCACGGGTCGGGCACAACAGGGGGCGGCTACAGAGAGGGGCAATGGAAGGAGGAGGGTCAATGGGGCGCTGGAGCCAGACCCACCCTCCAGCTGGCACCCCAAGAGGCCACCGGGAGAGAGGCCGAGACCCCTGCGGGCAGGTAGCGGGAGCAAGCAGGCCTCAGGCAGAGGGGTGAGGCCTGGAAGAATGGGGTAGAGGTTGGTGAGGGTGGTGGTGGCAGGGGACTGAGGAGGGCACCCGATAGAGGGGCGGCTCCAGGGGATGCACATGGCGTCCAGGTTACAGAGGAAGGCGGCCTGAGGTGAAAATCCCTTAGGAAGGGGCCGGGCCTCCTGTGCCCGGAGAAGCCAGCACGGCACAGATGAGGCCCCTTTGTCTCCAGCACCGGGACAGACCGGAACGCGGATCACTGGCCTGCGAGCAGGGGCCAAGTTCCCAAAAAATGCTCTTCTTAAGTACGTGGGTCTCCCAGGATCCCAAGAGATGCCCACTCCCTGAGTGGCCCTGAGGCTGAAGGAGGGACGGGGTTTCACGTCTCCACCCACACGCCCGCCGGGCGCCCACTCGCCGCGGGGCGCTGGGCAGGGCCTACACTCGAAGCTGCTCCCCCAGGAGGCTGCTGTCCCCCAGGACCGCGGAGCCGGGCGGGCCTCCGTTACTGGGGCCCTTTAGTGGGGCTCCTGCGGGGCGTCCAGCACTCGCCTTTAGGTCTGAGGGGAGAACAGAGAGAGAAGGCTGGAGGGGAGGCCGGGATCCAGGAGTGCCGGCTGCACCCATGCCTCGGAACTTCCACTCCATTTGTCAGGGAACCAAGGCCAGTGTGAGGTGTCTGTGCCGGGACAGGAGAGAGGGGCCGGGCGGGTGAAGTATGGCCTGGCCAGGAGAGGGTGGGGGCCGCGTGCTTGGGGAGAGGGCGGGGCCCGTGGAGAGCCTGGAGGCGGGGAGGGCGGAGGCCACGTGGGGAGCCTTGGGGAAGGGCTGCATGGGGAGAATGGGAGCCTGTGGGAAACGACTGTCAGTGTCATGTGCCTGGGAACAGGAGGCTCAGGAGTGGCTGCCCTGGGATAGGGGTTCAGGATGAGGCCCTGGGTTCTGGCGTTGGTGTAGAAAGGAAGGGACACACACAAGAGAGAAAGTGACGGCATCTGAGGGTCAAGGTTGTCCCTGCTGCCAGTACAAGTCACCTGGAGGAGGGTCCGTCCCTCAGAGACAGTGAAGCAGGGGTGGTAGAGGGAGGCCGGGCCCTCTGGGGTGCTGCGGCTAAGGGGCTCGGGGGCTCAGGTTGTCAGCAGGTTCTGGGGTCCGTCAGGAGAAGGTGGTTCATGTCCGTGCAGTTGAGTTTTGAAGCCACAGGACATGGACAGGATTGCCAAGGGGCCGTGCAGAAAGCGGGAGCCAGGAGGACAGTGTTGGGGGATGGCTGCCTCGAGGAAGTGGTAGGGGGGTAGGGTGCGAGGGCCACTCTGAAGATGGGAACAGCCCGGGAGAACGCCAGAGACCCCATGTGCCCAGGAGGCTGTGTCCCCAAATCCTTTTTCCCTTATTCCCACATCCCACAATACTTCTCTGGCATGTGATTTCCCCAACAACATGCAGAAAAGTACAGCTGCTTTCTCAACCTTCCCCAGCATCATAAAACACTCACCAGGCAGCTTTTGCAGTGGCCGGAAGTGGTGATGAGAGCTGCCCTCTGAGGCCCCTGGAGGCAGTTGGGCTGCATGAATGGATGTGATTGGGGACAGGAGCTTGCAGCAGCCCAGGGCACATCCATTCCTGCCAGCCTGCACCTCTGCCACAGTTCAGCTCTGCCGAGATGGGATTGGTGGGCAGGACGTTTGTCAGGGGAAACATCTGTGGGAGAAAATGACAAGGGAGAGCGTTAGCCCACGATGAAGGAGTGGGGGAAGGAACATATCAGCCCGAAAGAGCATCACGGCCCATAGGAGTATCTCAGCCCCTGGAAGCATCTCAGCCCAAGGGAGCATCCCAGCCCTCAAGAGCATCTCAGCCCATGGGAGCATCCCAGCCCAAGGGAGTATCTCAGCCCACAGGAGTATCTCAGGCCACGGGAGCATCCCAACTCAAAGGAGCATCTCAGCCCACAGGAGTACCTCAGCCCATGGGAGCATCCCAGCCCAAAGGAGCATCTCAGCCCACTGGAGCATCCCAGCCCAAGGGAGTATCTCAGCCCACAGGAGTATCTCAGCCCACGGGAGCATCCCAACTCAAAGGAGCATCTCAGCCCACAGGAGTATCTCAGCCCACGGGAGCATCCCAGCCCGAAGGAGCGTCTCAGCCCACTGGAGCATCTCAGCCCATGGGAGCATCTTAGCCTGCTGGAGCACCTCAGTGTACTTTGCTTTTTGGCATCTCAGTCTGCTGGAGTATTTGTCTATTGGAGCATCTCAGTCTGCTGGAGTGTGGCAGTCTATTGGAGCATCTCAGTCTGCTGGAGTATGCCAGTCTGTTGGAGCATCTCAGTCTGCTGGAGTATTTGTCTATTGGAGAATCTCAGTCTGCTGGAGTATGCCAGTGTGTTGGAGCATCTCAGTCTGCTGGAGTATGTCAGTCTATTGGAGCATCTCAGTCTGCTGGAGTATTTGTCTATTGGAGCATCTCATTCTGCTGGAGTATTTGTCTATTGGAGCATCTCAGTCTGCTGGAGTATGTCAGTCTATTGGAGCATCTCAGTCTGCTGGAGTATGTCAGTCTATTGGAGCATCTCAGTCTGCTGGAGTATGTCAGTCTATTGGAGCATCTCAGTCTGCTGGAGTAGGTCTATTGGAGCATCTCAGTCTGCTGGAGTATGTCAGTCTGTTGGAGCATCTCAGTCTGCTGGAGTATGTCAGTCTGTTGGAGCATCTCAGTCTGCTGGAGTATGTCAGTCTGTTGGAGCATCTCAGTCTGCTGGAGTATGTCAGTCTGTTGGAGCATCTGTCTGCTGGAGTATGTCAGTCTGTTGGAGCATCTCAGTCTGCTGGAGTATGTCAGTCTGTTGGAGCATCTGTCTGCTGGAGTGTCTTGGCTGCTGTCGAGGAAAGCTGGGCACAGCCACCAGGGCATTCCTGAGCCCACTTACCCATCAGAGGGGCTGCATCTCCCAGAAGCGTGCCTGCCCGAGTGCCATGCTCGTCTCAGTCACTAGCTAGGAGCAGCCTGGGAGTGGCATTGCCTCAACACAAACGTGGTGGTGGATTTTGGAGCATGGCAGCTGCTGCCAGAGATCCAAGAGGTGTGTCCTTATGGCCATCACAATTGCCACATTTTCCAAGGTTTAATGAAGAGCTAGAAATCTATATCCTTACCCAAAGTCTCCTGATACTAAATGATAGCAACTAACTCCATTAAATACACACACACACACACACACAACCATGCTCTAGCCTGGGTAACACAGGAAGATACCTCATCTCTTAAAAAAAAAAAAAAAAAAAAAAGGAAAAAATTCACCCAGTGTGGTGGCATGTGCCTGTGGTCCCAGCTACTCAGGAGGCTGAGTTAGCAGGATCACTTGAGCCCAGGGAGGTTGAGGTTGCAGTGAGCCATGATCACACCACTGCACTCCAGCCTGGGCGACAGAGCAAGAACCTGTCTCAAAAAAAAATTTAAAAATGGCATGCTTGCTGACCCACCCAAATATGTCCACGGGCCCAGCCACAGGCCTGCCCTTGCCATTGTCTGACAGATCAGGAAGTGACCTTGGGGCTATTAGATCCTGATACGGCTTTTCTTCCAAAGAGCCAGCAACCTCCATCTTCCCACCTCCCTCACACCAAGCCCTGGCATTGGCCCTGGTCTTTCCTTTCAGGGCCACTTTTCACAAAGAAACAAAGTTCCAGGTGGTTCACAAGAGCTAATTTCAAAGCAGAGGAGCCACCAGTGACAGCTGCGAGGCTCATTCTGAGCTGAGAACATTAAGTGCCTTCTAGTGGGCATGGTCCTGTGTGTCAAATGGCACATTGCAGAAGCTCACCTTGAGGGGAAGCCACAGATAGCAAGGCCAGGGAGTGCCAGAAAGGAAGGGGTGGTTAACACTGTCACCCACCCAAGAGGGTGGAGCATGAGGGCCAAGTGACAGACACGCATCTGGCAAGGTCACTGGGGACAGAGTGGGGGAAAACCCACCTTCCTAGGAACAGACAGGAAGGCATGAGGACAGCACTTCAGTCTCCTCTGGGGACATGGTGGCAAAGAGTTACAGATGCCAGCGCTCTGGTGCTATGGGTCCTGGTCCCGGTGTGCTGAGGATCACAGGAAGGGCTGGCCTCAGAGCCCTGCTCCGCCACCACTAGCTGTGGGACTTGGGCTAGTCATTTCCGCTCTCAGCCTCGATGGCCCCGTGTGTAAAATGCAGGTGACAGTGGTGCCTAGTGAGAGGGATCTGCCAGGGTGGGGTGAGAGGATGCCTGGGATCTCTTGGAACAGGGCTGTGCTCACACCAGCTGTTCTGATAATGCTGCCCGTTCTTGGAGAGGTGGGAGCCCAGGGGGAAATGCAGTTAGGAAGGGAAAACACTAGAGCATATATGTGTGTTGGGGGCTGGGGAGCCCTCTGGGGAAGGGAGACCTGGGTGAAAGTCAGGGACAGAAAGTAGCCCCAGCATGACTATTCTGGGATCCCCAACCTCCCAGGTCTGGCCCAGCGAACGTGCACTCAGGGGCCTCCCTAGCGAGTTCCACATGGTCTCATGGGCCCAGCGTTAACGGCGGAGGATGTCCAGGTTCTTGGTGTCTGGAACAAAAAATTGGACAAAACGCACAAAGAAAGGAAGGAAGGAAGGGATTTATTGAAAATGAAAGTCAACTCCACGGTGTGGGAGGAGAACGGGCCTGAGAATAGGGGCTCAAAGGCCCCATTACAGAGTTTTTGTGTTTAAATACCCTCTACTTGAGGTACGCCCTATATAAACGAAAAGGATGAAGTAAAGTTACAAAGTCATTTACGGCATACGTCCTATGGAGAGGACATTTCCTGTTATGGCTCAAGTGCGAATTGGCCTTATGTTCCCTGCCTCTGGACCCTATTTTCCTGACTCACTGGGCCATATGGGCTCCCCATCTCCCACCAACCCCTCCCCACAGGCTTCTTCCCCGACTTGGACTTCCCTGTCCCACAGGGCGACACAGTAGTGAAGTTGAGGAAATGATGAGTGCTAGGTAGGAACCCCTCCTGGGGTTCACCTGAGGCTGGTGACCGGCCATGGGCAGTGCAGTCACTTGCCTGTTTCGCCAGCAGCTCAGGCCTGGGGAGTGGGCAGAGCAAGCTGATGGCAGGTCCACCCACGACTGGGGGCTGGCAGGGCAGACTGGAGGCGAGAACACCCCCATTGACCCCTAGCCCCTTGTGTCCTGTCCACCTGGCTCTGGGATAACATGGTCCTAGAGAAACCTGGGTGTGCATAGGAGGGGACTGGAACAATGGCCACATGGCGGGGAAAGACTAGCAGACTGATAGACACCAGCACAGATGACCTGGAAGATAAAATTATACACAGACAAAGCAGCAGGCAGAATGTGTGTGTCATGTGCTCCCATTCGTATTTTAGGTATATGAGAGTGTGTGTATGTGTGTGCGCACACATGCAAGTGTGCACATTTATATGCGCATAATCTTTCTGGAAAGACACCTAGAACACTAGTAGCCCTTTTCGGACTTGGCCTTTTATGCCATATCCTTTTGCATTCTGTACTTTTTTTAACCATGTGCATTCATGATCCTTTCACTCAAAAGCTAATCTCTTAAAATGCAGACTCCTGGGCCCATGTGGAAGCTGCTGAATCAGTTCTCTGTAGGGCCCTGGAACCTGCATTTTCTGTACACCACCTGATTATTTAGCCACGCTGAAATGCTGGCTGGGGACCCTGCTGGAAGGAAGGTCCCTGAGACCCCACTGGTCTTTTCTACTTTGTTCTTCATTACGAGTGAAGCGGGCTCAAGATCTTCCCATTGTCACCAGCACGGAAAGAGCCCCAAGATCTTGTGGCCATTCTGTTTTCCTCTTGGACTGAATTGTCTTCCGTTTGTTTCTTTTTTAAGGTAAGAATTGTGACAAAGGCCAGTCTTTTTTCATTGACGCCCCAGATTCCCCAGCCACGTTAGCCTACAGAAGTATAATTCAGAGTAAGTATTTCCATGAGTACTAAATGCAGATGCCTGTGGGGCAGGAAGCAACATAAAGGAGCCAGGGGTGTGGAAGGACAGGTGGGTGGTGGGGTCTGTGATGACCACAGAGTGGCCCCCATAGCCGAGGAAGCCAGGAGTCCATGAGAAATCTCTCAATGTGTGAGTATTGTGAATTAATTCATAGTTTAAAAAACATGGTGAGGGTGAAATTTATGGCTTAGGAAATACATCCCAATAAAGGGATAAAGTAATTCATTTTTAAAAGTAACTGATAAAAAAAAAAAAGGCCAGGTGCAGTGGCTCACACCTGGAATCCCAGCACTTTGGGTGAAGGAGGCAGGCAGATCACTTGAGGCTGGTCAGGAGTTCAAGACCAGCCTGGCTAACATGGAGAAACACTGTCTCTACTAAAAATATGAAAATTAGCCGGGTGTGGTGGCGCATGCCTGTAGTCCCAGCTACTCAGGAGGCTGAGGCAGGAGAATCGCTTGAACCTGGGAGGCGGAGGCTGCAGTAAGGCGAGATCGCGCCACTGCACTCCAGCCTGGGCAACAGCGTGAGACCGTGTCTCAAAAAAATAAAAAATAAAAATAAAAACTTTGTTGAGCCAGACCAAACCCACGTGCAGGCCACATTCAGCCAGTGGCAGCCATCAGAGGCCCCAGAGTTAGGGCAGAGGTGTCAGTGTTTGTTAAAGCTGTGGTCTCTGAGTTTGTGGCTGGGTTTTACTTGCCTAGAAGAATGATGTCAAGGGTAAGGAAACAGCATTCCCAGAATCCTCCATCTATAGATGGTCCGAGGAAGGCCGCAGCCACTGGTTATGAGCAAGATGGGTAGTGTGAGGTATTCCGGTCACTTTCAAAGACTCAGGGCATCACAGACACAGGTCTTTTTATGGAACTAGCCAGAGGATTCCACCCCTGTCAAAACACAGCCCTCCCCAGCACAGGACAGGGCTGTCAAGGGGTAGACAAGCCATTAGCACTCTATGCCTGTCGTCTTGTTTTCCAGGAATCCAAGAGTTTTGTAATCTCCATCAGTCAAAAGAAGAGAACCTCATCAGTTCCTGAAACGAGAGAATGTTCAGGACCAAGCAGTTACCGAGCGAGGCACTCACTGGGCAGCACATCCAGCCAGACCCGACCAGCTCCGGGATGGGGTGGGTCACAGCAAAAGGACCAGATGCTGGTGTGGTCCGAAGCCACTTTCTCAGAGACACTTTAATCATTGAGTATTTGTACACTTTTCTTTAGAACATATATAAAGGGCATTCTCTACAAATGTGCCGTTTTAAGAATAAAACCCCCTCAAATCTCTCCCCCGAGGCCTGTTTCACGTAAAAAACAAATGGGTTGTGGGATCGTGGGATTCTGCTGTGTCGGAAGCTTAGTCGATTGTAGAAACTCCCGTTTAAGCCATTTCTGCCTGTGAAGATAAGAAAGCCTAGAAAAGAACCAAAGGGGTGAGTGTGCGGCTTCACTGCAGAACACACAGGCTTGTTTTCAAACACCACAGTCCAAACGCTTTTCTTCAGATTGAGGAAAAATCTAAAAGCAACAGAGCTCAGGCTGGGCTTCGTTCTAAAATCACTGCATATGACACAGCTGGGTCAAATCAAAAAGCCCTTGAAGAGTCCTTGAATCACCCAGTAAGACAGAATGTGGGGTCTGTGTAAATTCCCTGTGTAGTAATATGTGCACAGTATATCCAGTAATGTCCAGTGTCATGCAAACCAACTTTCAGGTTTTTTAATTATATAAAAAAGAGGGACAGATGTAAACTCTACGATCATCCTCTTTGCCATGAGGTGCTTGCTCTGTTTGAGACACACAGGATCTGAGACCACGTGGGAGAAGAGTAAATTCCTGTTTTCCCTCCACTCTGGGGCATAAAAGTGGGTGGGTGGGAAACAAGAACAAATCCCCTTGTTCTTTCCCTCCCTTGTCTCTTCCCTCCCCGCCCTTCCCTAGGACCATACATATGATCAGATTTGCACATGTTCAGTGTGAGGAAGGTGTGACCTCGCCCCCCGACCCCCAGCTCCTCACGCCAAGAGCAATGAGGCTGCAAAGCCCAGGGCAGGCCCATTGCCCAGTCTGCTTCCTGCCTGGTCACATGCCTGGCCACCCCAGGGAACAGGGGAAGCCCACCCAGACCCCGGGCCCCTGTGCCCCAAGAGCTGCATTTTTCAGAATTCCCCAGTTCCTCCACACGGGTGCCATGATCCATTTCTCACCTAATGCTGGTGAATCTCCAGCCCCTCGAGGCCAGGCTTCTGAAAGTCACCTGGGCAGGCCTGCAAGGGGAAAAGTCAACCATGGTTTTCTGTCCTTACACGCGAGTGGGGCGATCCTGCTGATGGAAGGCCAGAGAAAACCCACAAAGTACAGAAAACCTGCGGAATTGGTTGCTTGATGTCTTGGCATAAAGCAGTGCTGTTCAAATTTAGGACGGTTCTACCCATTTCAGGATGAACCTGGTCAAATTTCAAAGACTTCTGTCTCTCACTTTTAGAAATATCTATTAAGTTAAAAAAAAAAAACAAAACAAAAACAAGCTGGGCACGGTAGCTCCCGCCTGTAATCCTAGCACTTTGGGAGGCCAAGGCTGGTAGATCACTTGAGGCAAGGAGTTCGAGACCAGCCTGGTCAACATGGAGAGACCCCGTCTACTATAAATACAAAAATTAGCCAGGCATGGTGTTATGCACCTGTAATCCCAGCTACTTGGGAGGCTGAGGCAGGAGAATCACTTGAACCCGGAGCCGGAGGTTGCAGTGAGCCAACACATGCCATTGCACTCCAGCCTGGGAGCAGAGTGAGACTCCCATCTCAAAAAAAAAAAAAAAAAAAAAAAAAAAATTGAAAAACCGTTTGTGACTCTTTCCTTAATTCTATACTTTTAAAAATCACTGAAAACTAACAATGGCAGTCACAAAAGGACAAAAACTATAATTGCACTTATAGGAGGTCCCTAGGGCTGTCAAACCAATAGATACAGAAAGCAGAATGCTGGTTGCTAGGGCTAGGAGGCGAGGAGGAGGGGGAGTTAGTGTTTTGTGGGTACTGAGCTTAAGTTTTGCAAGATGAAAGCAGTTCTGGAGCTGGGTGGGGTGAAGGTTGCACAATAAAGTGGTTATACTTAATGCCACAGAACTATACATTTTAAAATGGTTACAATGGTACATTTTATGTAAATCTTACAATTAAAAAACAAAACTGCCAGGCACAGTGGCTCACTCATGGCTGTAATCCCAGCACTTTGGGAGGCCAAGGCAGGCGGGCTGCTTGAGCTCAGGAGTTCTAGAGCAGCCTGGGCAACATGGCAAAACTTCGTCTCTACAAAAAAAAAAGGCCAGGCATGGTGGTACACACCTGTAGTCCCAACTGTGCCAGAGGCTGAGGTGGGAGGATCGCTTGAGCCCAAGAGATGGAGGTTGCAATAGGCCGCGATCACACCATTGCACTCTAGCCTGGGTGACAGAGCGAGATCCTGTCTCCCAAAAAATATATAAACAATAAAACATTGGCAGCCTGGCGGATATGTTACATTACAAACCGCAGTTGCCAGCAGGCCACCTTGACTTTGACTACCTGGAGAGGAGTGGTCCAAGAGTCAGACCTCAGTTACTCACCGTCTGGAACACTGTCTGGGACAGGAAACTGGCTGTGACCTTGCCAATGTCACTGTTGCCTCCCATCTTACAAAGGATGTAGCCATACAGGTTTGCAGCTTGGAGAGAGATCCCAGCAACCACCAGAGCCTGCACTCAGACAAAGAAAGCAAAGGTCACTTTTTTTTGAGACAGAGTTTCGCTCTGTCGCCCAGGCTGGGGTGCAGAGGCACGATCTCAGCTCACTGCAAGTTCCGCCTCCCGGGTTCACACCATTCTCCTGCCTCAGCCTCCCGAGTAGCTGGGACTACAGGCGTCCGCCACCAGGCCTGGCTAATTTTTTTGTATTTTTAGTAGAGACACTGTTTCACCATGTTAGCCAGGATGGTCTCCATCTGACGCAAAGGTCACTTTCTAAGAGCATTTACAGAAATGCACCTCTCAAGCCACGTAGAAATGCTCTAGCCTGCACCTAAGAATAGTAACAGCCAACATTTACTGAGCATTTGCAAATACCCACGGACACCTCAGAATCATTACAACTGGAGAGGTTGCCACCATCATCATCCCATTTTACAAAGAGGAAACTGAGGCTCAGGAAGACGAAAGCTGCCCAAGGTCACAGAGCTGGAGCGTGGTCGAGCCGGGATCCAAATTCCAGGGCCCGCACTTTCATTAAATGACACTGTTGTTTTACTATCTACAAATATTTTGTTTTCTCTATTTATTGATTTTTTTTAAGACGGAGCCTCACTCTGTCACCCAGGCTGAAGTGCTGTGGCACGATCTTGGCTCACTGCAACCTCCGCCTCCTGGGTTCAAGCGATTCTCCTGCCTCAGCCTCCCAAGTAGCTGAGATTACAGGCGTGTGCCACTACGCCCAGCTAATTTTGGTATCTATAGTACAGACAGGGTTTTGCCATGTTGGCCAGGCTGGTCTCAAACTCCTGACCTCAGGTGATTCACCTGCCACAGCCTCCCAAAGTGCTGGGATTACAGATGTGAGGTACTGTGCCAGCCTGTGTGAGTCCATTTATATGAAATGCCCAGAATAGGCAAATCCACAGAAACAGAAAAATTAATAGGTGCCAGGGCTTGGAGGAACAGAAGCACAGGGAAGCAATGTCAAAAGGGCGCAAGGCTTCTTCCGGTGATGAAAATTTCCTAACATTGATGGTGGTTTTGGCTGTACAACTCTGTGACTGCACTAGAAGCCACTGAATTCCACACTTAGTATTTATTTTATTTTTTGGAGACAAGGTCTCACTCTAGCACCCAGGCTGGAGTGCAGTGGCACAATCTTGGCTCACTGCAACCTTTGCTTCCCGGGCTCAAGCGTGCACACCATCATGCCTGGCTAATTTTTGCATTTTTTGCAGAGATGGGGTTTTGCTATGTTGCCCAGGCTGGTCTCGAACTCCTGAGCTCAAGCAATCCTTCCACCTTGGCCTCCCAAAGGCCTGGGATTATAGGCGTAAGCCACCATGCCAAGCCCCTAATTGTATACTTTAAATGGGTAAATTGTATGGAATGTGTATTATATCTCAATAAACTTGTTATAATTGATCAATCAATCAATAACAAATAACAACAAAAGCCTAGTGGTGCAAACACTTTTTTTGCAGAGACATCAAAGCAATGTGGAAGTCAAGATCTGGCCTTACCAGCCACTTTAGCTTCAAGGAAAATAAGGTGCTAAAAAAAAACACAATCCATATCATGGGGCAGATTATGAGGCCCAGCCAGAAGATTCGTGCTTCAGCTTCTGTGGCAGCAATGCTATTCGGAGAGACCTGTTAAAGGAAAGTAATTCAAATGTCAAAACAAGTGGAAATGGTTGCAAACGAGCGTGCTCACATTTTCATTTATTTTATTTTGCAGATGCTTTTGTTGCTGTGGGATTTTTTGTTGTTGGTGTTGTTTTGTTTTGTTTTGTTTTTGAGACAAAGTCTCATTGTGTCACCCAGGCTGGAGTGCAGTGGCGTGATCTTGGCTCACTGGAACCTCCGCCTCCTGGGTTCAAGTGATTCTCCTGCCTCAGCCTCCCGAGTAGCTGGGAATACAGGTGCCTGCCACCACGCCCAGCTAATTTTTGTATTTTTAGTAGAGACAGGGTTTCACCATGTTGCCCAGGCTAGTCTCAAACTCCTAACCTCAAGTGATCCACCCACCTCCGCCTCCCAAAGTGCTGGGATTGCAGGCGTGAGCCACCACGCCCGGTCTATTTTGGAGACACTTTTGCCACACCCATGTTTCACCAGAGCACCTTGGCAATGGTGGCTTTTGTGTAAGGCAGGAATCAGATATGCACAAAACTCCAAAGGAACCCACAGAAACTTTCCACACCCATTATCCCCGCTCTGGTTAGTTCAGCTCGTCATGGAGAATACCTTCCTGGCTTCAAAGATCCAGTGGCTCTTCCCATCTTCATCTATCTGGTTCCACCATCGAAGGCCCACCAGGAGTCTTCCGGTTACATTCTGAGAACAATAGACAAAGGACTCTGAGCAGGTCACAGGCAAAGAGGCTTATTCACTGTATTGATAAACAAAAGTTCCTTGATTCATTTCAGACTTGTACTGGGAGCAGGAAGAAAAAAGGCCTTGAATTGTAGTGGATTCTCAGATGTCAAGACTTCTAGTTTTCAACTAAGCTTACTTTAAAAAGTTACACACTCCCCCCACAAAACATATATAATTTATATGTTCATATTATATATGTTTTAAATATATGTATTAATTCGTATACAAGTGATATGGTTTGGCTGTCTCCCCACCCAAACCTCATCTTGAATTGTCGCTTCCATAATTCCCACGTGTTGTGGGGGAGACCGGGTGGGAGATAATTGAATCATACAGGCAGTTTCCCCCACACTGTTCTCATGGTAGTGAATAAGTGCCACGAGATCTGATGGTTTTTATAAGGGAAACCCCTCTCACTTGGCTCTCATTCTCTCTCTTTTTTTTTTTTTTTTTTTCCGAGACAGAGTTTGACTCTTGTCACCCAGGCTGGAGTGCAATGGCACAACCTCGGCTCACTGCAACCTCCGCCTCCCGGGTTCAAGTGATTCTTCTGCCTCAGCCTCCCAAGTAGCTGGGATTACAGGCACACACCACCGCGCCAGGCTAATTTTTGTATTTTTAGTAGAGACGGGGTTTCTCCATTCCCCTTACTTTTAAGTGACACTGCTCAGCACTCTTAAGCATGTCTCAGGAGTCTAAACCAAAGTACCTCTTGGTACCACGCACACAGGGGACAAGCCTCGTGTTTCGGAAGTGATGACATCACACGAAAGGGCCTCACCTTCACAGACCAGAAGTCCAGGGACAGGAGGAGCAGCACCATGACAAAACAGCCCACAAAGCTCTTGCTGAACCAGTCGCAGCTCACGTAGGTGACGATGGCACTCACTCGGAAAAACAGGTGGAAAAAGGTGGCCAAGGGGTGTCTAGGAAAGGACCCAGAAGGCGCCCTCACTCCAAGAGCTAAGCGGATGGTCACTGAACTCCCTTTACCACTTCAGACTTTGCTGGGGGTGTTAGCGTGGCTCAATGGAATGTTCTCCCCGGTGCATATGACGCAGAAACTCAGGCTGTAGCCCTGGGGACACATCATTAGGTCAGCAGTCCCCAGACAGTCATGCTGACACTGTTTTTTTTCCTCCCCTTCGAAGAATCCAGTACTTTCCCGCCACTTGACTCCAAATATCACTTGCCCTCTTCGAAACACGGTCATCTTTGAAGTGAAACGTGACAGCAGTCACTGCCTTCCCGCCTAGCAGAGATGACGGCCAGTTCCCTAAAGGTAAAGGTTGGGTTTTTCCACCACCAGTCACTGAGCTCCAAGCTCACACGCAGCCCACGGGGCAGGTGTCTCATGTCATCGGGGAATGCGTGTTCCTGGACAGAGGGAAACATGTGACCTGTGAATGGCAGGTCTAACTCATCATACTTGCTCAGTGGTGAATGGCACGTGAATCCTGGCATTTAATCTAGGGGAAGGTGGTTCTTGTTCACTGTGCCTTTAGACACAAACCTGGCCAGAAAGAAGAGAGGGAGCCAAGGGGAACATGCTCATCCTGTGTAAATTGCTTTTCTTTTTTTTTTTTTTTTTTTTTTGAGATGGAGTCTTGCTCTGTCCCCTAGGCTGGAGTGCAGTGGCGTGATCTCGGTTCACAGCAACCTCCACCTCCCGGGTTCAAGCAATTCTCCTGCCTCAGCCTCCCAAGTAGCTGAGATTATAGGCGCCTGCCACCACGCCCAGCTAATTTTTGTACTTTGAGTAGAAACAGGATTTCAACATGTTGGCCAGGCTGGTTTCGAACTCCTGACCTCAGGTGATCTGTCCACTTTGGCTTCCCAAAGTGCTGGGATTACAGGCATAAGCAACCACGCCTGGCCTTATTTTTTTTATTATTATTATTTTTTAATGTAAGTCTGATATAGGCCAGGCACGGTGGCTCACACCTGTAATGCCAGCACATTGGGAGGCCGAGGCGGGCGGATCACCTGAGGTCAGGAGTTCAAGACCAGCCTGGCCAACATGGTGAAACCCCATTTCTACTCAAAATACAAAAATTAGCTGGGCATGGTGGCGGCTGCCTGTAACCCCAGCTACTCGGAAGGCTGAGGCAGGAGAATCACTAGAACCTGGGAGGCGGAGGTTGCAGTGAGCCAAGATCACGCCACTGCACTGCAGCCTGGGTGAGAAAGTCAGACTCCAACTCAAAAAATAAAAAAATAAAAAAATAAAAACAAGAAAAGAAAGGTTACCAAATTGTATAGAGCAGGTGATGGCAGTGGGTGATGTGGGCCAGACTGAAGACACTTGTGGGTTTCTGTTTCTTTCTGTGGTTTCCCAGTTTAAATAGAGCACACAGGTAGAGAACGATACTCAACTATGATCAGGAAATCAATGGCACGAGCCCAGTTGTTATACCAGAAAGGGTTTCAGATCCAGACCCCAAGAGAGGGTTCTTGGATCTCACCCAAGAAAGAATTCAGGGCAAGTCCATTGAGTAAAGTGAAAGCAAGTTTATTTGGAAAGTAAAGGAATAAAGAATGGCTAGTCTATAGATAGAGCAGTCCTAAGGGCTGCTGGTTGCCCATTTTTATGGCTATTTCTTGATGATATGCTAAAGAAGGGGTGGATTATTCATGCCTCCCCTTTTTCGACCATATAGGGCAACTTCCAGACGTTGCCATGACATCTGTGAACTGTCATGGTGCTGGTGGGAGTGTAGCAGTGGGGACGACCAGAGGTCACTCTCATGGCCATCTTGGTTTTGGTGGGTTTTAGCCGGCTTTTTTACTGCAACCTGTTTTATCAGCAAGGTCTTTATGACCTGTATCCTGTGCGACCTCCTATCTCATCCTGTGACTTAGAATGCCTTAACCGTCCAGGAATGCAGCCCAGTAGGTCTCAGCCTCGTTTTACCCAGCCCCTATTCAAGATGGAGTTGCTCTGGTTCACACGCCTCTGACACAGTGATGGATGAGAATGAAACCCGCACCTCAGGGCAGGGGAGGAAAAGGGAGGGATGAAAGGGACTCTTCCCAGCACCAGGCAGCTGTGCAAACCAGACCCAGTACTGCCAGAGCCAAGATTTTCATGAGAAGTCAGAAATCCAGACTTGCAATGGGAAATCTGATTTTAAATGATGGCCACTAATTCTTTTACTGAAATATCAGTCTGTGTTTCTCACTGGCCTGCGAGCAGTGAGCTTGCAACCTCTGGATTAGGTTACAAAATGTTGTGGGCTTTGGAAAATGCGGGGCCGAATGGGGTGGTCACAGAGATCCACACAGAACTGCAGGGGAAAGCGCCTGCTCATTCTCCCCAAGAAGAAACGGAGTCCGAGTCAACAAACCACAGGTGCCTCTACAACTGTGGGGCTTCCGACTCCCAGGGGAATGTTAAGATTCAGAAGCAGACTTCACAGTGACTTTTTTGCGTAGCAAAGCACCAACTATTCACCAGGATGGGTCTCATCTGAGCCTCTCAGGCTCTTGGCTCTCCTGGTGACCTGAATGAAAACCAACCCAGGAAGTGCACCCGGCTTTTAAGAATTAGACAGGATCAAGCCGGGCGTGGTGGCTCACGCCTGTAATCCCAGCACTTTGGGAGGCTGAGGCAGGTGGATCACGAGGTCAAGAGACTGAGACCATCCCTGGCCAACATGGTGAAACCCCGTCTCTACTAAAAATACAAAAATTAGCTGAGCGTGGTGGTGGGCGCCTGTAGTCCCAGCTACTCGGGACGCTGAGGCAGGAGAATTGCTTGAATCTGGGAGGCGGAGGTTGCAGTGAGTTGAGATCGTACTACTGCACTCCAGCCTGGTGACAGAGCGAGACTCCGTCTCAAAAAAAATAAAAATAAAAATAAAAGAAGAATTAGACAGGATCACCAGGTGTGGTGGCTCACACCTGTAATCCTAGCTCTTTGGGAGGCCGAGGCAGGCAGATCAGTTGAAGTCAGGAATTCAAGACCAGCGTGGCCAACATGGTAAAACTCCGTCTCTACTAAAAATACAAAAATTAGCCAGTTGTGGTGGCAGGTGCCTGTAATCCCAGCTACTCAGGAGGCTGAGGCAGGAGAATCGCTTGAACCTGGGAGGTGGAGGTTGCAGTGAGTCGAGATGATGCCACTGCACTCCAGCTTGGGCAACAGAGCAAATCGCTGTCTCGAAGAATTAGACAGGATCACATAGAACTTAAAAACTTCCTGGAGTGTTCCAGAAGATAAGACTCTTGGGTGTCTCTTTTTGCTGTAAACCTAATTGAGAATTTCCTAACTGAATAAAATTTTGTCCCTTGCCCCTGGAGATAAATAAATGCTCTTTCAATAACTGAAAGTTCTTTGAGGGCACAGACCATGTTTAACACATTTTTATATCCCCAAAAGCACCCAGTATTTAAGATTCTCCGCAAACATATTTGTTATGTTGAACCTTGTAATCGAGTCAGTTAGAATCACTGGAAACATCTGTCCTCTTTGTAGAACAATACAAATGTAAAAAAAAAAAAAAAGATAGAGGGTCGGGCGCGGTGGCCCATGCCTATAATCCCAGCACTTTGGGAGGCTGAGGCGGCTGGATCACTTGAAGTCAGGAGTTCGAGACCAGCCTGGCCAACATGGTGAAACCCTATCTCTACTAAAACTACAAAAATTAGCCAGGCCTGATGGCAGGCGCCTGTAATCCCAGCTACTTGGGAGGCTGAGGCAGGAGAATTGCTTGAACCTGGGAGGCAGAGGTTGCAGTGAGCTGAGATTGCACCACTGCACTACGGAGCAAGACTCCATCTCAAAACAACAAAACATACAGATCTCAAAAAAATGTCAAAGTGTGAGCCAAGTGTGCGCTGACCCATGGTAAAATGTGGAAGTAAATGCATTCGAATAAATCCCTTGCCCACCCGCTTCTTTCTTTTTTCTTTTTGGCTGTGGCTCTCCTAAAATAAAATGCAGAAAAATTTCCAGTTGTTGATAGCTTCCACTTAGCTGGGCCCTGATTAACTCAATGGAAAGTGGTGTTACTCAAACAGAGTTCAAAGCCCAAAGCAAGTAGAAGAGGACGCCTGTTGCCCTTTTAAATGTTGCTTTAATCCTATTTTATGCAGGTTGCTCCATCAGCATCCTCCAAGTCCTCATTCAGTCCCTATCTGGAGTTTGCCCAGCCTGTGCCTCTAGCTAATACTGTGTGATCTCAGACCAGTTTTCCAGAGTTTTGAGAGTCATGGCTTAAGTCCTGTCCACTCGTCTCTGCCATCGGGTCCTCCATCCTCCTGCTCCCCAGCAACATGGAGCACACACACACACACCACCAATCACCTCCAGTTCCCAGTGCCATTGCTCTCTAACTCCGCCCTCCCAGGCACCAACCTGGGAGGTTGCCCCTTGAGAGGCAAACAGCACAGGGGCATGGCACCAGCTGCGTGTGTTCCCGGACCAACTGAGAATCAGGCGGCATATTCTTGTGGCCCAAAAACGAGATGCAGATGAACTGGGAGAGGAAGTTTTTATTTCTGTAGCCAGTTACAGGGAGAAGACCTAGAAAATATCGCCAGGCCAACTTAAAATTACCAAGTTTTCCAGAGCTTATATACCTTCTGAGCTATATGTCATGGATAAGTTTGCATTCATCTAAAATAAGTGATTGGCCGGGGGCGGTGGCTCACGCCTGTAATCCCCAGCCCTTTGGGAAGCTGAGGCAGGCAGATCACTTGAGCTCAGGAGTTCGAGACCAGCCTGGCCAACATGGCAAAACTCCGGCTCTAATAAAAATACAAAAATTAGCGGGTGTGGTGGTGCACGCCTATAATTCCAGCTACTCGGGAGGCTGAGGCAGGGGAATTGCTTGAACCCAGGAGGCAAAGTTTGCAGTGAGCCAAGATCGTGCCACTGGACTCCAGCCTGGGCGACAGAGTGAGACTCCATCTCAAAATGAATGAATGAATGAATGAATGAATGAATGAATGAATAAAATAAAATAAAGATTAACTTCTTTTAATCTATAACTAATATCTGAGTCCTGAAGACCTTCCTCTGGAGCCTCAGTAAATTTACTTAATCTAAATGGGTCCAGGTGCTGGGGTGATTACCCTTATCTTGTCTCCTGCTAAATGATGGAGGTTTGGGGAGTCTCTTCAGACCCCTAATAAACTTGTTTGTGGAGGCCTGGGGAGTTTCTTTGGACCTCCCAATAAACTTATTTCATCCTAAATGGGTCCTTTGTTATCTTGTCATACTTCAAGGACCAGGAAAGACCTGGGCACAACTCTAGGTGGGCTTTTGTCACATTCCAGCCTTTGTATAAGGGCACTGGCTCTCTCAGCTTTTAATATTTAACTTCACCACTCATTCAGTGCTGAGACAGCTGTTATGGAGGCCTATGTTAGTGAGAACTGGCCTGCCACCCATGGGCTTGGGCGCTAGACCACCAGCATTCCAATCCTGGCTCTAATCTCTGAGTAGCTCTGTGGTCTTCCCTAAGCTACTTAACTCTGTGATCCCTCCATCTCCTCTTCTGCAAAATGGGAATGCCAACAGGATCCACTTCCTAAGACACTGAAAACATCGGGTGAGGGTGGTACATAAAAGTGCCTGAAACACACACCATGCTCAAAAACAGGTGACAGCCATTACCATCTCAGTCCTCCGTGTCATTCGAAACAACGGTTCCACCACCAAGAGCCAAACTGTGAAATTCCCCCTCTGACCACAACTTTCTCTCACTCCTGAGGGGACTACCTTTTGTCTTTGCAGGGATCTCCCAAGACTCCTGGGCCCCTCACATTCCCCCAGATGAACCTTCATCATGTTCAACTTGAACAGGTGCTATTTCCACACAGTATCCAACATCCCCAACCCCAGCCACATAGAAACCCATTGTTTCAAGAAGAGGAGACTCGGTGCTAACGCCTATAATCCCAGCACTTTGGGAGGCAGAGGTGGGCAGATTACTTGAGGTCAGGAGTTCAAGACCAGCCTGGACAACATGAAGAACCCCCATCTCTACTAAAAATACAAAAATTAGCCTGGGATGGTGGCAGATGCCTGTAGTCCCAGCTGCTCAGGAGGCTGAGACAGGAGGATCGCTTGAACCTGGGAGGTGGAGGTTGCAGTGAGCCAAGATCACATCACTGCACTCCAGCCTGGGTGACAGAGTGAGACTCCATCTCAAAAAAAAAAAAAGAAAAAAGAAGAGGTGAGAAAATGACACAGTGATGAAAGGGGGAAAGGGATTACTCAAGTAAAGTGTTGTCAAGGCAGGGAGAGTCCTGATGGGGGCTTCTGTTCAACTTTCCTCTCTTTCTAGATCCACTTATGCAGCTCTGGGCCCTTGTCACCCATTGTCTTCCTCCCCGGAGGGAAGCACAGTAGATTCTCAACCTGGAATGTGTGTGAAAGCCACCTGAGGAGGTCTCACGTTGTGCACAGGATACAAGGATTCAGATTTCAGGTGGGACCTGGACACATGAATTTCACAAAGAAAAAGCACAGCTCTACCCGGGTTCAGCAAACTACAACCTAAGGGCCAAATCTGGCCATGGCCTGCTTTTGTAAATGAAGTGTGGAGTCTTAATTAGGGAGAGTCAGGTTGGCAGAAATGAGGGAAAACAAAAAGAAAAGGCAGATAAGCTATAAATCTCCCTCTGTTCACGGTCCAGAACACGCAGCCCTCCTTCACAACTAACACAATCTTTTTTTTTTTTTTTTTTTTTTTTTTTTTGAGACAGAGTCTCACTCTGTTGCCCAGGCTGGAGTGCAGTGATATGATCTCGGCTCACTGCAGCCTCCGCCTCCCGGGTTCAAGCAATTATCCTGCCTCAACCTCCTGAGTAGCTGGGATTGCAGGTGCCTGCCACCACACCTGGCTAATTTTTGTATTTTCAGTAGAGACAGGGTTTTACCATGTTGGCCGGGCTGGTCTCGAACTCCTGACCTCAGGTGATCCACCTGCCTCAGTCTCCCAAAGTGCCAGGATTATAGGTGTGAGCTACCGTACCTGGCCAAATAACACAACCTTCCCACACTCAGCTGTCATCAGACCCTCAGCTGATACAAAAATCACAAGTGAACTCACTGCAACCTTGGCATTATCAGTACTTCCCAAAGCCCTCTTCAGCACACAGCACAAGCACTATCCCAGAAAATCCCCAGCAAGCCTTTGTTTCCTGGCAGTCAGCTCCTCTCTTGCTGGCCTGCCCCTTGCTCCTTTGAAATGTACTTCCACACTTGCCTGTCTTTACCTATAACTGTCTTGGTAAATTCTTCTTAAACCTGTGCCACCAGCCCCAGGTAGTTGCTGCTCACCTGTGTCATGAAGTTTTGTTGGTTTTGTTTTCGTTTTTGTTTGTTTTGTTTGTTTTTAAGACAGGGTCTCACTCTGTCTCCCAGGCTGGAGTGCAGTGGTGTGATCAAGGCTCACTGCAGCCTCGACCTCCCAGGCTCAAGCACTCCTCCCATGTCAGCCTTCCAAGTAGCTGTGAATACAGGCAGACACCACCACACCTGGCTAATTTTTAAAATTTTTTGTAGAGATGGGATCTCACTATTTTGCCCAGGCTGGTCTCAAATTCCTGGGCTCAAGCTGTCCTCCCATCTTAGCCTCTCAAAGTGCTACAATTACAGGTGTGAGCCACTGCGCCCAGCCTGTAAATCAAGTTTTACTGGAACACAGTCACACCCACTCATTCGCTGGACTACCAAGCCCAAAATACCCAGAGAGTGTGCCAACCCCTGCTCCAGACCAGCAAGAACAACTTGGTGATGACATTAGGCTCCCTTCAAAACAACCCAAAATGAAGCAAACTGCCCCTACCTGCTCCCCAAACCCACACTCCAAAAAAATCTACTTTCAAAAGCTGTTGGGTGGTTGCTGCCTGACTGGCACAATCCCAAGGGGTTGTGTTCTTTCTTGGAGTGGGTGAGGGGGTAGTGATTGGGAAGGGATATGAGGGAGACTTCTGGATGCTGGGATGTTCTGTATCTTTATCTAATGACTACATGTGTGTAAAAATTCAGTGAACCATACGAATCTCCTGTTGGAAGCCGCTGACCAAAGCCAACCTTTGCAAGTCACTCTGAACATTTTACATGTGATACAATCCAGCAACCACAATCCCCAGGGTTTACCGAAGTGAGCTGAAAACTTACGTCTGCACAAAAAGCAACACACAAATATTTATAGCAGCTTCATTCATAATTGCCAAAACTCAGAAGCAACTAAGATGTCCTTCAATTGGCCAGGTGTGGTGGCTCATACCTGTAATCGCAGCATTTTGGGAGGCTGAGGTGGGCAGATCACTTGAGACCAAGAGTTCGAGACCAGCCTGGCCAACATGGCAAAAATCCATCTCTACTAAAAATACAAAATTTAGCCGGGCGTGGTGGCGCGTACCTGTAGTCCCAGCTGCCGGAGAGGCTGAGGCATGAGAATCACTTGAACCCAAGAAGCGGAGGTTGCAGTGAGCCAAGATCGCACCACTGCACTCCAGCCTGGGTGACAGAGTGAGACTCTGTCTCAAAAAACAAATAAGATGTCCTTCAATAGCAGAATGGATAAACCATGGTACATCCAGACAACAGAATGTTATTCAGCGCTAAAAAGAAATGAGCTATCAGACCTCAAAAAGGCATAGAGGAACCTTAAATGTGTATTGCTTAGTGAAAGAGGTTAATCTGAAAAGGCTGTGTATGGACAACTTCCACTATACAACGTTCTGGAAAAGGCAACACTCTAGAGACAGTAAAAAGATCAGTGGTTGCCAGGAGTTCCAGAGGGTGGGGAGGGATGCATAGGTGGAGCAGAGGGGACTTTTAGAGCTGGGAAACTACTCTGTATGATGTTGTGATGGAGGACTTTTGACATTACACATTTGCCAAAACTCATAGAATGGGCTAGGCGTGGTGGCTCATGCCTGCCTACAATCCCAGCACTTTGGGAGGCCTAGGGGGCAGATAGCTTGAGCCCAGGAGTTCAAGACCAGCCTGGCCAACATGGTGAAACCCTGTCTCTACTAAAAATACAAACATTAGCCAGGTGGTGCACACCTGTAATCCCAGCTACTAGGGAGGATGAGGAAGGAGAATTGCCTGAACCCAGGAGGCGGAGGTTGCAGTGAGCCGAGATCTCACCACTGCACTCCCACCTAGGCGACAGAGCAAGACTCTGTCTCAAAAAAAAGAAAAAATATCAACCTGGGCAACATGGTAAAACCCAATCTCTACCAAAAAAAGAAAAAAAAAAAAAGAAAGAAAATTAGCCAGGCATGGTGGCACACGCCTACAGTCTCAGCTACTTGGAGTGCTAAGGTGGGAGGATGGCTTGAGCCTGGAAGGCAGAGGTTGCAGTGATCCGAGATCACACCAATGCATTCCAGCCTGGGCAACAGAGCAAGACCTTGTCTCAAAAAAAATAAATAAATAAAGAAGAAAGAAAGAAAAAAAAACCTCATAAAATGTACAACATCAAGAGTAAACCCTGATATAAACTATGGATTTTAGTTAATAATAATGTATTGGTTCATCAAGTGTAACACATATACCACACTAATGCAAGATGTTTAAAATGGAGAAATTGGGGGAGAAGGGGAGTATATAAAAATTATATGAACTTTCTCCTCAAACTTTGCTACAAAACTGAAACTGCTCTAAAAACAGAGCCAGGTCCAGGTGTGGTGGCTCACACCTATAATCCCAGCACTTTGGGAGGCCGAGACAAGTGGATCACCTGAGGTCAGGAATTCAAGACCAGCCTGACCAACATGGTGAAACCCCATCTCTAAAATACAAAAAGTAGCTGAATGTGGTGGCGGGCGCCTGTAATCCCAGCTACCTGGGAAACTGAGGCAGGAGAATCCCTTGAATCCGGGAGGCGGTGGTTGCAGTGTGCTGAGATCACAACACTACACTCCAGCCTGGGTGACAAAGCGAGACTCCGTCTCAAAAAAAAAAAAAAAAAATAGAGCCAGGCCGGGCATGGTGGCTCACGCCTATAATCCCAGCACTTTGGGAGGCCAAGGCGGGTGGATCACCTGAGGTCAGGAGCTCACGACCAGCCTGGCCAACATGGTGAAACCTGCCTCTATTAAAAATACAAAAATTAGCCAGGTTTGGTGGCGGAAGCCTGTAATCCCAGCTACTCAGGAGGCTGAGGCACGAGAATCGCTTGAACTGGGGAGGTGGAGGTTGCAGTGAGCAGAGATCGCACCACTGCACTCCAGCCTGGGTGACAGAGCAAGACTCCATCTCAAAAAAAAAAAGAGCCAGAATTTATAAAAGTGGGTGGACATAGGTATGAAGCTCTGTCTAAGAGTACACAGAGAAACTGGGAGGAGGCACAAACATCACTGTCCCACAACTTCTAAAGCAGGTCTGATTTGGGGGTGTAAACCCTGAATATCTGAGACAGGTCTCAGTTATTTTAGAAAGTTATTTTCCCAAGGTTGAGAACACACTCAGGAGATCCTGACAACATGTGTCCAAGGTGATCAGAGCACAGCTTGGTTTTGTACATTTCAGGGAGACAGGAGACAACAATCAACTTATGTAAGATGAACATTGGTTGGGTCTGGAAAGGCGGAACACCTTTCCAGGCATCTGCTTCTCAGATCTATGTGATTGTACTCAATAAATAGTGTGGAGACCAGAACTCTGAGCCCTTTGCAGCCTCTGATTTGCTCTGGCCCCCTGGCTCCCACCTTTATGAACTCTTAACCTGTCTCTTCTCATTCCTTTGTCACCACCGGACTTTGGGTACCCTACAGGTGGTGTTGAGGCTGGTCCCCAACAGAGACCAGCCTGACCAACATGATGAAACCCCGTCTCTACTAAAAATACAAACAATTAGCTGGGAGGGGTCTTCCAGGTCATAGGTAGATTAGAGACAAATGGTTGTGTTCTTTTAAGTTTCTGATGAGTGTCTCCAAAGGAGGCAATCAGATATGCATTTATCTCAGTGAGCAGGGGAGTGACTTTGAATAGAATGGGAGGCAGGTTGGCCTTAAGCATTTCCCAGTTTGACTTTTCCCTTTAGCTTAGTGATATGGGGGCCCCAAGATTTATTTTTCATCCACAGGGGAAGGTGAGTTCATCCTAAATTCGGCAGTGATCTAACAATGTCTTTAAAAGTTGTCCTGTGGCCAGGTGCAGTGGCTTAGGCCTGTAATCTCAGCACTTTGGGAGGCTGAGTCAGGAGGATCACTTGAGGCCAGGAGTTTGAGGCTGCACTGAGCTATGATCACACCACTGCACTCCAGCCTGGGGACAGAGGGAGAACTTGTCAAAAAAAAAAATACCCTTTACTTTGAAAACTGTACTCCTTTTTTTAAGCCCATCTCCAACTAGAATTCCTCATGAAACATCACATTTTAAATTCTGTGTCCTCTTTCAGACACTCTGGAAACCTTCCTGCTTCTCAGTATGGCAGGCCTGAAGAAAGGCATTCTCTTCCCTTCTTGGTTTGCTTTGCTCTGTGATGATGTCTAGAATTTGCTTAAAAATAACCTGAGTGTGCGGGGATGGGAGGGGGTGAAGATGAAACGGGCCACATCCTGGTGATGACTGGGGATGGGCATTGGGAACCTGGTGATGACTGGGGATGGGCATTGGGAACGTCAGGTTCATTGTTCTCTATACTTTTACGTAAATTTGAATTTAAAAGTAGAAGAAGAAAGAAATCGGCAGAAGCAGCCCTGACTTTGCATTGAGGCCAGATGCCTTTTGGGATAAACCAAGCTCATGGGCTGATATTCTGGGTACCTAGATGGCCCAGCTGTGGTCCAAAAAAAAAAAAAATTTAGACCTAAAAATCCCCCATTGAGTAATGGACTGTTACAGCTGGATACATGAAGAAAATTCCAGAAAGCAGGTCCTTTCTTCTGGGCTTACCAGTTCCTCTACAAAAAAAGAGGCCACCCCTCTCTGAAGTACAAATGCCCAACCCTCCCTGCACCTGGCCAGCGTGGTGCAGGGAAAGCCAGAGGGTCCAGCCCCACGCTCCTGCTCCATGCTTGCTGGGTATGCAGTCCTGGACAAAGTACTAAACCCTTTTTGATATAGGAGTTAAGAAGAAATTATTTAGGCAGATAGTGAGGATATGAGAGTCCTCTGTAAGGTTTTCCTTTTAATGAAAAGCAGCCCCAAAATTATTTTCTTTCCCAATAAAGAGCAGCCTGTAAAATCCAGCTGCAGACAAGCAAGCTGGAAGCTTGCACAGGTGAAGGCCAACAGCTGTGCCAATAGGAAAAGGCTACCTGGGACTAGGTATGTTCAAAATGGCGGCTCCATCTTCCCTTCTCCTTTCCAGTCACGTGTACAGTAAGGGGCAGGCAACATGGGGCAGGCAACATGGCACCAGCCAAGTGGAAAGCTCATTTGCATAATAAGATTAGGGTTGGGGGGGCAGCCTTCCGTGAGCGCTATGTGAATGTCACCCCGGTCCAACCAATCTGTGGGCTCTATGTAAATCAGACACTGCCTCCTTAAGCCTGTCTATAAAATCTGGTGCAGTCTGCAGTGGGCTGGTTTTTTTCCCTTTCAGAAGCCCCTCTCTCTCACAGGAGAGAGAGCTGTTCTCCTCTCTCTTTCTTTTGCCTATTAAACCTCCCCTCCTAAATTCACTCCTCATATGTGTCAGTGTCCGTGATCTTCTTGGCATGAGATGACAAACCCAGGGTATTTACCCCAGACAACAATGCCGCTTCACTTTGAGCCTCACATTATCCATCCATAAAATGAGACAGTAACATTTGCGTCAGATGCCGGAGGCTTTCAACTAATAGAGTCAAACTCTGTAAAATATTTAAAGAGATTAATCCTGAGCCAAATATGAGAACCGTGACCCATGACACAGCCCCATGGGGTCCTGAGAACATGTGCCCAAGGTTGTCGGGCTACAACCTGGCTTCATACATTTTAGGGAGACAAAGGCATCAATCAATACATGCAAGATGTACACTGGTTTGGTCTGGAAAGGCAAAACAACTCAAACAGGGAGGGCGCTTCTGGGTCATAGGTAAATTCAAAGATTTTCTGATTGGCAATTGGTTGAGTTATTATCTAAAGACCTGGAATCAAGAGAAAGGAGTGTCTGGGTTAAGATGAGGGGTTGTGAGCAAGGTTTTTTTTTTGTTTTTTTTTGAGATGGAGTCTTGCTCTGTCGCCCAGGTTGGAGTGCAGTGGTGCGATCTCAGCTCACTACAACCTCCATCTCCCGGATTCAAGCGATTCTCCTGCCTCAGCCTCCTGAGCAGCTGGGACTACAGGCGCCCGCCACCACACCCGGCTAATTGTTTGTATTTTTAGTAGAGACAGGGTTTCATCATGTTGGTCAGGCTGGTCTCTGTTGGGGACCAGCCTCAACACCACCCGTAAGGTACCCGAAGTCCGGTGGTGACAAAGGAATGAGAAGAGACAGGTTAAGAGTTCATAAAGGTGGGAGCCAGGGGGCCAGAGCAAATCAGAGGCTGCAAAGGGCTCAGAGTTCTGGTCTCCACACTATTTATTGAGTACAGTCACTTAGATCTGAGAAGCAGATGTTCAGGGGTGAAACGGGGAAAGGGAGACAGTATGTCATACTGTAGTAGTAGCGGTTTAAATGAATCTCCTTTGTGCTCAAACAGCGTATTTTTAACTTAACAGAGAGTAGCTAGTAGGAGTGGGCTTAACAAGGAGCCTGCATGTCTCTCCACATTCCAGTGCTTCAAAGGAGTGTCCTTCTCCTTGAACACAGTGTTTGCAGATAAGAGAGCAGGTCTCACTCTGAGCATGGGAACATGATGGCAATTAGGAGGCTTTCCTCCTCAGCGGCCTCTTGTGGCTTTCCACAACTTATTGTCCCATATTTTTATGGCCAGTTTATGCAGGCACCCCACAAGCCTTTTTCCCAACAGATCTCGAACTCCTGACCTTGTGATCCACCTGCCTCGGCCTCCCAAAGTGCTGGGATTACAGGCATGAGCCACCGTGCCCGGACAAGAGCAAGGTTTTTATATCACAGATGATGCCCTCCTGGTAGCCAGCTTCAGAGAGAACAGATGGCAAATGTTTTTTACCAGCCTTAAAAAGGCACCACTCTTAGTGAATTCTCTCCTGGATCAGAGGAAGCACCTGGAAAGGGAAGGGGGTTCTCAACAGAGTGCAGAATTCCCCCCCAAGAGACAGTTCTGTAGGCTCTTTCAAAATACGACAAAAAAATGTGTTGATGAAAAGAGTCAAACTCTCTAAAACATTTGATGAGATTTATTCTGAGCCAAATATGAGTGACCGTAGCCCATGACATAGCCTTCAGGAGATCCTGAGAACATGTGCCCAAGGTGGTTGGGGTACAGCCTGGTTTTATATATTTTTGGGAGATATGAGACATCAATCAAATACATTCAAGATATACATTGGGGCTGGGTGTGGTGATTCACACCTGTAATCCCAGCACTTTGGGAGGCTGAGGCTGGTGGATCACCTGAGGTCAGGAGTTCAAGACCAGTCTGGTCAACACGTGAAACCCCATCTCTACTAAAAAAAAAAAAAAAAAAAAAAAGCCAGGCGTGGTGGCAGGTGCCTGTAATCCCAGCTACTTGGGAGGCTGAGGCAAAAGGCTTGAACCCAAGAGGTAGAGGTTGCAGTGAACTAAGATTGTGCCACTGCACTCCAGCCTGGATGACAGAGTGAGACTCTGTCTCAAAAAAAAAAAAAAAAGGTACAATGTTACATTTGTTTGTTTCAGAAAGGCGGGACAACTCAAAGAGGGGCAGGAGGAGGGGGCTGGTTGGTAGGGACCTTCTAGGCTATAGATAAATTTTAAAATTTTCTGGTTGACAATTGGTTGAGTCTAAAGACCTGGGATCAATAGAAAGGGAATGTTCAGGTGAAGATAAAAGATTGTGGAGACCAAGGTTCTTTTGAAGTCTTATAATGGCAGCCCTTAGAGACAATAGAAGACAAATGCTTCCTATTCAGACCTTTAAAAGGTGCTAGGTTCTCAGTTAATCTCTTCAGCATTGGGAGGGCCTGGAAGAAAAAATCTAGCTATGTTAATAGAGATTCTTTACAGATGTAAATTTTCCCCCACAAAGAATGGCTTTGCAGGACCATTTCAAAATATGACAAAGAAACATGTCTTGGGGTAAAATTTTTTTTTTTTTTTTTTTTTTTGAGACGGAGTCTCGCACTGTCGCCCAGGCTGGAGTGCAGTGGCGTGATCTCGGCTCACTACAACCTCCGCCTTCCAGGTTGATGCCATTCTCCTGCCTCAGCCTCCCGAGTAGCTGGGACTACAGGCGCCCGCCACCATGCCTGGCTAATATTTTGCATTTTTTAGTAGAGACAGGGTTTCACCGTGTTAGCCAGGATGGTCTTGATCTCCTCACCTTGTGATCCGCCCGCCTCGGGCTCCCAAAGTGCTGGGATTACAGGTGTGAGCCACTGCGCCCGACCATCTTGGGGTAAAATATTTTGATTTTCTTCTTTGTCATGTAATGTTACACCAGAATCAGATTGGAAAGTAAGTCACGATATATAGGGTTAAATAAAACCTATCTGATGAAAATTTATGGTTTGTAGGGGTCCTATCCAGGCCCCTTAGATAGGAATTTGGGCAAGATAGGAAAAAAATTAGAGTTTAGTCCTCAAATGTAGTTTGCGGTAAAATACTTCAATTTCTTTCAGGGCCTGCTATCTGTGCTGTTGGGATGTCATTGCTAAAAACAATCTGTTTGTCCAGTATTAAGGTCCCTGTGTTAATGTTAATGCTGGTCAGCTGTGCCTGGATTCCAATGGGAGGAGGGTAGAACGAGGCATGTCTGACCCCCACCTCTTCCCATCATGGCCTGAACTAGTTCTTTAGGTTAACTTTGGAATGCCCTTGGCCGATAGGAGGGGTCCATTCAGTTGGTTGGGGGGCTTAGACTTTTATTTTTGGTTTACAGGCTTCTGGGAGATAAAAAACTACCATGCCAGATCAGAGAGAGCCCTCCAGCAGCTGTGGTTCCTATCACTCTACTTATTGCTTGACTCATTAATAGTCAACATTTTTGAGAACGGAAGAAAGAGGAAAAAACCATGACCAGTAACGCTCTTTTTGGACATCCTTTGTCAGACGAATGTTTTTCCCCATTGTTAAAAATAAGTAGGGTGTTGCTATTTCTTTCTTTGGCCCCGACACCCACTTACACTCAGGTGGCTTCTCTGCTACTGATGTAGGAGTTCAGAAGAAACTACTTAGGCAAATAGGGTATGGGAGTACCAACTAAGGTTTTCCTTTTAATGAAAATCAGCCCCCAAATTATTTTCTTTTCTAACAAAGAGCAGCCTGTAAAATCCAGCTGCAGACATAGACAAGCAAGCTGGAAGCTTCCAGGGTGAATGCCAGCAGCTGTGCCAATAGGAAAAGGCCAAGTTGTGCCAATAGGAAAAGGCTACCTCGGACCAGGCATGTCCAACATGGAGGCTCCATCTTCCCTTCTCTCTTATTTTTTTGAGACAGAGTCTTGCTCTGTTGCCCAGGCTGGAGTGCAGTGGCACAATCTTGGCTCACTGCAACCTCCGCCTCCTGGGTTCAAGCGATTCTCCTGCCTCAGCCTCCTGAGTAGCTGGGACTACAGGCGCGTGCCACCATGCCCGGCTAATTTTTTTTTAATTTGTATTTTTAGTAGAGACAGGGTTTCACTGTGTTAGCCAAGATGGTCTCAGTCTCCTGACCTCATGATCCGCCCGCCTCGGCCTCCCAAAGTGCTGGGATTACAGGTGTGAGCATCTTCCCTTCTCTTTGCCAGCCATGTGTACAGTAAGAAGCAAACAACATGGCATGGGCCAAGTCGAAAGCCCATTTGTGTAATAAGATTAGGGTGGGGTGGCCAGCCTTCCCTGAGTGCTACATAAACGTCACACCTGATCCAACCAATCTGTGTGCCCTATGTAAATCAGACACCACCTCCTCAAACCTGCCTATAAAATCTGCTGTGGTCCACCTCCGGCTGGATTTTTCCCTTCGGAAGCCCTTCTCTCTCACTAGGAAGAAAGCTGTTCCCCTTTCTCTTTCTTTTGCCTATTAAACCTCTGCTTCTAAACTCATTCCTTATGTGTGTCCATGTCCTTAATCTTCTTGGCACGAGACAATGAACCCCAGGTATTTACCACAGACAACACTGCTTCACTAGCAGTGGCATGCCACCATGAAGATGCTGGGTTCAAGGAACCCCCAGGTGCCAGGGGAGGCAGCTAAGATGATGTTTGCCCAGGAAGAAGTACATTCTCAGCCACTTCTCCATCCACTAGTTCCACCATACCTCCTGGGAGTTACGAAATGCAGGACCCACAACCCCACCCCCAGGCCTCCTGAGCTAGAATCTGCACTTTAACGAGTCTCCCGAGTGATTCTTCTGTGTGGGACAATTGAAGTGCTCTCTTCTCTTCCATTTGCAAGATGAACTCAGTTTCAGCAACAAAGCAGAAAGGACTTAAGAAACCCAAGCCTAAAAAAGCAAAGGTCCCTATAAACCCTTCAGGAACGCCGTGGGGCCTGCACTAACCCAGGGGATGAACCATCTGGGCTGATCTGATTTTTCTTTTCCAGAGTGACCTAGATGCAATGTTAGCTCCATCATCCTTCTGAAACGGGCTTCTTAATTCAAAAGACAGCACATCCTCTTACTGCCCCAACATCTGAGCCGGGAGGTCAGGGTTTGGGACTGTTGGGATATCTGAGCAGAGGCTGATTGCCAAGTGCTCAGTTTCCATTCAAAGGTCAGCACAATAGAGGTTTATGTGTAGAAGTGAATAAAAGAACAAACTTCCCTCTGGTTGCCACAGTTTTTTCCTCTTGTTTCTGTTCTTTATTTCTTTTTAAAGAGACATACCCAGCAGGGCATGGTGGCTCCTGCCTGTAATCCCAGCACTCTGGGAGGCCGAGGTGGGTGGATCACTTGAGGCTGGGAGTTAAAGACCAACCTGGGCAACATAGCGAAACCCTGTCTCTACTCAAAATACAAAAATTAGCCAGGCATCGTGGCACGCACCTGTAATCCTATCTACTCGGGAAGCTGAGGCAGGAGAATCGCTTGGAGGTTATAGTGAGCCAAGATCGCACCACTGCACTCCAGCCTGGGCGACACAGCAAGACTCTGTCTCAAAAACATAAAAATAAAAAAATAAAGAGACATATCGACTCTAGAGTCTGGGTATGCTCAGCATCAAAATGAAAGTGTGAGCCCCAGGGACAAGTTGGGGGGGTGCCTCTGGATGCTGGGCCCAGGCTGGGCCCTGTGTGTGGCTTCTAACCCTTCACCCTCCACCTCTGGGCACTGCTTGGCTTGTAGTGGCATCATTCTAATCTCTGCCACATTTTCAGGTACTTGTTATAGCAACACTCCACTTCTCTGGTACCAATTTCTAACTTGGCCCATTTCGTGCTGCTGTAACAGAATATCATCAACCAAGTAATTTACAAACAACAGAAATATTTATTTGGCTAGGTACGGTGGCTCACGTCTGTAATCCCAGCATTTGGGAGGCCAAGGTGGGAGGATCACTTGAGCTCAGGAGTTTGAGACCAGCTTGGGAAACATAGGGAGACCCTGTCTCTACAAAATAAAAAAAATAAACCTAGCTGGGCATGGTGGCATACACCTATGGTCCAACCTATGTGGGAGGCTGAAGTGCGAGGACTGATTGGGCCCAGGAGATTGTGGCTTCAGTGAGCTGTGATCACACCACTGCATTCCAGCCTGGGTGACAGAGTGAGACCCTGTCTCACCAAAAAAAAAAAAAAAAAAAAAAAAAAAAAAAAGTATTTTTCACAGTTCTGGAGGCTGGCAAGTCCAAGATCAAGGTGCCAGCACACTCGGTATCTGGTGAGGGTCCGGTCTCTGCTCCCAAGGTGATGCATTGAATGCTGCACCCCCAGGAGGGGAGGAACACTGTCTTCACATGTCAGAAGGGCAGAAGAGCCCTGAGACAGGACTCACTCCCACCAGCCCCTTTATAAAGGTATGAAACCCACTCATGAGGCACAGCCCTCACGGCCGAATCATCACTTAAAGGTCCCAGCTCTTAACAGTGTTAGAATAGCAATCAAATCTCAACATGCATTTTACAGGGGACAAATATTCAAACCATAACAGTGGCAATTCTTGGCATTGCTTGTCTTGTAGCCACATCATTCCAATCTCTGCCTCTCCCTGTGTCTCTATCCTCACATGTTCTTATAAAGACCCCAGTCATACTGGATTAGGGGCCTGCCCTACTCCAGTATGACCTCATGTTAACTAATTACACCTGCAAAGACCCTAGTTCCAAGTAAGGTTCAGTATTTGAGGGAGTTAGGATGTCAACATATCCTTTTGGGAAAACCCAGCTCAACCTATAACATCTGCCTTAGGTCCAATGAGCCAGAGAAAATAAGTGAGGTAGGAAGAGGACATTGTGCTATTTTACAGATGAGGACACTGGTGCTCAGAGAGGTGACATGAGCTTCCCCGAGTGGGAGTAAAGAATCAGTTATGTATGCAGGTGGTGCACAGGGTGAGGGCGCTTGGCTGAGATGGGGGTTGGGGGCAAGTGCTGAAATCTGCCCATGCTCTACTCCCCAGCTAGGTACCTGGTAGGGGTCTGTGTCTGTCTGAGAGGGGGCCACCTGTCCTAGTTTTCAGGGTAACATCCTCTGGGCTAGCAGCTGCTCTGAGTGGCAGAATCAACAGGAGGTCCTAGGTCCCCACTCACTCTCAGCCCAGGGTTTCCAGGCTGCCCCTGGAACCCTCAGATTAGCAGGCTTAACCACAGAGAGCTAGTAACACAGGCGACCCGAGGCAGTGGCCTCTGAACTCCAATCTCCACTCAGAGGAGCCTGGGATCCCTGGAGAAATGGCAGATTCCAGGTAGAGATGGAGAAATGCACACAATGGGGCAGGGACATTGGAACACCCCAGAGAGCAATGAAGCTGCCAGACGCCATGAGAGTCAGGTTAAGGAAGTTGCTTGAGCCCAGGAGTTTCAGACCAACCTGGGCAACATGGTGAAAGCTAACTGAAAGAGGCTCCCACTGGCCAACAGTGGGACAATTTGAGTAGCAATAACAATATGTCTGCATCCATGAGTTTATATGATGCTTTTTTTTTTTTTTTTAAAGACAGAGTCTCGCTCTGTTGCCCAGACTGGAGTGCAGTGGCATGATCTTGGCTAACTGCAACCTCCACCTCCCGGGTTCAAGTGATTCTCCTGCCTCAGCCTCCCGAGTAGCTGGGATTACAGGCGTGCACTACCACGCCTGGCTAATTTTTGCATTTTTGGAAGAAATAGGGTTTCACCATGTTGGCCAGGCTAGTCTCGAACTCCTGACCTCAGGTGATCTGCCTGCCTTGGCCTCCTCAAGTGCTGGGATTACAGGTGTGAGCCACTGTGCCCGGCCTATCTGACACTTAAGAAAAACCCTCATTGCTCACCTCATGGAAGACGCAGGGGACCGAACTCATTACTTTGAAAACTGAGCAGCGAAGGACAAGTTTCAAGCATGCATTATGCCTTTTCTCTACAAAGTGTACCGTGCAAGGACCACACATTCGATGAGGGGAGTTTCTCCTTCTGGATCCCTTCAGCTCACAAATGAAATGATAGAGTCAGAATGCCACCGCCCTGTCACAATCCCTGAAGAATTCAAGGATGGAGGACTGAGCACCAACGGTTCCTGAGAGACCGCCAGGCGCTGGGAGCCTCCTGATGGAAGAACATACCCCCTCCTTTGAAGACCACATGCTGAAAACACTCGGATCTGGATAACATCAGGACTGTAGCTCTCACTACTCATTTACAAGAAATACAGAGAACCAAGGAAAATATTAAAGGATGCAACAGGATGCAACCAGCAAGCCTCACAGAACAACAACTCGCCTGCAAAGCAAAAAAAATAAAAAAATTTAAAAGATGGGCTGGGCACGGTGGCTCATGCCTGTAATCTCAGCACTTAGGGAGGCTGAGGCAAGAGGATCGCTTGAGCCCAGGAGTTTGAGACCAACCTGGGCAACATGGTGAAACCTCATCTCTCCAAAAATAATAATATAAAAAGTAGCCAGGCGTGATGGTGTGTGCCACTTGGGAGGCTGAGGTGAGAGCCTCACTAGAGCCCAGGAGTTCAAGGCTGCAGTGAGATGTGATCATGCCACTTGCACTCCAGCCTGGGCAACAGAGCAAGACCCTGTCTCAAAAAAAAGAACAATTTAAAAGATAAGAAAGAGAGAGCGAGAGAGAGGAGAGGGTGAGAAGCCTATGTAGTAAAAGGGATTTTATTTTATTTTATTTTATTTTATTTTTTGAGATGGAGTCTGGCACTGTTGCCCAGGCTGGAGTGCAGTGGCACGGTCTCAGCTCAAGGCAAGCTCTGCCTCCCGGGTTCACACCATTCTCCTGCCTCAGCCTCCCAAGTAGCTGGGACTACAGGCGCCCACGACCATGCCCAGCTAATATTTTTTTTTTGTATTTTTAGTAGAGACAGGGTTTCACCGTGTTGGCCAGGATGGTCTTGATCTCCTGACCTTGTGATCAGCCCGCCTCAGACTCCCAAAGTGCTGGGATTACAGGCGTGAGCCACCGCGCCCGGCCCATAAAAGGGATTTTATATAGCAACCAACTGTAATATTGTGATGTGTGGATGTTATTTCAGTTACGACTCAAATGAATAAGCTGTAAAAAATAAAGTTATGAGACAATCAAGGATAGGGACGCTGGCTAAATATTTCATTCCATTTGAGTATTGTGAATTATTTTAAAGTTTAGAAAACTGGAATCTGGGCACGGTGGCTCATGAACCTTGGGAGGCTGAGGCAGGAAGGTGACTTGAGCCCAAGAATTCGAGAACAGCCTGGGCAACATAGTGAGAGCTCATCTCTACAAAAAATCAAACAATTAGCCAGGCGTGGTGGCATGACCTGTGGTCTCAGCTACTCAGGAGGCTAAAGTGGGAGGCTCACTTGAGCAGGGGAGGTCGAGGCTATAATGAGCCCTGATCATGCCACTGTACTCCAGACTGGGTGACAGAACAAGACCCTGTAGAAAAAAAAAAAAGATTGAAAGTTCAGAAAATTCTATTGTAGTTTTATTTTTAAAAATGAATCTTGGCCAGGCGCAGTGGTTCATGGCCTTTGGGAGCCACTTTGGGAGGCCGAGACGGGCGGATCACCTGAGGTCGGTAGTTCGAGACCAGCCTTACCAACATGGAGAAACCTCATCTCTAATAAAAATGAAAACATAAAAAAAAAAATAAAAGAATAGCCAGGCATGGTGGCACATGCCTGTAATCCCAGCTACTCGGGAGGCTGAGACAGGAGAATCGCTTGAACCTGGGAGGCAGAGGTTGTGGTGAGCTGAGATCACGCCATTGCACTCCAGCCTAGGTAACAAGGAAGAAACTTCATCTCAAAAAAAAAAAAATGATTCTTATCAAAAATTAGCCAGGCGTGGTAGTGCGCACCTATAATCTCAACTACTTGGGAGACTGAGGATTGAACCTGGGTGGTGGAGGTTGCAGTGAGCTAAGATCATGCCACTGAACTCCAACCTTGATGACAAAGTGAGATACTGTCTCTAAAAAAAAAATCATTTTTGTCTCTTAGGGATATCAAAATATGTATATTTGAATTGATGTGATCTCTGTGGTTTGCTTCAAAATGATCGGGGGAAGGTGAAAAGCTGGGATAGAAATGCGAAATGATTGGTCATGAATTGGGCATCATTGAATGAGGGTGATAGGGACATGGGATTCACTGTATTATTCTATTTTGTATGTTTGGAATTCTCTATAGTAAATATTTTTTCTTTTTCTTTTTTTTTTTTTTTTTTGAGATGGAGTCTTGCTCTGTCTCCCAGGCTGGAGTGCAGTGGCGCCATCTCGGCTCACTGCAAGCTCCGCCTCCCGGGTTCAAGCAATTCCCCTGCCTCAGCCTCCCGAGTAGCTGGGACTACAGGCACCTGCCACCACGCCCAGCTAATTTTTTGTATTTTTTTTTTAGTAGAGACGGGTTTCACCATGTTAGCCAGGATGGTCTCGATCTCCTGACCTTGTTATCTGCCCGCCTTGGCCTCCCATAGTACTGGGATTACAGGTGTGCGCCCGCGCCCGGCCTTTTTTTTCTTTTTTTAAGTAATCAGGGAAGCAGACTACTTCCTTTCAAATTACAGTTCTGCCATTTACTTGTGTGACCTTGAGCAAGTAAGTCAACATTTCTGGGCCTATTTCCTCACCTGCAAAATGGAGATAATCACATCTACCTAACATCAAGGCCTGGAGCACAGTGGACACGGTAGATACCCATGCGTTTGTTCCTTCTTTGGGATGGGACCTGTGGTAGCCAGCCTCTGAGATGGCCACCGGTGATCCTGACTGCCTGGTGGTCATACCCTCGTGTAGTCACGTCTCACAATGAAGCAGGGGTCCTGGTCATCAGAGTGGCCAATAAAATATATCAGAAGTGATTGTATGTCACTTTTGAGATTAGGTTATCAACGACATGGCAGCTTATGTTTTGTTTTTGTTTTTGTTTTTGTTTTTGAGATGGAGTCTCACTCTGTCGCCAGGCTGGAGTGCAATGGTGCGATCTTGGCTCACTGCAACCTCCACCTCCCGGGTTCAAGTGATTCTCCTGCCTCAGCCTCTCAAGTAGCTGAGATTACAGGCACACACCACCACACCCAGCTAATTTTTGTATTTTTAGAAGAGATGGGGTTTCACCATGTTGGCCAGGATGGTCTCGATCTCCTGACCTCATGATCTGCCTGCCTTGGCCTTCCAAAGTTCTGGGATTACAGGTGTGAGCCACCAAGCCCAGGTGACTCTGTTTCTGTCTTGATCACTCTCTCCCTCATTCTCCCTAGGGCAAGCCAGCTGCCATGTTGGGAGCAGCCCTATGTTGAGAGGCCCACATGGCAAGGAACTGAGGCCTCCAGCCAACAGCCATGGGAGGACGCCATCTTGGACACAGCTCCTCCTGCCCCAGTCAAGCCTTCTGATGACTGCAGCTCTGAGCAACCTCTGACTACAACCTCTGGAGACCCTGAGCCAGAACCACCCAGCCGAGCTGCTCCAATTCCTGAACTTCAGGTATAAGATAATAAATGTTTGTTATCTGTAGCTGCTAAGTTGGGGGAAATCTGTCATGCATCAAAAGCTCCCTGCTACAGGCTCTAATGTTGAAGAAGTTCTTTTTGTTTTTGTTTGCTTGAGACAGAGTCTCACTCTGTTGCCCAGGCTGGAGTATAGTGGTGGGATCTTGGCTCACTGCAACCTCCGACTCCCAGGTTCAAATGATTCTACTGCCTCAGCCTCCCGAGTAGCTCGGATTACAGGTGCCTACTACCACGCCTGACTAATTTTTGTAGTTTTAGTGGAGACAGGGTTTGGCCATGTTGGTCAGGCTGGTCTCAGACTCCTGACCTCAGGTGATCCTCTCATCTCTGCCTCCCAAAACGCTGGAATTATAGGCGTGAGCCTACATGCCCGGCCTGTTGAAGAATTTTAACTCTGCATAAGGTATGTTGTTGTGTTAGGTGGTTTCAAGGGGCAGGAAAGACAAGGAGAGTGAGGTTCCTCTTAGAAGCAGATGGTGAAATGAGGGGTCCCAGGCTTACTTGAGGAGAGTTGGGGGTGAGTGGATGAGACCATGAGGACAGCTGTACTCACATTCACCTTTTCAAAACAGGGGACTCGGAGTTATTAACTGATGGACAGAAAAGAGCAGAGAGGCCCGAGACTGACTTTCCAGAAGTCTGGAGCAGAAACCAGCCAGCCAGATGGCATGAAAAGAGGGAGTGGCTCACAGAGATTGCAGAAGTTATGGAGCCTTTATTCTTGTTTTTGTTTTCACCCTGAGTGGGGTTCTTTTTTTTTTTTTTTTTTTTTTTCGCACTGGCAGTAAAAAGTAGTATTCCCCCAGTTATATGCTTTTCATTTTCTTTTCTTTAATTGAAAACAATTTTTTTTTTTAGAAACAGGGTCTTGCTATATTGTCCAGGGTAGTCTCAAACTCCTGGGCCAAGCCTGCCTTGGCCTCCCAAAGTGTTGGGATTATAGGTGTCAGCCACTGTGCCTGGCCTTGTGCTTTTTCTTCTGAAGAGCTTCTAGATTCTGCTAGAAACTGGACAAGATCTGAAGGCAGCAAATACTCACTTGTGTCTGCTACCTGGCTCTTGGGAACTTCAGTTTCCTCATCTGCAAAATGGAGAAAGAATCTTGTCTTCCCTTGCATTTTTATTTTTGACCATTTTAATATTTCTGGAACCAGGGTGTGTCTACTAATGGTTGCAAATATTTAATATGGTGTTTATGTCCCACCTCTACTTCTTAAAAGCTATAACCAAACCAATGTACCCTAAAATGTATGGCATTCTAGAAACTATGGACATCAGTGGTAAACCCTAACTCAGTGGTTATTTAATGGGAGAATTGAGTGGTCATATTAACTCCTTCAGCAAATACTGAATCACTACTGCAACCTGGCCTGTGGGAGGCTCTTTAGTTTATTTATTCTTTTTGAACAGCCTATAACTTTTTAAAAAGCATTTTTGGCCAGGCAAAAATCACAGGTGGCTCACACCTGTAATCCCAGCACTTTGGGAGGCTGAGGTGGTTGGATCGCTTGAGCTCAGGAGTTCAAGACCAGCCTGGGCAACATGGCGAAACCCCATCTCTACTAAAAATAATTTTTTAAAAACTTAGCCAGGCATGGTGGTGCACACCTGTGGTCTCAGCTATTTGGGAGGCTGAGGTGGGAGGATCACTTGAGCCTGGAAGGCAGAGGATACAGTGAGCCAAGATTGTGCCACTGTACTGCAGCCTGGGCAACAGAGCAAGACCCTGTCTCAAAAAATATACTTTGTTAAAAAAACAGTATTCCTGCTTTTTGTCAACAAAAGGATGTCCCAGATCCAGTCTGACTGGTTTCTGCCTCAAGACTTAGAATCAGCTCCTTTCTAAGGAGTCCTGGGTTCTTTGAGTGGCAAAGAGAATGAAAGACCAAAATCTGGGGCCTGGGATTGTAGGTAAGAGGTAGTGGATGACGAAAGAAAAAAAAAATGCGATTTCTAGGCCATCTTTAGTAGTGGCACAGCTCAAAAAAAGAAAATGTCCCTTTATCCTAACATCATTTCTGCAGTATCTCTGCCAAGAAGCATAACCTGGATATAATCAGGAGAAGCATCAGACAGACCCAAATTAAAGTGTATTCCTCAAAATTGCTGCCCTTTTACTCTCCAAAAATGTCCATGTCATGAGAAATAAAGAAAGGCTCGGAATAGTTCCAGAATAACTAAATGCAATGGAGATCCTGGATTGAGTCTTCTTTTTTTTTTCCTGAGTCTCGCTCTGTCACCCAGGCTGGAGTGCAGTGGCGCGATCTCAGCTCACTGCAACCTTCACCTCCTGGGTTCAAGCGATTCTCATCCCTCAGCCTCCTGAGTAGCTGGGATTAGAAGCACATGCTACCATGCCTGGATAATTTTTGTATTTTAGTAGAGATGGGGTTTCACTATGTTTCCCAGACCGGTCTCAAACTCCTGAGCTCAGGCGATCCTCCCGTCTCAGCCTCCCAAAAGATTACAGGCATGAGCCACCGCCCAGCCTCTGGATTGAATCTCGAACTGAGAGAAAAAATTACTCTAAAGGACAATGGAATATGAACTACAGATTAGATAGTCTCTTAGTTTCCATAATCGCACTCTGCTTACATAAGAGAATGTCCTTTTCTTACAGTACACATTGATGGCTGGACACAGTGGCTTAAGCCTGTAATCCCAGCACTCCGAAAGGCCAAGGCAGGAGGATTGCTTGAGCCTAGGAGCCCTGGCGCAATATAGCAAGATCTTGTTTCTACAAAAAATAAAAAATAAATTTAAAAAGTGCACATTGAAGTATTTAGGGGCAAGTGGGCATGATGTGTTACTTACTCTCTAACAGTTTAGAGAACAAATACACATACACACACACACACACACACATACACACACACACAACTAGGAAGACTCAGAAGCCAACTGGAAGAGGCTCCTACTGGTCAACAATGGGACAATTTGAGTAACAACAAGAGTATGTCTGCATCCATGAGTTTATATGATACGTGTGTGTGTGTGTGTGTGTGTGTGTGTGTGTGTGTGTGTGTGTATATGTGTGTGTGTGTCAGAGTCTCATTCTGTCACCCAGGCTGGAATGCAGTGGTGTGATCTCGGCTCACTGCAACCTCTGCCTCCTGGGTTCAAGTGATCCTCCTGCCTCAGCCTCCAGGGTAGCTGGGATTACAAGCATGTGCCATCATGCCAGGCTAATTTTTGTATTTTTAGTAGAGACGGGGTTTTGCCATGTTGGCCAGGCTGGTCTCCAACTCCTGAGCTCAAGCGATCCTCTCGCCTCAACCTCCCAAATTGCTGGGGTTACAGGTGTGAGCCAGTGCACTCGTCCAATTAGTGAATCTTGGTAAAATGTACCCATCAGTTCTTCGTACTATTCTTGCTACCTTCCCGTAAGTCTGATATTATTTCAAAGTAAAAAGTTTTTTTTAAGTTATTTTAAGGACACTAACTCAAAATATCATTTTCCAATTCAACGTATCTTGCTGCTGTATTTTACATATTTATTTTATTTGCAGTTTCATTAACCACTAAAAAATCCCCACCACTCTGTAAATAGTAAGTTTTGTCATTGCTGTGTGTATTTTAGGTTCCATGTTTATTTGGTGCTCCACATAATCACGAATGCTAAATTTGAGATGTCATTTAAATTGCGCAAGGATACAGAATTAAGTTTATGGTCAACACATAAACGTTTTTAATTGATTTTCAACACTGCTTAAGAAACATTGAGTTTAATAAATTGAGCTGAGAGGCTGGACGCAGTGGCTCATGCCTGTAATCCCAGCACTTTGGGAGGCTGAGGTGGATGGATCACCTGAGGTCAGGAGTTCAAGACCAGCCTGGCCAATGTAGCAAAATCCCGTCTCTACTAAAAATACAAAAATTAGCTGGGCGTGGTGGCGGGTGCCTGTAATGCCAGCTACTCAGGAGGCTGAGGCAGGAGAATCACTTGAACCCAGGAGGCGGAGGTTGCAGTGAGCCGAGATCGCGCCACTGTGTGTGTGTGTGTGTGTGTGTGTGTGTGTGTGTGTGTGTCAGAGTCTGGGCGACAGAGCAAGACTCCGTCTCAAAACAACAACAACAAAAACACATAAATTGAGCTTAGAGCAACAACAACACATGTGTGGAGAACCTCCCATCTACCAGGTGGAGGGCCAGGTCAGAGGGCAGTGAACAGGCTGGACAAAGTTCTGCCCTCCCAGATGTTACTCATCTCTAGCAGGGAGGGAAAGGAGCTCAGGAGTGGTTTCGACCCAGTGTGCACAGTGTCATTAATGGGTAAACAGAGTCACAATCAAAATATTCAACAACTGATATGGGATGACCACTGTCTAATGAGAATGGCCAACGGTGCAGGGTCCCATCAGCTGGTCCTGGTGTTCGGGGTTCTGACCCTTTAGTTGTGGGAGCTTGTCCCAGCAGGGTATCCATGAGGCTCTCGGTTCTTTATTGACATTTTAACCAACACAAGGACCCAAGAGGTGGACACAACAGCTGACCATCAGGGCTGGGTAGACATTGGGGTTGTGGGAGCTAAGGAGAGATGCCTTGTTACAGAACACTGCTTAGCAGTGATGTAGATTAGGATCTACAGGACATGGGGTTTTTTGGGGTAATGAAAATGTTTGGAAATTAGACAGTGGTGATGGGTGCACAACCTTGTAAATATACTAAAACCAATGAATTAAATAATTTAAAGGGGTGAATTTTGAATTCATGATATATGAAATCTATCTCAATTAAAAAATGTATTTTAAATTTTGTTTTAAAGATCTAAGGACAAATTTAGGAAGCAAGAGAGCAGCATATACAAAGGCCAGGGGCTGAACAGGAACATGGGGCTCTGGGTGAGTGGCCTTGGATGGCCTCAGATGTCCATATGCACAGCCTGACCGTGGGGCTGGCCTATCCACACAGGCCCCTCAGGCCCCTGTAGGTGGCTTCAAGAGGTTTAGGGAGAAAACCACGGCATCAGGGAGGAATTCCAACTCAAGGCCTCTTGGGCCCCTGGAAAATGCTTTCGTTGGGATAATATTTTCTCACCACTGTTTTCAGGGCTGGGGTTGGGGGCTGCAACCTCAGGTGCTCACAGGGCCGGGCAAAGCTGGGAAATCAGTCAACTGAGTGGGTGAGGGCCGAAGCTCACCCACAGGCAACTCCTGGCAACTCCAGACCATTCTTCTGGCTCTAACAGATTTCCAAAAGAAGCCAGCAGGCCGGGCACAGTAGCTCATGCCTGGAATCCCAGCACCTTGGGAGGCCAAGGCAAGAGGATTGCCTGAGGCCAGGAGTCTGAGACCAGCCTAGGCAACTAGAGAGACCCTATCTCTACAAAGAACAAAAACATTAGCCGGTGTGGTGGTACATGTCTGCAGTCCCAGCTACTCAGGAGGCTGAGGGGGGAGGATCGCTTGAGCCCAGGAGCTCGAGGCTGCTGAGGGCTGTGATCATGCCACTGCACTCCAGCCTGCGCCACAGAGCTAGACATTGTCTTTAAAACAAACAAACAAAAAAGCCAGCAATCATATTTTTAAAAACCAATTTAGTGAAGTGAAATTCACAACCCACAAAATTAACCATTTTAAAGTACACACTCCAGTGGCATGAAGGGAACAATTCATACTGTTGTCCCAAACATTTCCATCACTCCAAAGCAAAACCCTGTACCTCTTGGGCAGTTTCTCCCCATTCTCCCCACTCCTCCCAGATCCTGACAGCCACCAATCTGCCTCTGTCTCGGTGTGTTCATCTATTCTGAGCAATCCAGATTTTTAATGTAATCTTTTCTTTTTCTTTCTTTTTTTCAGACAGAGTCTCGCTCTGTCGCCCAGGCTGGAGTGCAGTGGTGTGATCTTGGCTCACTGCAACCTGCTGGGTTCAAGCGATTCTTGTGCCTCAGCCTCCCAAGTAGTGGGGATTACAGGTGCATGCCACCACGCCTGATTAATTTTTGTATTTTTAGTAGAGACAGGGTTTCACCATGTTGGCTAGGCTGGTCTTGAACTCCTAACCTCAAGTGATCTGCCCACCTCAGCCTCCCAAAGTGCTGGGATTACAGGTGTGAGCCACTGCACCCAGCCTAATGTGATCTTTTCTAATTTTAAATTTTAAATTCAAATTAATGTAAAATATCTCCCTGGCCGACAAGAGCATACCGGAGGCTTGGAGTCAGTTGGCTGACTGTCACTTTGCAACTTTTATTCTAAAGTATCTTAAAGTCCAGGGGAGAGATACATCTGTACTTTAATGCAGGGAATCCATGAACATGATTTGTGGCTGTCTCTGAGTCATCTCGGAAGCCGGCTTGCTCCTGTCACGAGTGAAGGGTTAGCAGGGGGCCATGGAACCCCCGAGGCTGGGCTCCACGTGAAGAGGACTCCTCAGGGCTGAAGAAAGGCCCCTGGACGCTTTTTTATCACATTCCGCTTTACTCTCTCAAGTTACTTTGTTTTGATCATTGCTTATATGTTTATTGTCTTCTCCCTAAGTAAAATGTCAGCTCCAGGAAGGCAGGGACCAAGCCTATCTGGTTTTCTCTGTGGTCCCTAGAACTGTGCTTGGCACACAAAGGTCCTTGAAAATGTTTGTTGGTTTAATGAATAAATGAATGAGCAAAAGAATAAGCCAGTGGTTCTCAAAGAGGTGGGCGATCTGGAGTGTCCCCCAGCAATGTCTGGAGACATTTTGGTTGTCACAGTGGGGGCTGCTACCAGCATCTGCAAAACTCCTATGATACACAGGACAGATAATGACCTGGCCCCAAATGGCAAAAGTGCCAACCTTGAAATAAATGAATGATTAAATATTCGGCCGGATGCGGTGGCTCACGCCCTTAATCCCTAGCACTTTGGGAGGCTGAGGCGGATGGATTGCTGGAGGTCAGGAGTTTGAGACCAGCCTGGCCAACACAGTGACTCCTCGTCTCTACTAAAAATACAAAATGTAGCCAGGCATGGTGATACATGCCTGTAATCCCAGCTACTCAGAAGACTGAAGCAGAAGAATCACTTGAACCTGTGAGGTGGAGGTTGCAGTGAGCCAAGGTTGTACCAATGTACTCCAGCCTGGGTGACAGAGCAAGAGTCTGTCTCAAAAAGAAAAAAAGAAAAGAACTAAATACTCTAGGTCCATGCAGTCAAGCTGCCGTCCAAGATAAAACATCAAAGAACCTGGCCAATGTCCTCTCCCAAATGCCTTCCCAGATTATGTGGGTCACAGGTCAGCAGAAATCACACTTCAGATTTTATTGTTTTTTATTTTATTTTATTTTGACAGAGTTTCATTTTGTCACCCAGGCTGGAGTGCAGTGGCACAATCTCAGCTCACTGCAACCTTTACCTCCCGGGTACAAGCAATTCTCTTCCCTCAACCGCCTGAATAGCTGGGATTACAGGCGCCTGCCATCACGTCCAGCTGATTTTTTGTATTTTAGTAGAGACAGGGTTTCACCATGTTGCCTAGGCTGGTCTCGAACTCCTGAGCTCAGGCAACCCACCCGCCTCAGCCTTCCAAAGTGCATGGATTACAGACATGAGCCACCACACCTGGCCCTTCAGTGATTTTGTTGTGGACACAGCTTATGCAATAATTTCATGTGAACAAGAAATATAAATAAGAGGAAGTTAAGCTGCCTTAGATGTAAGGAGTTAATTTCAAAATACGTAATTCCGTGCCCTAATCAAAGAGAACTGAAATTTGTCTAGTTCCGTGATTCTGTGGGTTATTTTCCTTGGTAATCATGGACCTTCCTTAAAATTAAACAATCAGCTCTTGATGGGACCTGCTTATGTGTCATATTTCTATAATTTCAAAATAGATTTTAGAGAGCCGGTGACAATATAACTTTGTTCCCCAAAAGCTCAGGGGACAGGGGTCTGGATAAGGGGTCCTCACTCATTGAGGTGAGCAGAACTCCTGGAAAATCAACAAAGAAAAACTAAAAATCTTCTCCTTAGTGTGTGGGAGCATGATGTGTGTGCATGTCTGTGCGTGGGTACCAATTAGAGATGTGCTATTGTTGATTTCAGAGGATGAGTGCCCACCAAGGTGTCATCAATACTGTCACCTGTGCCCTCTCCTTCCTTGCCCCCCACACCTCCGGCTTCTCTTGGGTCAATGTCACACACAGAAGTATTAAGAGGTGCTTTGAGTTCCCTCAAATACAAATTTCACTTATCCAAATCCAAACCCCAGACAGAGAGGGGATAATCTAAATCAGAGATCTCAACCAGGGGCAATGTGGCTGTGAGGGGACACTTGGCCACATCAGGAGACATTTTTCATTGTCACATCTGAGGGGTTGGAAGCTACTGGCATGTAGTGGGTGGGGGCTGGGGTGCTGCCCAGCATCCTATGATACATAGGACAGCCTCCACCACATAGAATGATCTGCCTCAAATATCCATAGTGCCAAGGCTGAGAAGCTGCTCTAAAGAGTGGGGTCAATTCTGCATCAGCATTTACAGGAGGAACATATAAAGTACTCCCCAGGGTAAGCCTAAGATGGAAGCCCTGAATCTGCTGTTCTCACAGCAAAGCTCACGCTGAGTGTCTCGCCCTGTGAGTATCTGCGCACAATGTAATGTAAGATATGGAGTCTAGAGCCCGATTCCAAGGGTTCAAATCTCCTCTGTTTTTTCTTTTTAGAGGTGGGTTCTTGCTATGTTGTCCAGGCTGGACTCGAACTCCTGGACTGAAGCCATCCTCTCACCTCAGCCTCCCTAGTAACTGGGATTACAGGTGCATGCCACCGTGTCAGGCTCAAATCCCTTCCTTGAAGTGAACAGGTGTGTGACATTGAGCAAGTCACTCAGCTCTCTCTGTTAGCTTCAGTCTTTTTAATCTTGACTCTGAGAAAATGATAGTGCCTAGGTTTGTAATGAAGATGAAATGAATTATGCTAAATAAAAAACCTGGAATAGTGCTTGCATATAGTAAGTGCTGGGGAAGTGTTTGCTATTGTTATTTTTCATTCAACATAAGTTCCCCCAAACAGCAGCCAACAATTTCAAGCGGGGCTCATGTCCAGGACTGCTTTTGTATCCAATGGCAGATAAAGTGATGGCTAAAGACTTCTTGAAAGACAAAAGTTACTTGATTGGCTAGTTAGGGATTTTCAGGGGTGATTTTTACTTCACGTGTTTGCCTGAAGACCTGAGCCCACTAACATGTGATTTCCTGTAGTGTCTGAGACCACAGGACAATGATCTTCTCAATATGACATTCACTAGGCTGAACAAGGACCAACCAAGAAATAATAAGCAGGCTGGGTGCAGTGGCTCATACCTTTAATCCCAGCACTTTGGGAGGCCAAGGCAGGAGGATCACTGAGGCTAGGAGTTTTGAGACCCGGTCTCTACAAAAAATAAAAATAAAATTAGCAGGGTGTAGTAGTGCATGCTTGTATTCCCAGCTACTGAGGAGGCTGAGAAGGGAGGATTGCTTGAGCTCAGGGGGTTGAGGCTGCAGTGAGCCATGATTACACCACTGCACTCCAGCCTGGGCAACAGAACAAGATCTTATCCCCCCACAACTCCCCAAAAGAAAAAGAAACACTGGTCAAACCCCACAAACAAAACCAGCTCTGACAGCTGAGACCAAAATTAGATCTAAGAAATCTGTCTGTGGCAGGAAGAGACTTTCCTACTTTGGGTGGAAATTCATGGAAGCCCATGACCTTTGGGTTCGGAGGAATTCTGTGAAAACAGTGCCTTGAAAGCATAACATAACTTTCCACAGGAAGACAGTTTCCAACTCCAGGAGAACTCCAGTGTGATGGGGTGAGCTGAGAACATGCCTCTGCACAGCCCAGGATGCGGAAGTCACACTCGTGATCAGAATAACAGGTGCCACTTCTGAAGCCCACAAGGGGCATCAGGAGCCCTGCCAGGTCCCCTAAACACATTGTGCACCTCATTTAATCATCTTTTTACAACCTTATAATACAGCCAACATCAACCCCATTTTACAGAAAAGAAAAGTGGGTACCCAGAAGGTGTCATGGTCACTGTTCAAGTTCAAGGTCACTGTGAGTCAAGGGTTAACATCGGGCCTGGGCTGATGGGGGCCTGCCTGGGAATGACCCTGGCCTCCCGTAGCACAGAGGCTCCACGAGGACTGTTGTATCTGCCACCCACTGCCCCTGCACTGGAGGGACTGAGTTGGCCAGCAGGCCTTGGGTCTGGGTAAACAGAGTCATAGAAAAGGTTGGTGGGAAACGGAGGCTACAGCTTCTGTGATTCAAGGTAACCCATAGTGCTTTGGCTCTCGCCTGTGGCAGCCAGACACAATTCTTGCAGTAGTAGAGCAAAAGGAGCTATGTGGGTGCAGGGGCTAGATCTCCCAATGAGCTGAAGATGCCCTACCTCTGTCTTCCTATAGAGCTGAGGAAACATAGTTTTATATCAAAGCCTATTTGCACCTGCCAGCTTGGGCCCAGAACTGTACTGTGGGGGTGCAGTCACTTGGCTAGGGAGTGGTAGAATCAAGATCCAGGTCTGTCTGACCTAAAGCCCAGGCTCCTCCTGCATCCCAAGGCAGCTGGAAACCCACAACACTCACTCACAGCTGGTCTGCAACACAGCACGGCTAAAACAGAGTTACCATGTGGCCCAGCAATTCCACTCCTAGGTATGTGCCCAAAAGAACCAAAAATGTATGCCCCAAAAAAAGCACGTACATAAACATTCATAGCAACATTACTCATAACAACACAAAAGCAGAAACAACTCAAATGCCCATCAATGTATGAATGGATAAACAGAATGTGGTATGTCCACACAATGGGTGATTATTTGACCATCAAAAGGAATGAAATAATGGTAAACACCTAAACCGGGATGAACCTGGAAAATATGCTAAGTGAAAGAAGCCAGACAAAAAGCCACATATTGTACAAAACATGTGTCACCTAGACTGGGCTAAGGGATACCCAGATCACATCTGGGTCTGTGAAGGTGTTTCTAGGAAAAAAAAAAAATTAGCATTTGAATTGGTGGACGGAGAAAAGAAGATCCACCCTCATGCAGTGGCTCATGGCTGTAATCCCAGCACTTTGAGAGGCCAAGGTGGGAGGATCACTTGAGCTCTGGAGCTCAAGACCAGCCTGGGCAACATAGTGATCCCGTCTCTACAAAAAATAGAAAAATTAGGCAGGCGTGGTGGTGCATGCCTGTAGTCCCAGCTACTCAGGAGGCTGAGGCAGGAGGATCAATTGAGCCCGGGAGGTGGAGGCTGCAGTGAGTTGAGATCACACCATGGTATTCCAGCCTGGGTGACAGAGCAAGACCCTGTCTCAAAAAAAAAAAAAAAGAAAAGAAAAGAAAAGAAAAAAGAAGGCCCTCCCTTCCCAATCTGGATGGGCATTATCCAAACCTTTGAGGGCCTGAATACGACAACAAAGAAAGGAAGAGGGAATTTCCTCTCCCTGCTTGAGCTAGGATAGCCGTCCTCATCTCCTCTCAGACATCATACCTCCTGGTTTTGGGGCCTTTGGAGTCAGACTAGGCCTTACACGTCGGCCCCTCTGTTCTGGGGCTTTCAGATTCAGAATGAGACACTGTAGGCTCCCCTGGTTCCCAGGCCTTCGGGCTAGGATGGGTTTTATGCCACCGGCGTTCCTGGGCCTGCTGCTTGTGGATGGCAGATCGTGGGACTTCTCAGTCTCCAAAATTGCATGAATGAATTCCTCATAATAAATCTCTTTCTCCATACTTACAGATATCCTATTGGTTTTGTTTCTTTGGAGATCCATGACTAACCCAGATTTCATTTACATGAAATGTCCGGAACAGGCAAATTCATAGGAACAGAAAGTAGACTAGTGGTTCCCAGGGGCTTGGGGAAAGGGAAGATGGGTAGGGACTGTCTGATGGGTACAGGGCTCCCATTTGGCGCAGTGAAAAACTTCTGGAACTACATAGTAGTAATGGATGTACAACCTTGTGAATGTATCAAAATCAAAACTGAATCATACACTTTTAAAGAAGAAATTGGTGGAATGTGAATTATATTTCTTTTTATTTATTTTGTTTTTTGAGACAGGATCTTGCTCTGTCACCCAGGCTAGAGTGCAGTGGTGTGATAATGGCTTACTGCAGCCTTGACCTCCCAGGCTCAAGCAATCTTCCTACCTCAGCCTCCCAAGTACCTGGGACTACAGGTGTGTGCCACCACGTCTGGCTACTTTTTGTATTTTCTGTAGATAACGGGGTTTTGCCATGTTGCTCAGGCTGGTCTCAAACTCCTGGCCTCAAGCAATCCACCTGACTCAGCCTCCCAAAGTGCTGGAACTACAGGCATGAGCCACAGTGCCTGGCCATGAATTATATTATATTAAATTAAACACACACACACACACACATACACTGACACTAAAAGCAAAGGAAACAAAAGGTACAAATCGGCCACTTTAGGAGGCCGAGGCGGGCGGATCACGAGGTCAGGAGATCGAGACCATCCTGGCTAACATGGTGAAACCCCGTCTCTACTAAAAATACAAAAAGTTAGCCGGGCATGGTGGCTGGCACCTGTAGTCCCATCTACTCGGCAGGCTGAGGCAGGAGAATGGCGTGAACCCGGGAAGTGGAGCTTGCAGTGAGCCAAGATCACGCCACTGCACTCCAGCCTGGGGGACAGAGCAAGACTCCGTCTCAAAAAAAAAAAAAAAAAAAAAGTACAAAAAGGCAAACGGAATTACATTAAACCTAAAAACTTTTGTGCATCAGAAGACACAACCAACAGAATGAAAAGGCAGCCTATAGAATAAGAGAAAATATTAATATACAGAATAAAGACCTCAACAACAAAAATCCGATAACTGATTAAAAAAAACGGGCAAGAGACTTGAATAGACATTTCTCCAAAGGTGATATACAAGTGGACACATAGCACATGAAAAAATGCTCAGCAGCATCATTAACCATTAGGGATATGCCAATCTACACCACAACGAAATACCATGGTTATCACACCCATGAGGTGGTTACTATCAAAAACACAGTCAATAACAATGTTGGCAAGGATGCGGAGAAACTGGGACCCTTGTACAGTGTTGATGGGATTGTAAAATGGTGTAACTGATGTGGAAAACAGTATGGTAGTTCCTCAAAAAATTAAAAATAGAACTACCATAGGATCCAGCAATCCCACTTGTGGGTATATGGCCAAAAGAATTGAAAGCAGAATCTCAAAAAGAGATTTGCATACCCACATTCATTGCAGTACTGTTCTCAACAGCAAGAGGTACAAGTGTACCCAAGTGGATGAATGGGTCAACAAAACATAGTTTATTCATATCATGGAACTATTATCCAGCCTTAAAAAGGAAGGAAATTCTGGCACATTTTGTAACATGGATGAAACTTGAGGACGTTATGCTAAGTGAAGTAAGCCAATAAAAAAAGGACAAATACTGTATGACCCTTTTATGGGGTCCCTAGAGTAGTCAAATGCATACAGACAGAAAGGAGAATGGTATTTACCAGGGGCTGGGGGAAGGAGAGTTGTTAAACGGCACAGAGTTTCAGTTTTGCAAGATGAAAACACTCTGTTTCACAACGTGACTATACTTGAACTACTAAACTGTATAATTTAAAATGACTAAGATGGAATTTTACGCTGTGGGTTTTTTTTAATCACAGTTTTTTAAAGTTGAAAAAAAAAGTAAAAAGAAATAAAAAGTTTGCCCACCGGGGAAAAACACATACAGCATGGCTAACATTTCCTCTGTGTGCCCAGCTCTGCTGTGGAATCACACCCTCCACTGATCCTGCAAGATGTGATGTACTTCCCAGGCCCCCCACCGCAACACTGCACCTCACTGACCTGGAACCAGGGACAGAAAGAGCAGAGACCAGAGCTCCATCCCCAGGGCTTAGCCCAGCACCTGCCCCTGGCAGATGTTGAATAAATATTTAGTAAATAAACTGTATAATAACCACGTGGTGAAGTCAGGCTGATACAATTATCCCCATTTTACCGACTGGCCAATGGAGGCCCAGCAAAGTAAGGTGACCTGTCCAAAAATCACAAAGCCAGAAAGTGATAAAGGAAGAGATGAACCCAATGTCCCAGACTCCTGTGACAGGCCCCCTTCCACAGCATCACCTCCTTTCGATGTCAGCCTGGAATCCATTTCAACAAGGGATTTACAAATAACTGTTTTCACTCTATACTAGCGATTCTTAACTTTTTTGGATCATGGGCCCATTTGATAATCCAATTAATGTTTGGATCCTTTGGGAGCACTTTGGGAAGATGAGGCAGAGAGATCGCTTGAGTCCAGGAGTTTGAGATCAGCATGGACAACATAGCAAGACTCCGTCTCATAAACAAACAAATAAACAAATAAATAAATAAAGTTTGGATCCTTTTTCTAAAACAACACACATATGAAACTTAGATAATAGTTTTCAGAGGTTTCCTGAACCCCTGAAGCCCATCTGTAGACCTCAGTTAAGAATTCCCTTTCTAGGCCGGGCATGGTGGCTCACGCCTGTAATCCCAGCACTTTGGGAGGCCAAGGCACTAGGATCACTCAAGATCAGGAGTTCAAGCCTGGCCAACATGATGAAACCCTGTCTCTACTAAAAATACAAAATTAGCCAGCGTGGTGGCACGCACCTGTAATCCCAGCTACTCAGGAGGCTGAGGCAGGAGAATCACTTGAACCCGGGAGGCAGAGGTTGCAGTGAGCCGAGATCGCACCACTGCACTCCAGCCTGGGCAAAAAGAGTGAAACTCCATCTCAAAAAAAAAAAAAAAAAAAAAAAAAAAAAAATTCCCTTTCTACACTGCAATCTGGGTAAATTCATTTGTTCTCAGGATTTTAGAGCCATCTCTACATTCCTACACATCAGAATCAATGGGGTGCTATTTTAAATTCATGTTCCTAGGCCCATCCCCTGTGAATCTGGTTAAATAAGTCCAGGGCCAGACCCAGGAATCTGCATTAGGCACACCGAGGATTCTGGGATGGGTGGCTCTCAAACATACCCACCTGGATACATGAACTGCTGCCTCCCAGATCTCTGATTGCAGCCCTGGTGACTTCTCGAGCTCCTGGCCTCTCCTCCCAGCTGTCCACTGGCTACTAGAATGTTCCAACACAGACTAACAAGGACCACTCTGAGTTCAACATCTTTCCCCCAGAAGTGCTTCTTCACCTGACTCACCAGACCACCAGCCTGAGTGTCACCCTGATGATCCCTGTCCCTACCCCACATCTTGACCACCAGCAAGGCGGGCCGATTCTACCTCCCCTGTGCCTCTGGGCCCCTTTCCTCTGTCATCCCTGCCAGTGCCTTGGTCTGATCTCCTATCCTACTTCCACCCCAACAACCCAGCCTCCATCACTGCCCTGAGCAAAATCCTTCCATGGTGACCGAACTCTGGAACTGCCCTGCCCAATGCCACAGCCACATGTGGCTATTTACATTCAAATTAATTAAATAATATCAAAACATTTGTCCCTCAGGCGCCCTGGCCACATTTCAGACATTTAATCACCACAGGTGGCTGAGGCCACCGTGCTGCACAGCACAGATAAAGGCACAGCCCCATCCTCATAGAAGGTTCAGTGGACAATGCACCTCCAGAGCTTGGAGCTTGGTTGCTAAGTGCTGCAGGGTCTGGCCCCGATCTCCACGCAGGCCACTTCCCAGCACCTGGGTCTTGAGCCACATGGAACCACCCTAAATTCATGACCTTACCTCCAAGCCTCCCCATGGTATATCTACCCTTCCCAGCCTAACCAACTCCTACCCTACCTGTGGGTCCCAGCTTAGCTGGTACCTCCTTCTCTGGCCAGGATAGGAGCCCCAGCTTCTGCCTATCCCAGCGTTTAAAATACTGAGTTCTGGCCAGGCACAGTGGCTCACACCTATAATCTCAGCACTGTGGGAGGCTGAAGTAGGTAGGTAGGGAGGCTGAGATCAGGAGTTTGAGACCAGCCTGGCCAACATGGCGAAACTCCATCTCTACTAAAACAAAACAAAACAAAAAACATAAAAATCAGCCAAGCGTGGTGGCGTGCACCTGCAGTCCCAGCTACTTGGGAGACTGAGGCGGGAGAACTGCTTGAACCCAAGAGGCAGAGGTTGTAGTGAGCCGAGATTGCACCACTGTGCTCCAGCGTGGGTGACAGTGAGACTCCATCTCAAAAACAAAAACAAAAACAAAACAAAACAAAAATACTGAGTTGTAATAGCCACTGGTATGCCTACTCCCACCCTGCAAACCAGTGGTTTTCAACCGGGGGCAAGTTTGCCCCACAGAGGATATTTGGCAATGCCTGAGACTTTATGGATGGGCTGCTACTGGCATCTGGTGAATAGAGGCCAGGAATGCTGCTAAACATCCCACGGTGCACAGGACACTCCTTACAGCAAAGAAGTATCTGGCCTAAAATGTCTGGAGTGCTAACATTAAGCAAACCTGCCCTAGATTGGGCAATCTGTAAAGGCAGGAGTGGGGTCCTGAACACTGCATTTCCCCAGCCACTAGCCCAGAGTTGAGCATACAGTAGATACTCAATAGAAATTGAACACATATGAGTTCAGATGTTCTAGAAGATTCTTTACCCAGGATTCCAGTTCTTTTGGAATCTTCATTTGCAGTGTCTTCCCTTAAAGATAATCATTGGCCATTATGGTGGGATGAATAATAGCCTCCGAAAATATCCAGGTCCTGGATGGGTGCAGTGGCTCATGCCTGTAATCCCAAGGCTTTAAGAGGCTGACACGGGAAGAGTACTTGAGGCCGGAAGTTCCAGATCAGCCTGGACAACATACCAAGACCCCATCTCTACAAAATTAAATTTTTAAAAAATTAGCCTGGCATGGTGGCAACACCTATAGTCCTAGCTACTAGGGAGGCTGAGGCAGGAGGAACTCTTGAACCCAAAAGTTTGAGGTTCCAGTGAGCCATAATTGTACTACTGCACTATATAGCCTTGGCAACAGAGCAAAACCCTATCTCAAAAAAAAAAAAAAAAAAAAGAAATCCAGGTTCTAATCCCCAGAAATTGTGACAGCCACCATATATGATGAAAGGGACTTTGCAGATGTAATTTAATTATTTAATTAAGAATTTTTTTTTTTTGAGACAGGGTCTCACTCTGTCGCCCAGACTGGAGTGTAGTGGTGTGATCTCAGCCCACTGCAGCCTCTACCTCCCGGGTTCAAGTGATTCTCCTTCCCCAGCCTCCTGAGTGGCTGAGATTACAGGTGCATGCCACTACACCCAGCTAATTTTTGTATTTTTTGTAGAAACAGGGTTTCACCATGTTGGCCAGGCTGGTCACAAACTTCTGACCTCAAGTGATCTGCCCGCCTTGGCCTCCCAAAGTGCTGAGATTACTTACAGGTGTGAGCCATGCACTCAGCCTATAATTAAGGATCTTGAGATGCAAAGGTTATCCTAGATTATCTGGGTGGACGCTAAATGCCAACACAATAGTCCTTATAAGAAAGAGGCACGGGGGAAGTGGGGAGGGATAGCATTAGGTGATATACCTAATGCTAAATGACGAGTTAATGGGTGCAGCACACCAACATGGCACATGTATACATATGTAACGAACCTTCACGTTGTGCACATGTACCCTAAAACTTAAAGTACAATAATAATAAAAAATAAATAAAATAAAAAAAAAGAAAGAGGCACAGGGAAACTTCACACACACACACACACACACACACACACACACACACGTCACCTGACCATGGAACAGAGAGAGATGTGAACATGCTATAACACTGGCCTTGAAGACGGAGGAACAGGCCACAAGCCACAGAATGCCAGCAGTCACCAAAAGCTGGAAAAGGCAAAGAATGGATTTTCCCCTAATTCTTCCGAAGGGAGTGTGGCACTGCTGCCACCTTGGTTTCAGCCCAGGAACACTGACTGTGGACTTCTGGCCTCCAGAACTGCAGGAGAATAAACTTCTTTTGTCTTAAGCCAAGATGATAATGGTAATTTGTTCTAGCGGCCATAGGAAACTAATACAGTCTATTACTTTCTGGGGTTTATTAGGTTTGAATCAGAGAGTTTGATTTTAAAAACAGAGACTTTACAAGGAATGGCATTTGGGTGCCAGGGCTCGTCCCATGCCTACTGGCTCTGATAGCTGGAAGCAGAACTGGGTGGGTGAGTGAGGCTGAGCTGTGGGTGTTTCTAGAAGTGGCTGCCGCCTGGGCCATCGGCAACCACGTTCACAGGTCATCCCTCATGCCTTGGTCATGCCACCTTCTGGGATGCTAGAGGTCTCAGGCAGTTAAGTGACTTGACCCAGGACAAGTCTGTCTAGCTAGACTCAGCAGGGATTAGAATAAAACTCCAAGCTCTCTTCCACTTGTCCAGCCCACTGCCAAGCTTGCTCCCCTCTGGCCTCAGTGGCTTTCTCTGATCTTACAACATAGCCCCAGGGCCTTTGCGCTTGCTGTTCCTTCAGCTTGGAACACTCTCCCTCTGGAGTCTCCCATGGCTGGCTGCTTCTCATCATTCTGGTCTCAGCTCAAATGCCACCTCCTCAGAGAGGCCCTCCATGGCTGCACTAAGGCAAGTGGCCTTCTCTAGTTACCTTCTCTTTCATCACAGGGCTGATTTTCTTCTCACATTCAATTATCTCATTAATCTCCTTGCCTGTTCAACATCAACTCCACCCCTTCTTCCTCCCTCTCCCAATGCAGGCTCCAGGAGGGCAGGGACTTTGTCTGATGTGTCCACAGATATGTCCCCAGCCCCAGACCTGGCACACAGTAGGTGCTCAATATATTTTGAATGAATGAGTGAGTAAATGAATGAATTTGCAGCTTTGGGGAACGCCTGACCCAAGCTCCATCCCAACACACCTGATCTTGGCTTTCCTAAAGGCCAGCTCCTCCTCGTTTCCAAAGTCCAGGGACACATCCTCGGTATCGTCCACCAGGGCCTGGGAGGAGAGCAAGGGCAGGTGGCAGGCCCAAGCACGGCGCACACCCCAACCCCACCCGCCCTGTCCTCCTGGGCTTGGACTCCACTTGCACCCCACCGGGTTCCCAAGTGGACCCTCCGAGCTGGCGGGGCCCCTCCGCTGCGGCTGCAGTGCAAAGCCCTCTCCACCCTCCCGACCACCGGGTGCAGCCCAGCCCCAGGCCCCGGCGCATCCCTCCTCCTCCTCCCGGCTTCTCCAGCGCTCCCGCAGGCTCCCCTCGTCCCGCCCCGCCTCCAGCCCCAGCATCCCCGAGGCCCTACCTGCTTCATCACCCTCCCAGGAGCCCACCTGGCGCCCAGGCCCGGGGCTCCAGCTCCGCCCGTCGCCGCTGAAGGGGTCGGACGCCGGGCGGGCGGATGTAGGCAGCAGACGGTGGACGCTGAGGGTCGGGGCCTGCGCCCTGTGGGGCAGCCTCAGCGCAGCTTCTCGGGTGGGGCGGGGCGCTCGGGGCCTAAGGCGCAGTCGCAGGCTGGGGAGGGGGCTCGGCTCGCCGGGGACGCGCCCAGGAGAGAAAGCGGCGGCAGGGAGGCAACGGCCTGGGGAACTGCGGACAGAGATAGTGGGAGGAATGGGAGTCGGGGGCGGGGGGCGGCTGCGTCAGCGAATGGTGTGGACGGCGCATAAACGTGGATGTAGCGAATGATAAGGCAGTGAATGAATGTCAGTGGTGGGCAGCCGCATTCAGGGTTGGGAGAAGGTCAGTGTTTCCCAACAGTCTCTGCGCGCAAGAAATTCCCAGGAACCTTGTGAAAAGCAGATTCTCAGGCCCGGCCCGGGGGATGTGGAAGGCCTGGAGTGGGGCCCTAGAATCTGCCTTCCCCGCGCCCCCACCCCCCACGACAAAATGCAGTTAGGATGGGCCCTGCTGTGTTCTTTTTTGGGGGGTGGGGTGGGGAAGGCAGATTCTAGGGCCCCACTCCAGGCCTTCCACATCCCCCGGGCCGGGCCTGAGAATCTGCTTTTCACAAGGTTCCTGGGAATTTCTTGCGTGCAGAGATTGTTGGGAACATTCTCTGCACCTAGGCTGGAGAGCACTGGTGCCATCGTAGCTCACTGTGGCCTCAAACTCCAGGGCTCAAGCAGTCCTCCCGCCTCAGCCTCCCGAAAAGCTGGGACCACAGGCTGCACCACCACACCTAGCTAAATTTTTATTTTTGTAGAGAGGAGGGTCTCACTATGTCGCCCCGGCTAGTCTTGAACACCGAGGTTCAAGCCATCCTCCTGCCTCAGCCTCCCAAAGTGTTGGGATTACAGGAGTGAGCCACCACACCCGGCCTCACCTGCCTTTTAAGGGGTGGCGCTGCTATAGCCACAGCTTCAGAACCACAGTGAGATCTGCGTGCATCGCCGTGCCAGGCACTTATTAAGCGCAAAGTTATTAGTAGTATTAATACTATTATTGACAGTAATAGTAGTGTTTCTTGAAGTGAAAGTCTTCCTGGGTACCTCCCAGGAAAGAAAACTTGTCACCTGAGGGTCTTTCCTGGCCCAGGACACAGTGACTCTCCTCTCCTGCGTGCCCTCTCCCTGTCCTGATCCCCCACCCACGGACAGAGGGCTGAGCATCGAGATGCCAAAGCCAGTGACCCTGCCCTTTGCCCTCCCACCATGGACAATAGGTACGTGTCCCCTGCCCCTGGTGACCCCAAAGAGGGCTCCTGGGCCACAAGCCCCTGACACATTTTCCCCACTGCTGGTCTCCATGGGCGGAGGTGGAGGCAGGAGCTGTCTCATCTCTGATCCTGGGCCTGGGTTCCAGGCTTTCTGTCCTCCGCCCCCACCCCAATTCCCTAAGCTGACCCCACAAGGGCCTGCCAGGTGTGTGTGGAGGGAAAGTGCTTTCTCCTATGCCATTTCTCTTTTTTTTTTTTTTTGAGATGGAGTTTCCCTCTTGTCACCCAGGCTGGAGTGCAATGGTGCGATCTCGGCTCACTGCAACCCCTGCCTCCCGGGTTCCTGCAATTCTCCTGCCTCAGCCTCCCAGGTAGCTGGTATTACAGGCGCCTGACATCAACCCGGGTAATTTTTGTATTTTGTATTTTTAGTAGAGAGGGGGTTTCACCATGTTGGCCAGGCTGGTCTCCAACTCCTGACCGCAGGTGATCCACCCACCTTGGCCTCCCAAAGAGCTGGGATTACAGGCATGAACCACTGCACCCAGCCTCTACTATGCGATCTTCAGGAACCAAGATTTATATATATACAATGTGTATATATGTGTGTGTGTATGTATATATATATATATATATATATATATATATATATATATATATATATGTATATGTATATATATTTGCCAAACTCTGCTGCGATTTGGATAGCTTCTAAAAGACACACTGCCCAGATTGTGTTATGGACCAATTAAATCAGGCTCTCTGGGGATGGGACCCTATACCAGTGCTTTTAAAGCTCCCAGGTGTTGGGCTGCAAGGTAAAGAACCAGTGATTTAAATGAGTGCTTCTGACCCCTCAATCTGCAAATGAATCTCCTGGGGTTGGCTTAGAAGCTGGATGCTGACTCAGCGTTCTGGGGGTCTGGGGGTCTGGGCAGGGGCTGAGATTCTTTCTTCCTTTCTTTCCTTCCTTTCTTTTCTTTTCTCCTTCCTTCCTTCCTTTCTTTCTTTCTTGAGATGGAGTCAGTGGCTAGATCTCAGCTCACTGCAACCTCCACCTCCTGGGTTCAAGTGATTCTTGTGCCTCAGCCCCTTAAGTAGCTGGGACTACAGGAACATACCACCACGCCTGGCTAATTTTTGTGTTTTTAGTAGAGACAGGGTTTCACCATGTTGGCCAGGCTGGTCTCGAACTCCTGACCTCAAGTGATCTGCCTGCTTCAGCCTCCCAAAAGGCTGGAATTACAGCCGTGAGCCACCACATCCGGCTGAGATCCTGCATTTCTGAGAGCCCGTGGGAGAAGCTGATGCTGCTGCTCCCTGGACCACCCTTTGAATTGTAAAGATCTAAACCACCAAGGCCTGGTTTTCTAGAAAGGCCTGTGAGCTCTTCCTGCCCAGAAGGGTGAACGGAGAGGCCCACTCCCAGCGGGGCCCCAGCAGCCTGGGAAGGGGATATTGGGAGGAAGGAGGCAGGAGGGCAGCTGGAGGGAAGAAGCCGTTGCAGAACATTTAGGGGCTTTTTCTCTGACCCTAAGAATCACCAGCTGTTGGTGTCTGTTGAGTTGGGGTTCCTGGAGTCATGGGAAAACCCCCGTGGAATCCCCAGTCAGGACCAACTGTCATTCTCAGCCACTGGGTTGGAGGTTCCTCCAGAAATATCCTCAGCTCCTGCCATCTGGAGGTGGCTCTATAAATACAGGGTCACTTCCATCCCTCCTGACCTGTCCACATGGGGCAGAGGGCTGAGGATACAGATGCTGGGGCCACATATGAAGCCCTATTATTCCCTCCTTGGAAGAAAGCACCCTCCCTCTACACGTGGCCCAGACGGCCCTCTGTGGGGTCAGCTTCCTGAATCTGAGGGGTGGGCAGAGGGCCTGAGGGTTGCACAGAGAACTCATCTTGGTTTTAAAACTGGCTGCGGCAGAGACACCTGGTTGAAAGGTAGATTTTAGGCCGGGCACAGTGGCTCACACCTGTAATCCCAGCACTTTGGGAGGCCGAGGTGGGTAGATCACTTGAAGTCAGGAGTTTGAGATCAGCCTGGCCAATATGGCGAAACCCCATCTCTACTAAAAATACAAAAAATGAGCCGGGCATGGTGGCGCAAGCCTGTAATCTCAGCTACTCAGGAGGCTGAGGCAGGAGAATCGCTTGAACCCGGGAAGTGGAGGTTGTGGTGAGCTGTGATTGCGCCACTGCACTCCAGCCTGGGCCACACAGTGAGATTCAGTCTCGGAAAAAAAACAACAAACAAACAAACAAAAGGGTAGATTTTAGGATCTCACTCTAGGTTTTCTGAACCTCCAGGGTTGCGGCTTGGAGATCTGCCTTAATAAGAGCCGCAGAGAGGGCTTGGAAGCCCGACCTTTGGGAAACACTGGCCCTCTCCCCTCCCCCTACCCACACTGGTCTTGGCCCCTGAAGGATTTGGGGAGTAGACCTGTGAGAAGCAACCCCATCTCCGATCCCTGCAGCTGGGCTTGGGACCTTGAAGCCAGAACAACCCCAGGGAAGGAGGTCCAGGCTCAGGTAGCCACTGGCCTCTGGCTGACCTTGGAGGTCAACATCTGGAGTCTGCAGGCTTTGTTGGGGAGGGGACAGGTCACCTTAGGCAGGGGACTTCACCTCTCTGGCCTCAGTCTCCACATCTGTAAAGTGGCGCCATACTTTCCCCCTACCTGGCAAGGATGATGAAGGACCAGAGAAAACATGTCAGATTCCTTTCTCTGAATAGGGGCTCAGGAAACAGCGGCCTTGTTGACAGTGACTTAAGGTCATCAGCAGAGGGGTCTCGGGTCAGGAGCCCCCATGGGCCAGCAGCACACAGGACAGGAGCCTCGTGTCAGGGGCCTCTGCTGGGGATATCTGTCTTCCCAGCAGAACAGGGCTGGCCTTTCCTGAGTGGCTCCTGTTGGCCTCACACTGCGTGCCCCCGGGACATAGGGCACCTGGACAGAGGTACACACACAGTCTTTCTCTCCAGTGACCCCAGGAGTCCTGGACCAGGAGGCAGAGGCTTGGGTGTGAATTCTGGCAAACACAGGTCAGGGTGCTGGAACCCAGAGGCTGGAGGAGAACATTCGGCCAGGGGAGGAAGGAGACGTCAGTCTGGCAGGACCATGGCAGGCTGTAAGACACGCAGAGTGTTTGACTCTTTAGCTGCGAGCAAAGGGCAGTTGGCATAGAGGGTCAGTGGGGAGTGGAAAGAGTTTGACTACATCTGGGGCCTGAAAAGGCCCAAGATGCACTCCGTGTCCCCACCAGGCAGGATGGAAGTGGCAGCCCCCAAACCTGTCACACCAAAGCCAGCAGCTGCTCATCACCCTCAGCCCAGCATTCCTATGAGTGGCACTCCCTACGATCCCACTGGCCCCTAAGATCTGCACCCCACTCCCTGGCATCTGACGACGATCCTGTCATTTCTCCCCAGGTAGGGTTGCCAGATCTAGCAAATAAAAATAAGGGAACTCAGGCAGGGCATGGTGGCTCACGCCTGTAATTCCAACACTTTGGGGGAGGCCAAGGCAGGCTGTTCATTTGAGGTCAGGAGTTTAAGACCAGCCTGGCCAACATGGTGAAACCCCATCCTGATTAAAAATACAAAAATTAGCTGTACGTGGTGGTGTGCACCTGTAATCCCAGCTACAAGGAAGGCTTAGGCAGGAGAATTGCTTGAACCTGGGGGACAGAGGTTGCAGTGAGCCAAGATTGCCCCACTGCACTCCAGCCTGAGCGACAGAGTGAGACCCTGTCTCAAAAAAAAAAAAAAAAGAAAAAAATACAGAAACTGAGCTAAATTAGAATTTGAAATAAATGACAATTTTTTTAGTGCAAGTATGTTCCATGCAATATTTGGGACATAATTATACTTAAAAATGATCACTTGTGGCCGGGCATGGTGGCTCATGCCTGTAATCCCAGTACTTTGGGAGGCTGAGGCGGGCAAATCACGAGGTCAGGAGATTGAGACTATCCTGGCTAACAAGGTGAAACCCCATCTCTACTAAAAATACAAAAAATTAGCCAAGCTTGGTGGCACGCGCCTGTAGTCCTAGCTATTCAGGATGCTGAGGCAGGAGAATCACTTGAACCAGGGAGGCGGGGGTTGCAGTAAGCCAAGATTGTGCCACTGCACTCCAGCCTGGGTGACAGAGCAAGACTCCGTCTCAAAAAAAAAAAAAAAAAAAAAGATCACTTGTGTTATTTCCAGTTCAAATGTATCTGGGTGGCCCCTATTTTCTGGCAGTCCTATTGTAACCATACACAGGCTCGGCTGCTGATCACTTACAAAGCCAATAACAAGGACGAGATGCAGTGAAAGGAAAGTGACTTTATTCCAGGGCTAGTGGTGGGGAAATGGCCCAGGCTTGTGTTTACAGGAACCATTTCTAACTTTAGCCTGGGGAGAGGGACTTAAAAAAAGGGCACTTGGAAGGTTGGGCATAGCGGTGGCTCACACATGTCATTCCAGCACTTTGGGCGGCCAAGGCGGGAGGATCATTTGAGCCCAGGACTTCGAGTCTAGCCTAGGCAACATGGCGAGGTCCTGTCTCTACAAAAATAAAAAAATTAGCCAGCCACAGTGGCACACACCTGTACTCCCAACTACTCTGGAGGCTGAGGCAGGAGGATCACTTGAGCCCAGGAGGTTAAGGCTGCAGTAAGGTGTATTTGTGCTACTACACTCCAGCCTGGGCGACAGAGCTAGACCCTGTCTCAAAAAATAAAATATTTTAAAAAGGGAACCTAGAACGGGAGTGGTGCCGGGTACAAAGCCAGTTTGTCTTGTTCCAGCGGCTATCTCGAGCCTTGCTCCACCTGAAGCATAGCCTGGCATCATCCCAACCATGGCCGGGTTGTTGACAAACCACCTAGAGATAATCTCTGGAATTTTGCAGCTGGGTCTCCAAGACTGATATGTTTCAAGGTTAGCTCCTGGAACTTCTAAGTGAACACATAATTAATACAAGCATACAGCCAGATAAATGTGCATGGGATAAGGGAGAGAGACAGAGTTTGAAAATACAGTTCAAGGCTATATTTTAAGACTAAGGAGGGAGGCCGAAGGGGAGGATCACAAGGTCAGGAGTTCGAGACCAGCCTGGCCAGTATGATGAAACCCCGTCTCTACTAAAAATACAAAAAATTAGCTGGGCATGGTGGTGCACACCTGTAATCCCAGCTATTTGGGAGGCTGAGTCAGGAGAATCACTTGAACCCAGGAGGTGGAGGTTGCAGTGAGCCGAGATCATGCCACTGCACTCCAGGCTGGGCAATAGAGCGAGACTCTGTCTCAAAAAAAAAAAGACTAAGGAGGGAAAAAAAGGTTTCTGCAGTTTGTTTTGACGTTACATCTTGAGACTAAGGAGAAAAGAGAAAAAGGGAAAAAAGTATAAAATGCGTTTTGAGGCCTGGCACAGTGGCTCATGCCTGTAATCCCAGCACTTTGGGAGGCCCAGGCCAGGTGGATTACTTGAGGTCAGGAGTTTGAGACCAGCATGGCCAACATGATGAAACCCCATCTCTGCTAAAAATACAAAAATTAGCTGGGCGTGGTGGTGGGTGCCTGTAATTCCGGTTACTTGGGAGGCTGAGGTAGGAGAATCACTTGAACCCGGGAGGCGGAGGTTGCAGTGAGCCGAGATTGTGCCACTGCACTCCAGCCTGGGGAACAGAGCAAAAAAAAAAAGCATTTTGAAGCCAAGCTACTCAGTTACGGTATGACTCCAGGCCAGGGGACATCCAGGCCCACGAGGTTGGGGGGCTCCCACCCTCCTGTTTGTATGGCTGCCCCTGTGACTGTCACACTGCTGCCTGTTTCACAGAGGCTCCTTTCAGGTGACCTAGTCCAGTCCTTCTTCAGGCTGGCAGCCAGTGCAGGTTACCCAGGAGGGCGGAGCAGAGGGCCAAGGGAAGAAGGAGGGTCCCCTCCCGTGGGCTGCCTTCAGGGCCCCATCCACCTTGTCAGGCGCAGGGAGTGGTACATGGAAATAGCCCTGGATTTCTACCCAGACAGACCTGGGTGCAAATCCTGACACCAGCTGTGCCCAGCACGCTGGTGTGGACATGGACGCAGCTCTTAGCAAGAGATATAAGCTGCTGATTGCTGACCCTCTTTAGGCCAACTTTCTAGTTACAGACAAATAAATACAGCCAAGTGAAAAAACAACAAACTAGAGCTTGTCAAAAGTGCACTAAATGCCCCCATGCAAAGCTGTGCTGTCTAATCCAGGAACCACAAGTCATTACTGAGCCCTTGAAATGGGGTAAGGCTGGATGGAGATGGGCTATCAGGGCAAAGTACACAGCAGAGATTGAAGACTTGTTAGGAATAAAAGGCCGGGCGTGGTGGCTCACGCCTGTAATCCCAGCACTTTAGGAGGCCGAGGCAGGTGGATCACCTGAGGTCAGGAGTTCGATACCAGCCTGACCAATATGATGAAACCCCATCTCTACTAAAAATACAAAAATTAGCCAGGTGTGGTGGCGGGCACGTGTAGTTCCACCTACTTGGGAAGCTGAGACAGGAGAATTGCTTGAACCCAGGAGGCAGAGGTTCCAGTGAGCCGAGATCGTGCCATTGTACTCCAGCATGGGCAACAGAGTGAGACTCTGTCTCAAAAAAAAAAAAAAGAAAAGAAAAAAGACTTGGTAGGAATAAAAGAATGTAAAATAATAATATTGAAATCATGTTTTAATTGTTTACATGCTGTAATGATAATCTTTTAGACATAGTGGATTAAAGAGAATGTATTATTATAATTAACAGCCTGGGCAACATAATGAGACTCTGTCTCTACACAAAAATAATAATTAAAAAAAAAAATTAGCCTGGCGTGGTGGTGCATGCCTGTAGTCCCAGCTATTCACGAGGCTGAGGTGGGAGGATCACTTGAGCTGGGGAGTTAGAGACAAGCCTGGACAACATAGCAAAACCCTGTTTCTATAAGAAATACAAAAATTAGCCCGGCATGGTGGTGTGCGCCTGTAGTCTCAGCTACTGAAGAGCTGAGGAGGGAGGATTATTTGAGCCCAGGAGGTCAAGGCTACAATGAGCCGTGATTGCACCACTGCACTTCAGTCTGGATGATAGCGAAAGCCTGTCAAAATTAAAATAAACGTCCAGGCACTGTGGCTCATGCCTGTAATCCCAGCACTTTGGGAGGCCGAGGTGGGCAGATCACTTGAGATCAGGAGTTCGAGACCAGCCTAGCCAACATGGTGAAACCCCGTCTCTACTAAAAAATACAAAAATTAGCCAGGTGTGGTGGTGCACACCTGTAATCCCAGCTACTCTGGAGGCTGAGGCAGGACAGTCGCTTGAACCCAGGAGGTGAAGGCGTCAGTGAGCCAAGATCACACCACTGCACTCCAGCCTGGGGGACAAAGCAAATAAATTTTACCTTTTTTTTTTTTTTGAGTTGGGGTCTCACTATGTTGCCCAGGCTGGTCTCAAAATCCTGGGCTCAAGTGATCCTCCCACCTCAGCCTCCTGTATAGTTGGGACCATAGGCACATGCCCACTCTGCCTAGCTTATTTTATTTTATTTATTTATTTATCTATTTTGAGACAGAGTCTTGCTCTGTCACCCAGGCTGGAGTGCAATGGCACCATCTCAGCTCACTGCAACATCCGCCTCCTGAGTTCAAGCAATTTCCTGCCTCAGCCTCCTGAGTAGCTGGGATTACAGGCGCCCGCCACCACGCCCAGCTAACTTTTGTATTTTTAATAGAGATGGGGTTTCGCCACATTAGCCAGGCTGGTCTGGAACTCCTGACCTCAAGTGATCCTCCTGTCTCGGGCTCCCAAAATGTTGGGATTACAGGCATAAGCCATCGCACCCGGCCTGCTAATTTTATTTTTTGTAGAGACAGGATGCCAGAAGCACAGAGAGGGGAAATTCCAGACCAGGGAACAAAAGGGACAGCCAAGTTTTGATGTGGCCCGCCTGGCCTCCCCAGCAACACACCCTGTCACCAGGGACGTGGAGAAGTCAGCAAACAGGCCAAAGAAGGCCTCTTGTCACTCAAGGGCCTGGACAAGAGACAGAAATGTCAGGTCAACAGGGCCTTCTCTGCGGCCAGCCGGGATGGGGGACAGTGGCTGTGACCCCAGTGGACAGGATGGGCCCTGGACCTCTGCCTCCTGTTGGAGCAGCCAGAGGTCGGCAGGCCCCTCCCATGGAGGCAGGGCTGGGGAGGTCATGACACTGGTCGCTCCCTTAGCAGCCGGGGGGTCTGAAGCTTGTCCCTACTAGAGAAAGTGACCTAGCCGGGCCCTGCTTGGTCAGGAACTGCGGATCTTTCCCACTTCTCCCTGCACCACTCATCATGCTCTGACCACAATGGCCAGACTCCAAGATTTTCAGAAACTTCCAAGCCTCTTCCTGGCTCAGGGCCTTCGCTCCTGCTGACTCCCTGGCCAGGAAAGCCCTTCTCCTCCTGATTTTCTCAGGGCTGAAAATATGAGGTCTCCCCGCAAGGGGCCTTCCCTGAAGCCCAGCTCATGTCCCACCCAGTTTCTCAGTCCCTCTTGAGGGTCTGGGATCTAGACTGTGGCCTGACATGTTTGTTCCCTTTCTAGCACTTTCTACGATCTCTAATTCTCTTGTTTTCTTATTGGTTTAGTAAGATTCCCCTCCCCATGCCTCCACTAGGGTACTGTCTCCATAAGGGCAGGCGTCTCTTAAGTTCATAGAGCATGGGGCCAGGTACACAGCTGGCATTCCACAAGCCAGCCAGAGAGTGGGTGAACAAAGGGATGAGCGACTCAGAACACACGCCTGGCAGCGAATCTCTGCAGAGTCCCCTGATGAGGACCTTACAATTCAGGGGACACAGAGACCTGGATTATTGCCTCCCGAGGGGTCTGGTCTCAATCTAGTTCTCTCTTTCACACACACACACACACACACACACACACACACACACACACACGCCACCTTTCAGCACAGGCCCACCTGTCCCCATCCCTCCCAAAACGCCCTGCCCTGCATGTCAACATGGAGGACGCATTTAAGCTATGAGGCGGGGAGCCCAGAGTAGCCGCTGCAGCATGCCTGGCCCTCCGCCGCAGGGAGGTTGGGTTGGGGCGGGCAGCGGGACTTAGATTACCCAGGACCCGATTTGGGAGCCCTGGGGGCCTCTTGCAGGAGGAGCCCAAGCAATGGCTGGCTGCCTGCCCTAGCAGGTCTGCGAGCCAGCAGGCAGGCTGCCACCACTTACGGGAAATGCTCCACTGAGGAGAAAGAGTGGTAGGTTGTTTAGCCCAGCCCTGGCCCCTGTCCAGACTGGGTCAGGAAGCTTTGCCCTGTGCCAGCGTCGCCCACGCAGGCTCAGTTCCTCCCCAGACGGCTTGTCCAGAGACCCACAAGGCAAGCCGGGGAGTCACTGCCCATCTCTCTCCTTCCTGTGTATCCAAAGCAACAACAACAAAAACCAAAACAGCAGTTTGTGGACTCAGACACTTTGCAGTCAGCGTGCTTTGAAGCTCAGCTCTGCCTCTTATCAGCCGGGAAATAAATAGCTTGGACAAGTTACTAAACCTCTCTGAACCTCAGTTTCCTTCAGTGTGAAATGAGAATCATGACCTGTTTTAAGGGCCGTGAAGGGGTGGCCTGCCCCTCCACACCTGTGGGTATTTCTAGTCGGATGGGACAAGAGACTGAGAAAAGAAATAAGACACAGAGACAAAGTATAGAGAAATAACAGTGGGCCCAGGGGACCCGCGCTCAGCATACCAAGGACCTGCACCGGGCACCGGCACCGGTCTCTGAGTTCCCTCAGTTTTTATCGATTATTATCTTCATTATTTCAGCAAAAAGGAATGCAGTAGGAGGGCAGGGTGATAATAAGGAGAAGATCAGCAATAAACATGTGAGCAATAGAATCTATGTCATAATGAAGTTCAAGGGAAGGTACTATGACTGGACGTGCACGTAAGCCAGATTTATGTTTCTCTCCACCCAAACATCTCAGTGGAGTAAAGAATAACAAGGCAGCATTGCTGCAAACATGTCTCGCCTCCCACCATAGGGCGGTATTTCTCTCATCTCAGAAATGAACAAATGTACAATCAGGTTTTATACCGAGACATTCGGTTCCCAGGGGCAGGCAGGAGACAGTGGCCTTCCTCTATCTCAGCTGCTAGAGGCTTTCCTCTCTTACTAGTCCACCTCAGCACAGACCCTTTACGGGTGTCGGGCTGGGGGACAGTCAGGTCTTTCTCATCCCACGAGACCGTATTTCAGACTATCACATGGGGAGAAACCTTGGACAATACCCAGCTTTCAAGGGCAGAGGTCCCTGTGGCTTTCCATAGTGCATTGTGCCCCTGGTTTATTGAGACTAGAGAATGGCAACAACTTTTACCAAGTATACTGCTTGTAAACGTTTTGTTAACAAGGCAGGTCCTGCACAGCCCTAGATCCCTTAAACCTTGATTTCATACAACACATGTTTTTGTGAGCTCCAGGTTGGGTCAAAGTGGCTGGGGCAAAGTGGCTGGGGCAAAGCTACAAATTAACAACATCTCAGCAAAGCAATTGTTTAAAGTACAGGTCTTTTTCAAAATGGAGTCTCTTATGTCTTTCCTTTCTACATAGACACAGTAACAGTCTGATCTCTCTTTCTTTTCCCTACAGGGCTGTTGGATAGAATGCAGGAGCTAATTTGTTTTTTTTCTTTTTTCTTTTAGATGGGGGTCTCACTGTCACCCAGGCTGGAGTGCAGTGCTGCAATCATAGGTCTCTACAGCCTCCAATTCCTGGGCTCAGGCAATCCTCCTGCCTTAGCCTCCCTAGTAGCTGGGACTACAGGTGCACACCCCACACCCAGCTAATTTTTTATTTCTCATAGAGACAAGGTCTTGCTATGCAGCCCAGGGTGGTCTGGAATAGACTCAAGTGATCCTCCTGCCTCAGCCTCCCAAAGTGCTAGGAGTACAGGCATGAGCCCCTGGGTCTGGCTAGGAGTTAATGTTTTATCACATACTCAGCACATTGCATGCACATAGTAAGTGTTTGCTAAATAAATTATGTCAAGCCACCTTTATTTTCACTCCAGGAGGTAAAGTGCATGGCATGATACCCATTTTACAGATCAGGTGATTGAGGCTCAGAGAGGTTTTGAAGCAGGTGCATACAGCAAACCAGTGGTAGACCCATGAGTAGATATCAGGTCTCCACCTGCTCCCTGCTCATAGCTTTTCCCATCACACAAAACTGGGGTGCACAGTCCCTGCCAAACCTTTAACCCAAGGTTGCAAAGTGCCTGCCCAAGGGTCAACTCTGGGCTCCAGACATGTTTGGGTTGGACCTGCATAGTTAAAAAAAAAAATAGGCAGCGTTCATGGAGTTAATGGCCAGTATTGGAAAATTGGGGCCAAGTGTAGTAGCTCACGCCAGTAATTCCAGCACTTTGGGAGGCCAAGGCAGGAGGATCTCTTGAAGCCAGTTCAAGACCAGCCTGGGCAACAAAGCGAGACCTCATATCTATTTATAAAAAATAAAAATACTAACCAGGCGGGGCATGGTGGCCTGTGCCTGCAGTCCCTGCTACTTGGGAGGCTGTGGTGGGATCGCTTGAGCCCTGGAGTTCAAGCCTGCAGTGAGCTGTGATCACATCACTGCTCTCCAGCCTGGGTGATAGAGTGAGACCCTGTCTCTTAAAAAGAAAGGAAAGAAAAGAAAAGAAAAATCAGATGTCACTTTTTTTTTGAAGTCTGTACTTCTGTTTTTTCTTAAGGAAGCTCAGGTGACATGGAGCCTGAATTCCCTGTGGTGGGAGCTGAGCGGTGCTATCCCCCCTTAGATGGGGTTGCAGAGTCGAGCTCACCACCCCCAGACACCAGTGTGCTCACTTCATTCTCTGCCACTGGCGAGTTTGCCATTGCTCCTGAAAACCTACTGTTGTAACCTGGGCATGGTGGCTCATGCCTGTAATCCCAGCACTTTGGGAGGCCAAGACACACAGATTATCTGAGGTCAGGAGTTTGAGACCAGCCTGGCCAACATGGTAAAACCCTGTCTCTACTAAAAATATAAAAATTAGCTGGTTGTGGTGGCACATGCCTGTAATCCCAGCTACTGAGGAGGCTGAGGCAGCAGAATCACTTGAACTTGGGAGGCAGAGGTTGCAGTGAGCTGAGATTGTGCCATTGCCCTCCAGCTTGGGCGACAAAGCGAGACTCTGTTTCAAAAACAAACAACAACGACAAAAAAAAAAAACCCGCTGTCAGGTGGGATTCCCCAGAAGCAGACCATACCCTGCATGAGGGTGCATGAGCACCTTAGGGATTAGGCAGGGCTCTGGGGAGGGTCGGAGAGATGGGCTGAGAGGCAGGGAGGCCACACAGGGGTGTGACAGCAGACAAAGGCCCTCAAAGGTGTATCAAAAAGTACCAAAAACTGAGTGGCTTAAAAATCAGAAATTCATTGTCTCCCAGTTCTGGAGCCTGGAAGTCTGAGATTAATGTGTCTACAGAGCCCTGCTCCCTCTGCAGGCGCTAGGGAAGGATCTGTCCCCAGCATCTCTCCTAGTTTCTGGTATTTTCTAGGCTGTGGCTGCGTAATCCAATCTTCACATGATGTTCTCTCTGTATGCGTGTCTGTGTCCAAATTTCCCCTTTTTATAAGGACACCGGTCATATTGGATTAGGGATCCACCCTACTCCAGTGTGACCTCATCTTTCTAATGATGTCTGCAATGACTCTATCCCCAAGTAGGGTCACATGTTAAGGTACAGGAAGTTAGGACTTCAATATAGGAATTTTGAGATGAAGGACATAGTCAACCCTTAACAGAAGGTAACTGTGGCTCACCCCACAGGGGGTTCTCAGAGTCTCCAGTGGGAGGGGGGAGCTGGGGTATTTATACTCTCCTGTCCATCTTGCCCTTGCCCCATTGGCTCTAGGAAAACACACAGGCAAAGCAGGTTCCAACATCATGAGGAGTGTCTCTAGCTAAGAGGTGCAGGGGCTGCTGTTGGAAGTGAAAGCTCACCAGGACCTGGTGGGAATGAAGATGGTGACAGGATCCGAGGGACTGTGGGCTCCTGCCAACCACCATCATGGTGACACAGAGGAAAGAGTCTTTACTCCACCTCTGTCATCCACTACCTTGGTGGGAATTGACCAGTAGGGTGGCCCTAAATGAGTCACTGGCCTCTCTGCCTTACTTTCTCCACATACAGTCCACACCAGCTGGGACCAGAGCTGCTAGGAAAAAGAATGGATGATGCCCACTCACCCCCATCCATGTGCACCCCAACCCAGCTGGCGCTTGGGGAGTGTCAGCAGGTGGAGGTGGTAGAGCCCTCATACCTATCAGCATCAACTCACTTACAGAGGGACTGAGGAGCCCCTGGGAGAAACAGGACCCCCAAATCAGATAGCCCTCCCCATGAGTGAGCTCAGGATATTCAAACACAGGTCTTGAAATGCGGCACCTGGATTCTTGGCCAAGGTACCTCGAGGACTGGATTTTCATTTCTCAGCCTCACTTGGCCTTTATACCTCCGAGACGCTGCATTCACCATTCATAATTTTAGCTCAGTTCACTTGGAAAAACCCAACCACAAAGCAGAGAACTTGAGAAAGGCCCCAGTCTGCATTTGGTGGGTCCAGGCATGGCCACTTCTACCCAAAGGGTGGTGTCAAGGCCCCTCCCTGTGTTCTGCCACAGCCAGGAGACTTTCATCCAACTGTAGCCAGGGGACTTCCGCTCATGGGAGTCACCAAACACCCTTCTTTTATTTTTTATTTTTTTAGAGACAGAGCCTCACTCTGTTATCCAGGCTGGAGTGCAGTGGCACAATCACAGCTCACTGCAGCCTCGACCTCCTGGGCTCATGCCATCCTCCTGCCTTAGCCTCCCGAGTGGCTGGGACAACACAGGTGCATGCCACCAAGCCCAGCTAATTAAAAAGTTTTTTTTTTGTTTTTTTTTTTTAGAAACAGGGTCTTGCTATGCTGCCCAGGCTGGTCTCAAACTCCTGGACTCAAGTGATCCTCCCACCTTGGCCTCCCAAAATGCTGAGACTATAGGCATGAGCCACTGTGCACAGCTGAAATGCCCCTCTGAAGCATATGGGGTGGGACTTCTTGGCCTCATTTTCCAGATAAGTGGCTGAATCTCAGAGAAGAAAAGGGACTGGCCAAGGCCACCCAGGGGGGTGAGACCATCTCTCCTCTTTCATCTTGTGCCCTTCCCTACAATCCCACCTCCAGACCACATGCAAAGTGAGCTTGTTGCCCAGCAGTAACTGGATCCCGTAGACGCCTGCTCAAAACTTTCTTGAGGCTTCCCTGCCTACACAGTTGAATCTCAGTGCCACGTGGCCTGGCCCTGGCGACTTCTCCCCCACTCTCAGCCCCTGCCACTCTATCTTCCTCTCCAGCCCGGGCCACACCACCCACCGTCCTTGGTAGCTGCTCTTGGAATGCACCAAAGTTGACTTGGGGACTATGCCCTCGCCGTCTCCCTTGCCTGGCACACCCTCCACACGCCTTGGTGACTATGCCCTTGCCATCTCCCTTACCTGGAACACTCTCCACACGCTTTGGGGACTATGCCCTCGCCATCACCCTTGCCTGGCATGCCCTCCACATGCCCTGGCATGCTCATCACACGGCCAGCTCTTCCATGTCCTTCAGGTGGCAGCTCAGAGGTCACTTTCTGGAGGAGCCACGGTTGGTGCCACACTAGGACCTTATGACACTCACTCTCTGGCAAACACCTGGGACTCTGCCTGGGGGCTGTCTCTGTCTTCTAGAAGCCTCAAGACCCAACAGTCAAGGCCAAAGGTCTGGAGTGGTGAAGCCCCCAGATGCTGCACCCAACCATTGACTTTCAGGAGCTGATGTACCCCCAATCATCCAACACATCACTCCATCAAGTTCCTTCCCATCTTCATCTGGAAGTATCCAGGTGACTTGCTTGTTGACTATGTGTTTCCCCAACTCGAATGTAAGCTTCTTGAAAACAGGTTCATGATCACCCTCTTCCCCCAGTCCATGTCCCCAGCCCCAGGACAGCTCCTGACTGATAGCAGGTCCCCTGTACATAATTGATGAATGAATGAATGAATGAATGAATGAATGAGTGGGTGATGGAATAAGTCAATGAACCCCAATCCAGTGCTCCTTCTCCCCTCTTCCTCAGCTCTCACTGGAGCTAGAAAACAAAAATCTACCTTCAACCATCTCCTGACTCAGCCCCATCCCCAAGGAGGGGCTCACACCCTGGTCCCTGGGAGATTTTTTTGTTTTTGTTTTTGTTTTTATAAGATCTACACCCAGCCTCAACCCTGAACTCTGAATGAATTCGTCTGGCAGGGGGACCCAGGCAGCAGCGTTCTTAAAAAACTGCCCAGGAGGTGCCAATGTGCAGCCAGGGTGGAGAACCACTGGTTTAGAATTTGGGGAGTAGGGGAGGACCCAGACAGAATCCAAGGTTCTAGGGTGGCCAACTCTCCTAGTTTCCCCAGACCAAGGGGATTCTCAGGAGGCAGGCTCTGCAGTGCTAAAACTGAGATAGTCCAAGCAAACCAGGATGAGTGGGTCACTCTACGTGTTCCCCATGCCACCTGGATAACAGACCAGCCAGCCACACCGCTGCCCTGGCCACTTCTAGAGGTCCAAGTCTCTTGAGATCCCCACTGCCTTGTGGAGAGGGCCATGAATCCTGCTCTAGACCTTGAACATCAGAGGAGGGGAAAGGGCCACAGACGGACAGCATGGGGTGAGATTGGAACCACGGCTCAGGCAACTGATGCTGATGAAGATCAGGCCATCCTTCCTCCTTTCCTCACCCCCACCCCAACCTAGGCAGGTGTGATTCTAACAGAGGGAGCTGGGCTTTCCCATGTGGCTTGTGGGCAGTGCCTATTCATTGTGAGAGTCTTTTGGGGTCAGGCTGGATTTGTTTCCGCTTCATTATCCCCTACCCAGGCCTGGCACATATTAGGTGCTCAGTAAACAGAGGCACGATACTAAAGGCATGCAAGAAATTGATCACCATGTCAGCTGGGAACGACCTAGCTTTTTCACCCACTTTCCTCACTGCACACACCCAGTGTCTGCTATAGTGTCAGACACAGTGGAGATGCTCAATGCCTGTTTGTTGACTGAACAAAAGAAAACATTGACAGCTTTTCCAAACAGGCTTCTGTCTCACTCCAGCCTCTTGCCCATTACTCTGTTGGGGATTTGGGGGCCTTTTCCTCACACCCCTTGGTCTGAGTATTCATCCAACCACATGAATAAAATTAAACTTTTATCTGTTCTGTTATGTAGGGCAAAACTACCAGCTGACCCTAATATCTTCTTACATCAGATGAGGATTTTTGGCTGGCTCATGGTCCTATCAGCTAAAGATCACCCTTCTTGGCCTCCCCTGCAAGGAGTATGGTAATGTAAAGTAAAGCTAATAAAGTAAGTTGTGCCACTTTGGGATTATATTTTCCCTCTGATAGAATGCAGTTGTGATGGTAGGAGCTGGAGCAGCCATGTTGAATCATGAGGTGGGAGCCATGAATAAAGATTGGGAAACCAAGAAAGAGAGGGAAGCTGAGACCCTGCCCTATAGAGCCCCCTTATCTGTTCTGAATAGTTGATACTTGGACTGTTACCCAAGAAAGAAATACATTTGTCTCTGCCTGGCCTTTGTCACAGCAGCCATACCTATATCTTACCTTATTTTGAATCATGCAAAAAATGGGTAGATGGATATTTGTCCACTGTGGTGTCGTGTTTGAGATCTTTTGGCTTAAGACACTGGCTCCATGACTCATGCATGGGGAAGCCCCCTAAAGAGATAAGCACTTACCCAGGGTACAGAGGAGTAGAAACTAAGCATGAAGAGAGGCTCTCAGGACTGCCAGTGGGAAAAGGGTGCTATGGCTTGGATATTTGTTCCCTACAAACCTCATGTTGAAATTTGATCCCCAATGTTGGAGGTGGGGCCAAATGGGAGGTGTTTAGGGCATGGGGCATGGGGATGGATCTCTCCCTCCCATGGGGTGAGTTCTTGTTCTATTAGTTTCCAAGAGAGCTGGTTGTTAAAAAGAGCCTGGCACCTGCCCCTACTCTTGCTTCTTCTCTGTCCATGTGATCTCTGCACACGTGGACTTCTCTTCACCTCCCACCACAAGTGGAAGCAGTCTGAGGCCCTCACTGGATGCCCAGTCTTGAACTTCCAGCCAGCAGAATCATGAGCCAAATAAACCTCTTTTCTTTGTAAATTACCCAGCATCAGTTATTCCTTTATAGCAACATGAAATGGACCAAGACAAAGGGACTTCAGTATTAAGATACTAAGCATAAAAAATGGCAGTTTCCATAGGTGCCCCAGTGTAAGAGCTACATGGGCAGACACTCCAAAACACAAGTGCTACTTTGCACTGTGCTGCTTCTCCCAGGGCCCAGAGAGATTAAGCAACTTGACCAAGGTCCCACTGGTAAGTGGCAGAGCTAGGACTTAAGTCCAGCTGTGATATGATTTGGATTTGTGTCCCACCCAAATTTCATGTTGAACTGTAATCCCCAATGTTGGAGGTGGGGCTTGGTGGGAGGTGATTGGATCAGGGGGGCAGTTTCTCGTGAATGGGTGCTCATGAACAGCATCCCCTGCGTGCTGTCCTTCTGATAGTGAGTGAGTGAGTTATTGCAAGATCTGTTTGTTTAAAAGTGCGTAGTACCTCCCCCCTTTGGAGCAACAGGAATTCTCATTCACTGTTGGTGGGGATGCAATAATGGTGAAGCCACTCTGGAAGACAGCTTGGCAGTTTTTAACAAAATAAACATACTCCTACCATGCAACCCAGGAATCAGGCCCATTGGCATTTACCCACATGAGCTAGAAACTCATGTCTACACAAAAAACTACACATGGATGTTTATAGCAGCTTTATGCATGATTGTCGGAACTTGGAAGCAACCAAGATGTCCCTCGGCAGGTGAATGGATAAAAACCGAGGTACATCCAGACAATGGAATATTATTCACTGCTAAAAAGAAATGAGCTATCAAGCCACAAAAATACATGGAGGAAACTTACATGCATGTTAGTAAGTGAAAGAAGCCAATCTGAAAAGGCTATTCTCTGTATGATTCCAACTCTATGACATTCTGGAAAATCTATGGAGACAGCAAAAAGATCAGTGGTTGCCAGGGGTTGAGGGGAGACAGGAATAAACGGGTGGAGCACAGGGGATTTTTAGAGCAGGGCAAACTCTGTATGGCACAGTAATGGTGGATTCATGTCATTACCCATTGGCCCAGCCTCACAGAATGTACCTCGAGCACATTCATCCACCCTAATGTAAACCATGGACTTGGGGTGATGATGTGTCAATATAGATTCATCAGTTGTAACAAATGTTCCACTCTGGAGAGGGATGTTGAGAATGGGACAAGCTGTGCCTGTTTTGGGGGAGGGCGGACAAGGGAAACCTCTATCTTCTGTTCAGTTTTGCTGTGAACCTAAAACTGCTCTAAAAAGTAGAATCTATTTTTAAAAATCTGAGGGTTTGGGTTGAGGACTGAGGACTTATAGGGCCGTCTCCAGGCCTTTAGGATGGTCCTGGCTTCTGGTCCCAGAGCTCATGAGGGGTATCCCAGTATTGTACAGGAGAACCAGGAGAGGCTTACAGCAGATTTGGAGCCAGGGAGCCCAGGCTCGTCTGCTTCTGAGGGGCAGCCTGGGGCCCTCAGTGGTACAGGAGCAGTGGCCCCTGACTGGCATGAGGTTGGCATAAGCCTTCCCTGGGATATACTCAGAGCTTGGCATGTTCAAGTTGAAAATCATTCTTAGAATTTCTCGGCCGAGCGCGGTATCTCACACCTGTAATCCCAGCACTTTGGGAGGCTGCGGTGGGTGGATCCTAGCCCAGGTTTCTCAGCTGAGGCACTGCTGACATTTTGGGTTGGATAACTCTATGTTGTGAAATTCTGTCCTGTGCACTGTAGGATTCAGCATCTGTGGTCTCCACCCACTAGATACCAGACACACCTTCCCTCCCTGTTGTAACAATGCAGAATGTCTCCAGACATGGCCAAATGCCCCATTGAGAACACTGCTCTCATCACCTTCACTTTCCAGATAGGGAAAACTGAGGCCTGTGGGGGCCAGGACTTACCCAGGGTTTCACAGCACCTGAGAGCTGCTCAGGCAAGGTGGATTTGGAGCTGCCCTGCCCAATTCCTTGGCACTCGAAAATCCAGCACATGCCCAATGTCCCAGGCAAGCTGTGGCTCTGCACCTGTGGGCTCCATCCACCGGGGCCAGGGTGAGAAGGAGGCAGTGAATGCCCCAGGAGCAGCCCCCCGTAGTGATGGTCTGGGTGGAGGGTAAATGCCCCATCTCCCTCGCCCCAAAGTGGAATTGAGCCTCAGTTGCTCATCACCTATTCTGACTTCGTTTCCTTCCTGGATCCCTCCCCAAATAAACTATTCCCACCCGCATCCTTATCTCAGGATCTGTTTCTAGGGAACCCAAGGATTGCATTGTATCTTGCCTGTACTTCCTGCCTTCAAGATTCTCTGCACCAGGTTATGATCTGGAGTATTCCTGAGCCTGGGAAGCCAACAGACTGTCTATGTTTGTCCGGTGGCTGGAGCCCAGCTGGTAGGCAACGGTGCAGCCCTGTGGGTGGGGCCATCTGTCCGGCATTCATTCGGCTTGGTCTGGTATTCTTTCTAATGCTAATGCCCTGCTGAATTTCTTTCTTTCTTTTTTTTTTTTTTTGTTTTTTTTTCACCAAAATGATTTTTATTTCGTGTTTAATTGGGTATGCACACAGGCTTGACACAGGTTTGGATTCATTAAGTCCTTATGCAGAATTATATTCTTCTTGATAAAGAAGCCCGTTCCATCCAGGATCCACTATCTACACACCTATGTTACAACATTTCTATCAAATCTGGTATCTGCAGAAAAGATACACATTTAATATGTTCATTTAAGTTATGTATTTTGCAGAAAGATTAAAAATTCAAGTCACGCAAAACTCAAAAACTGTATCAAAAGTTTGAATATAAAACTCAGATCCACCTGGAATGACTAAAGAATTGAAGTTCTGTATCCACCTGTGTTAAAACTGGTAAATGTAATGAAATTTGTTACCGATAAAACACATTCATTTATTCAACGTAAGTTATCTAATTTTAACAATAGGGCACCTTGAAAACCAAATGTATTTTTATGATGAGGCACTTCTGTTTGTGATGAAACCAAAAGAACAAATTTGCTGCACACTAATGCCGGCGATTTTCTTCAGTGACTTGGGGTATATGCTATGTAGTAAGTTGCAACAAATGCCTCGCTCATTTGTATATGACTATCCGATATATTTTTAAATATATATATATATGTTCTTCTGGCTGTAGCAATGCACTGTAAAGCTATTTTACAGTGCAAAATGATGAAACCAGCCCAAATGAAGGCTGCATAATAACAATTCTGGTACAAGAAAATATTGACAGAGTTGCTGGAATGTGTAACAGTAGCTTTTTACTTGCTAGAGTAGACATACCCCCAGTTTAAAGACAGGGATGAAATTGTGATTTATTGCCTGAGGTTTCAGACAGTTTATGAGGTTGGGCATTCGCTGCAGAACTAGCATTTTTGCTCACGTTCTGGAAGCTTTCTCCGTTTATTTGGTCAGGTGACTGCGGTGGTATGGAAAGAAGGGGCCTGTTTGTTGAAGCCAAGGTGCTGGAAGAACTGCCTGTGTCGTACTGACAAGCCAAAGGTGTGTCGGTCGTGGCTATTTCTCGTGTCCTTGGGTTCTCTGCCTGGGGATCTCCGCTTTCTCCGCTGCTAAGGTCAGAGGTACTAGTGTGTAGGCAATTCCTGGCCAGCCAGTCTGAGATGGAAACGTCCTGGGCTGAGCATTTTGGTTTTAACCGGCTTACAGCTGAAAGTTCAGATTCTCTCTCCCAACTCCGCTCATGCGCTTTCCAAAAATTCCAAACGCTGATTTCAGTAGCATCTCTGTGCCCTCCTAGCGTATGTCTGCGCCGGGTGCTTTTCCTTTTAGCAGTCGCGGCATTCGCTTTGTGATTCCCTACTCCAAACACGTCATCCGCAGGGGCTCTGGGTCTCAGTTTTAGCTGATCTGCTTTTTTCGTTTTCCATGTGGATTCCTGTTTTTCGGATCCACCTCTGGTGGGTGTCAGTAAACTCACAGTTGACTTTCCTTTTTTCATAACATCAAACACTTTAGTTAATGAAGGTGTTTCTTTCTCGTTCTTGGCATCTCCTAGACTTCCACTGTCTGACTTGAATCTCGCTGATTTTTTCCTGGAGAGAATATCACATGTGATGAGTTTATGGGAACTGAAGAGCTGTCTCCGGCTATCTAAACTTGATGTTAAACTTCCCTCGGTGCAACTTACTTCACTTCATTCAGAATTTCTCCGGCTGCTCTTAGTCACTTTTTGCAGTTTTCCTCGGAAAAGCCTCTCCGAAGTCAAAGCTGTGGGGAAAATGGGAAACTCGTTCCCGCTGTCGGTTTCCACAGGCCGCCCTTCAAGGATCAGTTCGCTTTTCTCGTCGTCTGCCTCGTCCCCCTTGCTCTCTGCCACGACTGCACCTCAGGGCTCAGTCTACTGGAGTCCAGGCTAGTCAAGTATGTAGCAGACGATGTGGTGGAATAATCTGAGGTGATGGTGCTGACGTTGGCCAAAAACTCACTATGTTTCCTTTCTATGCCCTGCTGAATTTCTTATAACAGTTTTATTGAGGTATAATTCCCATACCATACAACTCATCCATTAAGAGTGTACAATTCAATGGCTTTTTTTCTTTTCTTTCTTTTTTTGGAGACAGTCTCACTCTATCACCCAGGCTGGAGTGCAGCAGCACGACCTCCGCCTCCTGGGTTCAAGCAGTTCTCCCACCTCGCCTCCGAGTAGCTGGACCACCATGTCTGCTAACTTTTCGAATTTGTTTATAGCGATGAGGTCTCCCTGTGTTGCCCAGACTGGTCTCGAACTCCTGGGCTCAAGTCATCATTTCACCTCAGCCTCCCAAAGTGCTGGGATTACAGGTGTGAGCCACTGTGCCCAGCCATTGGCTTTTAGTATACAAACAAAGTTGTCCAAGCTTCACCACAGTCAATTTTAGAACACCTTTCTTTTTTACTTTTTCTTTTTAGAGAGAGAGGGTCTCACTTTGTGGCCCAGGCTAGAGTACAGCGGTGGGATCACAGCTCACTGCAGCCTCCAACTCCTGGGCTCCTGCCTCAGCCTCCTGAGTAGCTGGGACTGCAGGAGTGCGCTACCATGCTCAGCTAATTTTATATTTGTAGAGATGGGGGTCTCATTATGTTGCCCAGGCTGATCTCCAACTCCTGGTCTCAAGTGATCCTCCTGCCTCAGCCTCCCAAAGCATTGAGATTACAGGTGTAAGTCACCATGCCCAGCTCCCTTTGTAACTTTTGAGAAACTGGCAGGCTATTTTCCAAAGCTTCACTCTATCAAAAAATATATATATTTTTTAAACAATAGCATAACATATATAAAGTGCAAAATCATAAATGTACAACTTAATGCATTTTCAGAAACTGAACACTCCCGGAGATCCAGCATCCAGACCAAGAAACAGGATGTTTGCAGCCCCCAGAAGCCCCTGTGGGGGTCAGTCGCTTCCAGCCACTCCCCTGCCAGAGGAACCATTGTCCTGCCTCCTAATAGCACAGTTTTTGTTTCCTTTCTGGATTTTAAATATTCTCCAGTTTAGGCATGGTGCCTCACACCTGTAATCCCAGCATGTTGAGAGGCCAAAGTGGGAAGATTGCTTGAGCCCATGAGTTTGAAACCAGCCTGGGCAACAGAGTGAGACCTCGTCTCTAAAAAAAATTAAAAAATTAGCTGAGCTTGGTGGTGCATGTCTATAGTCCCAGCTACTTGGGAGGCTGAGACAGGAGGCTCATTTGAGCCCAGGAGTTCGAGGCTATAGTGAGCTGTGATTATGTCACTACACTCCAGCCTGGGTGACAAAGTGAGATGCTGTCTGTAAAAATAAATAATATAATAAATATATAAATATAATAAATAAATAAATAAAATATAATAAATGAGTATTCTCCTTTCCTGGTGAGGGGTGGAGGCTGGCAGGAGGGCCAGGCTGAGGATGTCAGAAGAGAAACCTTACTCCCAGATCCTAGAAGGAGAGAGGCACCCCAGCGAGGCGTGGGGACTGGGGCCTTTGAGGCTTCCTCCTCACAGCCCCTTGCACCTTCCCACCTGCTGGGAGTTTTAGGGGGTTTCCAGAGGCTGCAGAACCAGGACAATATTTTCTAGAGTCCTTGAGTTTGGTGTGACCACAGGCAGCCTGAAACCGAAAGCCAGGCCTTGGGACTGGGCGGCTGCTTCCCTTGGCTGGGATTTAAGCACAGGCCAGACACACATGAGGCCTTCAGAGCCATCCTGCCAGCCGTGTGACCCAACAGGCAGGGTCATGCATGTCTTTATCTGACATCAGAACCCACCTGGAGAGCCGCTGTGTCTTAGGTGTGTCCTGAGACCAAAGCTGGAAGTTCAGAGCACATTGCCCAGAAGAAGTGAGACATTTTCGAATTTTTTTTTTTAATTTGGACACAGGGTCTTGCTGTGTCACCCAGGCTGGAGTGCAGTGGTGCAATCTTGGCTCACTGCAGCCTTGACCTCCTGGGCTCAAGCGATCCTTCCACTTCTCAGTCCCGCGAGTAGCTGGGACTACGGTGTACACCACCACATCCGGCTAATTTTTGTATTTTTTGTAGAGATGGGATTTTGCCAAGTTTCCCAGGGTGGTCTCAAACTCCTGGGCTCAAGTGATCCACGCACCTCAGCCTCCTAAAGTGCTGGGATTATAGGCATCAGCCATCGCACCCAGCCTTGGAATGTTTTAAGGGACAGTCATGATAAGACTGTTGCTGATGCCACGAGAAGCGCCCAGGAAGCAGGGTGTGCTGGCTAGCTTCTGTTGCCTCCAGAGGGATTCCCCTCCCTTCTCTTCCCTTCCCCACCTGCCGTCTGCACAGATGCTGACCATAAGAGCCCCAATCAGCAGGCAGCTGTGGTGCCCACCACCCACAGGCTCCCATTGGCCAATGCGGGGCCCAGACAGGAGATTGGAAGGTGGAGGAGAATGAGCACACTGTTTTTATACCTCTGGCTCTGCCCATCAAAGATAAACAGAGCCCACCACTAGCTAATGCACTGAAGAAGATTTCATTCAGTAAAACCATTGCAACAGGGAAGAGGGACCAGCATGAACCAAACCCAATTTCCCCAAAATAAAATGCTGGAGACTTGTTATTTTTTTTGAAACAGGGTCTCTCTGTCACCCATGCTGAAGTGTAGTGGCATGATCATAGCCCACTGCAGCCTCCACCTCTCAGGCTCAAGTGATCCGCAGCCACCAGAGTAGCTGGGACTACAGACGCAGACCACCATGTCTGCTAATTTTTAGAACTTTTTTTGTAGAGACAAGGTCTCTCTGTGTTGCCCAGGCTGGTATGGAACTCCTGGACTCAAGCCATCCTCTCACCTCGGCCTCCCAAAGTGCTGGGGCTGCAGGTGTGAGCCACCACCCCTGGGCGTCCCTGCTTCCATCTTCACCTGGCCTTCTCCTCTCTCTCCTGTGTCTCAAATCTCCCTCTACTTTCTTTATAGGGACACAAGTCTTTGGATTTTGACCTGTGTCAAACCTATATCAAGGATGATCTCATCTTGAGATTCTTAATGAAATCTGCAAAGATCCTATTTCGAATTAAGTTTGCTCATGTATGGAGAGTTAGGACTTGAACATTTTTTTTTTTTAAGGTAGAAATGAGGGCTCTTTATGTTGCCCAGGTGGGTCTTGAACTCCTGGGCTCAAGCCATCCTCCCACCTCCGCCTTTCAAAGTGCTGGGATTACAGGTGTGAGCCACTGTACCTGGCCACGGACATTTTTTCTTTTCTTTTCTTTTCTTTTCTTTTCTTTTCTTTTCTTTTCTTTTCTTTCCTTTCCTTTCCTTTCCTTTCTTTTCTTTTCTTTTCTTTTGTTCTTTCCTTTTTTGGAGATGGAGTCTCGCTCTGTCTTCCAGGCTGGAGTGCAGTGGTGCCATCTCAGCTTACTGCAACCTCTGCCTCCCAGGTTCAAGCGATTCTTCTGCCTCAGCCTCAGTAGCTGGGATTACAGGCTTGCACTACCGTGTCCAGTTAATTTTTGTACTTTTGTATTTCAGTATTTTTGCATTTTGTAATTTTGTATTTTAGTAGAGACGGGGTTTCACCATGTTGGCCAGGCTGGTCTGGAACTCCTAACCTCAAGTGATCTGCCCCCTCAGCCTCCCAAAGTGCTGGGATTACAGGCATGAGCCACTGTACCTGGCCACGGACATATATTTTTTAGGGACACAATTTAACTCACTGCATTCTACCTGCCTCCATCTTTTCCCATCATTCTGCTTTCTATACAGGGCAACAGAAGGCTGGGTCGGTACGGAAGACAGGTGAGGCCTCTATGAATGAGTATCCAGACAACTGACTAAAAGAGTTTAGGGATTCTCTAAAAAGAGAAGTGAGAAGGCAGAAGAGAAGAAGGCATCAAAGAAATAAAGCCAGAAATTTTCCTGGAACGGAAGAATACGGAGCGGTAGATGAATGGTGGTTCTTTCAATATCTTGTTCCAATGAATGGATGGGAAGGCACCCTGATGATAACAGGTTTGGCAGTCAGGTGGGGTGGAAGATGGAAATTAGTTCTTAGCCTTTCCACAAGTAGCCTTTTAGTAGGTATAAACTCACACACCGTCAAGAGAATTGAGGCAATGTTGATGAGTAAAGCAGGCATGTGCAAGGCGATAAGGAGGAGTGGAAATTGTGTCCAACAATGGACACAATCCGTGATGTAAAAGGACGTTCCCTTTGCATCAGTCTGCTCAGCCTGCCATATTAAAGAACCATGGACTGGGTGGCTTCGGCAATAAAAAGGTTTATTTTCTGGCTGGGCGCAGCGGCTCATGCCTGTAATCCAAGAGTTTGGAAGGCTGAAGCGGGAGGATCACTTGAGGCCAGGAGTTCAAGACTAGCCTGGGCAACATAGCATGACCTCCATCTTTATTTTACTTCTTTTGAGACAGAGTCTCACTCTGTTGCCCACGCTGAAGTACAGTGGCGTGATCTCACCTCACCGCAACCTCCGCCTCCCCGATTGAAGAGATTCTCCTGCCTCAGCCTCCCGAGTAGCTGGGACTACAGACGCCTGCCACCACACCCGGCTAATTTTTGTATTTTTAGTAGAAACGGGGTTTTACCATGTGGCCAGGATGGACTCTGTCTCTTGACCTCATGATCTGCCTGCGTCGGCCTCCCAAAGTGCTGGGATAACAGGCATGAGCTACCGCGCCTGGCCCCTAATGACTTCATTTTAACCCGATGTCCTTGTTGAAGAGTTGGTCTCCAATTACAGTCACATTCTGAGGCGCTAGGTTTTAGGACTTCACCATATGAATAGGGGTGGGGGACTCAATTCAGCCCCTAACACCTTCTGTGAAGACATTTCCCTTCACATTAAGAATAATTCATGTTGAGCCTGGGCAACATAGCAAGACCCTATCTCTACGAAAATTTTTTTAAAAATTAGCTGGGTGTGGTGGTACATGCCTGTAGTCCCAGCTACTCAGGAAGCGGCAGGATCGATCGAGCCCAGGAGTTCAAGACTGTGGTGAGCTATAATCATGCCACTGCACTCCAGCCTAGTTGACAGAGTGAGGCCCTGTTCCGAATAAATAAATAAATAAAAATACTTCATTTTGCATGCCAACCACTCTTGTCCACCCTCCCACCCCACCACTCACACACACACACACACACAGAGAATGGCAGTTTGTAGGCTCTTAGCAACACGTTCGTTGATTGAAGAATGGTGGACATTGGTTGAAGTTGGTTCCCGCATGGGCGGAATCTGGCTTTGCAGGAGTTCGGGGAATCTGTCCCCTGCACAGTTCAAATTTGGAGAAGCAGATTAATGTACTTACTTGGAAAAGAGAACTTACCCCTGTGGTTTCTCTGTCTTGGGAGGAAGTTCCATGAATAAACAACCAACTTGTTTTTGAAATACTTTCTACCCAAGTACTTTGAATACTTAGAATGATCCCCTAGGTGATCCTTGAGCTGGGGACACAATTTCGGGAGCTGGGTCAGCCTAAGGCAGCCGCTCAACCCACTCGCCTTTCTTGGGTCTTCCTTGGGGTCTGCAGATGATCATGGTGCACACTGTTACCCTCTCTGGAGGGGGCAGCTCCCTATAAGCATTCATTGAGTGTCTGCTGAATGCAGAATCTTTTGGTGGTAGGAGAGAGGGGGAAAGAGAAGGCATATGAGTTTGTGGTAGGCTGGAAGGTGAACCCTGGCTTAGCCCTTGAATTCTAACAATGGTTTTTGCCATTTTGTGCTGTGAGATCATGAACAAGTGACTTTGCCACTCTGATTCTCAGTTTTCCTGTCTGCAAAATGAGGATGTGCCTGCCCACGTTGTGGGATGTGCCTTCCCCATATTGCAGGATTACTGGGTGATTCAAGTGTGAAATCCTACATGAGCATGCTTGCAAAAGTCACAAAGGCCTGGGAAGCAGAGTATTGTCATTGTTGTGGGGTGAAACCAGAAATCGGAGAATGATTCAAAATTCACATGTAAGATCAATGCCATTGGCTGTAAAGTGGAATATTAGAAAAGGAATCTCTAAAAGATGTGGGGAAGTAAAACAGAAAGGGAGGAAATGTGGCTTGATTTCCTGCTGGCTACTGTGAGCTGCACAAATTGTTCTAGTCTTGTGCGCTTTGGGCTCGTCATAGTAAGATGGAGATCAAAACGTCTACCTTGCCAGGTCATTTCCAGATAATAATAGTAATAAATTGGCCAGGTGCAGTGGCTCTCACCTGTAATCCCAGCATTTTGGGAGGCTGAGGCGGGTGAATCCCTTGAGCCCAGGGGCTTAAGACCAGACCAGACAACATAGCAAGACCTCATATGTACCAAAAATGCAAAAATTTTCCAGGTATGGTGGCATGTGCCTGTAGTCCCAGCTACTTGGGAGGCTGAGGTGGGAGGATCACTTGAGCCCAGGAGGCGGAGGCTGCAGTAAGGGGAGATCACACTACTGTACTCCAGCCTGGGCGACACAGTGAGACTCTGCCTCAAAAAAAATATATAGTAATAAATACTAATATGTAGTGGACACTTACTGTGTACTGGGCACTGGTGTTTCATAGACCATGTCTCCTTTGGGTGCCACAGAAACCCTAAGAAGTAGGAGTTTATTTCTACTTCCATTTCACAGATATGGGCTCAGAGAAGTCAACTAACTTGCCCAAGGTAACGCAATTTTTGAGAGGCTCCCCAATATGTGCTATTTGATCTGTGAAAACTCTTGCAAGATGTCAAGCTTCCAGTGAAGCTTCAACGTTGTCAGCAACTGCAAATGCTGGGGACAAGGAGAATACAAAACTGGTGAGCAGTGGGTGGATTAATCTGAGAAGCCTTCCCGGAAGAAGCAGATGTAAAGTTGCGTTGTGAAGTGGATTAGGATTATTGAGTTCCTGGAGGAGGTCTAGAACGGTGACTGGCGTGTGTAAGTCAAGGGCATACAGATGGTATTTAAAGACGTGGGGCTGGATGGATTGCCCAAGAAGTGAATGTGGCTAGAAAAGAGAAAAGAAGCCTGGGTGCAGTGGCTCATGCCTGTAATCCCAGCACTTTGGGAGGCCGAGGTGAGAGGATCGCTTGAGCACAGGAGTTTGAGACCAGCCTGGCCAACACGGTGAAACCCCATTTCTACTAAAGATACAAAAATTAGCCAGGTGTGGTGGCACATGCCTGTAAGCCCAGCTACTCGGGAGGCTGACACAGGAGAATCGCTTGAACCCAGGAGACACAGTTTGCTCGAAATACTCATTTGCTTGAAATTGGGCCACTGCAGACCAGCGTAACCAACATGGAGAAACCCCATCTGTACTAAAAATACAAAATTAGCTGGGCGTGGTGGCACATGCCTGTAATCCCAGCTACTCAGGAGGCTGCGGCAGGAGAATCGCTTGAATCCAGGAGGCGGAGGTTGCAGTGAGCTGAGATCGTGCCATTGTACTCCAGCCTGGGCAACAAGAGCGAAAATCCAGCTCAAAAAAAAAGAGAGAGAAGAGGTTGAGAATAGAGCTTTGGTGTGCTCTAATTTGAGAAGTGGAGGTGATGAGGGGGAAATACAGGAGGAGAAGCAACCCCAAATTGGAAAAACATTTCAAGCAGCGAGTGGTAGACCATGGCAAATGCTGATGGTTTTTCATGTTAGATGTGGCAACAGCAACCTTGACGAGAGCTATTTGGGAGAGAGGCAGGAGTAAAAGCCTGATTGGAGGAGGTTTAACAGAATGGGACTAAGCACAGTGGCTCATGCCTGTAATCCCAGCATTTTGAGAGGCTGAGGCAGAAGGATCACTTCAGCCCAGGAGTTTAAGACCAGCCTGAGCAACATAGGGAGACCTTATCTCTAAAAAATAAAAATAAATTAGCCAGGCAAGACCTTACCTCTAAATAGGGAGACCTAAATAATTAGATGTGTGCCACTGTGCCTGGCTAATTTATTTTTATTTTTTAGAGATAAGGTCTCCCTATTTATTTAGGTCTCCAGTGAGACCTTATGGCTAAAAAATAAAAATAAATTAGCCAGGCATGGTGGCACATACCTGTGGTCCCAGTTACGTGGGAGACTGAAGTGAGACTGCTTGAACGTGGGAGGTCAAGGTTGCAGTGAGCCATGATTGTGCCAGTGTACTCCAGCCCGGGCAACAGAAAAAGACACTGTTTCAGAAAAAAAAAAAAAAAAAAAAGGAAGGAAAGAAAGAAAGAAAAAAAGAGAAAAGAGAAGAATCCGAGACAGAGGAGTATAGATAATGCTTTCAAGGAGTCTGGCTCTAAAGGTAGCAAAAAACTGGAGCTGGGCTGGAGGAGGATGTGCAGGAACCTAATCCCCCAGAGAGGTGCCTTCTCCTGTTGGCCGTCTCTAGCACCCTGGCCTACCCTCTACATGGTATCCTGCATGGACTTGACACCAAATATTTGCAAAATGAGTAGTGATTATAATAGCCATATCACTCATCATTCTCCTCATCCCTGCAAGGTTGCTAGGAGGCTGAAAGTAAAACAAAAAATAGCTAAGAAAGCTCCCTGTAAAGTGAGGTTCATTCTTCCTTTGCACGCTAATCATCATCCTCATGGCTAATGCGATTTCTTTTTGTTTCAAGAGATTTGGCTTCATGGTCACATGCTATAGCTGGGAGTGTGAAAGCAGGTACAACCTTTTGGGTGGATGTGTTAGCCCGTTTTGTGCTACTCTAACAGAATACCCGAGATTGGGAAATTTACAAAGAAAAGAAGTTTATTTAGCTTGTGGTTCTGCAGGCTGGGACGTTCAAGGGCACAACACTAGCTTCTGGCAAGAGTTTTTATGCTGCATCATATCATGGCAGAGAAGGTCAAATGGGAAACAGACACATGCAAAGAGGCAAAACCCAAAGGTGTCCTGGCTTTATAACAACCCACTCTCAAAGGAACTAATCCATTCCCATGAGAATTAATCCAGTCAAGCAGAGCCCACTCATTACTGCATTACTAGCACCAAGCCATTCGTGGGGGATCCATCCCCATGACCCAAACACCTCCCACTAGGCCCCACCTCCCAACAACGCCACATTGGAGGTCAAATTTCAACATGAGTTCTGGTGAAGACAAACACACCATATCCGAACCATAGCAGTGGGCAAGTTGGCAATAGATGTCAACAGCTAGGAAGTCAAATGTACATGACTATTGCAACATTGTTTGTAACAAACCAGATCAATGTCAACGTCCACCATTAAAAGGACTTGGTTAAATAAGCAATGATATATTCATTTTGTACAATATTGTAGAGCCATTAAAAGGAATGAAGCAAGTAAATACACAAAACAAATAAAGGAATGAAGCAGATTTGCATGCACTGACATAGAAAGGGGTCCAAAATACATTACACGAAACATTTGAGAGTCAAGTTGCATAACAGCATAATTACAGAATGATATTTAAAGATTTCCATAGATTGCCTCTAGAAAGAGAGACTATGTATGGACAGCTGGATTTATTTCTTATAAGTTTCAGGGAGAAGAAACGAGGAAAGGACAGTGTAGGGAATAATATTCTCACTTTGAAGATGGAGTTGTTCTTTTCCAGGGGAACAAAGCCAACTCTGAAACCCCCTCCTAGAATCTGAGGCTGAGCAGCATGGGGAAGAGTTTATTCTTTTTTTTTTTTCTGAGACAGAGTCTCTCTCTGTTGCCCAGGCTGGAGTGCAAGGGCATGATCTCGGCTCACTGCAACCTCTGCCTCCTGGGTTCAAGCAATTCTCCTACCTCAGCCTCCCAAGTAGCTGGGATTACAGGCGTGTGCCACCATGCCCAGCTAACTTTTTGTATTTTTAGTAGAGACAGGGTTTCACCATGTTGGCCAGCCTGGTCTCGAACTCCTGACCTCAGGTGATCTGCCCCGGCCTCCCAAAGGGCTGGGATTACAGGCAGGAGCCACCGCATCCAGCCTCTACAGGAAGAATTGATTCTTATCTACAGGTCACTTTCCAGGTGCCCATGGAGGTGATTTCACCCAAAACTGCGTTTTCCCAAACATACCACTCCTGAAATTCCCCAAGCCCTCCTCGCTGATTCAGGGGGTAGGAGAGGTAGGTGGACAAACACCATCTGCTTAGAGAAGGCAGAATCATAGCAGGTAAATCCTTCCAGCAGGGTTTCCATAACCTGTAGCAACTGTTGTTACCATGGAAACCCAAACAATAGCCACCATTACAGGAGAAGCCATAGGCACTGTTTTTCCCAGGGTTTAACTAGGCCAAGACCAAATCAGAGGCTTCATTCATTCATTCATTCATTCATTACTAGGGGTTTAAATCTAATGCCAGCCCCTATGATGGGCATTGGGAACATGAAGGTCAATAAGACCCATTCCCACCTATTAAGAAGCTCACAGTCCCAAGAGGCGAAGACAGGCAGTTAAATAAGTAATTATAATTCCATGAAAGGACTTAGTGAAAATCCAAGTGTTCATTATCTGGCCCCCACCCTTCATCCATAATAAATTTTAATAATGTTTTAATAAAGTATCTGGTCTTAGGTAAGTTTAATTTCCAAGTTTAGGTCTTATGCATTTCATTTCCACCTTTCCTTAGGCCCTTCTTGACTGTGAGTTATTGTTATAATATTTTTAACTTTTTGTTTTGAAATAACTGTAGACTCAAGTGACCTTGCAAAAAGAGTGTCAAGTGGTATTGTGTATCTTTCACCCAGCTCTTCCCAACTGGAACATCTCCCATAACTACATTGCATTACTAGCACCAGGAAATTGACATCAGTCCAATAGAATTAACTAGACTCCAGACCAGCAGAACCTTCCTTTTTGAACCCTAGTCTGGCTCTGACCATCATATCAACACCCTCTTTTAGTCTGTCTGTCTCTGAGTGTATGCAATCATTTGCAAAATGAAGCTGCCATCCTTGCCAAGTTACAGAATTTCCTGAAGTCAATGTAAATGATGCACCCACAAAGATATCAACAAATAAGCATCTGGTAGACTTAGGCTAAGAAACAACTGAGGAAGAGGAAATTGACAAGAAGACTGGACAGGCGCTTAAAACAGATAATTTCATTATGAAAAGACAAAGAAAGACCCGTTGGGAAACTAGTGGTACTTTCTAACGTTTTTGCAAAAATGACTTCCTTTCTGTGTGATCATGGCCTGAAACTTGCAGAAAACGGTCATATCATGTGTTCCAACAAATTTTTTATCAGAAAATTATGCCTAAAAGAAAAAATATACATCACTCCTGGCTTCATACTCTGTTCATTCTAAAAATGTGTACAGTTTTGCAATTATAATTTCATTAGCTAAAGACAGAATAATGTCTACAAATTTTAGTTTCATTTAGTTTCATTTTTAAGGTAGAGTCTCAATCAAATAATCAAATCCTTTTTCCCCTCAATATTTACTATGAAGTTTTAGTCCCATTCTGACTAGATTTGCTTTTACCTGTCTTTCTCTGGCACTAATGATCCTTGAAGATAAAAAATCCCCTGCCAAGGTATTATAGGGCAAAGGACACAATAACCAGTTCTGCAGGAAGGTGAGCGAAGCCTTCCACTAAGTAACATTTGGGCTGGGTATTGAAAGATGTGTAGGAGTTCACCAAGGGAAAATGAAGGAGAAATCTGTGCAGTTAGAGAATAGTGTGTCAGAGTCTGAGAAGGACAGGAGAACATGGCTTCCTTTCTGATGTCATGTTTGGGCTGTGGTGAGGTTGCAGGCAGAGTGAATAGAATGAAGTAGGAACAATTTCCTGTGATAGGGGATGAGCCTGTGTGGGTGAAAAGAGCCGTCCTGAAGAGCTGACGCTTCATCCAAGGCAGTGGGAAGCGTTGCTGGAGGGTTTTGCGATAAGGAGGGACATGACCAGTGGTGCAGTTTAGAAAGATCCCTGTAGCTGCCACGGAGGATGACGGTGAAGGCAGGAAAACAAATATTATTATTATTATTATTATTACTATTACTATTACTATTATTTGAGACAGAGTCTTGCTCTGTCACCCAGGCTGGAGTGCAGTGGTGTGATCTTGGCTCACTGCAACCTCCACCTCCCAGGTTCAAGCAATTCTTGTACCTCAGCCTTCTGAGTAGCTGGGACTACAGGCACGCCCCACCACACCCAGCTAATTCTTGTATTTTCAGTAGAGACAGGGTTTCGCCATGTTGGCCAGGCTGGTCTCGAACTCCTGACCTCAAGTGATCCGCCCACCTTGGCCTCCCAAAGTGCTGGGATTACAGGTGTGAGCCACCATGCCCAGCCAAACTTTCAAGAGTGGTGGTTACGATAGAGACTCTAGATGAGACCACTGTGTGGAGTCAGGCTCCACCACTGACTAGCCTGGGACCCTCACTTAAGCTTGATGAGCCTCAGCTTCTTCATCTGTAAAATGGGAATGATGATTGTACCTACCACATAGGATTGCTGGGAGGACTAACTGTGAAGTCATGTGCTTAGACCATGTAGGGAGCCAGGTTCAGATGAGAAGTGACGAAGAGAATTTAAATTACAGATGATAGGCCGGGCGCCGTGGCTCATGCCTGTAATCCCAGCACTTTGGGAGGCCGAAGGGGGCAGATCACCTGAGGTCAGGAGTTCCAGACCAGCCTGGACAACACGATGAAACCCCGTCTCTACTAAAAATACAAAAATTGGCTGGGCGCAGTGGCTCACGCCTGTAATCCCAGCACTTTGGGAGGCCGAGGCGGGCGGATCACGAAGTCAGGAGATCGAGACCATCCTGGCTAACACAGTGAAACCCCATCTCTACTAAAAAATACAAAACAATGAGCCGGGCGTGGTGGCAGGCGCCTGTAGTCCCAGCTACTCGGGAGGCTGAGGCAGGAGAATGGCGTGAACCCGGGAGGCGGAGGTTGCAGTGAGCCGAGATCGCACCACTGCACTCCAGCCCAGGTGACAGAGCAAGACTCCGTCTCAAAAAAAAAAAAAAAAATTAGCTGGGTTTGGTGGCTGCACACCTGTAATCCCAGCTTCTTGGGAGGCCGAGGCAGGAGAATCTCTTGAATGCAGGAGACAGAGGCTGCAGTGAGCTGACACAGCACCACTGCACTCCAGCTTGGGCAACAGAGTGAGACTTCGTCTCAAACAAAACAAAACAAAACAAAAATTACAGATGATAATTAAGGCTGGGTGAGGATGAAGGATGGAGGTGAACAAGAGACTCCAGAAATCCCAAGAACACATCACCGAGTGACCTGGGAACAGATTGCATGGTGTGGGAGGTCATGGTAAAGGTGGAAGATGATTCCGGGTCTCCCGCCTGGCTGTCCCGGGAGCGGGCGGGAAGGAATATCATTCACTGACTCAGGGAACAAAGGCAGATGAGCAGGTCTTGAGTTCAGAGCCAGTGGATTTGTTTTGGAGCATGTGTAGAAGGACAGAAGCCACATCGCCACATCATAGTTAATTCGCTTTATCTTTACGTGAGAAGTGTTTCTTTTTTGAGATGAGTTTCACTCTGTTACCCAGGCTAGAGTGCAATGGTGCAGTCTCTGCTCACTGCAACCTCCACTTCCCAGGTTAAAGCGATTCTCCTGCCTCAGCCTCCCAAGTAGCTGGGTTTACAGGTGCAGGCCACCACACCCAACTAATTTTTCGTATTTTTAGTAGAGACTGGGTTTCACCATGTTGGCCAGGCTGGTCTCGAACTCCTGACCTCAGGCGATCCACCCACCTCAGTCTCCCAAAGTGCTGGGATTACAGGCATGAGCCACCATGCCGGGCCGAGAAGTCCTTTTATTTAATGCATGTTTATCATAAACAGTTTCAGAAGGACCTATGGCAACTATAGCAGCTATCTCAACTCCTAGAAATTATGCCTTTTAGAGTGTGAGGACAATAGAGGGCTCGAGGAGGAAAAGGACTGAGAAAATAGTGTAGTAAATTTCATGCATCTTGACGTCATTTATATATTAAAGGTAATGGACTTCTAGTTCTGCCACTGTGGAGGATTAGATACTTTCATGACTCTCTCTGCCCACTGAAACAACTAAACTGCTGGATAAAATATTTTAAAACATCCTTTTAGGCCAGGTGCAGGGGCTCATGCCTGTAATCCCACCACTTTGGGAGTCCAGGGTGAGAGGATTGCTTGAGCCCAGGAGTTGGAGGCTGCAGTGAGCTATGATCACATCACTGCACCCAAGCATGGGCAATAGAGGAAGACTCTGTCTCAAAACAAAGACAAAAACAAAACCATTTTAAAACACATTGGTGGGCCAGGCATGGTGGTTCATGCCTGTAATCCCAGCACTTTGGGAGGCCAAAGCAGGCAGATCACTTGAGGCCAAAAGTTTGAGACCAGCCAGGCCAACATAGCAAAATCCCACCACTGCTAAAAATACAAAAAAATCAGCTGGGTGTGATGGCGCATGCCTGTAGTACCAGCTACTCGGGAGGCTAAGGCAGGAGAATTGCTTGAACCAGGGAGTCGGAGGTTGCAGTGAGCCGAGATTGTGCCACTCCACTCCAGCATGGGCAACACAGCAAGACTCTGTCTCAAAAAATATATACATAAATATATAAAAATAAAACACATTGCTGGTCTGGCACAAAGATAAGGCTCCTTAGATCCTACAAATGGCATGAAGTTAAGAATGCTGGTGAGCACTCAGTAAAGGTGTTTTTTTTTTTCCTGAAGGTTCCTATCAAACTCTAGAGAACCTGAGCTTCCTCCTTTGAAAGCTGTAGAGCATACTAGGAGAACTCAGGTGAGAATTTTTGTTTTGCTTCTGTTTTTTTGAGACAGGGTCTCACTCTATCACCCAGGCTGGAGTGCAGTGGTGCATTCACATTCACTGCAGCCTCACCCTGCTGGGCTCAAGTGATCCTCCCTCCTCAGCCTCCCAAGTAGCTGGGACTACAGGCACCACCAAGCCTCGCTAACTTTTTTGTATTTTTTGTAGAGACAGGGTTTCGCCATGTTACCCAGGCTGGTCTCCATCTCCTGAGATCAAGTGATCTGCCCGCCTCGGTGTCCCAAAGTGCTGGGATTATAGTCATGAGCCACCGCACCCGTCCACAGGTAGATTTAATGGTAGATTTCTGCATACAGCAGAACCCTAATGGAGTACACTGTCACTGTAAGAATGAGCAAGAGCTAAACCCTACCAGAGAAACAGCTTTGAAACTTGCCTGTCCCAATCTTAGGGTTGAAAGTAGGAAAAGAAAAATATCTTACCTGAGAACTTGTCATTACAAAGGGGTCCTTACTCAGGTTTGTGACCTGAATTCATGCTATCTAGTAATAATAATAATAATAATATAAAGATGTTATAAACTGGAAGTAGGGTGCTTTAAGATTAGCAGAGGTGGAGTCAACTCCTCTCTAATGGAATTTAACTTTATTCCAGGATTCAAAGGTCACCTACAATGAAGTTCTAAAGAAATGAAGAGCTCACATTAAAAAAAAAAATTACACACACAGGCAAAGAAGCATAGCATCTTGAGTGGAAGTAAATAGAAACCATAGACAGTAAACACAGAGGTCAGGCCCGGTGGCTCCCTCCCACTTTGGGAGGTCAAGGTGGAAGGATCACTTTAGGCCAGCAGTTCAAGACCAGCCTGGGCAAAATAGTGAGGCCCCATCTTTACAAAAAAGTTTAAAAATTAGCCGAGCATGGTAGCAGGCGCCTATAATCCTAGCTACTTTGGAGGCTGAGGCAGGAGGATTACTTGAGCTCAGGAATTCAAGGATTCGAACTGAGGAATTCATTGAGCAGTGGTCACACCAGCCTGGGCAGCAGAGTCTCTAAAAGACAAATAAACAAACCCAGAGACTTCGGATACCCGAATAGAGATACAAATGTGTAAAATCAAAGATGTGCTTAAGCCAGCTGGCGGAGCTCGGGAGAGCTGATTGTGGGCATCTCTTCCCAACTCCACGTGCAGCAATATCATATTGGTAGCCTGACATTGTCCATGGTGGGAATATTTACACCACGGAGGTTGGCAAACTCTAAATTAGGGCTTCTATTTTTTTTTTTTAAAGAGACAGTGATACAGTTGTTTAACATTTACTAGAAGACTGCTGAATATATTTATTTTATTTATTTATTTATTTTCAAATACCAACTCAAATCAGATGCTGAATTTATTTGAAGATTAACAGAGAAGCTTTAAAAAAAATCAGGGAACAGGGACTATAAAGAACAACTGGGCAGGACACATTGGTTCATGCCTGTAATTCCAACACTTTGGGAGGCCGCCCAAGAGTTTGAGACCAGCCTGGGCAACATAGGGAGACCCCATGTTTACAGAAAAATTTAAAAAATTAGCCAGACATGGTGGTGCATGCTTGTAGTCCAGCTACTTGGGAGGCTGAGGTGGGAGAATTGCTCGAGCCCAGGAGGTTGAGGCTGCAGTGAGCTATGATTGCGCCACTGCACTCCAGCCTGGGCAACAGCGCAAGACTCTGTCAAAAAATAAAAATTAAATGAGTAAATTTTACAAAGAACAAAATAAGACTTCTAGAAATGAAAAATATAACTAAAAATGAAAACTTAGTACACAAATTAAATGGTAAATTAGTAGATTTTCTGATTCACTAATTCTGAAGAAGAAAGATGTAAGAGATATGTTAAAAGACATAGAAGACAGGTGTAACATAAAACAAATTGGAGTTTCAGAAGTAAATAACAGAGAAAATGGGAAAGGTAATACTTAAGGATAGGTGTATGTCTTTGTATATATGCATCTCTATTCAAGAGAACATTTATCTTGAATGTGCTCTTGATAAGACTTCAAAGGAAAGAAAAAATGCACTCTGACCTGGAAATTTTGATCTTAGTTTACTAAATGTAATTTGTCTGCATTGACTATTTAGTCTACGTCTTCTAAAACTTCAGAGCAGGCCAGGCATGGTGGCTCACACCCATAATCCCAGGACTTTGGAAGGCTGAGGAAGGAGGATCACTGAGATGTTAGGATTACAGGTGTGAGTCACCACACCTGGCCCAGATTTACCTTTAACTAATAAGACTGTAAGCTGCATAAGACTGGCAATTTTCTTTTTTTTTTCTTTGATTTTTTGTTCATGATTGTTTTCCCTGTTTCTGTTAGTGCCCCACTGGGGTTGATTCATTTATTCAATAAATGAATGAGTTTGTTAGATGGCTACTACACGCCAGGCCTAGTCTAACATATGATGAACATCATTTCCCAGTTGAGGAAACTAAGACATAGCGCTATAAGGGGGCATGTTCAAGCTTATATGTAATAAAGCAGGGATTCAAATCCACTTATACTAACAACATGGCCAGGCGCGGTGGCCGACACCTGTAATTGCAGCACTTTGGGAGGTCAAGGCGGGTGGATTACATGAGGCCAGGAGTTTGAGACCAGCCTGGCCAACATGGTGAAACCCTGTCTCTACTAAAAATACAAAAATTAGCAGAGTGTGATGGCGCACGCCTGTAATCCCAGCTACTCAGGAGGCTAAGGCAGGAGAATCGCTTGAACCGGGAGGCGGAGGTTGCAGTGAGCTGAGATCATGCCACTGCACTCCAGCCTGGGTGACAGACCAAGACTCTCTCTCAGAAAAATAGAAGAATACTGATAAAGGTGGCAGGAATGGTGGTGGTGATGATGGTGGTGATGACAGTGGTGGTGATGATGATGGTGGTGATGATGGTGGTGGTGGTGGTGGTGGTGATGGTGGTGGTGATGGTGGTGGTGGTGGTGATAGTGGTGGTGGTGATGGTGTTGGTGATGATGATGGTCATGATGGTGGTAGTGATGGTGGTGATGGCGGTGATGGTGGTGGTGATGACGGTGGTGATGGTTGTGGTGATGATGGTGATGGTGGCAATGGTGGTGGTGATAATGATGGTGGTGATGGTGGTGGTGATGGTGGTGGTGATGGTAGTGATGTTGGTGGTGATGTTGATGGTGGTGGTGTTGGTGGTGGTGATGATGATGGTGGTGGTGATGGTGGTGGTGATGGTGATGATGGTGGTGATGGTGGCGATGGTGGTGATGGTGGCGGTGATGGTGATGATGGTGGTGGTGGTGATGGTGGTGGTGATGGTGGTGACGATAGCGGTGGTGATGGTGGTGGTGATGATGATGGTGGTGATGATGGTGATGGTGGTGGTGACGATAGTGGTGGTGATGATGGTGATGGTGATGATGGTGGTGGTGATGATGGAGGTGGTGATGACGGAGGTGGTGATGTCATCCTGTAGACGACACGCCACCCACTCTCCCCACTGCTTTCAGTCATAAGCCAGGAGTGAACTCCATATGTCTTGCAGGGAAACCCAAAAAGCAAAGGTAGCAGTCCACAGCCCTGAGCAGCAGCCAAGGTGACTCAGGCTGAGATGCAACAACCTGGTCTGTGGGCAGACAGGCAGCAGCCACAGGGGCCAGCCTGGACGTGCCCATAGATCCAGGGAGCTGATCCTCTTCCTCTCAAGGGGAAGTAGCCACTCCAGCAGATGCTGTGTTCCCAGCCCTCTTCTCCTTTTCAAAATCTGCAGCCCAGTGTTCCTCCCAGGAACGCAGGGTCTGGCCCAGGTTCTGTAACTTACACCTTAGCCGCATCCATAGAGTAAGATGATTGATGCTTTCCTTGAATTATTTTTGGTGATGATAAGATCATATACAGAAAGCATCTAACTCCCCAGTATTCTCACTCAAGAAATGATATCTGAATTTTTAAAATTATATCATCATTGATTTCCAGCTGGAGGAGCAGGAACTAGAGAAGCCAGTTGCCCCCCACCCAACAGGTAGGTGACGTCAAGGACCACCTAAGCTCCTAGCCGTGAACTGGGGAAATAGAGCCTGGGCATTTTACATGTAACCAACTTCACTGCCCCTCTCAACAGATCCCTCAGCACCCTCTCTTTTCCCTGCTTTCAGCCTCAGGCTCCAAGCTTCTCATCCCCAGGGCCCCTAGTGTCTTCAGAGTCAAGACCCAGATCTTGATTGGTAACAGAACCATGACACCAAGCACTAAACTGGTGTTTCCCAAAGTGTGGTTTCTGTGTCACCCTTCTGGCAGGCAGATAACTAAGGGAAAAGGGGTTCACCCATAGGTGTTAAATAACAACCAATCACTTAGTAAGAAAGCCCCCTCTCAATCATCATCATCTTCATCATTATATTAGGTTACACCATATGAAACAGCAATTTTTATGAATCTAAAACAAACAAATATCAGCAGTTTTATATGACTCAATCTAATAGGATTCTTTAGACATATAAAAACTTATAAAGAATAAAGGCCAGATGCAGTGGCTCACGCGTGTAATTCCAGTACTTTGGGAGACCGAGGCAGGCGGATCAGGAGTTTGAGATCAGCCTGGCTAAAATGGTGAAACCCTGTCTCTACTAAAAATACAAAATTAGCTAGGCATGGTGGCACGTGCCTGTAATCCCAGCTACTCCAGAGGCTGAGGCAGGATAATCACTTGAACCCAGGAGGCGGAGTTTGCAGCGAGCCGAGATCATGCCATTGCACTCCAGCCTGGGCAAAAAGAGCCAAACTCCGTCTCAACAACAACAACAAAAAAGTTATAAAGAATAATGGCTAGGCTGAGTGCAGTGGCTCTCACCTGTAATCCCAGTCCTTTGGGAGGCTGAGGCAGGAGAATCGCTGGAAGCCAGGAATTCGAGACCAACCTGGGCAACGTTGTGAGACCCTATTTCTACACAAAATTTAAAAATTACCCAAGCATGGTGGCACACTCCCAGCTACACGGGAAGAGGCTGAGGTGGGAGGATCACTTGAGCTCAGAAGGTTGAGGTTACAATGAACCATGATTGCACCACTGCATTCCAGCCTGGACAACGGAGTGAGATCCTGAATCAGAAAGAAAGAAAAAAAAAGATGAACAGTATTTTCTTTAAAATGACCAGTTTTTTGTGGAAGAGCAGTCACAGAGAGCCCTGATGGCAAATAACTTATGATGATTCTGGAAGGAATTACAGGTTGGTAATCATAGATGACCAATGCTACCATTGGTGTGGAGATTGTACTAGCAGCTGAGCTCATGAGGAGAAGACTCTAGAATACCTATATCTGAATGTTGTACCTTTAGCAACCTGTGTTAAGGGTCTCTTCTTAGAAATGTAGCAGTCCCAGGTCATAGCTTATGGATTCACTTTTACATGTAACACTATACTATGATGAAACAGAAGGAGAGAAGATGATAAAAGATTCAACTATTAAACCTTTAAAACTCACTCACTGTCCCAATGTGTAATTTATTTGAATAACTTTATTTTAACAAACATCAACTTCCTACACTTTGATTAAGTCTATTAAGTTTAATTGGTTAAAGGCATACGAACTCCAGAATGTTTATAAGACATTTCTATCTATTCTTACGGTGATTTTTATTTCTTTCTCTTTTTTTTTCTAGCACAAACAAACCTGCTTTGTGTCTCATAATGCCCATGTGTAAGAATTTTTCTGGCATATATACTGAAGAGTGGAAATCCTGAGTATTATTTAATGATTTTGTAGGCATTACCAAATTACTACCCTAAGCAATTACACCATTCTACATGCTCTCCAACAAAGTAGAATTCCCATTTTTCTATACCCTTAACATTTTTACTTATCTGCTGATGCAAGAGAGCTTTAGCTTGGTGCTACTCTATCTTTAATACCTTTCTAACACTTGCTAACTACCTTTTGTCACAAAAGGAGATAGGTCCCCAGGATCAGAAACTCGAGGAAACTGAAATCTAAACTTTCATATTATCATTTTCCATTCTGCATGGGTTTTTTTGTTACAGTTGCCTACTATTCTTGCACAAGGGATACTGGCTTTCCAATTGTGATAAAGATAGGAAATTTCCTTTTAAAACAAATTAAATCAGTAAGACAGAGTAAAACAAAATATTAGGTAAATAATAGTACAGATTGCATGTGATTTGGAGGAGAAAAAAAATTATGCAGGGAGCTCTGAATAAGTAAAGATGGGAGAAGTAATACACTGGTGATTAATTGCAGGGGAATATTGCTGAGCTCAAGACCAGTGGGTTCTGCAACTAGGTAACACCTCCCTGGAAACTGTAGTATTTCAGAAGTGAAAAATCCTGGGGATCATGTAATCCAACCTATGTGTTTCATGGGTGACGACATTGTGGTCCAGAGAGAGGAAGTTTCTTGCCAGGCACAGTGAGTCAGTGGCCAAGTGGAGGCTGGCACCCAGGTTTTCTTGACTAAGCACATGGCAAGTGGCCACTGGATTGATAGGAACAATCAAAGCAGACTTATTAAGTGATTACGACAGCAGATCCTTGTCCCTGGCTCTGTGCACCCACTGTTTGTTGTTTCATCATCTTGTAATGCAGATCTCCTGCAACCTATCCTTTTAGTTTTCTTTTATCTGAAAATGTCTATTTCTGTCTGCGTTCTTGAGGGATATTTGCACTGAATGTAGAACTCAGGATGAACATATTTTAAAATCTTATCTCTTCTAAGATATTCTTCCACAGTCTTCCAGCCGCCATGGTTTCAAACAAGAAGTCGGTGATCATTCAGGTGTTCTATATGTACTGTGTTATTTTGAACTGGCTGCTTTCACGAGTATCTTTTTAGCTTTGATTTTCAACAGTTTGGCTATTATGTGCCTAGGTGTGGTTTTCTTGTATTTATCCTACTTAGATTTGCTAAGCTTCTCAAATCTGTATTCCTTGGCTATTTTTCTTTTTTCTTTTCTTTCTTTTTTTTTTTTTTTTTTTTGCTTAAAACAACACTAATTTATTTTCTTACCATTACTGTATAAGTCTTACATGGGTATCAACGGGCTAAAATCAAGGTGAATTTGATTCCCTTCCAAAGGTTGTAGGAGAAAATCTATTTCTGCGGTTTTTCAAGCTTCTAGAAGCTACTCACATACCTTGGCTTGTGACTTCCTTCCTTCATCTCTGAAGCCAGTAACATTGTATCTCTTTGACTAGTCTTCCACAGTCACACCATATCTTTTGTCCCCATTTTCTACTTTTTAAAATTTCAATAGTTTTGGGGGAAACAGGTGGTTTTTAGTTACATGGGTAAGTTCTTTAGTGGTGACTTCTGAGATTTTGGTGCAGCCACCACCTGAGCAGTGTACACTGTACCCAATGTGTAATCTTTTATCCCTGCCCCACCCCAACACTTCCCCCAGTCCCCAAAGTCCATTATATCATTCTTATGCCTTTGCATCCTCATAATTTAGCTCCCACTTACAAGTGAGAACATACGATATTTGGTTTTGATGAGGATATTTTCCTTTACATCTTAGATGTCTTTTTCCTCCATGGTTATAATCACAGCTTTAAAAATCATTGTCTGCTAATTTCAACATCAGCATCATCTTGAGGCCAGTTTTCACTGATTGTCTTTTTCTCTTGAAAATGTTACCTTTTTCCTGTTTCTTTATATGTCAACTAATTTTGTTTTTATTTATTTATTTATTTATTTTTGAGATGGAGTCTTGCTCTGTCACCCAGGCTGGAGTGCAGTGGCGCAATCTCGGCTCACTGCAACTTCTGCCCCCTGGGTTCAAGCAATTCTCTGCCTCAGCCTCCCGAGTAGCTGGGATTACAGGCACCTGCAACCACGCCTGTCTAATTTTTGTATTTTTAGTAGAGATGGGGTTTCACCATGTTGACCAGGCTGTTCCTGAACTCCTGACCTCGTGATCCACCCGCCTTGGCCTCCCAAAGTGCTGGGATTACAGGCATGAGCCACCGCGCCCGGCCTATGTCAAGTAATTTTGTATTGAACACAGGACATTAGGGATATGTTGTAAACACTCTGGATTCTGTTATAATCTGAACAGCATTAATATTTTTGGGTTTTATTTCAGTAGGGACATAACTTGGCTGGAATCAAATGCAAAATCTCCTACCCCTACACCCATTGCAGCTCAAATCTTCGTTCAGCTTATTTAGCCTTAGCTGAGCTGCTTGGAGTCTGACCTACGAATATATACATGGTCCAGAAGCCAGCCAGATATTTAGACAATTATATACAGAATTTGGGCTACTCCTTTCTCCTTCTCTGTCTGGGATTTCTACTTTCCAGTAGGTATTTTTGCCCCAAATTCTATCCTCTGATTATAAAGGGCAGTAAACCTTTCTTTTTTTTTTTTTTTTTTTTTTTTGAGATAGAGTCTGACTCTGTTGCCCAGGCTAAAGTGCAGTGGCACTATCATAGCCTACTGCAACCTCAACCTCTCCAGGCTCAAGTGCTCCTCCCACCTCAGCCTTCCAAGTAGCTGGGACCACAGGCATGAAGTCTTAACTGCCCTGCACAGCACTGATTGGAACTTGCCTTCAGACTAAACTCATGAACTGGGAAATTCACCTGTGAAGTTCTCATTTTCCATATATTGACTCCCTTCCAGTATCTGCCTGGCCTGTCACTCTCCAGTGCCTTCAGATAGTTGTTTTTTATATTCTCCCCAGAGTTTATAGTTGTTACCTGTGGTAGCGTTGATCATATGGGAGCTGGTCAGCCACACTGGAAATGGAAATCCTTTGTCTCATTTAAATGAATAATGCAAATGGCCCCAGCTGAGAGATGGTAATCCTGAGTCTGGAAGGAAACAAAGTCACGGCATGTTACAGAATGGGCAGGAGAACAGTCGCCTATGGTTCTTTAAAACTGGGTTGGGGATTTTTAGAATCATAAACCAGACTGGCTTCTATGCAAATCCTCTGTTTTGTGCATTAGTAAGTTGGGGATAGTATTAACAAATAGTCAGTGTTCGTTAAGTGCTTACTAGGTCCAGTGTAGAGACCCTTAAATGCATATGAGCTTCGATTGCTTTTAGTGGGAAATTTTGCAGAGGAGGAGACTGAGGATTTGTGAGGTTAAACTCAGGGTGATAGTAATTTGCATGATTAATCAATAATAATGATGGTTCATATTTATTGTATTATTATCATGTTGTAGATAATGCACTAGGGACTCTATTTATGTTATCTCATTTAATCCTCCCAACAACCCTATCATGTAAGTACTGTTAACAGAGACTAAAAATGCTAAGTAAGGCAGGCGTGGTGGCTCACACTTGTAATCCCAGTACTTTGGGAGACTGAGGCAAGAGGATCACTTGAGCCCAGGAATTCAAGACCAGCCTGGGAAACAGAGTGAGACCCTGTCTCTACTAAAAATAAAAAAATAAAAAATTAGCGGGGCATGATGGTGTGAGTCTGTAGTCCCAGCTACTGGGAAACAGAGATGGGAGGTTTGTTTGAGCCTGGGAAGTTGAGGCTGCAGTGAGTTATGATCACGCCACTGCACACCAGCCTGGGCAACAGAGCAAGACCCTGTCAAAAAAAAAAAAAAGGCTATGTAACATGCCCAAAGTCACATAATTGGCAAGGAGCAGCAGATCTGGGACTTGAACATAGGCAGATTAGCTCCAAGCCTATTTGCTTAACCTCTATACCACAATGCCTTCTTGCTATGGTAAAACATCTGAAAAGACCTATTACCCTATAGGTCCTCTAAGGAGGCATGTCGCCTTCCTCTTAGCAATACTAGATTGGCTCCAACAGAAGGCTGTGGGCTTCTCTGGCACATGCACCTGGGTAGGACCCAGAGAATATCTGTGGAGTCTGAATCAACCCAAAAGCCAATATCCATCCGTTCATCAGGAACCCCAGCCTACAACGCAAAAGAGGAAATCTTCCTAAGTAGAAATAAACTGTAATAAATTGCAGAGGTTCCCTCGTCCTGGTTTTCACTTCATGTTTTGGATGCTGCATGCTGGGTGAGCGGAGATTCCAGGCACTGGCCAGGGCAGCTGCCCTGACTCCAAGGGCTGCCATGAACAACTTCCAGGCCATCCTGACTCAGGTGAGAATGCTGCTCTCCAGCCATCAGCCCAGCCTGGTGCAGGCCCTCTTGGACAACCTGCTGAAGGAGGACCTCCTCTCCAGGGAATACCACTGCACTCTGCTCCATGAGCCTGATAGTGAGGCTCTGGCCAGGAAGATCTCTTTGACCCTACTAGAGAAAGGAGACCTGGATTTGGCCCTCCTGGGGTGGGCCCGGAGTGGGCTGCAGCCCCCAGCAGCCGAGAGGGGCCCCGGCCACAGTGACCATGGTGGTAAGTTGGCATCACTTTTAATCAAGGAGAAATGACAGACTGTAGACAGCTCAAGGATTTTCCCTCCTCTCTGAAAGGGAAGTCAATGGGAAGGCAGACTGGTGAGAAATCCAAGTGTCTAGTGAGCTGGCAGGAGCAGTGAAAACTTGGAGCACTGTCTCTGTTGCTGGGTGTGCTGGAGCGAACGGCGTGCTTCCCACTCTGCTGGAAGGAACCATCCCAGGGGCACGCAGCCAAATGCCTGCTTGGGTTCACTCCCTGAGCCCTGACGATACACCAACATTAACGGGGCATGGATGGACAGATCAGCTCCTGCCTTCAAAGGGGTCTGCTGTCTAGTGGGGAAGATGGATGCAGGCACAATCAGTGTGAGTCAAAATGAGAGAAATGGGGCCGGGTGCACTGGCTCACGCCTGTAATCCCAGCATTTTGGGAGGCCAAGGCAGGTGGATCACCTGAGATCAGTTCGACACCAGCCTGGCCAACATGGCAAAACCCTGTCTCTACTAAAAAATACAAAAAACAGCCAGACATCCTGGTGGGTGCCTGTAGTCCCAGCTACTCAGGAGGCTGAGGCAGGAGAATTGCTTGAACTGGGAAGGCAGAGGTTGCAATGAGCCGAGATCACGCTACTGCACTCCAGTCTGGGCAACAGAGCAAGACTCCATCTCAAAAAAAAAAATAGAGAAATGGGGTGCAGAGAAAGGAGGAGCCAGAGAAAAAGCTGAAAGCAGAGCCCACTGTGTGTGTTGGGGGGGGGCATGTGTGCGTTTGCATGCATTTGCTTGTGTGTGCATGTGTGTGTCTGTGTGACACACAGAGACAGAAACCGAAAGACAGAGGGAGAGCGAGAAAGGAAGGGAGAGAAAGACAGACACAGAAAGAGACAGAGAGACAGGCAGAGACAGGGAGAAAAGGGAGGGAGAGGAAGGAAGGTGGAGGCTGATGGAGGAAGAGAAAAAGGGAGAAGGTGGGGGAAAGAAAGAGAGAGAAAGAGAGAATAAGAACTCGCTTACGGGAGAGAGAATGAAGGCCTTATTTTTAAGAGCGTTGGTGGCACACAATCATCTCAAACCAGAAAGACAAGCCTGCACTGTCCTCTTTCCACTCACATCCTTGGCTCCTCCAACTTTTTACGTCTCCTACCCACTTACAAAGAAGTCCTCCCTTCATTGTAATGTCACAACTTTCTTTCTTTTTTTGAGACGGGGTCTGTTCTCTTGCCCAGGCTGGAGTGTAGTCGCATGATCACAGCTCACTACAGCCTCCATTTGCGGTGCTTAAGTGATCCTCCCACCTCAGCCTCCCAACTAGCTGGGACTACAGGCATGCACCACTATGCCTGGCTAATTTTTTTTTAATTATTTTTTGTAGAGATGAGGTCTCACTATGTTGACCAGGCTGCTTGCGAACCCCTGAGCTCAAGCGATCCTCCCACCTTGGCCTCCCAAATTGCTGGGCTTACAGGCATGAGCCACCACACCCAACCTGGTCATAACTTTCTAAAGACGGTGTTTGTTCCATCTCCTTCTGAAATGCAAGTCTTGAGAGAATAACAGTGATTGACATTGATTATTTAGTGTGCCAGAAACAGCCTAAGCGCAATCTAGAACCCTCTTACTTCTCCCTTGACCTTGAGCCCTTTGATCCCCATCCTTATTTAACACTTAAAGAAGAAAACAGACTCTGCCCAGGGGTGACGCAACTTGCCCAGGTCCCCCAGGTGGGAAGCGGTGAAGACTGGATTTGAAGACAGACAAGCTTTGATCTTCAACTTAGCCTTCAGGGCATCAAATGCATTTTGGCGGCCTTATCTTGGGCACCAGGGCAGTGTTGTTTACCAGCTTTCCTGCCAAGACAACATTTCTACAGGGCTGGTTCTTCTTGTGGTCAAATTCTCACCCAAGTGGTTTCCATCGTCTATTGGACTCCTCTTTAATTCTCTTCCTCCTAACAGTCACCTAGGCAAAGGGGCATCTTTACCACCCAAACATTCTCCCTTGGCTTCTCAACAGGGGCGCAGACAGCCAGTGTGGTCTTGATGGTGGCACAGATGCCACCTGGGGGAGAAGCCAGAACCTTCCTCTCTCCCTGGCTGCAGCCCCTCCTGCCCCAGCCACATGTGCCTTCACTGCCGGACACTTCAGCCCCTCCCACCCCCTCTTTCCGAGAGTGCTGGTTCCTGTTATTTAACTCTGTTTCCTCCCTCGGGAGGTAATATATTTATTTCTGATCCCACGTGACTCCAGAAAGTGGAACTGCACTCGGGGCCCAGTGTGGTCTTCGGGGAGCTGGGAGGGGTGCAGGGCAAGTTGCTCTTTTCCTGCTTTCTCTTTCTGCCCTCCAGCCAGCTTCCCTCCAGGGCTGCCAGGCTTGACCTGCGACAGTGGGCAGGTGTGCTGCTGCTGGGCAGCTCTCAGAGGGGAAGAAAGAGGACAGGGCAAGAGAATTGCATGGTTTGTAAACAAAGGGCACTGACTTTCATTTTGATGGGGGTTCGGAAAAGGAAATCATCCATGTGGGGTTTTTGTGACCCTCCCTCTCAACCACTCTATAATGACCTTGGCCCTCTGCTGTGCTAAACGCTGCACTGGCTCCCACGTTACTCAGAGAAAAAGCTAAATCTGGACAATGGCCCACAAGGCCTTTCCTACCTCATCAGCTCCCTGCTCTCATCCCCTACTCCTGTCTGCCTTGTTCATCTACTCCAGCCATGTTGGCACCCTCGCTGTTCCTTAGACACGCTCAGCACACTGTCTGCCTCAGAACCTTTGCACATGCCGTTCCCTCTGCCTGGAGCACTGTTCTCTAAGCATTTTCTTGGTCAACCTCCTAAATTCCTTCTATTCTTTGCACCTTATCAATGAAGCCTGCCCTGACCAAGCCATTTAGAATTGCAACTCCTCCCTCCACACTCTGAGCCCCCTCCCCAGATTGATTTTTTCCCCACTTTTTTTTTTTTTGATACAGAGTCTTGCTCTATCGCCCAGCCTGGAGTGCAGTGGTGAGATCTCAGCTCACTGCAACTTCCATCTCCCAGGTTCATGCAGTTCTCATGCCTCAGCCTCCCAAATAGCTGGGATTACAGGTTTGTGCCACTATGCCTGGCTAATTTTTGTATTTTTAGAGACAGGGTTTCTCCAAGTTGGCCAGGCTGGTCTTGAACTCCTGACATCAAGTGATCCGCCCACCCCACAAAGTACTGGGATAACAGGCATGAGCCACTGCGCCTGGCTCCCCACCTTCTGTATATCTTACTTTTGTATTACGTGTGTGTTGTTTATTGTTTGACCCTCCCACTGGAAAATAAACTCCACATGGACATGGATCTATGTTTTGATCACAATATGTCCCAAATACCTAGCACAGGGCCTGAGCACAGGGTAGGTATGCAATATATATTTGTTGAATGTTCAGTGGATGGATGCGTTGATGAGTGGGTAGATGGATGAATGGATAGTTCATGTAATGCCATTATTCCTACTTTACCAATGAGTAAACTGAGGCACAGAGAAGTTAATGATTTGCCTCTGGTCATGACCTGAGGAGGGAGACTATGGGGTCTCATGAGTCCTGGCCAATTGCAGTACTTCCTGCAAAAAAAAAAAAAAAAAAAAAAAAAAAAGTACTGCTTTAGCTTCCTCTTCTAAACAACCCAAGGGGCTACCGTAAATCTACCCCAAATAGGGTGGCAGTCTTCAAACTGAAACCAGCCTGATGATTCAGAAGTCCCCTTCAGATATTGCAGTGCCTTAGGTGCAATTGTGCAGAAAGCCCAGTTCTGGAGATGGGAGCTTAGGGGTTTCGCTCTGTGCTACACTGAGCAACCTGTGTGCATCCAGCCCCAGGAAAGTTCCAGTGAGTCCCAAGAGTCAAAGTCCTTGCCCTGGAGGAACTCAGGTGCCTCAGTGGGAAGTTAAAGCAAACATTTAGGCAGTCCCTGGTCAACAGTGGGTCACAACATCTGAACAACATCTATCAGAGGCCAAAGAAGGGGGAGCTAGGATGGGTGATGATGGAAAAAGAACCAGGCTGGAGGCTGGACAGCTGGACAGCTCTGGATCTGAAGCCATGTTCTGCTCCTTACGTACCATGTGACCTTGGCCACATGACTAGACCACTCGGAATCTCAGTTTCTTCATCTCTGAAATGGGAGCAATGATACGAATCTCCCAGGGCTCTAGTGAGGGTTAAATGAGATGGTAGGTAGAAACCTTCCAAGGCAGTGCTTGGCATTAGGTCGCACTGTATAAATATCAGACCACTCTGAGTCTAACAGCAAGGAGAATGGAACAGGAAGAAGATAAACCAGGGGTTTGAGGCACCAAGAAAAATAATTACTGCAGTCTGGGGGCCCCAGACAATATCTAGACACCTACCCCATGCAAAATGCAGTGCTGAGTGCTTGGGTACTGTGCATATTTGAGAAACAAATCAATGTGGCCCCTGCCCTCGAGTTGAACTGGCACATGGGCCATGTCCTCAGACAGCCTGAGTGCCTGTCCTGCCTTCCCAATTCCAAGAGGTATGACTTTGAGCACTTCCCGGGCGCCCCGCCTCAGTTTCCCCATCTATAAAGTGGAGATGATAATAGCATTCAGAGTCACTGATCTAAGGGCTCAGGGACACCATTCAGTGTAAGCCCCATACACTCCCTGCAAGAGGAAGCTGGTTCTGACTCAGCCTTGAGGCTGGCGTCTGAGGCAACCACAAGCCCAACGTGCATGGTGGAAAGATGACTGTAAGTGGGGGCAACCTCAGCTGGCCTTGGGTTTGACCATGGAATGCGAGGCACAAAGGGGCCCATTTTGCATACTTTCTCAGAGGCTGTAGGGCACCCCTGCCAGGGTCTTACATTTTATTGATTCCTCTGACTCTACTTTGTTGGTTGTTTTTGTTGTTCTGATTTCATTGCGTGACATTTTTGCCCATGAGGTCTCAGTTCTAGGAATGACAGAACAAAGGCTCCCTCTGGGAAGTCGCCTGATTTATTGGAAAGGGAGGAACACCCCACCCTTAGGGATCGCTAAGCTCCCTTCCTCCAGCTTCCTTCCCCATCTGGCCCTTAGGATGTGAGAAACCAGAGCTGTGACACACCAGAGAGGAGAGAGGCTGTGCCCTCTCACCTTCTGGGCTTCCTTTCCTGAGAACCAGCCCCTGTTCTGATTTTGGGAGTCTCCTTTGCCTCAGGGAGGGGGATGTGTTGGCGAGGAAGACTCGTGCCTTTCATCTTGGACTGCTTCTCTGGCCCTCTACCCCAGGAACCACAGAAGGAGACACACCTGTACCCGGAAGCTGGCATTTCCCCATGGGTTTTCCCAGGCCAGCCTGTTCCAAACACAGCTTGCCCCCAAGCCTGGCACTTCTCCAACCAGTCACGGTTTCTGTTCTCTGTTGCTATGACCTTGAGCAGTTCACCTGCGTTCCTTACTGTCTACTTTCCCATCCACCTACCTGCCTGCCCTCCAACTTTCCTGATCTGTGTACCTACCTTCCTATATCTACTTCTTTTTATTATTATTATCATTATTCTCACCCTGTCTTTTTTTTAATTTTTTTTGGGTGGGGGGGACACAGTCTTGCTTTGTAGCCCAGGCTGGAATGCAGTGGCGTGATCTCAGCTCATTATAACCTCTGCCTCCCAGATTCAAGCAATTCTCCTGCCTCAGCCTCCCGAGTAGCTAGGATTACAGGCGCCTGCCACCATGCCGAGCTAATTTTTATATTTTTAGTAGAGACAGGGTTTCATCATGTTGGCCAGGCTGGTCTCAAACTCCTGACCTCAAGCAATCCACCCATCTCAGCTTCCCAAAATGCTGGGATTATAGGCGTGAGCCACTGTGCCCAGCCTCTCGCCCTGTCTTATGGTGGTAATCTACTTCTCAATTTATCTATTTATATCTACTGTCTACATACTTATACACTTATTTACTCATGTCTACTTATCAGTTAATCCATTTCTCTACCTACCTAATCACCCATATATTTCCCATGTATTTACATGTCAAAGTATTTCCCTGCATTCCTACCAGCTAAGCCCCCTTTACAACAATCCATCAGCAGGTCCAGGTTCTCATACACCCTCCCATGTCCCTCCCTAATTTGGATACATAGCAGTTGTATTCTACTCACCTATCTCCCTATTCACCGATCTCTTTCTCTCCCTTTCTTGCCTCCTTTCTTTCCTTCTCCTGAATCATTTATTTAGCACCTGCTAGAAATTATGGTGGACTCCCCATCCAGTGCTCTTTCACCAAAAAGCATGAGATGAAGAAGGACTTTTAACCTAGTAGGGGAGGAATCTTCATCCATTTGGAACTGGAGGCTGCCTTGATCATTCAAATCTAAAACTCCATTCATTCCTTCAAATGGTCTTAGAATAGTGTATCTTCTATTTTATTATTTTATTTTATTTTTTGAGACAGGGTCTTGCTCTGTCGCCAAGGCTGGAGCACAGTGGCGCAATCACAGCTCACTACAGCCTCAATCTCCTGGGCTCAAGACATCCTCCCATCTCAGCCTCCCAAGTAGCTGGGACTACAGGCATGCACCACTATGCCCGGCTAATTTTTTTATTTGTGGTAGAGATGAGGTCTCGCTATGTTTCCCACGGCTGGTCTCAAACTTCTGGGCTCAAGCGACATACCTGCCTTAGCCTCCCAAAGTGCAGTGTGCCACTGCACCTCGCCTGATAATGTGTCTTTCAAATGCTCAGTCTTGTGTAGGTATTGGGGTAAGTGCAGAAAATTAAAGACCTGATCCTAGACATTAACAGATGTATGATCTAATCAGAGGTAGCAGAGATGATGCTTATGAACTTGAAAGTTAAAGTTGTATTGCCAAATAATGTTGCAGCAAGTTTTGTAAAACACAGCAAAGCAAGAAAATTATAGTTAGCTGGAAGCGCGATGAAGGTGGGAACTCGAGCTTTGCAGGATGGCTAAAATATAGACCAAAAGGGAGAAGGCAGGAGAGCAGCACCGGGAGGGAGCAAGCTCCCAGCATTCTTCCTTGGCTTGCAGGGAACCAAGGTGCAAAGGTAGGACTGAGCAGAATCTGTTTTGGGAGACTGCAGCAAGGACCGGCAATTTTTCCAGAACAACTGTTCTTTACTTGGAAGACCTAGTTACTCCCCATCTCTCCCTGGGACTTGCCAGGGGACCCCAGCATGGCAACCTTAATGATGGTTCTGCTGGGTGCTAGTGGTTGCTGGCATGCTAGTTTCTGACTCGAGACAAATAAATTCAGATCCCTAGGGTAAGACCGGCTTCAGCAGCACCTCTCCTGACAGGGGTCCCGTCTCAGGAGAGAACTGACTTTGTCCCAAGCAGACCTGGGCTCGGGGAATCCTCATCACCTCTGCAAGAGTTTTTTGTTGTTGCTGTTGTTGTGTTTTGTTGTGTTTTGTTTTTGTTTTTGATTTTTTGAAATAGAGTCTCGCTCTGAAGCCCAGGCTGGAGTGCAGTGGTGTGATCTCGGCTCACTTGCAACCTCCACCTCCCCCAGGTTCAAGCAATTCTCCTGCCTCAGCCTCCCAAGTAACTGGGATTACAGGCGTGCACCACCACACCTGGATAATTTTTCTATTTTTAGTAGAGACAGGGTTTCACCATGTTGGCCAGGCTGGTTTCGAATTCCTGACCTCAGGTGATCCGCCCGCCTCAGTCTCCTAAAGTGTTGAGATTACAGGCGTGAGCCACCACGCCCGGCCTGCAGGAGTCTTTAAGAGGCAGGAACAAGGATGCAGGTGTTTCAACAGAGAGGAAGCCTGGGGTGGGCTTCATTCCTCCTCGTGCTCTTTGCCCCCATTCACTCAGTGCTAGAGGTTGTCATTCTGCCTCTGAGACATCCGGCCCCCTCCCTCTCCATCCCCACACCCTCACCTGCCACAGCTGAAATCCAGGTGTGCCTCAGCTCCTGGCTGGGTACCACTGCCACTCATCTGTAGACTCTCTACCCTGGTGCCTTCAGGTGCCAAAGTGCATCCTCTGCCATCAGTCAAACACACAGTTTGACGGATGTCACTTGCTCTGCTCAGAGACCTGCACCGACACAGGCATGGTCAGGTTCAGGTCTTGTGGACAAGAACTGGGTCTGGAGGAGTCAGGGAAGATGTAGATGAGGAAGGTGGTACTGAAACGAACCTCTGGTACAGGGAAGATGTACCAGGCAGCTGCAGTCACCCAGGTGAGAGATGGTAGTCCTGGCTGGCCCATTCTAAGTTCCAAAGCTGCCTTGGCCATCGGTCTGAGGGTGGGATGGGGGGACATCAGAACCAGCTGTCTCTGAGAACATAAAGGGACCCCCATATGGGACCTCAAGACAGCTGAGCAGTCAGAGGCGCCTCTCCCGTGGCACCAGGTCATAGGATAATGAGACTTCTTAGAATTTCTTTCTTTTTTTTTCTTTTTTTTGAGACTGAGTCTCACTCTGTCACCCACGCTTGAGTGCAGTGGCACTATCTAAGCTCACTGCAACCTCCACCTCCCGGGTTCATGTGATTCTCATCCCTCAGTCTCCCGAGTAGCACACGCACCATCACGCCCAGGCTAATTTTTGTATTTTTAGTAGAGAAAGGATTTTGCCACGTTGGCCAGGCTGGTCTTCAACTCCTGACCTCAAATGATCTGCCCACCTCAGCCTCCCAAAGGACTAGGATTACAGGCATGAGCCACTGTGCCTGGTCATTCTTAGAATTTCTGACATTCACCATATCCGTTTGTTAGCCCCACTAAGCAAGGCTGTTTCAAATTGACTCAGCATTTCTTATTTGTCAATTTCTACCCCACTCCTCACCCGGGGACTTCTGAAAACAGTGAAGGCTTCAAAGTAATCACCTTACAAAGAAGGGCATCATCCTCATTTCACACATGGGGAAACTGAGGACCACAGAGAGGAAGTAAAGAGGCCAAGGTCACACACCTGCTACTAAGTTCCCCGTCCAGTGCTCTTTCAGCAAAAATGCATGAGGCACACAAGTCATGTTTCCAAACCTTCATTTCAGTACCACCTTCATCATTTTTGTGTTTTCCACATAACACTTTACTATTATTTATGACAGGGTTTTTTTTAACCACTCACCTTTTTTACTTATCTTTCTTTTCTTTTTCTTTAGGAGAGGCAGGATCTCACTCTGTTGCCCAGGCTGGAGTGTATTTCATGATCATAGCTCACTGCAGCCTCCAACTCCTGGGCACACTCGATCCTCCCACTTCAGCCTCCAGAGTAGCTGGGACTATAGTTGTGCACCATCATACATGGCTAATTTTTAAAAAATCATTTGTAGAAAAATTAGCTGGATGTAGGAGAATGGCGTGAACCCAGGAGGCGGAGCTTGCAGTGAGCCAAGATAGCGCCACTGCAGTCCAGCCTGGGCGAAAGAGCGCGACTCCGTCTCAAAAAAAGAAAAAAAGAAAAGAAAAGAAAAATTAGCTGGACATAGTGGCAGGTGCCTGTAATCCCAGCTGCTCGGGAGGCTGAGGCAGGAGAATCAGTTGAACCCAGAACCCGGGAGGCGGAGGTTGCAGCGAGCCAAGATCATGCCATTGCACTCTAGCCTGGCAATAAGAGTGAAACTCCGTCTAAAAAAAAACAAAAACAAACAAAAAAAACCCCAACAATTTGTAGACATAGGGTGTCACTATGTTGCCCAGGCTAGCCTCCAACTCCCGGCTTCAAGCAATCCTCCTGCTTCGGCCTCCCAAAATGTTGGAATTACAGGCACAAGCCACCTGGCCCAGCCATCTACTTTATATTCAAATAAAACTTTACGTCCCATTATAAAGGGAAAAAATGGCAAAAACAGGAGGTAACCATTTAACAAGAAAGCAGAGTGATGTTAGATTATAGCAAGATACTGTTGACTGTAGAAGGCTCTGAGGCTAGAGAGCTGCTTTCTATAAAACAGAGTGATCATATATTAGAAGAGGTGTTAAAGACATGTTCACACCAAGCTGAGACTTCCTCCTTGATACCACCAGGAGGATGGGCAGAGACTGGAAAAGACACTAACTTTCTCCCTATGGGAGTCAGTATTATTTAGCATCACTTTGGCGGGTCACCCCAAACCATCTGACTACAAGGGTACCATATTTGGGTTAACACTCTTTTGGTATAATTTATGTTTTAGTCCAATGTCTTGGGATGAAAATGACAGGTGGGCCACTTATGATCTCCAGAGAAATTCAGGGCAATTTGGTGTGGGAGTAGGCATGGTAGAGGAGAGCAGCATCTAAGAAGTCCCCAGCAGAGGCTCTCAGCTTGTCTTGAGGCATCTGGGCGGAGGGCTATGATACTGGCCCCATCCTGCAGAAGGTGGCAGATATTGGCAGCTGGCACCAGTGCGGTTCCATTGTGATCATCATTTCTGAACGTCAGACTGTTGAAGGTTCCCCCAACAGACTTTCTGTGCAACTTTCTGTCTTCACCAAATTCAGTCCACAGTAAGGAAGTGAAATTAATTTCAGAGGTGTGGGGAGGGCTTAAGGGAGTGTGGTAAAATTAGAGGGTGTTCAGAAACAGAAATCTGACCGCTTGGGGCCACCTTGCAGGGAGAGTTTTTTTGATGATCCCTCACTTGTTTCTTTGCATGTTGGCTTAGCTTGGCGGGCTCCCAACTGGTGACTGGTTAGTGATGAGGCTAGTGATGAGGCTGTGTGCTTCTGAGCTGGGCATCCGAAGGCATCCTTGGGGAAGCTGAGGGCACGAGGAGGGGCTGCCAGACTCCGGGAGCTGCTGCCTGGCTGGGATTCCTACACAATGCGTTGCCTGGCTCCACGCCCTGCTGGGTCCTACCTGTCAGAGCCCCAAGGTAAAAAGGCCGGGAAAGCATCTTAATTTAGCGTGCAGTCTCAGCTGGTCCTGCCATTCCAGATAAACAGAGAAACCATTCTGAATTGGGGATGGGGGTGAGGATGGGAACAGGAGTCTGTGTCCTGCTGGGGCAGGCCATTGGAAGATGTGAAAGAGTTGTCTATTTCCTTCCACCGGAGGGAGACTTCAGGTCAGCCAGGTGTCTGGAGTATGAACCATGTATCAGCACCGAAAGGTTCTAGAAGTCAGACTTTCGGGCAGTGTGTCACTAACTCTCAGCATGCTGGCCTGGCTCGGCCCACAGCAAGGTCTTCTCGCCTCCCTTTGGGTAAATACTGAGGGGTGCCTCTGCAGGACGGGACCTCTGCCAGACTCCACTCCATACCCAGAGAAGCAGGGAAACCAAAATTGGAGTCAGCCTTGAGGTGTAGCTGTTGAGCCCTCAGCAGCTGGGGAGAGCTGGCGGATGCTGCCCTCCCCCCAGTTTCCTAATGGTGTTGTTTAAAAAGGGTCAGGGGACGGGGGAACAGATGGTGGGAAGAGCACAGTGCAGACACCTGGCACCGGCTCTGAAGGCAGCATGGCAGCTACACCGTTGGCTGGGAAGGGTGTGCCCCTGAAGAAGTCGTTTACATTCTCGAGTCAATTTTCCTGGAGTGTACAATGGACCTGTGGGAAAGCCTGTATGAAAGGGTAATGATGAGGGACCTAGCACAGTGTCCAATATTTTATAGGAACTGGAATTGAGCTCATAGGAGCTCAATTTTATTGGCATTGCTGTTGTTGGATGGTTAAAGGGGTGGTATCCCTTTTCTCAGACTCCCCTGAAATGTATGGTTTGCTTTGAACCCAGAGACTGATGACAGGTCTGCCGGTGTGGTTGGGTGCAGCCTTAAGTTGCTACGGGAAAGTGTTGGAGGGGGAGAAGTCAGAGGTAACCTTGCCCCCTCCCTCAATTCCAGATGAGGAAATTCAGGCCTGAAAAGGGAAAGTGACCACCTCAAAGTCTCATGCCTTGGAGGACCCAGCAGGAATCCAAGACCTCTGAAAAGGACCGGCAGGGCTCTTGCCACGGCTGGGGGTGTGGTCATGGTAACACAGGTTTTCCATCCATGGAAGGTACCTGAGGGATTTTCTCTTCCTCCCTAGGGCCAGCATCAGAGGAGTGAATAGCTCAGTTAGCTCATCTCAGGGGCCATGTGCCCTCGGAGGTGGTTTGCCACTTTCACGGTTGGACTGAGTTGGAGAGAAACAGAGACCCACCCAGGGGTGGGGACAAGCTCCCTGCAACTCAGGACTTGCAGATCACTTGCCCAAGTGGCTCCCTAGCTCCTGGCTCCTGGCCCGGGGCCTGGGACTCTCCCCGAAGTGGGGCTGGCCACTGTGAGGAACCGACTGGAGGCAGGGACCTCTTGGATGCCCCAGGCAGTTGGGATGCCACTTCTGATAAAGCACGTGGTGGCCACAGTAGGTGCTTGGTTGCTCCACAGCCTGGCCCGAGCTCAGCGCTGCAGAAAGAAAGTGAAAGGGAAAAAGAACTGCGGGGAGGCGGGGAGGTAGGATGACCAGCGGACGAGCTGCCACAGACTTGCCGCGGCCCCAGAGCTGGCGGGAGGGAGAGGCCACCAGCAGCGCGCGCGGGAGCCCGGGGAACAGCGGTAGGTGACCAAAGTCTCCTCTGTAACCCCTAAGGTCGGGCTGAGAATCGAGGCTCCGAGACTGTCAGCTACTTGCTCAAGGTCACACAGCAAGTCTGGGAGGATGGGGGGATGGAATATGCAAAATGTAGGGCCGGGAAACACCTCGTTTCCAGCATCCCCGCAACGACTCTGCGCGGGAACCAGGAGCCGGGAACCCGGAGCTTGGCTTGCTGTGCCCAGAGCTCCGGGGCCGTGGGCGGGTGGCAGGAAAGCCTGGCGGCAGCTTCTGCAGAGAAGCCGGAGCGCAGACTGGGAGCGCGGAGCAGACACACTCCCCCGGCCACCCTTGGCCGACTCCGCGCGCCCGGGATCCTGCAGAGGTGCGCGCCCTTCTTGTACGCCAGACTTTGGACCAGGGCCGCCGTTCCCTGAGCTTCACTTTCCCTGTTGGGTCATATTCCATCTCTAACTCTGGAATCTTGGGTATTGGGCTCTCCAGGCGGGGGGCCCTGCTCAGGGAGGCAGTAGGGAGCCAAACCTTTAACCAGAGGATGGGATAAGTCCTCAACTCTCGTTGAACATCTTGGCGAAGGTGTGTGTTGTTGGGAGGGGTGGGGGAGGGATCCCCCCGGACTGAACCGATCTCTTGATCTCTCACTTCTCTACCTCGCTTTGGGGCCCTGAGTCACACCCTCTAAGGAGAGAGGCTAAAGCGCCCCGGAAAGCCAGCGTGCGAATGCCGGGGTGGGAGTGGGAGATTGGATCTCCCTGGGGTCCAGGAAAGCCGGAATCGGAGCCACCATGCTTAGCTTAGTCTGGAACTCTTAAAAGCCGCGGTCCTCCTGAGTCCCACAGCCCCTCTCCACCCTAGGTGGCACAGGAGAGGTGGCAAAAGCCTAGAAGTTCAAGGCATGGCTCCCTCCCCAGCCGCAGCCTGGAGTGTCTAACTTTGGCAGGAAGTCTTCCGTTTCTGCTCCCCACTCCAGAGAAAAAATAAATAAATACTTCTCCGGAGTGAGATTAAGGAAACAGGTACTTCTTCCTCTTGGAGAAAGAGGAGCCAAAGGAACTTGACTCCAACAAATGATCACCTTGCAAACCCCCGGCTCCCTTAGGGGATGACCTGGTCTCCAACAATCTCAGAGCGTTTGGAGGCAGGGTCTTTGGAGATGACTGAGTGGGGAATCCCAGGCTCCCCACACATGAACATCACCTGGGATGATCAACCTGTTCAGGATGTAGGTTCCCGGGCTCACCCCCAGGCCCGGTTGGCTAGGCCTGGGGTGAGGCTGAGATCCTGCAGGTTAAACCATCTATCCCAGGTGACTCCAATGTTCGTTTGTGGGGCAAAAGTCCCTCAAGTCAGAGACACTGGGAGGCGCTGATGTGGTCTCATCTCTTTACTCTCTCCCTGTTACAAAACCTCTATCAGAAAAGGAGTACCAGGAGGTGTTTTGTTTTGTTTTGCTTAACGCCACATAGCAAGCAGTTTGCAGACGCAGGATTTGAACCCTGGTCTACTGAGAGCCCAGCCCAGTGCAGCAAGCAGATGTGAACCTCCACAAATGCAGGGCAGGTCCCAGGCAGTCAGAGAGAAACCTGTTGATACCCAGTCTGTCTGATGGCTGGGGCTTGGTTTCATGTCCTAAGACCCAGCCTCAGATACCTTGAGAAGAGCAGAATCAGAAATTAACCCAAGGAAACTCTGGATTAGTTCCAGGCAATCAGGGAAGTGGCTGGAGGGAGGTAGGAAACTTCTGGACTTAGCCTCAGATTTGCCTTGAGTCACACTGACAAGTGACTTCCCCTCTCTGAGGTTCATCTGTAAAATGGATAAAACATGAGAGCTTGCTTGATGATGTCTGATGTGTACAGAAAAAGCACTTTAGAAAACCACCAAAGAATATTCATGCATTGGGAATAATTATTATAGATCCTAAAGGGATTGTTTAGAAAGATCAGAGAGGGGCCGGGAGCAGTGGTTCACACCTGTAATCCTAGCACTTTGGGAGGCCGAGGCGGGTGGATTGCTTGAGGCCAGGAGTTCAAGACCAGCCTGGGCAACCTGGAGAAACCCCAACTCTACTAAAACACTTTTTTGTGTTTTAGCCGGGCATGGTGGTGCACACCTGTAATCTCAACTACTTGGGAGGCTGAGGCACGAGAATCACTTGAACCCAAGAGGCGGAGTTTACCCGAGAGGTGGAGGTTACCCGAGAGCTGAGATTGCACCACTGCACGCCAGCCTGGGCAACAGAGCAAGACTGTCTCAGGAAAAAAAAAAGAGAGAGAAAAAAGTCAGAGAGGAAAGCATAGGCAGATGGGAGGTTTCCAAAGACCAAGACACACACAGTCAAAAGACAGTTCAGAAAGGGGCATTAGTTACCACCGATTCTCATAGGAAGGACATAGATAGTTTTCAGATTCCTTCAATCCTTCTGACATCAAGGACAAAGTCTCTGATTTTCCCTGATGTTTGACAGTGCCCTAATGCTTGCTAAGATTTCTTTTTAACAAAGTGGTAAAGAAGCTGAGATTATTTTAGTAACATTGTTTCTTTTTCAACCACAAGTGATACTGTTGGTTTGGTTTTGCTTTTCCGTTTATACATGGAAAAAAAAGTTTTCTTTTTGTAAAATCATGGTAAAATACATATAACATAAAATTTACCATTTTAACCACTTTCAAATGTACATTTCAGTGGCATTAAATATTTCAAACTGTTGTGCAACCTCCGCTACCATCCATCTCCAGAACTTTTTCATCCTCCCAAACTGAAACTCTACCCAATAAGCAATAACTCCCCACTGCCCCTTCCACCCAGCTCGTGGTAACTCCAACTTCCTGTCTCTATGTTTTGGGCTACTCTAGACACCGCCTATAAATAGAATTACGTGATATTTGTCTTTTTGTGCCTGGCTTCTTTCACTTAGCATAATGTCTTCCAGGTTCATCCATGTCGTGCCATGTGTAATTCCTTTCTATGGCGGAATAGTATTCTAATATGTGGATATCCCATATTTTGTTCATCCATTCATTTGTTGATAGACACTTGGGTTGTTCCTACCTCTTGACTATTGTGAATAATCTTGCTAGGTACATGGGTGGACAAATATCTGTCTGACTCCCCGCTTTCAACTCTAGAAAGCTTTCTTTTAAAATCGGTCTATTTAAGTTTCTTTAAAAAGTTAATTTAAGAAAAATACTAAGGTAAATTGTAGAACAGGTGATATGTCAATATGACCCCAAAAATTGTAAAGATGGAAGACGAATGCCTGCAGTTTGGGAAACCGGATGAGAGGAAAGACCTGGAAGCTATTGTAAAATCTATGCTGAGGGTCTGGTGACTACTAGACCAAGGGCATGGCAGCAGAGGGCAGCTGAAAGACTTCAGGAAGGAAAGATATAAGAATTAAGAAAGGGGCCTGGTGCAGTGGCTCATGCCTGTAATTCCATCACCTTGGGAGGTCAAGGCAGGATGATGGCTTGAGACCAGGAGTTCAAGACCAGCCTGGGCAACAGAGCAAGACCTTTTTTTAGGAAAAAAATATATAAATTAATAAAAATAAATTTTTGAAAATACAGATTCCAGGCCGGGCATGGTGGCTCACACCTGTAACCCCAGCACTTTGGGAGGCTGAGGCCGGTGGATCACCTGGGATCAGGAGTTCGAGACCAGCCTGGGCAACATGGTGAAACACCGTCTCTCCTAAAAATACAAAATTAGCCGGGTGTAGTGGTGCATGCCTGTAATCCCAGCTACTCGGTAGGCTGGTGGAGGAGAATCGCCTGAACCCAGGAGGCGGAGATTGCGGTGAGCCGAGATCACACCATTGCACTCCAGCCTGGGCAACAAGAGTGAAACTCCGTCTCAAAAAAAATGAAAGAAAATACAGATTCCTGGGCCCGGCTGCAGACTCCCTGAATAGAATCACTGGGGGTGAGGCCCAGGACGCTGTGTTTTTAACACCCTTCCCAGGTAATTCTCACTCACAGCCAAGCCTGCCGATGGCTGGACTCCGTAGTCAGATCTCAGCAAGCAGGACTGGCTCGTGGTTCATCTTGGGGTCTCCAGCACCCAGCAGAGTGCTGGCGGGGGGACTGTGTTAAGTAGAGCCGGATGGGTCAGGACTGGAGTGTGGGGCCTGGCTTTGCTAACTGCAGTCACAAGATCCTCATCACTCCACCCCCTACCCCAGCACCAGGGTCAGGTTCCCTTCCAGGAAAAACTTGTTGGACTCCTTTCCAGGTCATTGACTGCAGTTAGGAGTGGCATGCAGAAGGGAGGCTATCTGGAGCTGGGACAGACCAGGCAAGCGGGGAAGGGAACTCTTATCCCAACCCTGCATTCTGGACAGGGACCGAAGGTCTCCTGGCTGCAGCTCATACAGCTCATCTTCATTCTCATCCTGGGACCACCAGGCCCCTCACCCACAATAACTTTACCCTTTACTGGCAAATGCACAAGCTGGAGATGATGGCCCATTCGAGTTTTAAGATTTTCCAAGTTGTTATGAGGTCAGTGTCCTCAATCGGGACCCAGAGAAGATAGGTGGCTTGCCTGAACTTTCAGAGGGGGCATCTGTGGTGTCTTTTGTGGGGTCCTGTAGGATTTCCACGTCCCTCTTGGAGGAAAAATAGAAGTAAGTTGTCTCAGGTCAGATTGTCTGGGAAGCCAAGTAGGAGATGGAGATTTGCATATAGGAGGTTTACTGGGGACATTCACAGGAGGGAACACCCGAAGGAAAAGGGAAGAAAGCAGGGTTGGGAAGCAGCAGGAGTTGAGGTGCAATGCAGTCACAACAGAGGTCTTAGCCAATCCCATAGGGAGCACTCAAGCTGGGACAGCAAGGAAGCTAGACCTTCACATCCCTCATCTACCTCCGTCCTCCCATACAGGCATAGCCTCCCCCATGATGAACACTCAGCACCAGACTGATACATTTGTTATAATCAATGAACCTACATTGATGCATCATTATTACCCAAGGTCCATGGTTTGTTTACATGAGGGTTTACTCTTGGTGTTGTACATTCTGTGGGTTTGGACAGATACATGATGTAATGTATATGACATTATAGTATCACACAGACTCATTTCACTTGTGACTGAGCTTGTCCTTCTTTCTTTAACCTGCCTCCAACTGCTGAGAAGCCCTTTGGCTAGGGATTGCAGCCAATTTTAATTTGTTTTCCACTTTCCTGCTCTGAAGTTACTTTGTTTGCCAGAGGCTGGTTGGTTCAAACCCAAAGGGCAGGGAGCTGCAATGGAAATCCATTCAACGGTGCTGGAATTGGGATGGCAAAAAGGAGCAGCAGGCAGGTGTCAGCAGGGAGCAGCTCTTTGCATCCCACAGTTCCCAGGGAGCTTACCATTCTTTCATTCATTCATTCATCCTTTCATTTATGAGACAAAGTCTCACTCTGTTGCCCAGGTTGGAGTGCAGTGGCACAGTCATTGCTCACTGCAGCCTCAAGCTCCTGAGCTCAAGCCATCCTCCTGCCTCAGCCTCCCAAGTAGCCGAGACTACAAGGGCACTCCACCACACCCAGCTAATTTTTGTATCTTTTATTTCTGAAGAGATGGGGTTTCACTATGTTGCCCAGGCTGGTCTCAAACTCCTGGCCTCAAGTCATCCTCCCTCCTCAGCCTCCCAAAGTGCTGGGATTACAGGTGTGATCTCAGACAGCTTACCTCTTAATCACCTTTCCATCTGAGCTGGCAGCAGAGCTGGGAAAGTGCACCCAACACCCCAGATGCTGCAACTTTAGTGCTTCCTGCTCCTTCTCTGTGTGGAACTGGCCTGTTTGGGTACCCAGGGCCAGTCCCCTCCAAGACCCTCTGTAGAAAAAGACCCTACTGTACACCTCAATTCCATTGCAGGACAGGACATAATTGAATCCTGCCTCTCCCTGCCCCAGTCACCCATCCCTCCCAAGCCATTATCTTGGGACCTGCAAGGGCCTCCAAGCCAAGGGTGGCAAATCCAAATACCAAAGGGGCCATAATGATGTAAAATGTGTCCAGGCAGAAGGCAATAGGGAGTAGTGGGGCCTCTGGTAACAATTGTGTGTACTCTATATAGAGACATTGTGATGGTGATTTAGACACACACACACTTATATTGGCTTGGGAAACAAAACAAATAGGCCTATCGACTGGATTCAACTTTTGATTTTGCAGCCAAGCCCCTGTGGCACAGCTGAGGAGCTTGCAGGTCAGAAAGGGGATTTAGAGCCAACCAATAGCAATATCTCCAGACCTCTCCTGACACGAAGCTCATCTGACCTCCTGCCCCCATTACACACATACACATGCACACACATGCATGCAGGCACATGCACGCACGTCTTCTAGTCTCCCTGCCTTGAGGACAAATGATCAGATCCTGCAACTGTTTCCAGGCCCATAAGCCCCTGAGCATTGCAGTGTTGCTACATGCCTTAGTTTCCTCTCCGTCTCCTGTGACCTCCTCGTGCCACTCCAGGAAGTGAAAGTCTTGAGTGAGACCAGTAGTTTCTCTTAAGTCCTCTCTCTGTCTCGTTCTCCTGGGATATCTACACTTGGTTTGCAAACAGCAGGCTGGAGAGTGAGGGGCTTCTTCCTCTACATCCAGCTCCTCCCCCATCCTGCTCCAAGTCCAGCATGTTCCTATCTCTTCCCCAGGACCCTGGGCTCTTGGGCACAAATCAAGCCATCACCAGACAGCCTGTGGGGTGGCAAGAGCAGAGGTTTGTTTCTTTGTGAACATCTATAGGTACCAGGCTCTGTGCAGGCCCTATTGTTGGTGAGCCATAGAGGTACCAACCTCACCCCATGAATCCTCCTTTGTTTCTTTTCTTTTCAACCCCTGGGCCTTTAAACCTTCGATTAACTGCCCAGTGCAGCCCAGGTCATGGTACACTATGATCTTTGGTTCACATGAGGGTTTTCTCTTCATTAATGTCCCTATTTCCCATACTGGGTGCCCATTCTAATGCATTTCAGGTGTATCTTTCTGTTTGTATGTGCTCTTATAAAACATGTTTTGCCTTTTTTTTTTTTTTTTAGATGGAGTCTCACTCTGTCACCCAGGCTGAGTTTTCTATTTTTAGTAGAGATGGGGTTTTACCACCTTGGCCAGGCTGGTCTCAAACTCCTGACCTCAGGTGATCCACCCGCCTCGGCCTCCCAAAGTGCTGGAATTACAGGTGCGAGTCACCACGCCTGGCCACAGTTTCTTACTTTTGCATTCTGTACTATGTTTTTAGGATCTACTTGCCTTGCTTCTGATGCATTTGATCTTTGCTTCTAATCACGGACATTGTTCTCTATGGAGTGCAGGGGTTACTTTTCACCTGTCCACACCCCCAGTGATGGACACCTAGGTGACCTCCAACTCTCTGTCACCACAAATAACACAGCAGTAACCATCCTCAGATGGGTTCTCCTGGGGAGTTGTGGGAACATTTCTTCAGGATATATAGACCCAAGAGCTGAATTGCCAGGTGGTAGGATCTACATATCCTTAGATATTCTACATGATGCCAGGTCGTTCTCCAGAGCGGCCCCATCCATCTACATTCCCACAAACCCGTGTAACCAACACTTGGCATTTCCCAGATGTCTAACTTTTGCCAGTTGTACAGTATCAAGTGTCACTTTGCTGTTTTATTTTTGGAGTTTACATCTTAGTACCACTTACTCGCTAAGTCACTTTAGGTAAGTCACAACAACCCAGTGACATAAGCACTGTGCCAACAAAATGCAGTCGATTCTGTGACTCAGAGAGGTTGAGTAACATTTGCAAAGTCACACAGCAAGTGTGGAACTAAGATTTGAACCCAGAGCCTGCACCCTTAACCACTATGCTATTATTATGTTTTGTCTCTCTCCTAAAATATCATCTGGGTCTACATTGCAAGCCTCTTTGGCAGGGACTGTGTGGTAAACCTCTTTGGGGCCAGTAAGGAACTGAGCTCAGTGACTTTCTTACGGGGTGCTCAGTGAATCATTGTTTTACAGCTTTAGAGGGGAAAAGTGAGAGATGTTTCTTAGAGTTTATCTGGAGGACTACAGGGTGCATGAGCAAAAGCGGAACTCATTTGAGCTACTACCCCCACAAAGAAGCTGTTTGGGGTCTGGTCATGGTAGATAGGCATTCCTAGGCCCCTGGCTTCCCAACACCATTTGGCCCCCGGAAGCAGCTTGTCATGAGGTTGGGGAGCAGGTTGGTGTTGGGGGGGGCCTTGGGGGAAAGGAAAAGGAGAAGACTGCCAGGCAACGAGGAATCAGAATCTCAAAAAGACTCAATTGAAGGGGCTCCAACACTCGTTGAAACGGAGGCTCAGAGGGCTAAGGTAATGTACTCAGGATCAAAGGCAGAGCAGAAACTCAAACCATGTCTCTAGGCACACAGTTCAGAGGTCTTCCCATTATTCCTCAGGAGGAGAAGTTCATGGTCAAGAGTAGGGAAGTATTCCTTCTCAAGCTTTTTTTTTTTTTGTCTGAGACAGAGTCTTGCTCTGTCACCGAGGCTGGAGTGCAGTGGCGTGATCTCGGCTCACTGCAACCTCCGCCTCCCAGGTTCAAGCAATTTTCCTGCCTCAGCCTCCCAAGTAGCTGGGATTATAGGCACCCACCACCACGCCCAGCTCATTTTTGTATTTTTGCAGAGACGGGGTTTCACCATGCTGGTCAGGCTGGTCTTGAACTCCTGACCTCAAGTAATCCGCCAGCCTCGGCCTCTCAAAGTGCTAGGATTATAGGCGTGAGCCACCACCCCTGGCCTCCTTCTCATGCTCTTTAATCACAGTTCAGAGCAGTGCTGGAGGCTTTTAGGGGTAGCAAAAGAGCCTTCTTCTCCCTTTCAGTGCCTCCTTAGACCCTCAAAGATAGACTCCCCGCCTCTGGGAAGAAAACATCTAATGAACTGGACGTAATCTCAGCGCCTGCGTCTGTAAAATGGCTATAATAACAACAATCTCCCAGAGTTGCCGTTAACAGTTGAAACAGAATAGTAAATGCAAGGCATCTAGCACAGCCCCAGACACAGAGAAATCTCCCCTGGTCACTCTCACAGAGGTAAGAAGCACATTAATAATAAAAATGGTCATCACGCATATTGTACTCACCATGCAGAAGTTGTGCTGCCTTAAGCTACTGTTCATTGAGCACTTACTGGTCGCCAGTCCCCTTTCTAAGGGCTCCATGCAACTTAACTCCCCTAATCCTATGAGTTGCCAATTATTATCCCCCACTTTACAGATAAGGAAACTGAGGCTCCAAGTGGTTTAAAAAATGAACTTACCCAGATTGTAGTGCGTTGGTAGGTAGGGATAACCTGAAAGTTGGGAAATTTCACCCCAAAGCTCACCATCTGAGCTCCATTCATCTCCCACCAGCTGAGATGGAACGTTATGCTGTTCCCAGAAGAGATGCATGCACTGATCTTCAGATAGTTTAAGTCTGAGTTAGAACATTGTGGCGACACCTGATTTCCCTCGGGGGAGAGAGAGGTGAATTGTTATTTCAGACACCTGTTTAGTGTCTACACTTAGCCTTTCAAATCCTGCATGCAGTGTGAAGTGGGGATGAAAATAAACCCCAAAAAGGACTTTTGATGGCAAAAAGATCAGGAATATTTTCTCGAGTTGGATGTGGAAGGTGGTGGCCCAGGGGGAAGCACAGTTTCAAAGAGGACCTTCTAAAAATACTGCCCATTTACCAAAAAGACACAGACCGCGCCTCTGCCCTGCCCCCACATGGCTCCTCAAAAGGAGAAATTGTCTTGCCACCCACGCCTTCCCTCGCCGGGGTGCTGGGGGGCCAACAGCAATTCAAAAAGGCTATAGAGTGGGCTGAGACTTTGGAGATGGGTAGTTTGGTTCAAATCTCAGCCCACTAATCCCTCTGAGCCTGTCTCTTCATCTGAAAAACAGGAATACAAATAGCTGATGTGTAAGTTAGACCAAATGGGGTAATGCCTACGAGTCATGTCATTTGGTACCTGGCACTTGCTGGACACTGTGAATTCTAGTTCTATATCATTGCCACGGATGAAGAGAGGCTGCCATGCGCAGAAACATGCTGAGAGCTGGGAGAAGGTGAGCTAGAGGGATACAGTCCCTGCCCTCAGGGAGAGCTGAAGGGCTCTCTCTCCTGCCACGGGATGATCAGGGCCATCTTTTCCCTCCATCCCGCTCTGGCAATGTGGTTTGGAGAAACAGTCCAATGAAGGGGCCTTTGAAGCACTTCCTAAGCATCTATAGACATAGGAAACTTGGCTCTGGGGATAGAGGAAGGTCCCATGCCAAGATTCAAGTAGATCTTGGTGTGACTGGGAGGCAGCTGTGGCGTTGTGGGGAAACCTAGAGTCTTGGGCCTGAATTTCAGCTTTGACACCCTCTAATGTAATGGGCTTCCTTTGACTGTAGGCTTCCCACATAGCTGGCACCCCACACAGAACTCCCTTGGCCTTCTGATGATCCTGCAGGACAATCTTTTTTGTTTTTTGTTTTTTGTTTTTTTTTTGAGATGGTATCTCACTTTGTCGCCCAGGCTGGAGTGCAGTGGCGCAGTCTTGGTTCACTGCAGCCTCTGCCTCCCAGGTTCAAGCGATTCTCCTGCCTCAGCCTCCCAAGTAGCTGGGATTACAGAAGCACGCCACCATGCCTGGCTAATTTTGTATTTTTAGTAGAGACGGGATTTCACCATGTTGCCCGGGCTGGTCTCAAACTCCTGACCTCAAGTGATCTGCCTGCCTCGGCCTCCCACAGTGGTGGGCTGCAAGGCAATCTTCATTCTCCAGAACTAATATTGGGAAAACTGATGTTCAGAGAGGTCAAGTGACTTGGCTAAGGCATCACAGCCAGAATTCAGATGCAAGCTCCTAAACCACATGACCTTGGACAAGCCATTTCACTGAGGCGTGTGAACCTCCTCTAAGCTCAAATGGGCATAACACTCTACCCTGCCTTTTCCCCAGAGCTTTTTGGGAACTCAGATGGTGTGGAGGATGGAGGCAGAAGTCCACTGTGAGCTGCAAATCCTTGATCACCCAAGAGGAAGTGCTTAAGGTGCAGGCTTCAGTCTTAGGGAAGCAGGAAGTGGGGCGCTGAAATGTGTATTGGGGGCTTCTGGGAGGGGGTTTCTTCTTGTCCAGGTTGAGCCAATGACGCAGATCTTAGGCCCTCTGGTGACTTTTTGCCCAGGCAACTTCTCAGTGGTGGTGATGGGGAGCGTGGCCAGACCATCCAAGCTGCCCTGCTGGCTGTGGGGGCCTTTTTTTTTTTTCTGAGACACAGTCTGGCTCTATCACCCAGGCTGGAGTGCAGTGGTGCAATCTCAGTTCACTGCAGCCTTGACACCTCCCCAGGCTCAAGCTATCCTCCCACCTCAGCCTCCTGAGTAGCTGGTTCTACAGATGCACATCACCACGCCCAGCTAAGTTTTGTGTTATTTGTAGAGATAGGGCTTCACCATGTTGCCCAGGCTGGTCTCAAACTCCTGGACTGAGGTGATACTCCTGCCTTGGACTCCCAAAGTGCTGGAATTTCTACAGATGTGAGCCACCATGCCCGGCCTATGGGGCCCTTCTTGTTCCTATGAAGTCTGCAGGGTCCCCTTATGCAAAAGAACAGAAAGCTCGGCTTCACAAAGTTTGACCTCGGAAGAAATGGAAGGGAAAGGGTCCCTTTGTCACTCTCACAAACGTAAGAAGCAAACTAATAATGATGGCCATCACACATATTATACTCACCATGTAGAAGCTGTGCTGCCTTAAACTTCTGTTCATTCAGCACTTACTGATTGCCAGTCCCATTGCTAAGGGCTCCGCGTGACTTAACTCCCCTAATCCTTGTGAGTTGCCAATTATTATTCGCATTTTATAGATATGGAAACTGAGGCTCCAAGTGGTTTAAAAAATGAACTTGCCCAGGTTACAGTGTGTTGGTAGGTAGGGGTAGTCTCAAAGTTGGTAAATTTTACGCCAAAGCTCACGATACTTGCCTTCTTTCCCTTCTCAATTTATTTCTCTGACTGTGTGCTTAACCACACAGCAGTGTCATCCAGAGTTTGAAGCAGAGCTCATCAATAAGTGGGGGTGGGCTAAATGTCTCCAGGCTCCTCCCTGCGGTCCCTCCCACCATCCCCCATCTGTGATACCACCTGTGTCTCTATGCTTGAGCCCAGACAGGACAAGGGTGATCATTTCATTGGGAACATTTTGACTGGGGGGAAAGAGCACCAGCCTGGGAGTCTTGGCAGGGGGAGTGGGGGAGAAGGGGCAGGGGCAGCCACCGACAGGCTATGAGGTCTTGTGCAAGTCACGTCCTTCCCGGGGTCTCAGTCTTGTCATCTGCAGAGTGAAGGAAAGAGGTCAAGCTTGAAGGTCCCTGGCAGACCCAATGCCCTGTGAGAAAACTGAGTTTGGGTAACTTATTATTTTATAGATATGGAATTATCTTATAGAAATGTTATAGATATGGAATCATTTTATAGATATGGCCCAAAGTCCAAAGTCACACAACTCATTCACGGAGTTGCTAGGATCAGTCTGGAGCTCTTGTCACGAGATCACACTGCCTCAAAGAGGAGGCAGATTGCTGCAATGTAGGTTCTTAATAAAGAGCATGGGTGGAATGGGAGGCGGGCATCAGGCAGGAGCTGGGGCAAAGGTGTCTTTTCTCACTGCTCTGAGAGAACAGATTTTGTGCCTGTGTCCCTGACCAAGGGGCTGGGAGAGGTGGAGCATCTCACCCCCAACCATCTCCCAGCTTTGGCCCTGCTCCAGGAAAAGGGCGGTGGCCCCATCTTTCAGTTCTGCTTCCTCTAGTCATGGTTGGCTGGGATCTCGCTGCAAGCCGGTTATGTTTGGGTTCCTGCAGCCCCCGCTCAACCGTCATGAACAAGTGGGCCCAGCCAGTGCCCCAGCTTGGACTGGAAAGATCATTCTCTGTGACATCCGGGGGTCTGTGCTGAGCCTCTCCCCAGGCAGTGAAAGCTGTGGATGCGTGAAAGAAAATGGGTCTCTGGGCCGGGTGTGGTGGCTCACACCTGTAATCCCAGCACTTTGGGAGGCCAAGGCGGGTGGATCACCTGAGGTCGGGAGTTCGAAACCAGCCTGACCAACATGGTGAAACCCCATCTTTACTAAAAATAAAAAAATTAGCCAGGCATGGTGGCGGGTGCCTGTAATGCCAGCTACTTGGGAGGTTGAAGCAGGAGAATTGCTTGAATCCGGGAGGCAGAGGTTGCAGTGAGCCAAGATTGCACCACTGCACTCCAGCCTGGGCGACAGAGTGAGACTCTGTCTCAAAAAAAAAAAGAAAAAGAAAATGAGTCTCAGGAATGGGGTGGCAAGTTGAGTGTGTGTTTTCTCATGAGCTTACTCTTCAATGTATTCTCTTCTGGGCCCAGAACAGGGCAGTAGGAGCCTCCCTCTGGTCTTCCAGCTTCAGGGCCAGCTCTCCTCTTACCTCCTCCAGGAAGCTCCCTCTGTTTCTTTCCAGCCTTCATCTGCATGTCATGTGTGGTGGGTTGAAAGGTGGCCCCCCAAAAGATATGTCCATGTCAAATCCCTGGAACCTGTCAGTGTGACTTTATTTGGGAAAAGGGTCTTTGCAGATAGAATTAAGTTAAGGGGCTGGGTGCAGTGGCTCATGCCTGTAATCCCAGCACTTTGGGAAGCTGAGATTGGAGGATCACCTGAGGTCAGGAGTTCAAGACCAGCGTGGCCAACATGGCAAAACCCCATTTCTACTAAAAATACAAAAATTAGCTGGTCATGGTGGTGAGCACCTGTAATCCCAGCTACTCAGGAGACTGGGGCAGGAGAATCGCTTGAACTGGGAGGTGGAGGTTGCAGTGAGCCGATACAGCGCCACTGCATTCCAGCCTGGGCAACAGAGCAAGCCTCTGTCTCAAAAGAAGGCAAAAAAAGAATTAAAGATCTTGAAATGACATCATCCTGGATTATCTAGGTGGGTCCTAAATCCAATGACAAGTGTCTTTATAAGAGAAAGAGACTTGCTACATGAGGAGTAGGTGATGTGGCCACTAAAGCTGAGTTTAGAGTGATGCAGCCACAAGACCACAAGTCAAGGATCACCAGTAGTTCCCAGCAGCTAGAGGAGGCAAGGAAGCATTCTCCCCTCGAGCCTCCAGAGGCAGCGTGGCCCTGCTGACACCTTGGCTTCAACTTCTGGCCTCCAGAACCATGAGAGAATAAAGTGCTGTTGTTCTGAGCTACCTGGATGCTGGTACCTTGTTTCAGCAGCCCTGGGAAATGAATATACCATGGAAACATGGACCTGAACCACGGATCCTGGCAGGAGCCTTAGAGCCACACAGATGAGCCTTCAGCTTGGCTTTCCCCAGCAAGAGCTACATGATCTTGAGGAAGCTGCTTGTCTTCTCTGGGTCTCAAGTTCTTCATCTGCCAATGGAGACAATAATGCTTACTTCCTAGGTTTTAACAGCTTTATTGAGATGTAATTCACATATACAATTTGCCCACTTAAAAAGTACAGTTCATGCCTGTAATCCCAACACTTTGGGAGGCCGAGGAGACAGGCGGATCACTTGAGGTCAGGAGTTTGAGAACAGCCTGGCCAAAATGGTGAAACACTGTCTCTACTAAAAATGCAAAAATTAGCCGGGTGTGGTGGTGGGTGCCTGTAATCCCAGCTGCTCAGGAGGCTGAGGCAGAAGAATGGCTTGAACCTGGGAGGCAGACGTTGCAGTGAGCCAAGATTGCACCCCTGCACTCCAGCCTGGGTGACAGAGACTCCGTCTTAAAAAAAAAAAAAAAAAAAAAAAAAAAAAAGTAGAGTTCAGTGTTCTTTTGGGAATACTCAGAGAGTTGTGTGACCATCTCCCATCCCCACAGTCAATTTTAGCACATTTCATCACCCCCTAAAGAAACTCCAGACCCATCAGCAGTTGTTCCCCATTTCCTTCCAAAATCCCTCTCTGCCAAGCCCTAGGCAACCACTAATATGCTTTCTTTCTTAAAAAAAAATTAATAGAGATAGGCTTTTGCTATGTTGCCCAGGCTGGTCTTGAACACCTGGGCTCAAGCGATTCTCCTGTCTCAGCCTCCCAAAGTGCTGGGATTTCAGGCATGAGCCACCACGCCCCACCCCTCCTACTTTATGTCTCCATGGATTTGCCTGTTTTGGTCATTTCAAATAAATAGAATCATACAATATGTGACCCTTTGTGTCCGGCTTCTTCACTTAGCATTTTTTTTAAGGTTCATCCATGTTCCAGCATGTATCAGTGCTTTCTCCCTTTAATGGTGGAATACTTTATTGTATAGATAAGCAACATTTTGTTTATCCATTTATTTTTTGGTGGATATTTGGGCTGTTTTTATATTTTGGCTATTTTGAATTATCCTTCTGTGAACATTCGTGTATAGGTTTTTGTGTGGATATATCTGGTTTTTCTTGTTTTCTTTTGTTTTATTAATACATAATATGATACATATTTATGGGGTATATGTGAATATTTATTACATGCATAGAAGGTATAATGATCATGTCAGGATATTTGAGGTATCCACATTTGGGATTGTTTAAAGATTAAATGAAATAGTGTTAAAAGTATTTAATATGCCCTTCAACAAATGATGAGGAAATCTTAGAATCTGCTCAGACTCCTTCAGTTTACATATTAGGAAACTGAGGCACAGAAAGGAGCAGAGACTTGCTCAAGTCCACCCAAAGCAGTAGAGCATTGTGGTTAAATGCAGGACTTCAGTCAGACTGTCTGGGTTCAAATCCTGGTTCCACTTGGACATGGGTTTCCTTACATAAATCACTTCACCTCTCTGAGCCTCAGTTTTCTCATATGCAAAGTGAGGATAATAATAATACCTTCCTTACATGGTTACTGATATGAGTATTAAATGTGCCAGCTCATGTGCCTGGCGTATAGGAGGTGCTTTATAAACCTTAGCTGTTACCACTCATGGCATTGCCAAATGTGGGACGGGTCTCCTGACTCTCTGGTGTGAGATTGATGGAATCCACACTTTCCAGTTCCCTTTTCTACCTCCTGGGTATCTTCTCATATGGTTGTAAGTTCCTTGGAGGAAGGGAATGTGGCTTGCTCTCTCCACCACGCTGAGCATATAAGAGGTGCTGAATGAGCGCTTTTATTCACTCCTCTCATCCCCAGCCCTCACCAGCTGGGAGTTGTTGTAGGTGTCAATTTTCTGCCTCTTTCCAACACCCTGTGAGGTGACTGAGCATTGTCTTCCCTCCCAGGCAGCTCACAGTGTGCCACCATGGAGTTGGGGCCCCTAGAAGGTGGCTACCTGGAGCTTCTTAACAGCGATGCTGACCCCCTGTGCCTCTACCACTTCTATGACCAGATGGACCTGGCTGGAGAAGAAGAGATTGAGCTCTACTCAGGTGGGCCCTCCTCCCTCTGGTCTCTTCCGGTATCCCCCACCCCTCAGCTTGCTGTAGAGACGGCAATCAGGGGAAATTCTGGTCCCTGCCCTCCCGTCAGCACCACGGACAGCTCCCACGTCTGTGGGACGCTCTCTGCAGATGGGGATGATCTCCCAGCCCTGCCCCGCCTCTCCCTCGTTCCCCACCAGCCCTCTTTCCAGAAATTTCCTTCTTCATCCAAGGGACTTTTCCTCCCAGAACCCGACACAGACACCATCAACTGCGACCAGTTCAGCAGGCTGTTGTGTGACATGGAAGGTGATGAAGAGACCAGGGAGGCTTATGCCAATATCGGTGAGGAAGCACCTGAGCCCAGAAAAGGACAATCAAGGGCAAGAGTTCTTTGCTGCCACTTGTCAATATCACCCATTCATCATGAGCCACGTCAGTCCCCTCCCACAGAAATCATTGCAAGGGGGATGCGGAGCAATGGCTGGAGGAACGGAGACTCCAGGGAAGAGAGGGGAGATGGAGGCCAGTGGGGGAAATAGGCCCCTTCACTAATGACCACCAAGAAAACAAAATCTCATGTTTACATCCTCCACCTCCATTTCTATACGCATTTCTGCTTCTTGCTCTTCTGTCCATCCTTTCTACAAAGCCCATACCATACACCCCTTTCCCTTTTCCTCCCAGCTCCTTAGCCAAGCTACTCTAGTATTTGTAATAACTAGCATTTACTGGATACTCATAGTATGCTCATTGCTGTCCATACATTATCATCTGGAATCCTTACAACAACAAAGGAAATACATATTATTAGTTTCTGTCTTTTACAAATGAGGAAATTGAGGTTTAGAGAGGTGAAACGACCTACCCAAGTTTGCATTAGAGATAGTAATGTACAGATCTGAAATTCTAACCTAGGTCTTTCTCGTTTCAAAGTCTCCATTTTTAACCACAAAAAAAGAAAGTGTCTGGGGTTGGAAGATTTGCTAAGGCTTAAGCAGAGAAGCTAATTTGTAGCCTTAAGAAGAGCTACAGCTTTCAGACAAGGGCAGGACTCTTGGGGAGAGGTGGTGGTGGTGTTGCTGCTAGTGGTTTGTTTTTTGGGGGAGAGACGTGGGATAGAGAATCTCTTCTCACCAGCATCACCACCACCTCATACAGAGCCTATGTTGAAATAGAAAAAAGTGGCCTTTTTCTGGAGGATGCAGCCCCTACCAGGAAGTAACTGCTTGGCTAGCAAAGTGCAAGCCGGAGTCCTGCCCCCATTTTCCTTGTTGGCTTGGGCACCTGTGTGCAGTGAACAACCTGCAAAACTCTTCTTAGTGGTCTTCTTCCTGCCAACCCAGGAACAGCAGCATTCAGCAGTTCTGTGCTTGATCCAAATGTGGCCAATTTTTCCCCAGAGCACAGTGTATTGAAAATCATACCAAGGAAGAAAATGGAGGGGACTAGTAATTGTTCATGTTTCAGAAATTACAGAACTGAGAGCTTGACTGCTTCCTTCCCTTCCTGGGGATTTACATGGGGGAAGCAGAAGTGATTGGGGCTGAGGACATTCACATTTCCTCACAACTGGAGGCAGTCATTAAGGATTTGGGCATGTCATAGGATTTGGGTGTTTTTCTCCCCCCTTAGTGGCATCTCCACAGGCAGCGAAAGCTGTCTAAGCAAATAGGTGAGGCAGTGCGTTAGTCCATTTTTTGTTGCTTAAAACAACATACCTGACACTGAGTAATTTATAAAGAAAAAAAATATTTCTTACAGTTATGGAGGCTGAGAAGTCCAAGGTTAGGGGCTGCATCTGGTGAGGGCCTTCTTACTGGTGAGGACTCTCTGCAGAGTCCCAAGGCAGTGTGGGGCATCACGAGGCAAGAGGTTTCGGTGTGATAGTCTCTCTTCCTCTTCTCATAAAACCACTAGTCTTACTCCCACGACAACCCATTAACTTATTAACCTGTTTATCCACTAATCCATGAACGGATTAACCCATTCATCAAGGAAAAGCCCCAGTCACCTCTTAAAGGCCCCACCTCTCAATACTGCCACATAGGGGATTACATTTATACATGAGTTTTGGAGAAGACAAACATTCACGTCATAACAGGCAGCTTCACCCAAGTCTGCTCCTCAAGTCTGTGGGTTTTCTCTCTGCTTCTGGAAGGTGAAGCCCAGGCCTGGGCAAGTATTCTTTTGCAGCATCCTGAAATATGACCTTAGCTTCTAAATGTGTAAAATGGAGATAATAATCACACCCACCATCACGGGATGGTTGTAAGACTGAATAAGTTACAATGTGTAAAGCATTTAGAAAAGGAATTTGCACAGAGTAAGCATTCAGTAGATGTTAGGTACTACCCCACAACCACCGTTATCATTATTATCACCATCATTATTATCATCTTCATTTTCATCACCTTCATTATGGCCATCATTCCATTCCTCAGCTCAGAAGCCTTCTATGGCTCCCCATTGCTTATAAAATCAAGTCCTAACTTTCCCCAGCATGAAACTTCTACCACCGTCACCTATCTCTCAGGGTTTCCTAAACATACTCTGAACAAGTTTCCTCACTCTGCCACTGTGACCCAGAAAGCTATCTGTTCTCCTTCTCCCAGACTCTGCCTCATCTTTCAAGGCCTGGTTCCAGGATCCCTTCCTCCAGGAAGCCTTCCCTGATTGCCCTATTCCACCATACACCTTTTTTCTCGGACTTCATGTCATGGTGCCTATATTCCAAGGGCTCTGAGCCATGTACCCCTTTATATAGTTACCACTATTTACTGAGTGCCTACTGTATACCAGCTACTGTGTTGGATGCTCTAGATGTAGAACCTCTAATTATCACCATCGATTCCTGGGTAGTAGGCATTATTTATTCATCTTACACAGATGAGAAAATGGAGGCCCACAGTGGTTAAATAAGTAGCCCAAGATTGCACAGCTAGTAGGGCTAGTGGAAAGTAGAGGTGGAATTTGAACTCAAATCCTGCAGTAACTCTACCATTCTGCCTTGCTCTTCTTTGTAGCAGTAGATAAGTTTTCATGGATACATACCTCATCCTTTTGATTAGATTAAGGGCCCCTGGAGTGTCAGTGTTCATTCATTTGTTTGATCATTCATTCATTCAACAAACATTTCTTGAGTCCCCACTGTGTGCCAGGCCCAGAGGTTCCCCAGCCCAAGGCCTGGCACACAGTGGGCCTTCAGTTAGACCTTGTTGATTGACTGCGCTTTTCCTTGTCTGGGCAGCGGAACTGGACCAGTATGTCTTCCAGGACTCCCAGCTGGAGGGCCTGAGCAAGGACATTTTCAGTAAGTTTGTGGTGGGTGGGGAGGTCTTGGCTCAGCCTGCATTTCCTGCCTTGTTCCCTGGGGGGTGCCCTAATACCTGACGACCATTCATTGATGGGCAGTCAGACCCCTCTCCCCAAGGTGGGTACAATAGAGACTCACCTTGGGCTTTCATTGATTGTGTGAGTTGGTCTCTGGTTTTTCTCAAAGTAGAGCACATAGGACCAGATGAAGTGATCGGTGAGAGTATGGAGATGCCAGCAGAAGTTGGGCAGAAAAGTCAGAAAAGACGTGAGTGAGCCCCTCCCTGATCCAACCTAGCCTTGCTTGAGACCTGGCCTTTCCTTGACTCCAAAGCCTGCTGTGGGTCCAACTTGCTTCCCTCGCTAAGTCCTGTCTGGTTGGGAGGCCCTTTAAAAGCCAACAGGAGCCTTAAAATGTACATCTGATTATTTCATGGCCCTGATAACCCTCCAATGGCTACAAAATACATGCCACAAGGCCTGTATGGCCCTTCCTCCCTCTCCAAACCCACTATGAGACACCACACTTCAGCCACCACCAGCTTCTCCACTCCTATAACCCATGTGCCCTTTCAAGCCTCGGGGCCTTTGCAGTTGCTATAGTCTCTATCTGGAATGCCCTTCCCCCAGTTCTTCCCATGGCTGACTCCTTTGAATCTTTCTGGTGTTGGCTAAACTGTCACCTCTTCCTGGAACCCTTCTCTGACCATCCTTCCATGTAGATTAGCTCAGTTATTCTCACCTTGTGTGTCTTTTTCCTTGCAGTTTAGCACTCATTACCATCTGGACATATTTTACGCCTTGCTCTCCCACTGTGAGGACAGGGACCTTGTCTTTCTTGCTCGTGACTGTTTCCCCAGCATCTAGTGCAGTGCCTGGTATGCAGTAGCACCTCAGTAGATATCTGTTGAATGAAAACATCTGTAAAATGGGTGTAACAGTTAACTGAGTACTTATTATGGGTCTGACCATGTGTAAGTCCTGTATCTATTTATTCAGTTCTTAAACAGGTGAATCGCACACAGGGTATGAGATTTTAAAAGTGCAAAGAATATTCAGTGAAGGCTGGGCGCAGCGGCTCACACCTGTAATCCCAGCAGTTTGGGAGGCCAAGGGGGACGGATCACTTGAGGTCAGGAGTTTGATACCTGCCTGGCCAACATGGTGAAACCGCGTCTCTACCAAAAAATACAAAAATTAGCCGGGTGTGGTGGTGCACGCCTGTAATCCCAGCTACTCGGGAGGCTGAGGCAGGAGAATCGCTTGAACCCAGGAGGTGGAGGTTGCAGTGAGCTAAGATCACGCCACTGCACTCCAGCCTGGGTGGCAGAGTAAGACTCTGTCTCAAACAACAACAACCAAAAGAATATTCAGTGAAAAAAAAATCTCCCTCCCACTCCTGTTCTGTAGTCCCTCAGTTTTGCTCCTATCTTAGTCAACCTATGTGACCAGCTTCCTTTTTGCCTTGTCAGAAATAAAGCGAGCTCCTGTATTTGCTTTAATTTTCCATGCAAATGACCACATTTTATTTACACTATTCTGCATTTTGCTTTCTTCATTTACTTCATTACTCCCTGTCTGGGAGGTCACGTTCCATATTATTGAGGGAGAGGACACGGTCCTATCTTCAGCAGCTTCTTTATTTTCTTTCTTTTCTTGTTTTTCTTCTTTATGTTTTCATTTGATAAATATTTCCCCCCAAGATTTTATTGTGAAAGTTTTCGGCCAGGCGTGGTGGCTCACATCTGTAATCCCAGCACTTTGGGAGGCCAAGGCTGGCAGATCACCTGAGGTCAAGAGTTTGAGACCAGCCTGGCCAACATGGTGAAACCCCATCTCTACTAAAAATACAAAAATTAGCCAGGCGTGGTGGCGAACACCTGTAATCCCAGCTACCAGGGAGGCTAGGGTGGGAGAATCGCTTGAACCTAAGAAGCAGAGGTTGCAGTGAGCCAAGATTGCGCCAGTGCACTCCAGCCTGGGCAACAGAGCTAGACTCTGTTTCAAAAAAAAAAAAAAATGTTTTCAAGATACAATAAAAGTGAAAGAATGGTACTATGAAGGTCCATATACCCACCATGTACCATTTTGATTCTACAATTAATGTTGGGTTTTATTCATCTTATCACATCTCTATTCATCTGTCCATCCCTCTATCCATCCACACACCCATTCATTATATTTTTGGTACATTTCAATGTACATTTCAAATGTAAATTGCAGATTTACACTCCCCTCGTGTACTTCAGCATCCTTTCTTTTAAGGCCATGCAGTGTTTCGTTGGGTAGATGAACCATAATTTGTTTAAGCAGTCCCTTGCTAAGGGACACGTGGGTTTTTAATCTGTTGCTGTGAGTGCTTGATACTCACTCACTGATTTCTGGCATACTCCTGCAATGTAGGAACCACCACCCCCATTTCATAGATGTGAGATCAAAGGTTCAGAGAAGCTGCATTGCAAAGGCACACAGCTAGGAAGCGGTTCAAAAGCAGGTTCCTTTGTTTTGTTTTGTTTTGTTTTTTGGCTCAAACCCATGTTGTGTCCCCATTTGTGACTCGGCCTCTTCTGCTGCTACACTGCCTGGTATGGTTTGAGATGGGGTTTGGGTTCAAGCCAAGGAGCTGGGGTTGGAATGTTAGAGCGAGGGGAGGAAAATGGACCCCCAAGACCACTACCCAGCCTTGAAGTTAAGGCCGTATAGCCTGCTAGAGTCCTGAGCCCCTTCTGGCTTGGGACATCCTCTCCCTGGGGCAGCTGATCACATGTTTTCTCTGCAGCCTTCCCAGAGGAGCTTCCGGCAGACCTGAAGCACTGGAAGCCAGGTGTGCAGGGCAGGTGGGCTGGGGTTGGGAAGGGTGGATGCCTTGGGGAGGGGATGGAAGAGATTGAACTCCTGGCCCAAGTCTGATGGGGATGGTGCATGGTGCAGCCCCTGCCCTTCTTTGGGTAGAGGCTGAGAGCTTGGGGTCCCTTAGAGTCCTCTAAGGGGCTCACGACTGTTTGTGGAAGGTGGTAGGGGCTTGGAGCTAACAGATTGTTCATAGGTTCTATTCTGCCCCAGCTCTCCGTGTGGAGGCCCTAGGGTCCTGCTCAGCATAGCTCTCAGAGCCAAGTCACAAGGAGAGGACTGGGGGACTGCCTGGCACAGAGCAGTTGCTGATCAACACAGCTGCAGCCAGGGCTGAGAAGATGACAAGCATTTCCTCTGTCAGGAGAGACATCCATGCCACTCCAGGGCCCTCCCCATCCCAGGAAGGCCCCTCCAAGCACCCAGTCTCTAACACAGCCCACTTCCTCACAGCTGAGCCCCCCACTGTGGTGACTGGCAGTCTCCTAGTGGGACCAGTGAGCGACTGCTCCACCCTGCCCTGCCTGCCACTGCCTGCGCTGTTCAACCAGGAGCCAGCCTCCGGCCAGATGCGCCTGGAGAAAACCGACCAGATTCCCAGTATGTTAGGGGGCTTGGAGAGAGTGGGCTTTCTCCCTCTTGGGAGGTGGATAAGGAGTTGACACTAAGGCAGGGACTGTCAGGAACTGGACCTCACCTCTCCCCAACCCTATCAGTGTCACTCACCTCTGCCCCAGCCAGTTTTATCCTTGGGGCCCCCGTCAGCTCAATCCCTGGCAGAGAACATGCCTCAGAAGGAAACACATCCGTGCGAGCATCAGGAGGGAATCTCCACCAATTAGAGCATTCACCTGCCAGCCTTATTCGTTCATCAGCTCTTCATGGAGCCCCTTCTCTGTGCCAACTGCTCTGCTAGGTGCTAAGAATTCCATCAGGGCAGGACAGAAACAGCTACTGCTCTTAGGGAAATTAGGGCCCTTTAGGGGGGTCAGACATTAATCAAATAAGCAAAAGCAGAATCGCAAACACAGGTGCTATGCAAGATCCCACCTCACTGCCTTTGTCTCTTGCAGTGCCTTTCTCCAGTTCCTCGTTGAGCTGCCTGAATCTCCCTGAGGGACCCATCCAGTTTGTCCCCACCATCTCCACTCTGCCCCATGGGCTCTGGCAAATCTCTGAGGCTGGAACAGGGGTCTCCAGTATATTCATCTACCATGGTGAGTGCGGGGCCTGGCTCCCCGACCACCTCTCCCTCCTACCTGACTGCTCCCTGACCTCATCCTCCCCATACTCCATGCACTTGGCAGTGGTGCCCTAGCACCTTCTCATGATCCTCCCTCCCCAGCACAACTTTCTCTGTCCCTATTTCCCAAAAATCAAAGCAGAAGAGCAGAGATTCCTGAGGTGGTCTGGGTGCATGACCAAGAGTGGTTGTGTGGCCTTCCATATGTTGCTTTCCCCTTCTGACCCTTAGTTTTTCCTTATTTTTTTTAAATGTTTTTGTTTTTAAATTGCAACATCAATACATGCTCACTAATAAGCTAATGACAAGTGATGTTTACAAGAATTCACTGTCTCTCTCACTCTTTTAGTATACTGATGTGAATAGTTTGGTGTGCATCCTTGCATAGCTTTCTCTGATTTGTCTTGTTTCCTAATCAGTAAAATGGTCCCTACTGACCCACCACACTGAGGGGTTGTGACTTGTCTCAGGGAAGGTGTGTTTGGGCTGTCAGGGATGAGACCAGGAGGATGCTTCCACTCAAGTCCAGAGCATCCATTCCTGGTTGCAAGACAGTTTCAGTATAACGCACTGGTATCTCAGAAGCAGAGAAGCAGTTCCTGATATCTAGGAAAATGAGCACTGACCACACAGCAGGAAGAGTGCAATAGTAGTACCTGCCCTAAGTTCCTTATGAGCTAATTGCACCCATTTCACAGATTGGAAAAGCAAGGTTCCAGGAGCTAGATGTAACTCCAGAGCTCTTTCTTCAGCTCTGTCCTGAAATATCTTCCTTTGGAAGTTCTACTCTCTTCTCTCCAGACTTCCTGAGCTCCACAGCCCAGTTTGGAGTAGGGGTGACCCAAGTGCATTTCTGGAATCAATACCTGGTTATTCTCACACCACTCTCCACCCCCAATGTAGGTGAGGTGCCCCAGGCCAGCCAAGTACCCCCTCCCAGTGGATTCACTGTCCACGGCCTCCCAACATCTCCAGACCGGCCAGGCTCCACCAGCCCCTTCGCTCCATCAGCCACTGACCTGCCCAGCATGCCTGAACCTGCCCTGACCTCCCGAGCAAACATGACAGGTAAGGACCCTTAGGGCCTGTGAGAGGTACTAGAAGCAGGATCGAGGCCCTGGGGAAGGAATTGTCTCAAATAAGATCCACAAGCAAAGCTGCCTGTAGGGACAACAGGTCATGTTTAGGGGTCAGTCGGGACAGGGAGGGTCTCCAGGGAGTGGAGGCATGGTTGTGGGGGAATGGACAGCTAGAGAATCCACATCCCATCCAAATACAGCCATCAGCCTTCAGCTGCTTGTTACCCAGCAGAAAAGCCAGACAATGTGGTCAGATCTTTTGAAGTTGAAAACCCTGATTTTTACATAGATATTGTGATTTTTTAATTTTTATTTTATTATTTATTTATTGTTGAGATGGAGTCTCACTCTGTTGCCCAGGCTAGAGTGCAGTGGTGCGATCTCAGATCACTGCAACCTCCGCCCTACAGGTTCAAGTGATTCTCCTGCCTCAGCCTCCGGAGCAGCTGGAATTACAGGTGTGCACCGTCACACCCAGCCAATTTTTGTAATTTCAGTAGAGACAAGTTTAACCATGTTGGCCAGGCTGGTCTCGAACTCCTGATCTCAAGTGATCCACCTGCCTCGACCTCCCAAAGTGCTGGGATTACAGGTGTGAGCCACTGCACCCAGCCTGATATTGCGATTTTCTTTTTTAAACATGAGTGAAATTTTTAAAAGTACAGTTGGCCAAAGAAAGACATATTTGAGTTAGATACAGCCTCAGGCCGCTATCTTATAACCTCCATCTTGGGAAACTCAGCCCATGAAGGCTGTAAGGACTAAGTGGCCCAGAGGGAGGGGGGTCCCCAGGGGTAACCCTCACCCTAAATCTGGCACCTGCTTCTCCATCTCCAGAGCACAAGACGTCCCCCACCCAATGCCCGGCAGCTGGAGAGGTCTCCAACAAGCTTCCAAAATGGCCTGGTGAGTGATGCGGGATCTCTCTGCCCTGGGTGGTGGAGATGGAAGCCCATATCTGGCTTCACATTGCTCATTCACTTGACACTTATTCAACCCCTTCTTTGTTGGCTCACACACTCATTTATTTATTCATTCATTCATTCATTCACTTATTTGATTATGCCATCATTTCACCATTCACTCCACCACTCCCTCAAATAATATTTATTGCCCTTCAATAAGCCTGCACTGGGTGTTAACACTTCATTGTCAGGCTGAGAGAATGAATGAGGGGCAAGCGAATGATGAAGTGAGTGAGTGGATGAAGTGAGAAGTTGATGAGGATGGGAGCAATGGAAAGTGGGAATAAACCAGTGAATAAGAGAATTACTAAATTACTAAATGCTTACTCTCACATACTGGTCTAAGCATGTTAGGTATGCTAAATCATTAACATCTCACACAATCCCAATATTATCCCCATTTTCCAGATGAGGCTACTGAGGCATGGTGGGATGTATAGCATGCTCAGAATTGCTCCAGCAAGTGGTAGAACCGGGATTTGAACCCAGACACGTGGGCTCCACTGTCTTAACTCTTAACACTCCCTCCCATGACCTCCCCATGGTGAGTGAGTAGTGATCAAGCGAAGAAAAAGCTTAGTGAGTAAATGAAGGAATGAGAAAAGATGGCCATGCATGGTGCCTTATGCCTGTAATCCCAGCACTTTGGGAGGCCAAGGCAGGTGGATCACCTGAGGTCAGGAGTTCGAGACCAGCCTGGCCAACATAGTGAAACCCCGTCTCCATTAAAAAATACAAAAATTAGCCAGACGTGGTAGTGGGTGCCTGTAATCCCAGCTACTTGGCAGGCCGAGGCAGGAGAATCGCCTAAACCCAGGAGGTGGAGGTTGCCGTGAGCTGAGATTGCGCCAGTGCACTCCAGCCTGGGGCACAGGGCAGGATCCATCTCAAAAAAAAAAAAGAGAGAAAAGGTCTAAAAGGAGTGGACACTTAAACAAGAGAGACGATGAGTGAAGGAATGGGTGTGGAAATGAGTGAACTAATGAATGAGTGGTGGGTGACTGAATGAAGCAAATGATGAAGACTGTATGGGGGCCAGATGTGGTGGCTCACACCTGTAATCCCAGCACTTTGGGAGGCCAAGGCGGAACGATTGCTTGAGCCCAGGAGCTCAAGACCAGCCTGGGCAAAATAGTGAGAACTTATCTCCACAAAAAAACAAAAAAGAAAAATTAGCCAGGCATGGCAGTGGGCGCCTGTAGTCCCAGCTACTCAGGAGGCTGAGGTGGGAGGATTGCTTGAGCCTGTGAGGTTGAAGCTGTGGTGGACCATGATTGTGCCATTGCACGCCAGCCTGGGCGACATAGTGAGACCCCATCTCTACAAAAAAATCAAAAAATTATCTGGGCATGGTGTCACATGTCTGTGGTCCCAGCTACTTGGGAGGTGGAGTCAGGAGGATCGCATGAGCCCAGGAGGTTGAGGTTGCAGCGAGCTGTGATCACACCACTGCATTCCAGCCTGGGCAAAAAAGCCAGACCCTGTCTCAAAACAAAACAAAACAAACAAACAAAAAAACTGTGTGGGGAACAGATGTAAATGATGGTGGCAGTGCTGGCCTTGTGGTGGCTGGCCCTGGCCCTGCCTCTCACATACCCCCACCCTGACACGCCCCTGGCCTTTGCAGAGCCGGTGGAGCAGTTCTACCGCTCACTGCAGGACACGTATGGTGCCGAGCCCGCAGGCCCGGATGGCATCCTAGTGGAGGTGGATCTGGTGCAGGCCAGGCTGGAGAGGAGCAGCAGCAAGAGCCTGGAGCGGGAACTGGCCACCCCGGACTGGGCAGAACGGCAGCTGGCCCAAGGAGGCCTGGCTGAGGTGCTGTTGGCTGCCAAGGAGCACCGGCGGCCGCGTGAGACACGAGTGATTGCTGTGCTGGGCAAAGCTGGTCAGGGCAAGAGCTATTGGGCTGGGGCAGTGAGCCGGGCCTGGGCTTGTGGCCGGCTTCCCCAGTACGACTTTGTCTTCTCTGTCCCCTGCCATTGCTTGAACCGTCCGGGGGATGCCTATGGCCTGCAGGATCTGCTCTTCTCCCTGGGCCCACAGCCACTCGTGGCGGCCGATGAGGTTTTCAGCCACATCTTGAAGAGACCTGACCGCGTTCTGCTCATCCTAGACGGCTTCGAGGAGCTGGAAGCGCAAGATGGCTTCCTGCACAGCACGTGCGGACCGGCACCGGCGGAGCCCTGCTCCCTCCGGGGGCTGCTGGCCGGCCTTTTCCAGAAGAAGCTGCTCCGAGGTTGCACCCTCCTCCTCACAGCCCGGCCCCGGGGCCGCCTGGTCCAGAGCCTGAGCAAGGCCGACGCCCTATTTGAGCTGTCCGGCTTCTCCATGGAGCAGGCCCAGGCATACGTGATGCGCTACTTTGAGAGCTCAGGGATGACAGAGCACCAAGACAGAGCCCTGACGCTCCTCCGGGACCGGCCACTTCTTCTCAGTCACAGCCACAGCCCTACTTTGTGCCGGGCAGTGTGCCAGCTCTCAGAGGCCCTGCTGGAGCTTGGGGAGGACGCCAAGCTGCCCTCCACGCTCACGGGACTCTATGTCGGCCTGCTGGGCCGTGCAGCCCTCGACAGCCCCCCCGGGGCCCTGGCAGAGCTGGCCAAGCTGGCCTGGGAGCTGGGCCGCAGACATCAAAGTACCCTACAGGAGGACCAGTTCCCATCCGCAGACGTGAGGACCTGGGCGATGGCCAAAGGCTTAGTCCAACACCCACCGCGGGCCGCAGAGTCCGAGCTGGCCTTCCCCAGCTTCCTCCTGCAATGCTTCCTGGGGGCCCTGTGGCTGGCTCTGAGTGGCGAAATCAAGGACAAGGAGCTCCCGCAGTACCTAGCATTGACCCCAAGGAAGAAGAGGCCCTATGACAACTGGCTGGAGGGCGTGCCACGCTTTCTGGCTGGGCTGATCTTCCAGCCTCCCGCCCGCTGCCTGGGAGCCCTACTCGGGCCATCGGCGGCTGCCTCGGTGGACAGGAAGCAGAAGGTGCTTGCGAGGTACCTGAAGCGGCTGCAGCCGGGGACACTGCGGGCGCGGCAGCTGCTGGAGCTGCTGCACTGCGCCCACGAGGCCGAGGAGGCTGGAATTTGGCAGCACGTGGTACAGGAGCTCCCCGGCCGCCTCTCTTTTCTGGGCACCCGCCTCACGCCTCCTGATGCACATGTACTGGGCAAGGCCTTGGAGGCGGCGGGCCAAGACTTCTCCCTGGACCTCCGCAGCACTGGCATTTGCCCCTCTGGATTGGGGAGCCTCGTGGGACTCAGCTGTGTCACCCGTTTCAGGTGGGGTGAGGGGCTTGGGGAAGAGACATCCTTGTGTTGGGCATTAACTGCGGTCTTGGTGCCAAGCCCAGTGCTCTGTGGGGTCTCTTTTAGTATGCAGAGCAGCCGGGTGGGGCAGAATGGATTCTCTCCATTTTTAAGATGAGGATGTTGAGGCTCAGAGAGGGGCAGCCACTTGCCACACAGCAAGTGAGAGGCAATGGCATTCTCCCAGTCAATATTTGAAGGCCCGCCATGTGCCAGTCACTGGGGTATGTCTAGAATCTGAGACTGACCTGGGCTCAAATTTGTTTTATTCTTTCCACCCCCTGAGCACGCCACCGTTTTCTTATGCTAAGAGTAAAGCCATGGCCTCCCCTTGGACTCTCTGCCTCCATTCTCTCCTCTTCCACTCCATTTTGTATTCAGCAACCAGACCAATCTTCTCAGAACTTGAATCTGATTGTATCCCATCCCTGCTTACAATCCTTCAGGGACACTCCACCACTGTCAGGATGAAGGCTAAATTCCTTAATTTGGTTTCATTAAGTCGGTCTGCAATCTGCTTGAGCATTTCAGCTTAATCGCCAGAGGATTGCTTCCATATTTCCCCCTAAACATACTTTACCCAAGCTGTAAGGTCCTACATAATTGTGCCAATAATTTAGCAGTGAGCTTCCTGGTAGCCGAAGCAAAAAGGGAAAGAAAACCACTGTGTGAGTTGTGAGAAAGTAGGAATCAATAAAGGCTGGAGTGGTCATGGAAGGCTTTCTGGGAAAGGTAGAGGTTGAGCTAAGGAAAGAAAGTATTTTAATAGGTAGGAGGACCCTTCATGGAGCTGCCCTTCCATTAAGGTCTAGCCTGGTCACCGTGCCTGGGTCTGAGGCCCTCCCTCCACAGGGCTGCCTTGAGCGACACGGTGGCGCTGTGGGAGTCCCTGCAGCAGCATGGGGAGACCAAGCTACTTCAGGCAGCAGAGGAGAAGTTCACCATCGAGCCTTTCAAAGCCAAGTCCCTGAAGGATGTGGAAGACCTGGGAAAGCTTGTGCAGACTCAGAGGTGAGAGGAGAGGCGGATGGGAGGTGGTTCACGCCATGCAGGTTGAGGACATGTAGGACCCATTCTCAAGTTTGTCATGGGCATTTCCAGTGCCCCCTGTCCTCTGGGACACCCCATGCCCTCTTTCTGGGCAATGGCTAACCAGAGTCTCTCACTGCACTCGCTGCCCAGGCGGAGCCTCTAGAATTGAAAACTTTGCTGCATTCAAAACCTGCCATCATGTGCCCAAGTCTTAGCTAAAGCCATGGAGAACCTCTCCCCTTCTAGGAGTTAACAAGGATGCCTTGTGCACCTAGTAACAGAAGTGACACCTACTGCCACCCTTTGAGGCATTTAGGACAACTGTTGTCCCAAATTTATAGACGGCAGAGCTAAGGTCCAGAAGGCAGACAAAACTTGATTACAGAACAAGTTAACTGTCTTTCATTCATTCCTTCATCACACATTGTTTGAGCGCCTCTTAAGTGCTGTCTGGGATAGGTACTGGTAAGTGCCTAATCTGAGGCTCATTTCCATGAAAGATACAGTCCTGAGATCTTTTATTTTTATTTTTATTATTTCTTAAAGACAGGGTCTCGCTGTGTCTACCAGGCTAGAATACAGTAGTGCGATCATAGCTTACTGTAGCTTCGGAACTCCTGAGCTCAAGCGATCCTCCTGCCTCAGCCTCCCAAGTAGCTGGGATTATAGGTGCACGTCATCACACCGGATGATTTTTTAAGTTTTTGTAGACACAGGGATCTTGCTATGTTGCCCAGGCTGGTCTTGAACTCCTGGCCTCAAGCAATCCTCCTGCCTCAGCCTCCCAAAGTGCTGGGACTACAGTCACGAGGCACCGCACCCAGACAGATCTTTTTTTTTAAGAGGGGGACAACAGTTGCCCCAAGGAAAGCAATCCCCCTGGGGAATTTGGGGCACTGGGGCAGCCATCATGGGACCCATGGGTAAGGGCTCAGTGACAGCAGTGCCTGCTCCCCCTAACATTGCCTGTTCTCTCCAGGACGAGAAGTTCCTCGGAAGACACAGCTGGGGAGCTCCCTGCTGTTCGGGACCTAAAGAAACTGGAGTTTGCGTAAGCAAAGGGGTGGATTGTCTTGTGGGTCTGCGCAAGGTTTCCCCTGCAGCATTAGCTGGGCTTGTACCACCTGAATGGAGATAGATCTCCAGAATCATTCTTACCCTCTTGCCCACCACTTTGGAAATAGCTTCCAGCAGCTGGAAAGTGACCAGTGTGGGCAAATGCTGGAGGTTCTCAGATTTGAAGCTAATGGACCCGTTTGCTGGTTAACATGGTCATTCCCATCACTCATTCAACAGAGGTATTGAGCACTTGAATGACTGAGGCTGCTGTCCTCATGAGCTGACAGTCTAATCAACTCCCCTCTGGAGGAGGTCAGGGGGACTTCCTGGAGGAGGTGATATCTGCACTGAAGCTTCAGTGAGGATAAGGAATGAGCTGAGTGGGGAGAGGGGAGTAAGAAAGGCTTTCCAGGAATTGTAATTTCGCCAGGGATCAGAAAAGGCCCAATGTGTCCCCAACCTTCCATAGGAGGATGCCACTATGACTATGGAGTCCTTTTCCCTCCTGTGGCCAGGAACTGCACAACGTCCCTTGTGCCTGAGCTTGTTTACTTCCACAGCCAAGGGATGGCCTCCCCAGGGAGAATCTTTCCCCCATTTTGAAATTCCCAGGAGCTTTTGATGTGCAGCTAGGATGAAAAAGCAACCCTACTTGCCTGGGACTATCCTGGTTTGAAAACTGAAAGTCTTGCATCCCAAGAAGCCCCTTAGTCCCAGGCAAACTGGGACAGTTGGTTGCTCTATGTGTGGCCAGGGCTGGGGGCCACACCCTAGGCAGTGTTGCTGGGGTGACAGAAATGGAGACCTAGGCAAGGCTCTAGGGAGTCCAGTTGTGTCTGGGTCACTGAGGAGGGGCAGCCCACCATACATGGGCCCCAAGAAAGCACAATAATTATTATATTTAGATCTGTCAGAATATAGCTTTTCTTTCTTTCTTTCCTTTCTTCTCTCTTTCTTTTTCTTTCTTTCTTCTTTCTTTCTTTCTCTCTTTCTTTCCTCTTTCTTTCCTTTCCCTTCCTTTTCTTTCCTTCCCTCCCTCCCTCCTTCCTTCCTTCCCTCCCTCCCTTCTTCCCCCTTTTCTTCTTTTTCTTTCTCTCTGTTTCTTTCTTTCTTTCTCTCTCTCTCTCCCTTCCTTCCTCCCTCCCTATCTCTCTCTTTCTTTCTTTCTTTCCTTCTTTTCTTTCTTTCCTTTCTCTCCTTTCTCTTTCTTTCTTTCCATTCTCTTTCTTTCTCTTTCCTTCCCTCCCTTCCTTCTCTTCCTTCCTTCTTTTTCCTTTCCTTTTCTTTCCTTTTCTTTTCTTTCTTGAGGCAGAGTCTTACTCTGTCCCTCAGGCTGGAGTTCAGTGGCACAATCACAGCTCACCACAGCCTCAACCTCCCTAGGCTCAAGTGATCCTCCCACCTCAGCCTCCCTAGTAGCTGGGACTACAGGCATGCCCCACCTGACTAATTTTTGTATTTTTTGTAGAGACAGGATTTCACCATGTTGCCCAGTCTGGTCTCGAGCTCCTGGGCTCAAGCAATCCTCCCACCTCAGCCTCCCAAAGTGCTAGGATTACAGGTGCGAGCTCCCGCACCTGGCCAGAACAGGCTTTTAAATTTGCAGCTCACCTTCCATCTCAATTATCTCAGGCCACCCTCCTCTACAGGCATTGTCATCATCTCCCCATTGTACAAATGGCAATGCTGAGAACAAGAGACTTTAAATTGTTTATCCAAAGTCATAAAGGTCAGGTCAGCCTGGCCCTAAGCTCCTTCCACAGAAAAAGCTAAATGAATGTTTGTTCCTTGGTAGGGGTCTAGATCATCTAATGATTAGGAAGGAGTTGTTATGCCTGTGGTATATTCGGTGCTGTTTTTTTTTGGAGATGGGGTCTTGCTCTGTCACCCAGGCTAGAATGCAGTGGTATGATCTTGGCTCACTGCAATCTCCACCTCTCGGTTCAAGCAATTTTCCTGCCTCAGCCTCCCGAGTAGCTGGGATTACAGGTGTACACCACTACACCTGGCTAATTTTTGTATTTTTAGTAGAGACGGGCTTTAACCATGTTGGCCAGGCTGGTCTTGAACTCCTGGCCTCAGATGTTCCTCCCACCTCAGCCTCCCAAAGTGCTGGGATTACAGGTGTAAGCCACCATGCCCAGCTTATAATTCAGTGCATTTTATATATAATCTCATTAATCTCAAGAGCTACTGTGGAAGACAGACAGTCATCATCTTCCCCATTTTACAGATGAGGAGACGGAGGCCTGGTGAGGTTAAGTGACTTGCCCGTGGTCCCCCAGCTGGTCACCCACAAGCTATCAGCTCTCCCTGATCACTGCTCCCCTGTGCCCCAGAAAAAAGCCAGTGTCTCTTGTTTTGAACAGAGACAAGGTGCTAAATTTGTCCAGAGGTAAAAATGATGCTGAAAAGGGGAAATGTCTGAAAACAATAACTGAGGGCCCTTTCTGGCCTTAAATTATTTTCAGCTGAAAAAGCCCCTAGTTCAAGATCGGAACTGCGCTCTGGGGAACAGCGGCCATGGGGTGGAACAGCCTAGAGCCGGGTGATCAGCCACCTGGAGACCGGAAGCCCCCGAGGAGGTTCTGAGGAAGGAAGGAAGGAAGGAAAAGACTATTTCTGGCATTTTCTCAGGCTTCTACTGTGCCCAGGCACCCTGTAGACCTCATCTGTCTGTCAAATCAGGGTTCTTAGCCACTCACAACCCTACAGGGACTTCGTTTGTACACAGAGTCCTTCCCCAGTTCAGTCCCCACTCACCTGTTCACCCTTATCTCCTACACTCGCTGGGTGCTCTCTCCATTCCAGCCACAGGGCCTCCTTGCTGGCTTTCAACCTCCTAGGCATGCTTCTGCCTCCAGGCCTTTGCACCGGCTGTGCCCTCTGCCTGGAATACTTCTCCCCAGATATCTGCATGGCTCATGCCTTCACCTCCTCTGGTCTTTACTCAGTGAGGCCTTTTCTTTTCTTTCTTTCCCTGTTTCTTTCTTTCTTTCTTTCCCTCCTTTCTTTCTTTCTTTCCCTTTCTTTCTTTCTTTTTCCTTTTTTCTTTTTCTTTTTTTGAGGTGGAGTCTCGCTCTGTCACCCAGGCTGGAGTGCAGTGGCACAATCTCGACTCACTGCAACCTCCTCCTCCCAAGTCCAAGTGATTCTCTTGCCTCAGCCTCCCGAGTAGCTGGGACTACAGGCACATGTCACCACATCTGGCTAATTTTTTGTATTTTTAGTAGAGACGGGGTTTCACCGTGTTAGCCAGGATGGTCTCAATCTTCTGACCTCGTGATCCCCCCACCTCGGCCTCCCAAAGTGCTGGGATTACAGGCGTGAGCCACCACACCCGGCCTCAGTGAGGTCTTTTCTGACCCTCACAGTTAAAAATAAAACTCTGGCCAGGCGCAGTGGCTTATGCCTGTAATCCCAGCACTTTGGGAGGCCGAGGCAGGTGGATCACAAGGCCAGGAGTTTGAGACCAGCCTGGCCAACATAGTGAAACCCCATCTCTACTAAATATACAAAACAAATTAGCTGGGCATGGTGGCAGGTGCCTGTAGTCACAGCTACTTGGGAGGCTGAGGCAGGAGAATCATTTGAAACCGGGAGGCGGAGGTTGCGGTGAGCTGAGATCACGCCACTGCAGTCCAGCTTGGATGACAGAGTGAGACCCCATCTCAAAAATAAATAAATAAATAAATAAATAGAACTCCATTCCCCTCATGGTTAAAAAAAAAACTCCATCCCCCTCACCACTGTATATTTCCATATGATTCATTGTCTCAGACATCAGCTTGCTTTCCGATTTCTTTGATTATCTGTCTATCTTCCCCCCTGGAATGTCAGCACCCAGAAGGCAGGGATTTTCGTCTGTTTGGCCCACAACTTTCCTCCCTGGGCCTGGCACATAGTAGGCAAGCGGTCAATATTTAACAACGAATGCCTTAATCCAAGAACCCCCATAAGATTGGGGTGAAATATTTGAGGAGATCAAGACTTAAGGGTGAAGGGATTTGCCAAGGCCTTTAGCAGGGAGCCAAATGCCAGATCCTGGAGTCAAACTCTGATCCTGTGGCCTTTTGCTGAGGCCAGTGTTCTCAGACTTCAGGATTTCAGAGGCCGAGAACATTTCGGAATGAATTCGAGTGACCGTGCGCGGTTACTGTTTTTTAATGTTTATCAAGGATGCTCATTCAAACAAACAAATAACAACAAAATACCCACTGCTGGCACCATAATTTTACCAAAGAATGATCATTCTAATATTGAAAAAGTTCAAAGGACATAATTGCAGAATAAAAGACAGCTCTTTATATGGAATGCATTTAACCATATTTTTAAACTAAACGGCCCTTCGTTGTCCTTATTTTTCTCATCCCCTTGAAGTCTGCTCTAAATGTTGATCCAGGCTGTGTGACCCTGTGTGAGCTATTTGATCGCCTAGTGCCTCAGTTTCCCTATATGTAAAATGGAGATAAGAGCCCATAGCTCAGAGTCTTGAGGAGTAAATGAGATCTAGGCCGAGGGAAGGGCCTAGCATGCCCCTGGCTTATAATAAATGCTCAACAAATGGTTCCTTTTGTTATTAAAATGCAAAGGCATATTAGTCAACCACCTGGTTTACCACTGGCAGTGGTCGTCAGCTGGCATTTCAGGACCCCTTCCCCAGGCTGCGGCGGGAGAAGGGTATCTGTGGATGTTGGGAAGAGTAAGAACTGGCTCCCTACTTAGAGACAAAAGCTGGGGAGCCCCAAGATGGGAGCCCAACTTACCTCTTTTTCTTTTCTTTTTTTGTTTTTTTTCTTTTTTGAGACAGGGTCTCGCTCTTACCCAGGCTGGAGTGCAGTGGTGTGATCATGGCTCACTGCATCCTCCACCTCCTGGGCTCAAGCGATGCTTCCACCTCAGCCTCCTAAGAAGCTGAGACCACAGGACACACCACCACACTTGGCTAATTATTGTGTTTTTTGTAGAGACTGAGTCTCACTATGTTGCCCAAGCTGGTCTTGAACTCCTGGGCTCAAGCAGTCCTCTTACCTTGGCCTCCCAAAATGCTGGAATTACAGACATGAGCCACTGTTCCCAGCCTCAACTGGCCTCTTATGGGGGGCTATGAAATCTACCCCAAGCAGAAAAGATTGGGGTCCTACGTGGAAGGGTTGCAGGGACCTAAGAGGCTGGGGTGGAAGGGAAGAGGAGGGGCCTCAGACAGGACCTGACTTCTGTGCCTTGTCTCTGCCCCACCCTGGGGCTGAATGAGGGGCTGTGACTGTGACTGGAGGTCTTACCCTTGCTCTTTGCCTCCTAGGCTGGGCCCTGTCTCAGGCCCCCAGGCTTTCCCCAAACTGGTGCGGATCCTCACGGCCTTTTCCTCCCTGCAGCATCTGGAGTGAGTATAGACTCTGGGACCCCTTCCTCTCAACATCTGGGTGCAGTGCTGTGATCATAGCTCACTGCAGCCTCGAATTCCTGGCCTCAAGTAGTCCTCCTGCCTCAGCCTCCTGAGTAGCTGGGACCACAGGTGCATGCTACAGTGCCCAGCAACCTCTGGGTTTTGACAACCCCAAATCCTGCCCCCAAGGCACCTGCAGAAAGAAAAGCCCTCACTTTGTCCCTTTTTTTCTCTCTTCCGCCTACTGCATCCTCAATGTGGCTGGCACATGAGTGATGAGATGACGCCACATCAGATGGGAATCCCCAGTGACAAAAAAAGTTGTAGATCCTTTCGTGACCTTTGAAACTCCTTTCCTCACAACCTCATTTGCTGCTCTCAGCAATTCAGCTGGGGAGGGATTGGGGAGCATAGTCCTACTTTACAGTGGAGGTTAAGGAAGTTGCCAAGCCTCAGGGGCTTAGTTCCTAAGAAGCTAAACAGGGATTCAAGTCCATCATGAGTTAGACTTTGCCCTCTGGCTGCCTGGTTGGAGCCCCCAGGTGATGAAGTCCTCGTCTGAAAAGCTCAGGAATGTGCCGGCTGCCTATGGTGTATTAGAGCTGGGGGGTGGGAAGGGCAGGTGCCAGGGCTGAGGAGGCCCTCACTGGGATGGGAAGGGTCAGATGGCCCCAGGACGCTAGCTGATGGCCCCCATCTGATTCCACCTGCAGCCTGGATGCGCTGAGTGAGAACAAGATCGGGGACGAGGGTGTCTCGCAGCTCTCAGCCACCTTCCCCCAGCTGAAGTCCTTGGAAACCCTCAAGTGAGTGAGCTGGGCCTGCCCTTCCTGCTGAATCGGGCCCCCAAAGTCCGGCTGACTTTTTCAAAATTAATTTAAATTTGTTTTTTTAGACAAGGGCTCGCTGTGTCACCCAGGCTAGAATATAGTGCTATGATCATACCTCTGCAGCCTTGAACTCCTGGCCTCAAGGAATCTCCTCACCTCCGCTTCCCAAAGTGCTGGGATTATAGGTGTGACTTACCATGCCCAGCCCCAGTGGATTCATCCATTCACTCATTCACCTATTCAATCAGCCATTCATCCTTCCATTCAATGATTCATCCATTCACTTATGCAGTCATTTCTTTACTCCCTCATCCAACCGCTCACTCAATCATTTCTTTACTTACCCAACCATTTATTAATTTAATCAACAAATATTTAAGGAGGACCTACTATGTGCAGGCACCTTTCTAGGCCCTGGAGACCCAGCTTTAAACAAAACAAATAAATCCCCTGACCTCAGGAATCTTAAATTCTAGTGAGGAGACACAATGAACAAGTAAACAAGTCGGTAATTATAAAGTATACAGTAATGAAAATAATGTTTGGTGACAGAAAATTATACTGGGGGGTGAAATAGGAGAGATAGATTAGGATTTATCAATAAAGCATTATTATCAAAACAGTAAAACTTTTTAAAAACTGTTCTGGGCTCTGGGAAGTTGGAGATGGATAAGATACAGGAGGATCAATGTGATTTTTTTTCTTTTTTTCAGACAAGGTCTCGCTCTGTCACCCAGGGTGGAGTGCAGTGGTGTAATCATGGCTCACTGCAGCCTCAATCTCCTAGGCTCAAGCAATCCTCCCATCTCAACCTTCTGAGTAGCTGGGACAGGTGCATGCCACCACGTCCCGCTAATTTTTGTATTTTTTTGTAGAGACGTGGTTTCACCACGTTGCCCAGGCTGGTCTTGAACTTCTGAGCTCAAGCCATCCTCCTGCCTCTGCCTCCCAAAGTACTGGGATTACAGGCATGAGTCACTGTGCCTGGTTCAATGGGATTTTTTTTTTTTTTTTTTGACACGGAGTCTCGCTCTGTAGCCCAGGCTGGAGTGCAGTGGTACGATCTATTTATTGCAAACTTCACCTCCTGGGTTCAAGCAATTCTCACACCTCAGCCTCCCAAGTAGCTGGAATTACAGGCATGCACCACTACACCCAACTAATTTTTGTATTTTTAGTAGAGACGGGGTTTCACCAGGTTGGCCAGGCTGGTCTTGAACTCCTGACCTCAAGTGATCCGCCCACCTCAGCCTCCCAAAGTGCTGGGATTACCGGCATGAGCCACCACGCCCAGTTCAACATGATTTTTTACTGAACCTAGAGGATATCAAAATCTTCCCACACTCCCCCTCACAACCAAGGTCTTAGGATGGCCAAATAATTTACCGGAATTTACTTAGCAATTTCCTTAATTGTAGGACTGTGGGACTTCTCCAGTAATTTCTAGTGTCCTAGGTAACACTGTAAGCTAGATTTCTTCTCCTTAGTCCTTCCGTCCCCCTCTTTCTTACCCGCCACCCCACTTAAGTATTTATTGAGCACCTACTATGTGCCTGGCAGTGCTCTAGGCACAGGGATACAGTAATGAGCAAAACAGACACAGCCCTGCTCCATGTGAAGCCCACAACCCGGCAGAAAGGATTACACAGCCATTAAACAAATAATGCCAACACTTATTTCATTATAGTGCTGAAAAGTGGCGCAGAGGGAAAAGAGGGGATGTTGTAAAGTCATGGGACAGGTGGGGGCAGGAGGGTGCACTCTCCCTCCCATCCACCTCCTCATCCCTGCCCTCCCACTTGGCCACAGGACCTAACAGTATCCTCCTATTTACCGAGAGGTAGCTTAAGTCTGTCGACAGCGCCATTCACAGCCTATGACCCAGAACTCTCCTTGAGGTCAAAGTGAGGCATGCAAGTTTGGTCCTGAGCCCTCCCCCTCACTGTGTCCCCGCAGTCTGTCCCAGAACAACATCACTGACCTGGGTGCCTACAAACTCGCCGAGGCCCTGCCTTCGCTCGCTGCATCCCTGCTCAGGCTAAGGTGAGTGGGGCCCCGGATACCGGTCAGGTGCTGAGCTGGGGGGCTGCAGAGCGCAGGGAACCCACATCGTGCTGGCTGCAGGGGACACTGAGACCCTAGAAGCAATCACCACAGCCCTGAACAAAAGGATTAGCGGGACGTGGTGAAAGAAACTCTGAGCAAGTCAGTTATTCATTCCTAGCCGCTGTTTTCTTACCTGGAAAATGGGAACCATCCTAATGGTCTATGTAAGCACTTGTCACAATGCCAGGTTCTGTTATGCAATAAATATTGCTCCTTTTCCCCCAGGGATGGCGGGACCAGGCTTTTTCCGGAACCTAGGGGTGGTGGCTTCTGGAAGGCTAACCACGTACGTCAGCTTTTGCCGGCCTTGTCACTTACATGCCGGTCAGTGTTTCACTGCCACCTTCTGGTAGGCCTTGGCATAGCACCTCTTGCTTTTGAGTGACTTCCATCCAGGCCCTGGTGTGGTCCCAGAGGTAATGAGCGGACTGAGCTTGGACCAGAGCCCCAGTCATCCAACTCAGCATTACCAGCTCTTCTTACTCGCCAGACTGAGAGAAACTGCTCTCCTCTTCGCCAGAGCTCTTCACTTACTGAGGACAACCAGAGTCAGATTCCCAGGAAAGATGGCATTTGGTCCCTTATTATTTATTTATTTTTAATTTTTTTAATTTCTGTTTTTGAGATGGAGTCTCGCTCTGTCACCCAGGCTGGAGTGAAGTGGTGTGATCTCAGCTCACTGCAACTTCTGCCCCCCCCCAGGTTCAAGCTATTCGCCTGCCTCAGTGCTCCGAGTAGCTGGGATTATAGGCGCCCACCACCACGTCCAGCTAGTTTTTATATTTTTAGTAGAGACAGGGTTTCGCCATGTTGGCCAGGCTGGTCTCAAACTCCTGATCTCAGGTGATCCACCTGCCTCGGCCTCCCAAAGTGAGTACTAGGATTACAGGCGTGAGCCACCATGCCCGGCCAACTTATTTATTTATTTATTTATTTATTTATTTGGAGATGGGGTCTCACCCAGGTTGTAGTGCAGGGGTGCAATGATGGCTCACTACAGCCTCGACTACCTGGACTGAAGCGAACCTCCCACCTCAGCCTTCCAAGTAGCTGGGTCCTATACCCTCCTGAGCCTTGTTAATTTCTTCCCAGCATGATCACTGTTTTACAATATTTTATTTATGTAGGTGCTTACTTCTTGCTATGCAAAGAAACTCAGAAGCAAAAATAGAATCTGTCTGGTTCATAATTGTGCTAAAAACTAGAGATACAAGTATGAACTAGACAGATGTCGTTCTTGCTTTTGAGTTTCTTTGCGTAGTAGGAATTAGGCACATACATAAATAAAATATTGTAAAACAGTGATTCATGCTGGGAAGGAAACTAACAAGCCCCAGGAGGGTACAGGACTTCTGGGGAGATGATTCTTCCGTGGGAAGCTCTAGGGGAAAAGGACTCTAGGAAGAAAGAACAGCAGGTGCAAAGGCCCTAAGTGGGAAAAGGGGCTGTGTTTTAAGGGTCAGAAGGGCCACTGTGGCTGTGTGTAGTGAATGAGGGACAGAGGCTGGGCAATGGTGGAAGTAGGGGAGGTCAGGGGAATCCAGATCACACAGGGAGGCCCTTGTGGGTCACAAGAGGTATTTGCAGTTTTTCAGTGTGAATGGAAAAGTAGGTGGGCCTGGGAAGGCGACACTTGATCTGATTTACACTTTTCTTTTTTCTTTTCTTTTCTTTTTGAGACCAAGTCTCACTTTATTGCCCAGGCTAAGGTGCAGTGGCATGATCTCAGCTCACTGCAAGCACTGCCTCCTGGGTTCAAGTGATTCTCATGCCTCAGCCTCCCAAGTAGCTGGGATTACAGATGCCCGCCACCACACCAGGCTATTTTTGTGTTTTCAGTAGAGACAGGGCTTCGCCATGTGGCCCAGACTGGTCTTGAAATCCTGGGCCCAAGCGATCCACCCACCTCAGCCTTCCAAAGTGCTGGGATTACGGGTGTGAGCCACCATGCCCAGCCTGATTTACCCTTTAAGAAACATCATATTTCATGGAATCTAAGATGCCATCCATTGTAAGACCCCAATATGAGGCCAAAATGCAAACTGTGACACGCTATTGGTTATAAGACACATCCTGATCTCAATGATATTCAAATGGTGACATATATGTCTTGGCATCGATGAAATATGGTCAGATTACTCTCCCTGTGGGGTGGAGGAAGGGTCTCCAGGGTTCAGAGATTGCAAAACCCCCATCTAGTTTCTGCACTGGTACCGGCCGACCCGTGATGTGAGTTGATTTAGCCTGAATCCACTTGGCAGCAGTGTAAACCTGCTGCATTTATTTATTTTTTTCTTTTTTTTTCGAGACAGAGTTTCGCTCTTGTTGCCAAGGCTGGAGTGCAGTCTCAGTTCACTGCAACTCCGCCTCCCGAGTTCAAGCAATTCTCCTGCCTCAGCCTCTCAAGTAGCTGGGAGTATAGGCATGTGCCATCACACCCGGCTAATTTTGTATTTTTAGTAGAGACGGGGTTTCTCCATGTTGGTCAGGCTGGTCTCAAACTCCCGACCTTAGGTGATCCACCCGCCTCGGCCTCCAAAGTGTTAGGATTACAGGCGTGAGCCACTGCACCTGCTGCTTTTATATGCAGCCCTGCAAGGGAGTTCTGAGGCTGAATCATGGCAAAGTCATGGCCCTGAAATCATACCCGCAGCAGCACCTGACCTGTTAAAAGGCTGCTTGGTGTCGAGTAAACAGCTGAAGTTGGCATCAGTGACACTCATCATGCTATTTTCACTGCTACTAATGCTGGTTGTGAATATGCTGCAGAAACTGGAGCTGGTCCAGTGACTGGCTTTTTCTCTTCCTGCCCCCAGTGCTGGTCACACCCTCTATGTTAACTCATGCGACCCTCACCAATGTTCCTGTGATGTAGTCAGAACCATAGCTAACATTTAGTTCATTCTAGGCACCAAGGCATGTTCTAAATGTTATATCAGCATTGATTCATTTACTCCTCCCCACAATGACTCTATCATGCCCATTTTACAGATGGGCAAACTGAGTCTCAGAAGAGTTGAGTAGCTTGCCCAAGGTCACATAGGCAGTAAGAGGCATAGCTGGGATTTGAACTTGGGAAGTTGTTCTGACAGTTTCCACACAGTAAGGCAAGAAATGACTTCCTTTTAGTCCTGCTGTTTTCCTGGGCTCACTGTTTGACCACAGAGAAGTGGTCTCAACTCTCTGGGTCTTGGTTTGCCTGTCTTTAAAATGGGGCAGTAATCCCAGTAGGTGGTGACTCCCACGGGGCTGACCTCCAGGCTGCAGGGGACACTGAGATCCTAGAAGCAATCACCACAGCCCTGAACAAGAGAACTAGTGGGACCTGGGGACAGAAACTTTGAGCAAGTCACTTATTCATTCCTAGCCTCTATTTTCATATCTAGAAAATGGGAACCATCCCAATGGCCTATGTAAGTACTTGGCACAATGCCAGGCTCTGTTGTGCAATAAATATTGATTCCTTCCCCCAGGGATAGTGGGACCAGGCTTTTTCTGGAATCTAGGGATGGTGGCTTCTGGAAGGCTGACCATGCACAGGCCTCCAATCCCTCCCCCTGGCCTCTGTTTCCGACAGCTTGTACAATAACTGCATCTGCGACGTGGGAGCCGAGAGCTTGGCTCGTGTGCTTCCGGACATGGTGTCCCTCCGGGTGATGGAGTGAGTGTGGGAGTCTGGGCGGTGGGTGGCTCAGCCCGGGGTGGGAGACACTGAAGTCTCTCCCTGGTGTCCTGGAAGAGCTGGATGTGGGGGTGGCCTTGGTCTGGAGCTGGGGAGTCCCAAGGGCCAGGCCCCAAGGTGAGTTTCTCTTGCCAGCGTCCAGTACAACAAGTTCACGGCTGCCGGGGCCCAGCAGCTCGCTGCCAGCCTTCGGAGGTGTCCTCATGTGGAGACGCTGGCGTAAGTCCAGGCAACCCTGGTGGGTGGAGAACAACTCACTCCCCAGGCGTGTGGCCCAGTGTGACCCCGGAGCTCAAATCATGCTCTTCCCTTCACCAATCTGCAACCCTGGGTGAGCAGACACTTCCCCCTCTGGCTTCAGCTTCTTCATCTGTAAAGTGGGGACAGTAATAATATCCACCCAAGAGGTTTTGTGAGGCTTAAACTAATCAAGCCCTACAAAGCTCTTATAACAACAGTAGCTGGCACACAAAAATGCCAATAAATGCTATATTAGGCTGAACCATATGAAATTGCTGACATCCACCCATTTTTGACCTGTAAAATTGGCAATTTCATATGGTTCAGGTTTATCTTTTATTAAGTCACCATGATGTCCAATACTGGTTACTTTATATTCTTTCAAAGCACTTTTATCTCCACAATCACTCACCTCTTCTAAGACGCACAGGGTGGGTCTTACAAGACCCATTTTACAGATGAGGAAAATAAAGCACAGAGCAGTTAACTAACCTTTCTGGGGTCACACAGCAAGTCAGCTGCAGAACCATAAAGGAATCTCGGGCCTCCTAGGCTTCTCCTTTTCCCCATGACCCACACCGGTCGGTATCTTGCCAGGGGAAAAGTCCCCAACGTTCTAGGCTGGGTGGAAGGAGGGATTTGGGGGCAGCTGTCACTGGGGCCCCAGGCCGCCCTCTCTCCTCTAACCTGGCTCTGAGTCCCATCCCCCCTTGCAGGATGTGGACGCCCACCATCCCATTCAGTGTCCAGGAACACCTGCAACAACAGGATTCACGGATCAGCCTGAGATGATCCCAGCTGTGCTCTGGACAGGGTAACCAGGGTGGGCTTGGGAGGGGAGAGCCGCAGTGGGTTGGGGGCAGTGTCCTTGTGAAGGTGGCATTCAAAAAATGTGGGCGGGACACAGGTGGGGCTAGGCCACCACCCTTGGACGCATGCGTCATCAGAGACATCCCCTCATCTCCACCCTGGGCTCGGTGGAGCTGTCCTCCAGGCTTTGCGAGCTTGGTCCCTGTGGTCAGGCTTAGAGATCAGGGGACAGGAAAGTTGGCCATCCACATCCCACAGCCTCAGTGCTTGGAAGAGCTTCCTTTGGGGACTCCAAGCCTTCCCAGCTGCTGTTTCGGCTTGGTGGCTGCCCTGATGCTCCGGGTTTGTCTCAGATGAACTTGCTTGACAAGTCTCCTGCTCCTCACTATGAAGATCACTGTCCCCCAGCCCTGTGCTCCCCGCACTGTGCTGCACGTCCACCTCCATTCCACTGCCCCTCCCATCCCCCCATCTTGATAGCACCCTTCCCAGGTGTCAAGCTGCCCCTCCTAGAGTGTCCTGCCTAAACCCCCTCTCCTGGCTCCTCCCGCTACAGCATGTTCTCTGAGGACACTAACCACGCTGGACCTTGAACTGGGTACTTGTGGACACAGCTCTTCTCCAGGCTGTATCCCATGAGCCTCAGCATCCTGGCACCCGGCCCCTGCTGGTTCAGGGTTGGCCCCTGCCCGGCTGCGGAATGAACCACATCTTGCTCTGCTGACAGACACAGGCCCGGCTCCAGGCTCCTTTAGCGCCCAGTTGGGTGGATGCCTGGTGGCAGCTGCGGTCCACCCAGGAGCCCCGAGGCCTTCTCTGAAGGACATTGCGGACAGCCACGGCCAGGCCAGAGGGAGTGACAGAGGCAGCCCCATTCTGCCTGCCCAGGCCCCTGCCACCCTGGGGAGAAAGTACTTCTTTTTTTTTATTTTTAGACAGAGTCTCACTGTTGCCCAGGCTGGCGTGCAGTGGTGCGATCTGGGTTCACTGCAACCTCCGCCTCTTGGGTTCAAGCGATTCTTCTGCTTCAGCCTCCCGAGTAGCTGGGACTACAGGCACCCACCATCATGTCTGGCTAATTTTTCATTTTTAGTAGAGACAGGGTTTTGCCATGTTGGCCAGGCTGGTCTCAAACTCTTGACCTCAGGTGATCCACCCACCTCAGCCTCCCAAAGTGCTGGGATTACAAGCGTGAGCCACTGCACCGGGCCACAGAGAAAGTACTTCTCCACCCTGCTCTCCGACCAGACACCTTGACAGGGCACACCGGGCACTCAGAAGACACTGATGGGCAACCCCCAGCCTGCTAATTCCCCAGATTGCAACAGGCTGGGCTTCAGTGGCAGCTGCTTTTGTCTATGGGACTCAATGCACTGACATTGTTGGCCAAAGCCAAAGCTAGGCCTGGCCAGATGCACCAGCCCTTAGCAGGGAAACAGCTAATGGGACACTAATGGGGCGGTGAGAGGGGAACAGACTGGAAGCACAGCTTCATTTCCTGTGTCTTTTTTCACTACATTATAAATGTCTCTTTAATGTCACAGGCAGGTCCAGGGTTTGAGTTCATACCCTGTTACCATTTTGGGGTACCCACTGCTCTGGTTATCTAATATGTAACAAGCCACCCCAAATCATAGTGGCTTAAAACAACACTCACATTTATTCTGCTCACATATCTGTCATTTGAGCAGGGCTCAGCGGGGACAGCTCCTTCTGTCCTACTCTGTGTCAGGTGGGGCAGCTTGAGGGTTGGGCTGGTGTCACCTGAAGACTCATTCTTCTGTACGTCTGACAGGCAATGCTGGCTGTTGGCTGGGGGCCTCAGTGCCACTACGGAATAGTTGGCTAGGACCCCTCCATGTGGGCTAGTTGGGCTTCCTCATAGTATGGTGGCTGGGTTGGAGGGTGTCCCAAAAAGAAAGGAGGGGATAGAGAGAGACCACTTTTCATAACCTAGCCTTAGAAGTCACACAGTATTACTTCTGCTACATATATATGTTTTAAGAGGCAGGGTCTCACTCTGTCGCCCAGTCTGGAATGCAGTGGTATGATCACGGCTCACTGCAGCCTCAACCTCCTGGGCTAAGTGATCCTCCCACCTCAGCCTCCCGAATAGCTGGGACTACAGGTGTGAGTCACCAAGCCCAGTTAATCTTTAGTTTTATTTTTGTAGAGCCAGGGTCTCACTATGTTGCCCAGGCAGGTCTTGAACTCCTGGCCTCAAGTGATTCTCCTGCCTCAGCCTCCCAAAGTGCTGGGATTACAGGTGTGAACCACCACACCCAGCCCACTTCTGCCATATTCTGTTGGCCAGTGTGACAAGGATTGCTACTGTCCTACCCACCCTCCTTTCACCACATGTGCACATGCACGTGTGTGCACGTACACACACATACACACACACGCGTGCACACACCAGAGCCCACCTTGGCTCAAGTCCTCTTTTCTGAGAGGACTTTTCTTTGTGGCTTCCTAAAATTCAGTGGAAAATTAATTGTTTGGGGATGAGAAAGGTTGAAGCACCAAAAGCTTACCAAGGGGAATGTTTGCCTCTGCCTCTGACACACAGCTCTGTCCTGGGAGTGAGCTGGTTTTTAGCGGAGACGGAGTCCCACCTTGGCTGCAGGGAGTCCGAAAGGGACTTGGAAGCTCCGCTTTCTACCCAGCGAGCTGCCGGCACGACTGTTGCTTTTCACTCGGGCATAGTCTGCTCAGAAGCCCCAATTCAAGACATCTTAGCTTACTCCTGGTGGCAGTGGGAGCTGCCTGTTCAGCTCCAGCTCACCAGCCCCAGTGCCCACAGGATCAGTCTGATTCCCAAGCTCTGCTCCTCTCCCCAGCAAGTGAGAGCTGGGTGTCAAGAGGGTCTGAGGAATCCAGACCCGGCTGCGTGGTTGATGATCTTTGCAGACAGGCAAGCACCTCCTGCCTCGAACTGGCTGCAAAGGGTATCAGGTGCTGCCATCCAGGTTCAGCTTGTAAATAGCTCAGGTGTCACCCTGCAAGGGATCCCTGCACTTGCAGACTCTACAGAGGCCATGGGCCTCCTGTGTGTGCGCCTACAGGAGTGAGCACTAAGGTGTGCTCTGATCATCCACTGTGCCATGTGCCAGGTTTTTGGTCTGACCCACTGCTTTTGGTCTGTGTGATGATGAAATGAGGTCAGAGCCTGCAGTTATTAACACTAACGATTTGTTAATGATAGCTACTGTTTATTATTTTATTTAATTTTTTTGAGACAGAGTTTTCACTCTTATTGCCCACGCTGGAGTGCAGTGGCATGATCTCGGCTCACTGCAACCTCTGCCTCCTGGGTTCAAGCAATTCTCCCACCTCAGCCTCCCAAGTAGCTGGGATTACAGGCATGCACCACCACGCCTGGCTAATTTTTGTATTTTTAGTAGAGATGGAGTTTCACCATGTTGGCCAGGCTGGTAATCTGCCTGCCTTGGCCTCCCAAAGTGCTGGGATTACAGGGGTGAGCCACCGCACCCGGCCACTACTGTTTATTTAATGAGCAGATACATGCAAAGCCCTTATCACAGTGCAAGGGAAATTCAAAGCGCTCAGAAAGTATTAGCTCAATAAGTGATGACTGTGTGCCAGACACTGTGCTAAACTCCTACTCAAGAGGGATAAGAGTCTAGGGGCAAGTGGCAGAGACTCTAGAACGAGATTGCCTGGGCTCAACGCCCACCTCACCACTTACTTATGCAAGCTAGTTCTCTGTGCCTCAGTCTCCTCATTTGTAAAATGGGCATAACCACAGCACCTTCTTTATAGGATTATGTGAAGGTGTGGTGAGCTAATACGTTAAGAATTGGAGCTCAATAACATGTTGGCTGTCATTATTACATATATCTGTGTTTCATTCTTGCCTCTGGCTGGAATGTTCTTCCCAGCTCTCCATATGGCTGATTTCTCATCCTTCGGGACTTGCCCCATTCTCCAACCCCATCACTAGTTTTATCTTTTTCACTTATTTATGCAGTCTGCTCTTGTCCTAGGACATGAGCTCCAGGAGGGCGGGAAACATCTCGCTTTGTACACTGCTGTGCCCTCTGTACCCAGCAAGGCGCCTGTGTATAATAGGTGCTCAATAACATAAAATGAACAAATAATCCTCACCTAACGGTTTCATTCATTCTGCAAATACATACTGACAGCACAGTCATGAATAAGATGTTCCTGCCCTGGTGAGTCTTATATTTTAGCAAATTAAAAAAACTCTTTGGACAGGGCTGCCAGGTGAGGTTGGCCAGTCTGTACACTGCACAAAGGCACCTGGGACAAGGGGGAACATGGGGGCTGCAAACCAGTCTGGGTTCTGCTTGCCAAACTGGGAGTCCTGGTGTGGAGCCTTTTAACCCAGAGGGGCATCTTTTCGTAGTTAACGCACAGTCATCGTAAGATGTGGATAAATTACTGTCTCCGTGTCACAGATCTAAGTGATACTTATAGTCACACTCCTATAAAGGAATGGACTTCTGACTTCTTTGGAGGACCTCTCTGCAGGGACAGGCACAGTGTGCCGGAAGTGCCCCTGAACCCCATTTGTCAGGTGGTAAAGCGCTGCTCGGAGGAATCAGGGCATGATAGTGCAATTCCATGTCCAGTGGATTGTAAGTCCACGCACCTTCCAAATGGTCACTCTTCCTCGCAGGCCTCTCTCTGCATACAAATGTCTCCCTCCTGACGCTCACCTTTTTCCCTGGGGCTCTCAAATGTCTTCTTTTCAGATTTCGTAGCTTTTCTTTCTTTAGCATCACTTGAGGGCAAGTGGTGCTCCAACTGTCTCCCCCCAGAGTTCTGCCGCCTGTACTCTCCCACACCTCAGTCTCCTCGCCTGTAGAAAGGGGTCAATCGTTTGAACCCTGCTTCACTTGGTGTGTATGTGAAGGTGCTTTGAAATCAAGTGCTCTGCAAACTGGAGAGAATTACTGCTTGTATTCCGTGAAACTACAAGCTCCCAATTCCACTCATTTAATCCCTCTCTTGCTCTGTTGCCCAGGCTGGAATGCAGTGGCATGATCTCAACTCACTGCAACCTCTGCCTCCCTGGTTTCAAGCAATTCTCCTGCCTCAGCCTCCCGAGTAGCTGGGACTATAAGTGTGCGCCACTATGCCTGGCTAATTTTTTTGTATTTTTAGTAGAGATGGGGTTTCACCGTGGTGGCCAGGCTGGTCTCGAACTCCTAACCTCAAGTGATCTGCCCGCCTCGGCCTTCCAAAGTGCTGGGATTACAGGCATGAGCCACCATGCCAAGCCCTTCCCCCCTATCTTTAATGAAGGTCTACCATGTGCCTGACACAGGGGATACCCACCCCCACTTCTATGGGATTCAGGCCTGGTTTCCAGCTTGGCCTTCAGGCTTTTCCCACCACACCCCAAATGCTGTCCCTGGCTTGTGGAGTGGGGCAGGGGGCCAGCCTGGGACTTTCACGCCAGCCCGACTGGGGCAGACTCTCTCAACCCCACTGGATCTTCTGCTGTTTGTCAGCCACAAGGTTCTGCCTAGAACTCCTTTCCCGAATCTCAAAGTTAAAAAAAAAGGCAGGGCCCCAGGGGTTGGAGTTGCATACATTTTTTTTTAATCCAAAGAAGTAAGCCTCCTAAGTATTGCTTAGACAGGTTTATCAGAATTAAGTAGGCACAACACTCATACTTTCAGAAAAGCATTTCCAGCCAGGGGAGTAACGTGGCACTCACCAGCATGATGTCTGTTTTGCCAACTTGCTGAAGAACGAGTAACCTGAAATGAAGGAGCGAGAATCCCACCCTCAGCCCCCCAACAGCTTCCTCAGCTTCTTTTTCTTCTGAGTCACCCCTGAAACAGTCGCTGCATCTAAGACCAGCCTCGGGCTAAACCCAGCTGGCCTGAAGGCTCAACTCACATCAAACGGAGCTGGGAGTCGCTTTTGCGTGTGTCCGCAGTTTGAAGTGTCCTCTCCGAAGGTGAAGTGGGGGAAGCAGGTGCGCTCCGGGATGAAGTGCAGGGAGGCAAACTCTGGCTGGGTTCCTGTAAACATCCATCGCAGCTGCAAATAATCAGAAGCCAAGGCCAGGCCATCGATTTGACACTGCAGGCAGATGAGGTCTTGGGATGCCTCTTGCGTTCCCCCTTCTGTGGGAGCAGGTGCCTTCCCAACCTCAGCACTCAGTCCCAATCTCTCTTCCACTCTCCTGGGTTCAAACAGGAACCTCTCTGTTGGCACGAAGCTTTTGAGGGGAGCAGGTCTAACAAGAAGGAAAAAGGGGGGTTATTAGCACGGAAGCCCCACCCTGCCACCAGGTTGGCTGGGGACAGGGACCAATCCACCAGGCTCGGGAGGCTTGGGGTGGGGCAGGGAAGTCTTCCTCCATCCCTCAAATTTAGGGAACCACTGGGAGCCCCAGACTCAGGCTGAAAATGTCTTTCTGCAAATATAAAACTCTTTTTAATGAATTTGCCTAATTTCTCAGAGACCCTGGGCTGGAGAACCAGTGCAATGTCACACGGGAGAGGAAGGACTGTCCTGTTTATTGGGAGGGAGGAGGGGGATGCTGGTGCAGCCTGCTCAGGAGTCACCCAGGGTCTGAGGGCTGACTTGCAGCTCTGGGCCAGCTGAGCCAGCGCTGGGTAGTGGGCAGGGCTTGGCAACACCTTCCACCTTGCCCGGAAAAATGCTTTGCAACCTACAGGAAGGCAATAGCCACAGCCAAGTTACTCAGCAGCCCCACTTGGCTCTTTCTCCCAGGATGCAGCATCATCTCCATGGCCTGGCCCCCTGGCACGTCCCCGTTTCCCACTGCCTTCTCTGTGTGCCTAGCCGGGTGCCAGTGTCTCTGTAGCACCTCGTGTTCCCATGCCCAACCCCTCTGCAGCCCCCTCAAGCCCTGCTCTGATTCCAAGCCTCATCTCCCAGCTCACTATCCTTTCCGCAAACTTCACTGAACATCTCGCAGAACTTGTATGTTAAACATGTGACATGTATTGTTGTTTGACAGGGTGCTATTGACATTTGGGGTAGGACAATTCTTGGAGGTGGGGTGGCTGTTCTGGGCACTGAGCATTTAGCAGCATCTCTGGCTCCAGGCCACTAAATGCCAGTAGCACCCCTGGCCACTGGAACAACTAAAAATGCCCTCCTACCCTATTTCCAAGGTCGACCTAAGGGGGCGGAACTGTTTCCATTGAGACCCATGCATCGTATAGGATAAGAAACTGAGGTTCTTATCATTTAATAGGATAAGAAATTGAGGTTCAGAGAAGCCAAGTAACCTGCCTAAAGATGCACAGCTATGAGAGGCAAAGCTGGCACTGGCTTGGTAATAACGATGGAAACGGTCTGAATGAGAGCAGGTACCATTTCCTGAGCTCTTAGCAGACGCTGAGGACCCTGCTAAGTGCCATGAGACCTTAGCAGAGGCTGTGGGTGCCCCGCCCCATTCCCTCCACTCACTCTTCCTTGCAGGTCGACCTGCCCTTCTTTGCTGAGGCCTTTCTCTGCCTCCAGAGCCTGCTTGGTCCTCAGGCTGTAAGTGCAGGCAGAGCTAATGTCTCTCCATAGCTGCCCTCCACCAGCCTGCTCCTGAGACACCTGCTGGCCAGCAGCCTGAAGCAGAATCCTTTACTCAGATTCAGCCGCACAGATGCTCACTGCAGAGATCTCCAAGGCCTGTGGTCATCCTTGAGCCCATCTCAGATTTGTGTGGATAGGGTGTTAGAGAACATGGAATCAGCTGGATAGAGTGGTTCATGCTTGTAATCCCAGCACTTTGGGAGGCTGGGGTGGGAGGATCACTTGAGGCCAGGAGTTTGAGACCAGCCTGGGCAACACAGTGAGACTGTCTCTATAAAAAATTTAAAAATTAGCCAGGCATAGTGTAGTCTCAGCTACTTGGAAGGCTGAGGCAGGAGGATTGCGTGAGCCCAGCAGTTCAAGGCTGCAGTGAACTATGACTGTGCCCCTGCACCCAGCCTGGGTGACAGAGACCCTGTCTCAAAAAAAAGAGAAGATGGAATCACTCGGTGAGGACCTCACTCCTCTCCCAGTCCTGTGACCACAAACCGCATCCCCGACAGTCCCAGCCAGGCGCTAGTCTGGCTGTAGCTGCCCTCTTGTGTGCAGATCTCCAGTCTGAATGGGCTACACGTGGAATTTACTAACACTCCGGTTTTCATTGTGTTTATCTGTAGGGTTACCTTCTATTTATAGCAAGTGATGCCAAGTTTCCATTTCTGGTAGTAATATAGTTTTTCTTTTCCAAGTCGCTCACACCTGTAATCCCAACACTTTGGGAGGCTAAGGTGGGTGGATCAGTTGAGATCAGGAGTTTGAGACCAGCCTGGCCAACATGGCGAAATGAGGTCAAGACTAGCCTGGCCAACATGGCGAAACCGCGTCTCTACTAAAAACAAACAAACAAAAATACAAAATTCGCTGGGCATGGTGGCAGGTGCCTGAGGTCCCAGCTACTCGGGAGGCTGAGGCAGAAGAATCGCTTGAGCTAGGGAGGCAGAGGTTGCAGTGAGCCGAGATCACGCCACTGCACTATAGCCTAGGTGACAGAGTGAGACTCTGTCTCAAAAAAACACAAAAGTTTCTCTTTTCAAAACATTTTACTTTAAAAGGAGCCAATTTAAAGAAAACTGTTAATAGTTCAGGTAACAGGCAGATACAGGAAAAGCTGCTGACAGTGTTGTATGAGGTTTGAGGATTTTGATCCAAGCTGGTCCCACTCAGTCCATAGCAGAGAATGAAAGGGCCCAGAGAGGGTGGTGACCTCTGCCTGAAGTCACACAGTGAGTCGAGGACAGGGAGGTGACCCCAGGTTTCTATGTGTAGGGCGGGAGGATGTTCTGGGACACAGTTCAATTCTCATTTGTCACACACTTTGGCTATTAGAGATCAACCCCTTCGCTCCTGTGTCTTGCAATGGCAGCCTTGGCAAACGCTAAATGAAAATCGTGACAACACTTGTGTTATGAAGCATTTACTTTGTGTTCACCTTGTACTACTCGAACTCATGTCTTAACTCACTTATCCCTCAAAAACAACTCTAGGAGGTAGGGCCAAGTAGGACCATCATCCCTGCATTTCACATGGAGCTCAGAGAGGTTAAGCAAGCCGTGCAAGGCCACACAGCTCATAAATGGCAGAGCCAGGATTTGAACCCCCGTGGCCTGACCCCAAAGCCGAAACCACTCGGCACTGCAGGTTCGTCCCTTTTCTCTGAGATGGGGGTATCCAATCTTTTGGCTTCCCTGGGCCACAGTGGAAGAACTGTCTGGGGCCACATATAAAATATACTAATGATAGCTCATGAGCTAAAAAATAAAACAAAATCACACACACACACACAAAAAAACACAAACCAAAAAAAAAATTCTTTTTTTTTTTTTTTTTTTGAGACAGGGTCTTGCTTTGTCACCCAGGCTGGAGGGCAGTGGCATGATCTTGGCTCACTGCAGTTCCAGGTTCAAGCAATTCTCATGCCTCAGCCTCCTGAGTAGCTGGGACTACAGGCGCATGTCACCATGCCTGGCTAATTGATGTATTTTTTAGTAGAGATGGGGTTTCACCATGTTGGCCAGGCTAAAATCTCATAACGTTTTAAGAAAGTTTATGAATCTGTGTTGGGCCACAGTCAAAGCCGTCCTGAGCTGTATGCAGCCTACAGGCCGCACCACGGATTGAACAAGTTTCTTCTAAGGCATCAAGAGCCCCAGGCTGAAAAGCACCCCAGAGCTGGAGCTTATAGAACCCAGGGCAGCAGGTTCTCCAACCTTCTGACATCATCAGAGCACAGCAGACAAGTTATCAGCCACTAGATTTTTTTCCCCCTTTCTGAAACTGTAACCTTTCATTCCAGCCATTCCCCAGAGCTGGACAGAGGACGTGGCTGGCTGGCTGGTTTCTGTAGTCAGAATGACAGTTGGGTGCTAGATCCCCTTCGTGAAGCAATGTCTTAGCTCAGTAACTCTGCAGAGAAGCTGCCTGGTTCAGGATGTGGCTTAAGTAAGAAGATGGCCCTGGCGTTTTACGCGCACTGGTGGGTGAGGCTCTGAAAGTGGTAGAAGGGAATTCTTTCCTAGAGTTCAGCTGCCCGCTGTCCTGCTCCTCAGGGCAAATGCTGTGAGATCTGCATTTAGCCTGTCTGTGCTGATTGTGGTTCTGCCCCTTCCTGGCTGTGTGACCTCAGACAAGTCACCCACCCTCTCTGGGCCAGTTTCCTCATCTGGAAAAGGGGACAGTGCCCACCACATTGGGCTGTTTGTGTCCATGGAGTGCCTGACAATACCCAGCACACACGAGACATCAGTACAGGGTGGTTCCTTCCCTCCTTAGCCCCACCTGTTCCCAGGTAGAAACCAATACCGGCAGGGAACCTTCTCAAGGCTAGGGGCCTTCTGAAAGCAGCAGCACTTTTCCTCCTTCAAAGACCTTGCCTTCTAGAAACCCATTGCTCATTCCTTTCTCCATGTACCAAAAAATCAATTAAAGTGGCTAAAGACAGACGTCACCCTCCCCTACTCACGCAGCCATTCTGATCCTCCACGCTGGTGACAGGCTATGTGGCAGGAGGGTCTCTACCTTATCTCAGAATGAAGGCATGGCTGGGGTCTGGCTGTCTCCTGGTGGCCGGAAGGAGACAGACGGCAAAGGAGAAGCTGCCTGTCTCTGCACAGGTCCATGTCCCTGAGGAAAGCCAACGTCACAGAGAAATGATGACCACTTTCTCAAACCTGGCTTCGGATTTGCACGTTGGCTGCCAAAGCTGATCAGCAGCGGGCTTTGTGAAGATGCCTGGTCTACCACGTGCCTCCAGCTGGTCACGCCCAAGACTCCCTGAGCCCTCTGGAAGGGCAGCACTTGCCCAGTGCCTCCCTCCAGGTCCTGCCACATCCAAGAACCACCTGGACTATTATTTACTTAGTATTTTAAACCAATGTACTTTTTAAACTCCAATTTTTTAATAAGATCATTTATGTCACCATATAACACCCAAAGCAGTAGAATTTGTCATACACAGAAGGCAATGCTAAAAATACAATGAAAATGGAACCAGGAAGTCTAGCTTGATACCCTTGGCCTGTATAACTGAGCCTTGTGCCAGTTAAAAGGGCAAAGCAGTAGGTGCTCAGGGGGTGTCGGGGCCCTGAGAGCTGATCTGATCCGCTGCTGCGTATTCACTACCGCCCTGGGACGCCTCCAGCAGACCACCTCACTGGGGGAAACATCAGGACAGCGTGGCCAGGAGCCCAATGCTGCCACCTCATAGATGGGTATCTGAGATGAGTCATCGAACTTCTGCAAGCCTCAGTTTCCTCCCTGGTCTAATGGAACCCTCCTTGGCGGCTTCACAGGGTGATGCTTGGGGCAGGTGATGGAGATGTGGGAGAGGCAGTTATTTTTAACCACCCAGCCAAGCCCCTTGCCAGGAGGGACTCCCAGAAATGAAGCCTTACCCTTGAGGGAGTTCCCCGCCACTCCAAGCTTGGGGCCTGGGATGGCAGCTGTGAGGGCACCAGCACCATCTGGGGACTCGCTGGGTACCAATTATCACCGCCCTTGGGCTACTTCAAAGGCTGCCCACACAGACACACCCTCCTTGGTAACCAGTCCTCAGGAGGAAGGGCACCCAAGGAAAGGGGGAAGGCTTCCTGGGCTAGAGCCCCTTCAGGGTCTGACACGCCATTGACACTGACCACGTCATTCATTAAGCAAGCACCAACTATACATCATTCACTATCCCAATCTAATTTGCACAAGCCCTTAGGCAGGTGCTACTATTATCCCTGTTTTACAGAGAAGGAAACCGAGGCTTAGGAGATGAAGTCTGAGGTGTTGGTGGAGCTGGGATTTAAACCAAAATATGTCCAACTGCAAAGCATGTAAGTAACAATTTTAGAGGGTATACGGAGGTGACCCTAAGTAACAAGGAATCACATATAGTGAGCAAGCAATTTGCTTTTCAGTTTTTGGTCAATCCTTATGATTATTTAGAGGAGAAAGTTCAGTTTGGTGCTGGTATATCTTATGTTTATCACCCGACAGTTGTTAATCTCTTTTTAACAAAGAATACAGGCCAAGGCCCTGTGACTTTAGCTGGCTTTGGTATTTGGCCAAAAGTTAATGACTTTGGCAGTTAGTGTTTTTATCCATGCCAAGCGATGATGATTTTCTCTTTAGTGACAGACATTTTTTAAAAAATAAATTCACATAAAAAAGTAGTTTTACAGATGAAGCACTAAAACTAGTGCATTTCATCTTAAACTGCAAATTATAAAGGGAATAATAGTAACTTGACAGTGGAGAGACCTGGCAGACACCACCTTCACCAACTGATCAAAGTTAACATCGCCAGAAAGGGGACAGATGGCATGTGCCTCTCGATAAGATGCACTGAAGACACACACTCACTTCTGCAATATTCCTGCCAAGAATGCCTCATCTGAATCTAATCTCGAGTATAACCATCAGACAAACCCAAATTGAGAGACAGTTTACAAAACACCAGCCTTGTACTCTGCTTAATATGTCAATGTCACAAGAGAGAAAGACAGACTGAAGAGCTGATCCAGACTGAAGAAGGCTCGAGATTAATGCAAAAGCTGATCTGGGATTGCATCTTGGACCTCAACTCTCCCCTTTTTATTGTTAAGGGACACTACTGGGACAATTTTTTTTTTTTTTCGTTTTGAGACAGGGTCTCGCTCAGTCACCCAGGCTGGAGTGCAGTGGTGGAATAATAACTCACTGCAGCCTTGAACTCCCGGACTCAAGCAATCCTCCTGCCTGAGCCTTCCGAGTAACTGGGACTATGGGCGTGTACCACAACACCTCGCTATTTTTTTTTTCCTACTTTTTGTAGAGACGGGGTCTCACTATGTTGCCCAGGCTGGTTTCAAACTCAAGTGATCCTTCCACCTCAGCCTCTATAAAATTTGAATAAAGTTGTAGATGAGATTGGTCATAGGATTGTATAGTGTATCAATATTAGATTTGCTGATTTTGACAACCCTACTGTGGTTATGCAAATTTGTCCTTGTTCTAAGGAAATAAATACTGAATTATTTAGGAGTAAAGGTGCATAATGAACCCATTTTCAAATGCTTATGAAAATTACACATATACACATGTGTGCATATACACAGGCATGCATATACAAACAGAGGGAAGAGCATGCACGTGTACATGAGCAAAGTGCTAACTGGTGCAACTGGTGAGTTTGGGCGGGCATTGTTTGTGCTCTTGCAACTTTTCTGTAAGTGTGAAATTACTTCATAACAGAGGTTTTTGTTTGTTTGTTTGTTTTTAATTCAGGAAAAAGTTGGAAGAGTGCGTATGAAATAGGCCTGGCAGAAACTATGAGCTGGTGTTCCAAGGTCGGGGATGGGGAGCCCTCACTGGAGGCACCCCTCAAACCCTCAGTGCTGTGGCCAGGGAACCGGGCTGGCAGTCTTAGTTGGCTTTGTTCCCTCGGCCTCCACTTCCCCATTCTGTGCCTCCATTTATTTGTGAGACAGGGATAAAGAGGTCTGCCACTTTTATTGTGATCTTAGGTTTCCCAAAAGCCGAGTATGCTTTCAGAAGTTCTGGGAGGAAAGCTAGCAGATAAACCAGAAATATGAATATCCAAATTGAGAGAAGCCCTCACTTTCTTAGTTCGGCAAAACAGACACATGAGCTGTAAGTGGGGCAGACCCTGCCTGTTTCTTGGCTGAAATCTCCAGTTTGTATAATTCAGGGCTAAGAGAGCAGGACTCTTGACATCTCACTGTCTTGAGACACATACTGGGGTTTTCTCCTGTCTGAAGACGCAGCTGGCACCAATGTACCCTATGGCCAAGGACCTTCTGGGTGAGCCTCATGTCAGGAGCAGAGCTGGAGAGGTGGCCAGGCCTGGGGGTATACTTGCCTCCCTGTGTCACCATTGTCTGTCTCTTGCTTAGATGACAGCCACAGCTTCCTGGCCTGGTTTCCTGCATCCGCCCTGACCCCTGGCTGTGGGATCTCCCATAACTCAAATCTGACTGTGTCCCTGTGGAAGGTTTGGGTTTCTGACCTGGGCAGCTCTATGTCCGGCACAGGGGTTCTGCTGATAGCACAGGCCACAGATTGGCAAGGAGGGACCAGGTTAGGAAGGAGCAGCTGTGGTTCCTAGTTGGGAGATAACTGAAGCCTAGGAAATCCTGGAATAAGATAGACCAATGCATCGATAACCCTCAGCTCCAAATCTGAGCTGCACCAGGACAAGCTGACTCTGGTGGCAACGTTCTCCAGTCTCTGCATTTTCAGCTCGCTGTGTGCCAAGAGAGGGCTGGCAGGTACCAGCAGCTTTCACTTTCATTAGGAACCGGGACGAATAATCCAACTGAGCTGCCTCTGCACCAGAACTGCTGGGACGTGAAGACTCTCCCTGGCTCCCAGGCCAGCCACTGCAGCCCTTTCTCCTGGGAAGGAGGGAGCTCCCGATTCCCCATTCCCTGCTCCTGGGCAACAATTAACACTCTAGGAAAACCACAGAGCCGGCTATCCAGGGTTCTGGTGCCCTGGGGACCACAGGGCAGCAAGAAAGTTCTCCTAAGGGTCCTGGGGCTGGGAAGGCAGAGTGGGAAGTCTCCCCCAGCTAGGCTAGACCTGGACCTCCCTGGCACTCAGGCAGCCTGTCCTCTTCTGCTCACAGGATATAAATATTCATGCATGAGTATAGGTGCAGGTTTGTACATTTGCAAGGGCATGGGTATAACACGCTTTCCATTGTATCCGACTATGAATATGAGTGGTTAATATTAATACATCTCTTACTATATACAAGGAGATCTAAGTGCTTTATGTATATCTCACCTAATCCTCACAACAAGGGAGATTTTCATTATTTCCATCTTCTAGAAGAGGAAACCAAAGTACAGGGAGGTTAAGCAGCATGCCCAAGGTCACAGCTACCCTGGGATGTGAACCCAGGGCCCTGGCTCTTAACCATGACCCTAATACTGCCTCCTCAAGTAGGTGCTCAGCAAATGTTTGAGGAACTGAATTATGTGGGTCCACACATAAGAGAAAAAAAAAAAAAAGAGGGAGCAAAAGTAGGTGCACCTGTTCATCTTGAGATTCATCCTGGGCCCCACTGTGTGACATGCTCCACGCCCTTAGTCACTGTTTCCTGGATTGGCGTGTGGGGAACACATGTGACCACATGAGAATGGCTGAGAAAGAGCAGGACTGACTACCGGCGTTCCCCTGCTTATGGAAAGGGGCCTGGAGATGAGGCTCGGTCAGATCATCTTGAGGTCTTTCCTGGCGGCTTCCCTGCTGCTAGCTACCCCTCTCATACCCTGGGGTTCTGAGCTTCCTCGGCACTTGGGGGCAAGGCCTCCTTGGCTTGGATTTGAGGGTGGGGAGGAGGGAAGGCTGTGCATGGCTTCCACCACTTCTCCAGGCCTCCCCACTTCCCAGGGTCAGGCCCTGACACCCCGAGAGCTTTGCAAGGGTGTCCCTGAGAGATATTTCCTGGTGTTTCTGCTTAAACAGCGTTTGCTGCAAAATATGTCGAAGCATTTGGGATTCAGTTTTTAGTTCAGAATATGCCAATGTTTTCATTTGGAAGGGGAAGTGTTTCTGTTGATGTGGTAAAGAGATAAAATAAGACGTTCCTCACCAAGTTACACTGCTTCAAAGTCAAATGCTTGGCTTGGAGACAGGGATTTATCTTGGGATCGCAGGCCCTTAGCACACGGCCTGGCAGAAGAGCAGGCAGGGTCAAAGTCTGTTGAATGAGTGAGTGCATATGCAAAGGGCCTAGACACAGGAGTGCGATACAATCAATGCTCAGTACAGATTTTGAATGGATTCCATAGGTTCTACTTTTGAGAGTTGTTCTCAGTCTGTTCATGTTTCTCTATCTTCACTAAACTCCCCTCATCCAAGCCTCTGTCACCTCTGGCCTGGACAACTAACAGCATCTGAGGTGGTGGCCCTGCTTCCCCTCTTACCCCTCAGCTCATTCTGTCCACAATTGCCAGAGTCATTTTTGCAAAATGGGAATGGGATTGTGTCATCTCCTGCCTAGAACCTTCCAATGGCTTTCCACTGCTCTTGGCTATGGCCTTCCAGGTCCTCCATGGTATGGCTCCCACCCACCTCACTGACCTTTCCTGGGGCTGTTCTCCAGCCACATGGGCCTCCTTTTGGTTGCGGAAAAACCAACTCTCTCTCACCTGAAGGTCTTGGCACCACTGATTCCCTCAGCCTGGACTGCTTTTCTCCAGATCCTTCTATCAAATTAAGGCTCAGCTCAAAAGCATCATCTCCTTAGAGAGGCTTTCTCTGACCCCTCAGCTAAAGCAGCCCACCATCTCTATCCTACCGTTTCACTTCTGTTTCACTCCATGTCTACACCTACAGAGACCGTCTACTAGAGGCCAGGCACAGTTTTAAGTGTTGAGGACATGGCAGTGAACACAACAGGGAAGCTCATGTCCTTCTTGCCTGCCTTCATAGTTCCGAAAAAATCTGATTCTCTTGTTTGGGTTCCTACTAGTCTTCCTCACCAAGTGCCAAAGGGCCAAGGCTTGGTCTGTCTTGTTCACTGTGTTCAATCACCAGGCACTGTACTGAACCAACAAGCATTCATTCTGTAAAAGAACGGACGGATGGATGGCAGGCAGGCAGGCAGGCTGGGGAGGTGTGCAGAGCACCTGGCACACACTCCCCCTGGCACTTGGTTCTCGCTAAGATGTTACTGAGCTCAACTGAAGCTTTTTCTTCAAAGAAATCTCACTGTGAACCCATTAGGAGAGCCCTCTGCCGCCAGCTATGCTGTCAGTAGGTCCTACCCCACCCTGTACCACCATCTGCAACAGACTCAATGTTTGTGTCTCCTCAAACTTCATATGTTGAAACTCTGATCCCAAATGATGGTATTGCGGGGTGCGGCCTTAGGGAGGTGATTAGGTCACGAAGGCAGAGCCTTCATGGGTGGGATTAATGCCCTTATAAGAACAGTAAGAGATAAATGTTTAAGTCCCCCAGCCTATGGTGTTCTGTTATAGCAGACTGAACTAAGACACCCTCTGCCTGTGGTTGTCTTGGCAAAGCCAGGTAATGCAGGAGAGGGGTGGACTCAGCCTGCTTGCGGTGAATGGCATTAGTGTCCATTTTCCTAAAGGAGCCCTTGCCCACCATATCTCAGCATCCCCTCTTCATTGCCACTTAGACCCTGTGCCCAGTGACACTCCAGTACTGTCCAGTCTCAGGGGCTGAGCCAAGGCGTTCCTGCCTGCCCTGTGACCCTCACCAGACCTGGCAGCTGCCTGACAGCTTGTCTGGCTCACGTGTTCTCTCTAATTGAGTCTAGCTGCCTCTCTTCCTTGTGACTATGACCAAGTCTTACTCCTTCCTGGACCTTCATTTCCCTACCTCTCACATACACAGTGGGCTGGATGCTGGATGCAAAGCTCCCTCGTCACAGCCCCAAAGACAGGACTTGACCATCTCAGTGCAATGACCCTGTGGTGCCTTCTCCCGAGGACCTAAGAGCCCCCTGAGCGCTTGCAAACACTGCAGACAAAGCGAGCCCTGGCACCAGCTCCCTGCCTGCCTGTTCTGTGAAGGGAGCCTACAAAACTGGCAGCCCCTGCAGTTCTGAGCTGCAGAACTGATGAGCTGGGGCACCCTGAAACCTGACTCCAAAATAGCAGCAAACCCAAGGCCAAAAGGAAGTACGGGCTTCTTTGCTTGCGATTTCTCCTCTCACAGCTTTGGCCTAGAGCCCCTGCACTTAATCCCCACCCAGCTACCCCAAGGGCCACAGTACAAAGGTGATTCGTGCCTGGCTCCCTGTGTCTTCTGACACCCCTAAATCTTTATCCTTCTAGGACAAGCGAGAATCCCCCAAAAGCCAAGGTCATCATCAAGCCAGGATGAGGACTGGAGGAGGAGCTGACAGCTCTGCCTCAAATGGATTTGGGAGCGAAGGCTTTTTCCATAAGCTTTGGGGGTAAGTCACAGAGCTACCCCAAATGTAACTTAGTCTCGGGGTCTCCTTCCTTTTCACCAGCTGTCCCCTTTGCTGGAGGAAGCTTTCCAGCCCAAACGAAGGGCTTAAGAGGAGTCTGGCCATTCCTGGCATCCAGTTAGACCTGGAGGAGGTGAACGGAGGAGAAGCCTGAGGGAGGGGTGTGTATCCGGCCTGGGAATTCCTCCCTCTCCCTTGCTAGCGCCCCAACCCGCCCTCATCCTGTTCAGAGAGGGCACTTACAGGCCTCGGAGGCAGGGGAGGGTCTCCTCCTGGGGAACCATCCCCGTCCAGATGGTGCCCCCAACCAGCTGCGGCGGCATGATCTGGGCGGCTGGTCCAGGGCATGGGTTGCGGATCGTGTAGGGAAGAGGGGAACAGCAGTCGAGACCCTACTCCAAGTACGCATCAAAGACGTCGAGCTCCGAGTCAGCATCGTAAAGGCCCGAGCCGGGGTCGGAGAGCACGCCGAGGTCCACGAGCGCCTGGTCCATGTCCTCGGGCAGGAAGACGAGGCCCACGTTGAGGACGATGTACTCCATGAGGAAGGCGTAGTACAGGATCAGCACATTGACGAAGAACAGGCCCACGTAGAACATAGAGGGCAGCAGCGGCGGCGGCACGTAGGGGACCAGGGGGCCCAGTGCGTCCAGGTGGGCCGCGACCCGGGCGCCGAGCATGCAGCGGGTGGCAAGGGCGGCGGCCCGGCGATCCCGGCGAACTCAGCCGCTGCGGCGCCCGGGCGGCCGGCGAGGGCACAGCGCAGCCATCCAGGGGTACCCTGGAGCCCGACAGAAGCAGGGCCGGGCTCCAGATGTCCCCTGGCAATTGCGCCCCGACCCCCGAAATGCGCCGGGCGGGTCACCGCACCCCGAGATGTGCCCCCAAGGATCTCTCGACCGCCCGGGCGGCGAGGCGGGCCCCCCTGAAGTGGCCCGCGGCTGCCCGGCTCCCTCGTGGCGCCTCCCTGGCGCTCGCAGGGCCTCGCAGAGCCGGTGGGGATCCCACCGCGGCTCAGTGTCTAGGGCCGGTCCCGGCAGCCTTCTCTCCCGCCCCGCCCCGCAGGTCCTCGCGCACCCCCCGCGCCCCCGCAGGCCCAGCACCCATGGCTGCGGCCGCCGCGTAGCCCTCCCGGTGGCGCTCGGAGCTCCGCCTCCCGAGGGGCCCCGAGCTCATTGGCAGGCCGCCCCCTGCACGCGCTAATTGGCCGGCTCAACGCCCGCGCTGATTGGCTCCGGCCGCCAGGGGGCGGGTACCGCTTCGCTCCGCCCCTCGGGGCCCTAGCGTCTGAGTTGCTTTCCTGGTTCGGGTCTGCCCTCAGATCTCAAATCGAATTCGCTCTGCGTATCGAATAGGGGGAGGTAAAAGAGACTGAACACAGTTCAAACCTAGACATAATGCTAAGGCCGCAAAAGCCGAAGGAAACCCGGGCTACCGCTGCACCTTGCTGCATGCCTCTTTGGGACTCCGTTTCTCCTTTAAAAGGAGGCGGGGTCGGGGAGGGGCGACGGACGGTTGCCCTGGAAATTTTGGACATTCCCAAAGCGCCAATTTTCATGGTGGAGATCCACCAGTGTCCCCTTCGCTTCTCCAAACTCTGGTTGCTGGAAGGTCCGCCCACTACGGAACCTGCATCCTAGAGTTAAGGAACACCTGAATAAAGAGATTCCGAGGTAGTTCAGATCTTCAACCATAAGGATGCTTTTTGTTTCTTTTTACTTTGTGAATCATGTTTAAAAGCAATAATACACATGGCTAAACATTCAAACAACCGTGAAGTACACAGAAAAGTGAGTCTCTCCCACCCACTGGTTCCCCTGCTCTTGGGTAACCGTTGCATGTCTTTCAGGAAAACATGATCTCGCCCAAAGAGCCTTCCAAAGCAGTTCAAGAAACCTTTAAATCTCAGGCCACACTGAGCTGAGTATTTTACATGCATCGCTTAATCGGAGGTATACAAGGCAGTGTAGTATGTATGTGCGTACTTTTTACAGATGAAAAATACGAGCCCAGGGATCCTACATTTCTGAGCCTGGGTGTGTTTCTTTGGAGGCCAGATCCTGTTCTTTTTTGCTCCATGACTTTGTCTTGCCCCACTCTATATGAATTACAGGACAAACCATTAACTCTCCACTCTTATCCATTTCTCCAACTGCTGAAGGTGAAACAAACCTTTACTCATTCATGCACTCTACCAATATTTGTTAAACACCTGCTATGTGCCAAACCTTGTGCTAGGCACTGGGGAGAACATTGGCCTCTGGCCCAGTTCTTTCTTGAGCAGAGTTAATGGGACACAGTGGACCTTTAATAAGGTTGATATGTAGAAGTGACTGAATGAATGAATGGATGGTAAACTTGAGAAGTCTTGCCCACACTGAACTTACCACTTCTAATCCAGGGTAGAAGTTAGATATATTCTGGCTCATGCAGAAAGTTGGGTGTTTCCTTTTTCATTTTAACGTGGTACTTTGGGAAATAGCATGGATTCTGGCTGAAGACCAGAGGAATCCTCTGGAAGTACAAAATGTTCAGTTTGGTGCATTGTTGCATCCAGCCTTTTCCAACACACACACACACACACACACACACACACACACACACACACACACACACACACACTTAATTGAAGTGGAAAAAGAAAAAGGCTGTCAGGACAAATAAGGTTGTTATCTAGTGCCGTTTTGGTTTATAAAGGGAATGAAAAATAAGGGTGCGTGCGTGGTTATGAACCCTGGTTTTGCCACTTGTTAACTGCATGATCTTGGGTAAGTCAACCTCTCAGTGACTCCGTTTCCCTGATGATAAAATAGGTTCGATAATAGTACCCAATTCATAGGATGGTTGTGAAAATTAAATACCTTAATATGTAAAGCCCTTAGGATAGTGGCTTTGCATAGTATACACCATCCAATACTATTCTTATTCTTATTATAAATCTAGTAATTGTTACTACAGTGGTGACTTTCCTTGACCCATCTACGCCGATTCCCTCTCCGGGACTGCGCCCAAAGCTTCCAATTCCCGCCCACCCGGAGGATTCTGCGGTCGCTCCTCCTCTCGCCCCGCCTTTTGTGGATGGCCGTAGGCCCGCGGTTGCACGATGCATGCCGGGCCTTGTAGTCCGTTCGCGGAGTCCTGCCGCCGAAGGCCACGCGGGTGAACTGCATTTCCCAGCGCCCCACGCGGCGGCGGCCGTAAAGCGCGGCGGTCGAACGGCCGGTTCCGGCTGAATGTCAGTGCTGGGCTGTGGGCCGGGGAGGAAGGCGGCTCGCGGTTCCTCCACCGCCTCCGCCGCCGCATCCTCCGCTTGTGCTACCGCCGCGGGCGCTGGGCCGCTCTGCTGGTCCGGCATGAGACCGTGAGACGAGAGACGGGTCGGGGCCGCCGACATGTTTGGCCGCTCGCGGAGCTGGGTGGGCGGGGGCCATGGCAAGACTTCCCGCAACATCCACTCCTTGGACCACCTCAAGTGAGTGTGGGGGGCGTAGCGGGAGGCCTCGGGGCTGGACAGGGGGACGGGGCGCCGAGCTCCGGGTCGGGGCTCTAGGAGGCGTGAGAGCGGCGGCGAAGGGCGCCCGGGGAAGCCCGTGTGGTGGTTAAGAGCGAGGGCTCGGGAGTCAGGGCGCCTGGGTTCGAACCCTGACCCCGTCGCTCTTGGCTGTGTGACCTTGGACAAGTCGCTTAATTTCTCAGAGTCTCCGTATCCCCACCTGTAAAGCGAGAGGATGCGATTTCAGTTTATGGACACAGACTTTGTTCTTGACGGTGTCCACCAAGTTTCCTGGCGGGGTACTTCTTAAACTGAACAGCTTAGAGGGTCAAAGGCCTGGGTCCTGGAGTCGGGCAGATCTGGGTCCGAATCTATCTGTGTGAATGTAGGCCTCAGGTTCCCCACTTGTAAAAAGAGTAGAGTGACAGCACCTGCTTCCTGCTATTGTGTTGAGAGTTGGTTGGATAAGAGAATGAACGTTAAGCTCAGAACACGTACAATTGCTCATTAAACGGCATTAATTATTATAAAAGAACAGATTATTTTCCGAGGGGAGTCTAAGCTGGGGGCATGCACGCTGAGACCCAGGATTTTGGGGCGATTGGGGAGGATGATGAAAAATAGAGACCTCTGAGGAGGGAATGACTCTACAGCTCTGGGGGAGGACAGGTGGCAGATAGGGTCTTGGGACCAGGAGTGCAGAAATTAAGAGGCTGGCTTTGCAGCCACACCTGCGTTCAAATCCTGAAACCACCATTTACTGGCTGTGTGACCTTGGGCAAATTACTTCACCTCTCTGAGCCTCCAGATTCCCATTTGCAAATGGGGATCGTGAACATTGTAATGGAAATGGAAGGTGACTGACCCAGTAGGTACATAGTAGGTGGCCAGTAGTGGTAGCTGTGTTTATTATCAGCTCAGCGAGGCCTTCCCAGACCACCCTACCTAACGTGCTCCCCCCATCCCAGTTCCTATCCATCACATCTTTCTCTTGCTTTCATTGAGTGCTTCTCCACTCTCTGCGATTATTCTTTATTTTTTATTTATACTTATTTTCTGTCTTCTGTTAAACTGGCACTTCACGAGGGCACAGACTGCTTGGTTTGTTCACAGTTGTATTCCCAGCATCTAGGACTGCTCTCTGCTTACTTAAAGAGTGGAAAAATGAATGATTGAATTGGGGAGAGATGAAGAGCATGCAGGCCAGGACCCAGGATTTGGGGGCAGGTGTGGAGGATGATGAAAAATAGAGATCTGTATGAAGGGAAAGGCTTTAGGGAGGGAAATGGCGGGGATGCTGAAGAGGGGAGTAGACAAATCTTCAGTGTCAAGAAATAGGCAGGTTTCCAGAAGGAGATCCTGAGACTACTAATGGGAAAGGAGGAAGATAGGGTTAGGGATATGGTGGGAAGTAGTGGAAGGGAGACGGGGCTGTGGAAAGGATTGGTGGGAGGGAATTAGATAGGGACTTCTCATGTGTCCCCGGGAGTGGGGTAGGGGTAGTGGCAGGGCCACAGTTCTCAGCTGTGACCTTTCTAGCATGGAGCAGCATTTAGTAAACGTTTGTGAGTCTTGAAGAGTGGGGAGCAGGAGGGTTCACTATGTGGTGAGGGGCACTTTTAGAGCAGGAGGTGGTGAGAGAAGACAAGGGGAGGAAAGAGGCCCAGGACAAGTCTGGGGTGGGTAGGGAGGTGGGGATCTTAGATGGGAGGGCAGCTGGCCGGGAAAGGGAGTGGTTGAAGGATTTCAGGAATTTATCGAGTGGGCGGAGGTGGCTGAGGAGGGGAGGGGAGTTATCCAGAGGAGGTTGGGCCTCCTGCCGGCATCCAGGTACCTCCAGGTTCTCACCTAACTCTGCTTAACTCTAGCCCTTTTAAATTACCTTAATTTATTAATTTATCGAATGCATTATTCTGTACCAGGTATTTGCTAAGGACTGCCTGTGTGTTAATTCCCTTAGTCCTCACAAGTCTGAGTTACAGGAACCATTATTGTTTCCATTTTACGGAAGTGGAAACTAAGGTTCAGGGGGCTTCAGTGACTTGCCCCCAGGTGTCAGCAGCTGAAGGGTACCAGAGGCAGGATTTGACTCCCGAGCTTGTGCTCATTATACTGTCTTTCTGAATAAAACTTCCCAATAAGTCTGTTTGAGAACACTTTTGACTTGGCTGAGTCTCATCGCCAATGGGGCATCTTTGCCAGCCAGCAGGGAATGGTAAACGGTCTCTGGTTCCTTTGCAGTATCCTGGGAACTGCCTGGGTTCATTGTTTAGATCACATGTCTATCGGATGCTTCTTTGGAAACCCAAGTTGCCTGCCCTGAATCAGGCAGATCAGCTTAATCCATATTACAGCCCCAAGAACCTGAGATTTGTGTATTGGTGGGGGGGTTAGAAGATCCCCCAGTGACTTGGAAAAGAGTTTTGTAAACAGCCAGTGCCCACCCTGGGGCTTGTGCCACTCTGCATTTGGCTCTGTTGGTAAACATCTTGGGTCTTGGGTACAGAACAGCTCGTTCCCTGAGGGAGTTTGCAGGCTGGTGGGGGAGACAGCTGTAGAGCCAGTGACTGTACAGTGTGATAAGTGCTGAGATCGCCATGGACCCAGGGTTCTGTGGGAACCCTTATTGGGAGCTTTCTGGAGGAGACAACACCAGCGCGGGTTCTCCAAGAATGAACAGAAGCCACCATTGGCGGGCAGCAGGGGCGGGAGGCGGAGCACTGTGACCAGGACCCTGCGGGTTTTGTGGCATGTCCAGGTGGGGGCTGATAGCTGTGGGAAACAAGGCTGGAAGTAGGAAGGGGCTTGGGATTTATCTGACACTTCGGGTGACCAACCGTCCTGGTTTGCCTGGGCTGAGGGGTTTCCCAGGATATGGGACTTTCAGTGCTAAAACTGGGAAAGTCCTGGACAAACTAGTATAAACTGGTCACCCTACCAGTGACAAGTGACAGTTCTTAATACACTCTTACCTTGACCTAGAGCAGTATGGATGGAGAGGGAAAGTTTAAGATAGTTAAAAGAATTATTTATTTATTATTATTATTTTTTAAATACACAAGGCATCTGGAAACCCTCTTCTTTTTTTTTTTGAGATAAGAGTCTTGCTCTGTTGCCCAGGCTGGAGTGCAGTGGCACGATCTTGGCTCACTGCAAGCTCCGCCTCCCGGGTTCACGCCATTCTCCTGCCTCAGCCTCCAGAGTAGCTGGGACTACAGGCGCCCGCCACCACGCCCAGCTAATTTTTTGTATTTTTAGTAGAGACGGGGTTTCACCGTGTTAGCCAGGATGGTCTCGATCTCCTGACCTTGTGATCTGCCCTCCTTGACCTCCCAAAGTGCTGGGATTACAGGCATGAGCCACTGCACCCGGCCTAGACTTTACTTTTTTAGAACAGTTTGAGATTTACAGAAAGGTTGAGAAGATAGCACAGAGAGCTGGAAACTGTTTTTAGCTTCATTATTCTTTGTAACACTCCCAGCTTGCAAACTGGAAAGGAATTTTCCTGTTAGGGTTTTACTTTTGCTAAATGGTAGAAAACTTCATACCTGTGGTCTCTGTCTGCTGAACTGAGTTAGTGATTTAGCTCAGGCAGATTGAAGTAGTCAAGAGGTTATTTGCTACACACCATGGGTGGTTTATTGTCCAGATTAGTGGCAAGGCTGTGACATTGACTGACAAATGTCCACCACCAAGCGGAAGCCTGAGTGATGGAATCGTTTGATTGCTACTGAAACATCATCTTTACCAGGGACTGCAAGTCTGCGGCTGGTAGAAATTGGTCGTTTTTGTATTGTGGCCTTCATTCTGGTCCACTTTGTGTGGGGGTCAAGATTTTTGGTTCCAGTGACAGAAACCCAGCTAGAATTGCCTTAAGCCTCAAATGGATTGAATAGCTCATGTCACTGAATGGTCTGTCCCCGCTAAACCATGGCTGAATCCAGGTGTTTGGAGCCGTCAGAAATCGGCCTTTTTCCACCTTTCAGCTCTACCTTTTTCCTGTTGGTGTCATTTTCAGGCAGGCTGCAGGCTTACATCATATCAGCTTAGCATTCCTGAGGAAAAAGAGAGCTTCTTTTCTCAATATTGCCAGCAGAAGTCCAGAATTGAGATTGAGTATCCCTGGACCAGCAAGGTCTCATGCCACCCCTGAACTGTCACTCTGGCCAAAGGTATAGGGGGATCTGATTGGCCATTCCTCACTCATATTCCCTTCCCTGGAGCAAGAGTGGGATTAGCTCCACTCAAGCTAGTGGAAAAGAATGAGAGAAAAGAGTGGTTCCCCATGGGAGAATCAGGGGTTATTGCCCAAAGAAGGCGGAGAATGGATCCATGGCAGGTAGACAGACGCACACCTACTCTTGGTGCTTTCAAGTTTTGGCTAAGGTGGCACTGACAGTGTTAGAGCTTGGGGTACAATATTGCCATGTTGATTTTCTTAAAATATCGTCTTCACCATGCCACATATTATGGGTCCTAGGCTCCCACTATGTCACGTCTAAGTTCTTCCAGGCCTTCCCACCATCTAGTTTGGGAGCACAGGGAGTTAGGAACATCCTTGTTAGGCAGACGCTGTTTAAATGGAGACCAACGGGGTGAGTCGTTGTTACCAGGCAGCGGGGTGTCAGGTGGAAGGAAGGATGTTTCAGGCAGAGGAAAAGGCATTTGAGAAAGCCTAGTGGGGCAAGGGGAGCAGTGCACATTGGCAGAACTCACGTGGTTCAGCAGGGGAGTGTTCACTGGGTGAAGAGGAAGTGAGGACCCAAGCTCAGAGCCATGCTTGGCAGTCTCCAGAGGCCAGGTCCCCTGGGGCCCTGTAAATCACTTTAAGGAATTCAGACTATGAGTGAGAACAGTAGGGAGCCACTGAAGGTTTTTTAACTACAGAAAGGCTGTGGTCTGGCTGAAGCTGGCAGAATGGATTGGATGAGGGGCAGACTGGAGGTGGGCCTCCACATGTGTTGGTGGGGCGGGGAGCAGGGGCTCTGCTGCCGTCCCCTGGTGAGTTACGGTAGCAGCTGCTGTCATCCAGGTGTATCTCCTGTTGGTGGTCCACTCACACACATACCTCGCCTGCCCACTTGAGGTCCCCTGCTCTTTTCCTCCTGCCCATCCAAATCCCTAGCTCTATCCCGAAAATGCCAGTTCTTCCCTAAAAATTGCCCTGGTGACTTCAGCCAACAAGAGTTTTGCTGTCTTCTCTAACTTCTTCTGTGCCTGTTCACACTGTCCCACACAGTTAACACATTATTATATACTTCTCATCGCCAAAGAGTGGGTCGGCTGTTAGCTCCTGTGCGTTCTTAAAGTTTCATCTCGGCCTTGAGTTAGACCCTCAGGAAGCTGGCCGGGGTTCCTGTCCTTTGGCTATCAGACATTGTCTTCCTTTGTTACATATCTTTTTTGTTGTTTTCTCCCAATTTGAACATAAGAATCATGAAAGCCTGTATGGCTTGTTCAGCTGGGTACTGGTATGCCAGCACAGGACGTGGCAGATAGTAAGCAATCAACAAATATTTGTCACAGGATGAACGAGAGGCAGACCTCTGTTTTCAGAAAAGGCCAGTCTTTTCCCAACAACTGCTTGTTCTCCCCAGTTTAGTCACAGCACCTGTGCCACAGCCATGACTTTCTCTAGGGCTAAAGCCCTAAAGAAAGCTAGGGTATAGCCCTGCCTATACCCTACACATCCCCGGCCCAGCCTCACTTGCCGGCCCTGTTTGACATCTTTGGGGGATGATTCACCAGGGGAAGCACAGCCTGTGAACACCTTCTCTAATCCTCTAGCCTGATTCCACCCTCCGTGAAGCTTCTCCTTGTCCTGCTGGCCAGAAGGCTGAACACTGACCAGATGGTGGTTTTCAGGGCACAGAGTGGGACACACTGGGGAACGTCTGCAGGGCCTCTGCCCGAGTGCTGAACAGGCCAGACAGATACAGGCTCTGTGTCTCCCATCCCTCTACCACACCTGAGACATTGTTATTTGGAGCTGTGTGGACATTGGGGGGTAAATTTCTAACCCCCAGACCTCCTATCATTCTGCTTATCCTTTCTCATGCCCCACCTTGCAAATGTACATTTCAAAATCTTGAAGGAGGAGCATCCTAATAAGCTCATTATGGTGCAAGGCATAGCACGTGCAGAAAATGCTGTCACTGAAATGAACTTGGACCTAGTATTCCTGTCTCTGAAATGGACTGAATTGCTAATTTTTGAAGGATATGGGGCATTATTAACTGTAGTGGTTTAACCTGTGAAATTAGTGACTCTTGAGAAAGCAGAGGCTATTGAGGCCAGATTTGTTTACGTCTGTCATCCTTGGTGATGCACCTCGAGTGTGTTGGTTACAGTTTCTCTTCTCCAGGCATTTCAAACTCTGAAGCTCATCTGTCGGTGGAGAGTTAGCTAACAGGCAAAGCTCGGATATTGAGACTGCATCTGCAGAGCTCCTGCTGGGGATATGAGAATACTGGCTCTTTTCCAGACAAATGGGAGTTAGAGCCTTTTATAAGGACTTTCCATAAGATCTGATAGTATTTTCATGCCTTTTTGGTTTATCTATTTGGTGTTTTTTTAATTTATTTTTTGTGTGTTAGGCATTCATAACCTCATGTAAATTCTTGGCCAATAAAATTGTTGCTTACTTCATTGTTTGCATTTCTGTAGTCCTAGAAGGGTTGTAATCATGGGGTCTGGAGTTCAGTCTGCCTGGTTGTAACCTAGGCACCTCCTGTGCTGCACCAGGGCCCTGGGCAGATGCCTCAGCTCCCAGAGCATCATCCCCAAAGGGTCGATTGTTTCTGGGATTAAACGAAGCACTCAGACAGAGACTGGCAGTAATAGGAAGCTTCATCTGTTTTACTGAGGTACATACATAGTTTGAGAAAACACGTTGTCATTCTAACAGTGGTTATCATTGTAAGAGAAACATTTTAATTTGCTGCCGTTAAGTAGCAAGGTAATTATTCTGTCCTTTGAAACTTTTCTGAGATAAAGACACAGCTTTCCATACAAAGATGGTCATAGCAACATTGTTATCACTCACACAATTAGGAATCTTAATGCCCTTCAAAAGAGTTGCTACTGTGCTTGTCCTTTCAGTGTCATACTGTGTAGCCATTACAGATATTTGCAAACAGTTGTCAATAACCAAAAAAAGTGCTTTTGTTTTAGCTGAGGTGGGAAATAAGATTGGCACTGAAATGGATAATGCAACATGACCTCAACTATGTAAATATCCATAGCAAAGAAAAAGACCCGAGGAAATAGATTGCAACTCCAGCAGCAGTCATCTCTAGGCACCACGGTTGCCGTTTCTCTTTCATTGTTGTCAAAGTTTCCTACTTCTCTAAAGTGAATGTTACATTTATAATCAGAAGGTTTTATTAAAATGGGCCGGGTGAGTTGGCTCACACCTGTAATCCCAGCACTTTGGGAAGCCGAGGCAGGCAGATCAGTTGAGGTCTGGAGTTCAAGACCAGCCTGGCCAACATGGCTAAACCCCATCTCTACTAAAAGTACAAAAATTAGCTGGGCATGGTGGCCTGCGCCTATAAACTCAGCTACCTGGGAATCTGAGGTAGGAGAATCGCCTGAACCTAAGAGGCGGAGGCCGCAGTGAGCCAAGATCACGCCACTGCACTCCAGCCTGATGACAGAGCAAGACTCCATCTCAGAAAATGACAACAACAACAAAAAGTTATTAAAATGTTTATATCTCTGAGGTGGTTGAATTACCTAATCTTCCAAAGCCCTGGAATTAGATACACCATTAAAACATTAAATCTTAATCCATTCAGCCTTTCCCCCCATTACATTCAAGCAAATGTATATTGAGCATCTCTTCCTAAAACACTGTGTAAAACGGTGTGCCAGGGCATTGTGGGACAGAAAGACGAGCAAGGTGAAGGTGTAACCCTCATTGAGCTTTGGAGCTTGCAGTCTACTGAGTATTTCTGTATACCAGCAAAAGACATTTAGAAAATGAATATTTGAAACAATATCATTTACAATAGCATAAAAAAATGTCGACTACCTAGCAGCAACTCTAACAATAGATCTGCAAGATTCCTGTCAAGTGAGCATGGAAACAAATGCTGTAAATATCAGAATGTTACACTATTGTAAATATGTCAGTTCTCTCCAAATTTAGCCATAGATGTAGGGCAAGTCTAAGAAAATTTTAGCACGTATTTTTGTGGAAATGAAGAAGGTGATTTTTGAATGTATATGGAGATTAAAAGGGCCAAGAATAGGCAATATTGAAAAACAGAAGGAAAGAAGTTGGAAGACTTAATTACTATATGGCAAGATTTACTGTAAAACTGCAGTAATCAGACAGTATGGTCTTGATACAAGGATAGACAAATAGATCAATGAAACTGGAGTATCCAGAATGAGACCCACATGGGTAGTCACCTGATTAATGACAATGGTGGCGCTGGAGTGCAGTAGAGAAGTGAGGGCCTTTTCTGTAAATGGTGCTGGGTCAAGTAGATTTCCATATAGAAAAACTTAATTTTGGCCAGTACCTCATATCCTACACAGAAATCAGTTCCAGATGTACTCAAAGTCAGAATGCGAAGAGTAAAACAGTAACTTTGTTAGAAGTAAAAAGCATTTCCTTATAACCTTGGGGTAGGTAAGAACCTCTTAAGCTTGATACAAGAAACACCATCCAAGGGAAAGATTAATAAATTGAACTACATTAAAATTAAGAACCTCTACTCATCTAAAGACCCAGTATAAAGGGAACGAAAAGGTAAGCCACCATCAGAGAAAGTATTTGCAATATTTATCTCCAGTAAAGGGTTTGTGGTCAGAGTATATAAAGAAAAGCAAGAAAAAGCCACACAGCCTAATTTTAAAAATGGGCAGGCTAGGCGCGGTGGCTCACGCCTGTAATCCAAACACTTTGGGAGGCTGAGGTACGTGGATCACGAGGTCAGGAGATCGAGACCATCCTGGCTAATACAGTGAAACCCCATGTCTACTAAAAATACAAAACAATTAGCCGAGCGTGCTGGCGGGCGCCTGTAGTCCCAGCTATTCGGAAGGCTGAGGCAGGGAAATGGCGTGAACCCAGGAGGCAGAGCTTGCAGTGAGTGGAGATCGCACCACTGCACTCCAGCCTGGGCGACAGAGCAAGACTCCGTCTCAAAAAAAAAAAAATGGGCAAAAGACTTGCACAGGCACCTCACAAAAGAAGATATTCAAACAGTCCATAAACATATATGAACAGGCACCCGGTTTCACTACTGGAAGAAAGCCCCCACGCAATATCACTGCATACCCAGCAGATGGCGCCACCGACCAGGGCAAAGAACACCAAGTATTGAGAGGCCAAGAAACAAATGGAGTTCTCAGACCTTTCTTCCTGGCCACAGGTCTGTGGGCGAGCTACTGAACGTCGCCAAACCTCACTTGCTGTCTTGTCCTGTGCAGTGGCAACAGTGTGCACATCTTCAGGTTACTGTGAGTCTGTAGGTCACATGAAGCCCTCGCAGAGAACCAGGCACGTGGGGGCTCCTAGAATCTTTTTTTCAGGACTTACCGCCCTGCCCTCTCTGCCTATAAGGGCCTTCTGGTAGTTACTAGGTCTTTTTCCCCCAGAAATTATTTAATAAGGGCAACAATAACAATAGCTAGCACTTGTATCATACATAGTAACTGCCAAGTTAGTTATCTGTTATCTCCCAACACCACCAAAATAGGTAGATACTAAAGTATTCAGGTACCATTGCTGTTTACATTTTACTGGTGAGACAACTGAGGTGCACAGAGGGAAAGTAACCTGCTCAGGATCACCCAGCTAATAAGTGATGGAGGTGTGCTCAGACCCAGGCATTCCAGTGTCTGTGATTAACCCTATGTTCTAATTATACCAGTGTTTGTAATTAACCATATACTCTAGTGCCTCTCAGGAAATACCAGACTTTCTCTACTTCCTGCTCTGGTTTCGCTGAACCTTCCCATCACGACTCCTGCCCTGAAGCCCTCTTTCCCTGTTTGAATCTAGCCTGATCTCTTTTCTACCTTCCTGGAATATTCCTTAGATAATGTAGTAATAATGTGAATAACGGCCCCCACCACAATGACCATAATCTAATCACCATGGCAGCCAAGCCTGCTTCTGTTGAGCCCTTGCTCTGTGCCAGGCGCTGTGCTTGGCTCTTTCTGTGCATGGTCACGTTGCCTCTCTGGAACAACCCAGTGAGGAAGCCTTGACTGTTCCCACCACTGTGTAGAATCTGAGCTGCAGAGAGGTGAAGCGCCTTGTCCAAGGCCACAGTTAGGAGGTGGCAGGGCCAAAGGTCAAGCCCAAGTCTGTCTGCCAGACTCCGAAGCCTGACCTCTTCACCAGAGCTCTGTGCTGTCACTTGCCGTGTCTGGCGTTTGGATCCCTGGCTATGTTCAGTCGTGTATGCTTTGATCTAAGTTATGTTTACAAAGACCATCCCCTGCCCCATTCAGCATTTATTGAACACCTGCTGTGTATCAGACATTTGGAGTGTATTGGGGTCAGCAAGATCAATAAGGTGATGGTGCTGACCTTGAGGAGCTCAGGTCTAGTATGGGAGGCAGATCTTTGCAAATGAGGGTGGGCTGTGCAGTAGCAAATATGTGTGGGTACAGAGGTGCCAGTGAGGAGGGAACAATTAAATCCACCTGGGAGGGGGGCATGGGGAACGCTTTACCAAGAGATGCCCGAGCTGGGTTTTGAAATGTAAAAGTTTGCTGGATGACAAGGACAGCAAGGGCATTCTAAGCAGAAAGCCCCATCAATTGAAGTCATGTGGTCCTAAAGAATTTAAAATTTCTTCTTCTTGTTGGGGATCTTCAGAGCAGACCCACCCACCTAAGCCACCGTCTCCCATTGACCAGGAGTATGATGTGTGATGCTAATAGATGTACACAGAAGAGAGGAGGGAGAATCTGCCCTTCTCCCATATTGCCAACGATGTCTTGTCACTGGCAGGGTGTCAGGCACATGGGGGCCTGCGTGGAGAGTGTCACTGATGGCCACAGCTGGAGTGGTGCGGTGACTGTCAGACTTCAGTGGGATTGGGGCCCTGCACCAAAAGTCCAATTCAATGGGTCTGGGACAACTTACAAAGGTGATTCTGATGCAGGATGCCTGGGAACTGCAGTTTGGAAAACTCTGCCGTTTGAAACTCTTGGGGAAGATGCACTTGAGGCAAGATGAAGATGTAGATTTGGGAGTGGGTCCTCCAATGATTCATCCCAGGGTGGTTCAAGTGCTGTTTGAGTTACCTAATTATAGAGGGAAACTGGGCCCATGCCCCCTCCCGCAGCCTTTTGGTAGATTTGGGTACAAGTGGTTGAGGATTTGTGTTTTTTGAGGGCTCTTCTAATTACTGCATATTAAAAATTACATGCAATTTCTAATAAATTAATTAAATGCTTGATTATACTAGGTCTTTAAAGCATAACAAACAGTATTCGTAAATAAACCCTAGCCCCTTTAAATAGCAGATTGTTCTTTATTGTTTCATCTTCAGGCTGCTTCCTCTTTATGTCTTACCCGTTTTTAGAGATTGTAGATGGGACAATCCTATCTAGACGTTTCCTTCCTTGCTCTCACCAGACCCCCAGCCCTGAAAACTGAAGTTAGCCATAAAAGAAATCAGGAGAGGAGGGCCCTTTTCCTGAGTCACTTCCTCTTGGTGTCTGCTTTTCCTTCTCAAGCCTGAGCTCCCTTGACAGGTGAAGTTACCTGGGGCTGTGGGCCCTGGAGAAGCCATCTTAAAAGCCGTGCCCGGTGGCACTCCCAGGGCATCCAGCTAGGCTTCTGGTCCCCGCGCTGCTCAGGACTGGCCTCGGTGATTCTTTTGGTCTCCCCCACCAGCAAAGAGGCCTTGAGGACTGGAAGGTGTCTACCTGTCTCAGCTCCAGCACCTGGCATTCAGGCCTGTTTGGGTAGATGAAGTACAGCACCATAGCCTCTGCAGCCCTTATTTATTTATTTATTTATTTATTTAGACTCTCGCTCTGTCACCCAGGCTGGAGTGCAATGGTGTGATCTCGGCTCACTGCAACCTCCACCTCCCAGGTTCAAGCAATTCTCCCTGCCTCAGCTTCCAGAGTAGCTGGGATTACAGACTTCGCCACCACACCCAGCTAATGTTTGTATTTTTAGTAGAGACAGGGTTTCGCCATGTTGACCAGGCTGGTCTTGAGCTCCTGACCTCAGGTGATCCACCCACCTTGGCCTCCCAAAGTGCTGGGATTACAGGCATGAGCCACCGCTCCCAGCCAGCCCATTTAACTCAGTGAATTTAACAATCTGTTCTCAGCAAATAAGACCATTGCCCTTGGGCTGCAAACCACCCAGATCATTTGAGCCATAAGTTCTGATGGGCTCACTGCACTTGAGAAGGATTGTGAGCATTCCAAGGGGAATTGCATGTGATTTTTGTCCCAGCAACTGCTGTGGGACCCAGCCTTCCTAAGCTGTGGCTCCATCTCTCTAAACCTCAACATTAGCCTGGCTGCAGGCCCCGTGTTAGGCATCCAGCCTGAGCTGTATGTCCCCACTTGCTCTGAAGGCATCAACATGATGGGAAGCATATGAAACAGGTGGCTACTTGCTCTTCTCTCAGTCCTGCTGAATCTGAATTTCCGAGGGGGCTCCAGGAGCCCCCACTTGATTCAGTTCTCCGGGTGGTTCTCTTGCACACTGCAGTTTGAGAGTAGTTGACTTCAAGGGTTTGACGATTTTCTTGTCTCCGTCTGGGTTGGTGTGTCCTTGGTTTAACCCTTCAAAGCATTGTCTGCTATTTTTCTGGGGTTGTGAGTTACATCTAATCTGAATGGGAAATTGCATTACCCAAACCTGAAAAAGCATTGCTGCATTGTCTCCAAAATATTGCTAATGGTCATGGAACTTGGCTTGCATTTCAGTTGGTAACCTTTAATTTCCTTTTCTCTCATTTCTCTCAGGTATCTGTACCACGTTTTGACCAAAAACACCACAGTCACAGAACAGAACCGGAACCTGCTAGTGGAGACCATCCGTTCCATCACTGAGATCCTGATCTGGGGAGATCAAAATGACAGCTCTGTATTTGAGTAAGGGTTTCTAATGATTGCTGTTCTTTGATTATTCTTCTTTGAATGTTTTTCTAAATGTATACTATGAGTCATTCTGGATGATGTCAGGATTTGACGCTAATTTGATCTTGCCTAGATATCTATCTCTGTCTAGCTGTAAAAAAAAAAAAAAAATGCCCTTGAAGCACTATAGAAATGCAAGCCAAAAATGGGGAAGTTATGGAAATGAGTGTCTCTAGAAAACCTGAAAATGTCATGGGTAATTTTCCTTCAGGTTGTGTCTGATTATTTTCCCAAAGGAAGGAGAACATGTCTGGTGGTTAGATTTGACATGAACAGAAGGCCTGTGCCCTGGGGGAGTCCCTGAGGGCTCCCAGTTACCATGTTTACTGATGACCAGGCACAGGGCTGAGCTCCTGATGAGATGGTCCACCTAAGTTTCCCACCCACCCCATGGTAGAGGCCCTGTTGGTGTCCCCTTTTTTGCTCAAGGTCACATAGCTGGTAAGCGGTGGAAAAGTGACACACCCAGAATCAGTGAGGGGTCCCGCAACTCACCACTTCCTAGGTGAGCAGTCCTCAGCCAGGCTCTTCATCTCCCTAAGCCTCAGTTTCTTTACCTTTAAAAGAGAGAGAAAAAGTTCTCTTTGTCTAGTGCCTGGTACAGGAATAAATGATAGCAAATGATAAAGACAGACGTGCCTCACTGGACAGTTAAAAAGCAAGGGCCGCCAGGCGCGGTGGCTCACACCTGTAATCCCAGCACTTTGGGAGGCTGAGGCAGGAGGATCGCTTGAGCCCAGGAGTTTGAGACCAGCCTGGGCAACATACAGAGACCTCGTCTCTACGTATAATTAAAAAATTAGTCATGCATGGTTGTGTGTGCCTGTGTTCCCAGCTACTCAGAAGGTTGAGGTGGGAGGATTGCCTGAGCCCAGGAGGTCCAGGCTGCAATGAGCCATGATCTTGCCACTGCACTCCAGCCTGGGTGACAGAGTGAGACCATGTCTCAAAAAAAAAATAGCAAGGGCTGTTAACTGTGAACTACCTCCCTAATAGATCTGCCTTGATGTCTTAGTGCAGAAGGATTTGGGGCTGGGTTATGACAACCACTAAACACGGGTGTGTGTGTGTGTGTGTGTGTGTGTGTGTGTGTGTGTCTGTATTATAAATATTGAGGCCACTTTTAAAACTCATTTTTGAAAAGTAAAAGTGTTCTATTTTTAACCTGGTTTCTTATTAGATATCCGAATAAGAAGGATATTACCTTTTCATGGATTCAGACAGAATTAGGCAGCACTGAGCAAGTTCCTGAATATAGGTTCAGGGTAGCTTTATATTTTCATCAGCAAGGTTATCCAATAAAGCTACTTGTGGAAATGCAGACTCTTTAAAATGCAAACCTGTAAACAGTGGCTATGATCTCCAAAGCAGAACATGCGAGTCATGAATTTGTGTTTATATACAGACCTAGTTCCTTTAAGGATCCATGGGGAATTTTGTTTTTTTTGTTTTGTGAGATGGAGTCTTGCTCTGTCATCCAGGCTGGAGTGCATTGGCGGGATCCCGGCTCACCGCAACCTCTGCCTCCCAGTTTCAAGCAATTCTCCTACCTCAGCCTCTGGAGTAGTTGGGATTACAGGCATGCACCACCACGTGGGGCTAATTTTTGTATTTTTAGTAGAGATGGTGTTTCGCCATGTTGGCCAGGCTGGTCTCAAACTCCTGACCTCAGGTGATCCACCAGCCTCAGGTTCCCTAAGTGCTGGGATTACAGGCATGAGCCACCGTGCCCAGCTGGAATTTTTTTTTTTTAAATATCTTTTTGGAAATCAAAAAGACCCTTGGGTTAAAGATGAGAAACTGTGTCCCCCTTGACTAGAATGGACTTATTTTTTTTTTTAGAGACAGGGTCTTGCTGTGTTGCCAGGGCTGGTCTCAAACTCCTGAGCTCAAACGATTCTTCCTCCTCAGCCTCCCAACATGCTGGGATTACAGGCATGAGCTACTGCACCCTGCCTAGAACGGACGTGTCATTCTAGGTCCCAAGATGACACCCTGTCCATCTGTCATCTTAGAAAAGCTGCTGAGCTCTTAGGGTCTCCATGATTCTTAAACAGTTATCCAACAAAGTCCCTAAGAAAATTTTGTTTTTACTACATTTTAAAATTTTGGAATAATTTTAGATTTATAAAATAGTTTCGAAGATAGTATAGAATGTTCCCATTGTAAGTGTCTTACATTACTGGGGTGAATTGGGCAAAACTAAGAAACTGACATTGGTACAGTATTGTTGAGTCAACTTCAGCCCTCATTTGGATTTTGCCAGTTTTTCATTAATATCTCCTTTCTGTCCTAGCATCCCATCCATGTTCCCATAGTACATTTTGTTGTCGTATATCCCCAGCCTCTGATCTGTGACTCTTTTTTAGTCTTCCATTGTTTTTGCCACCCTGAAAGTTTTGAGAAATGCTAGCCAGGTCTCCTGTGGAATGTCTCCCAATCTGGGTTTGTCTCATGTTTTTCTCATGATTAAACTGGCAGTTAAGGGGAAGAAAGCTATAGGAGTAAAGTTCCCCTCTCTTGCCATCATCACAAGGCATTCACAATATCCACATGACATCCTGGTGATGTTACCTTTATCACCTGGTTAAGGTGCTGTCTGCCAGGTTTCTCTACTATAAAGCTACTGTCTTCTCCTTTCCCCACACTGTTCTTTAGAAGAGAGTCACCAAGTCTACCCCACGTTTTCATGATGAGGGGGTGGGGGTTAAGGTCTACCTTCTAGAAGGGGGCAGTATCTACATGTATTATTTGAAATTCTTCTGCATGGAAGATTCATCTCTTCTCTCTCATTTATGCAGTCATTTGCTTATATTAATATGGACTCGTGGATATTTATTTATACTTTGGGCTATAATTCAGTATGTTGTTATTTTATTGCTCAAGTTGTTTCAGCCTTGGCTATTAGGAGCTCTTTCAGGCTGGTTCTTGTATCCCCTCGATATGCTCTCTTCCTTTTGTTTTTTGAGCACTTCTTACTTCCTGGTACTGTAAAATGCTCCAGTCCTACAATCACCCTTTTTTCCCAATGAATTGCCCACTCCCCTATGGAGTTTTAAAAAATCTAGGTTCATGGATTTTATGCTAGACCTACCCTGTCAATCCCCGGGGCAAGATCTAGGTACAGGCATTTTAACAAGTTCCCAAGTTGGTCACAGTGCGGCAGTGAGTTTGCTGGTGGCCCTTAGGAGTCACTGATTTATGCAGCTTGAACTGAAGGTAGACAAAAATAGGCCAAATGACAGAAATACTCTGGAGGTCAACATGAATGGCATTTACAGGCAGATGGGCCTCCGAGTTGGAGAAGATTGTAAGGGTCTTTTTTAGGCCATTTAAATTTTTTCATTTATCCGTTCATGGATTCAGACAGAATCAGGCAGCACTGAGTAAGTTCCAGGCCCATGACCTCACCACTGTGGAGATGCCAGACGAGGACAGAGAGGCACCCACAACTGAGTCAGCCCGCAGGCACACCTCATTTCTTCCAAGTGTCCCAGATGCAAGATTATCTGGTGTTAGCTTGAGTACAGAGAACACATAACTAGAAACGTCATTCTCTTCCTTTAGAGAAAGGCACTGGATGGTCTGTTTCCTTTTCAAGACTGAAAGAGCCAACGTGTACCCCCAGAAGCCAGTGCCGCTAGGCTGTGTACAGACAAGTATCCTATCCACAAGGAGAAAGGCAGAAACAGACCTGGGGATGGGTTAGTAGGGTTTCTCCACCACATCAGTACCTGTGTATTTCTTTCTAGTTATTTTCCCCTAGAACTTGACAATTTGGGAGCCACAGTACATTTGGTTGTCATATCTCCCCAGCCTCCTCTGTTCCGTGACTCTTTTTTAGTCTTCTGTTGTTTTTACGACCCTGAAAGTTTTGAGAAATGCTGGCCAGGTCTTCTGTGGAATGTCCCCCAAAATGGGTTTGTCTCACTTTTCTCATGATTAAACTGGCAGTTAAGGGGAAGAAAACCGTAGGGCTAAAGCTTTTTGGGAACTTTTTTTTCTTTTTTTTCTTTTTTTTTTTTTTGGCTCTGTCACCCAGGCTGGAGTGCAGTGGCCTGATCATATCTCACTGCAGCCTTGAACTCCTGGGCTCAAGCGGTCCTCCCACCTTAGCCTCCTGAGTAGCTGGCACTTCAGGCATGCACCACCGCCTAATTTTTTTTTTCTTCTCTGTAGAGGTAGGGGTCTTGTTATTTTGCCCAGGCTGGGTCTTGAACTGGCCTCAAGCGATCATCCTGCCTCAGCCTCCCAAAGTACTGGGATTGCAGGCATGAGCCACTGTGCCCAGATCTAAAACTCATTTAATACTCATAATTATATCTTATTCCTTTGCTGGGAATTCCAGTTGTGGCGGGTGACAATGGGTGGCATGACCTGTGCAGATACCTTGGGGGAGAGGGGTGAATCTAATACTTGTGTTGTGAATGAAACCAGATAATAATTTCTGTTTCCACATGTGGAAGCAAGCCACTGATGCTTTTCCATTCTCTCCCCAGCTTCTTCCTGGAGAAGAATATGTTTGTTTTCTTCTTGAACATCTTGCGGCAAAAGTCGGGCCGTTACGTGTGCGTTCAGCTGCTGCAGACCTTGAACATCCTCTTTGAGAACATCAGTCACGAGACCTCACTTTGTAAGGACATTCCTTGGTATTTGCCTCTGTGCTGCTGTGCATGTAGCAGGGTGAAGTTGGGCGTGGTTTTCTGTGTCTGCGCTTACTATTCGTCGGCTCAGGCTATCCTAACAAAATACCATAGACTGAGTGGGTTAAACAATAGAGATTTGTTTTCTCACTGTTCTGGAGCATTGAAGTCCAAGATTGGCCAGGCATGGTATCTCATCCCTGTAACCCCAGCACTTAGGAGGCCAAGGTGGGCAGATCACTTGAGCTCAGGAGTTTGAGAACAGCCTGGACAACAAGGTGAAACCCCGTCTCTACAAAAAACCACAAAAATTAGCTGGGTGTGGTGGTGTGCACATGTAGTCCCAGCTACTCAGGAGGCTGAGGCAGGAAGATTGTTTGTCAAGGAAGTCGAGGTTGCAGTGAGCCGTGATTGTGCCACTGCACTCCAGCCTGGGTGACAGAGCAAGACCTTGTCTCCAACAACAACAAAAAAAAAAGTTCAAGATCAAGTTGCCAGCAGGGTTGGTTTCTAGTGAGGGCTCTCTTCCTGGCTTGCAGACGGCCACCCTCTTGCTGTGCATGGCCTTTCATCTGTGTGTGAGTGGAGAGAAATTGAGAGAGTGCTAGCTGGTGTCTCTTCCTCCTTCTATGGGGACGCCAGTCCTATTGGATGAGAACCCCCACCCTTATGACCTCATTAACCTTAATTACCTCGCCAAAGGCCCTGTCTTCAAATACAGCCACAATGGGGGTTAGAGCTTCAATGTAGGAACCTGAGGGAGACATAGTTCAGTCCCTAAGCCTGTGTTTGTTTCTGTGTGGTGGGTACTATCAGAGGGTTCCCCTCTGCTGATGATGCTGGGGGTGTTTGCAGTTCTTCTTTATGACTTGCTATTAAAGAGTTGGGGTCGCTGAATCATCAGCCAATGGAATAAGCACTGGAAGAAGTAAGACAAGGAAGATCTCTGCCAGAGGGCAGGCAAGGGTGTGTGCATTGGTACCAACCCTCCTGCTTCAGTCCCTCCACCCAGCTAGTGAGTGTGTGACTCCGAACTTCTTACCTGCCCTCACTAAGCCTCAGTTTCGTCATCCGTAATAACCACCCCTGAGAGGCAGGTGCCATCAGTGCTTTCATTTTAACACCCAGGCGCCAGCTCTAGCAAAGCCAGAATAGAGAAGGGGTTTCATCCCAGGCGATTAGCTCAGTGGTCTTCAGTGAGGGGACATTTGGCATCATCTAAAAACATTCTTGGGGGTGCTGCTGACATCTAGTGGGTAGAGGGTAGGGGTGCTGCTAAGGACAGGCCCCCCACAACAGGGAATTACCCAGCCCAAATTGTCCCCAGTGCCGAGGCTGAGAAACCCTGGTTTGGTTCCTAATCCTCCACGCTAGACTGCTAGCTTTGTTATTCCAAGGTGACTTCACCAAGCCCGGGCCCTGCCCGCCAGAAGTGGGGGACAAGTGGCCAAATGTCTATATCAGAGGCAGGCTCTAAGTCCCCAGGACAGGTCTGAAAAAAGTCTGCAGTGGGCAGAAAGAGGTAGAGATGGTGGCATTCCTCTGGCCAAGAGGGAGAGGTGAAAGGGCTGCTGAGTGATGGCTCTCGCAGCCGCCGCTAGGTGGTGCTGCTGCCTCAGAGACGCCTTATGCTTCCCGGTGACCGCAAGTTGACAAATGTGGGCCGACTCCTGTCTCCCTAAATGGTTTCCCTTGTTACCAGCGCCTGTTTCACTGGATGTGAAATGACTGCGGTTTCTAAAAGCTCTGAGGGGAAGATCCAGCTCAGTGGCACAGGCCCTTGACTCAGACTGAACCAGGTCCCAGGCCCAGTTCTGCCCCACACTGGCTCCCTGCACGTGCCTGGACAGTGAAGGCTCCGAGCTGCTGTTTGTGCATCTGTCAAGAGGAGAGCACAGTGGCTGCAGCATAGAGTGGCTGGGCGTGAGCGTGAGAGCAGGTGTTCAGAGCGAGGCACAGGGTCTGGCAGATAGGACATGGCCATGGTGTCGGTTTTATCCTTTAAGGCAACATCACCCTCAGTGTCCCTGCCCTGGGAAGCCTCTCAAAGTCCAGCTAGGCACGGGGTGACTGGATTGAGATGGGGGTGGGGCGATCAAAACTTACGGCTTTTAGAGTGTTTCTCTGAATTATGTGGCTTTTAAAAATTGTATATATTTAATGTGTACAACTTGATTTAATATATACATATACACAAAAAAATGTGTACATTGTGAAATAATCACGGCAATCAAGTGAATTAACATATCCATCACCTCACTTTTGTGCGTGTGTGTGGGTGGGGGTTGTGTGTGCACCTTGGGTGATGAAAATATGCAGTAGATCTGTTAGCAGATTTCAAGTCTGTAACACAGTAGGATGACCTGTAGTCACTGTGCTGTACATGAGAGCTCCGGAACTTACTCATCGTGCGTCGTACCCTTTGATCAGCGTCTCCCCATTTCCCTCCTCCCCAGTCCCTGGTAACCACCCTTTGACTCTCTGCTTCTATGAATTTGACTGTCTTAGATTCTCCCTGTAATTGAGATCATGCAGTATGCGTGGCTTTTCTTGTCCTGGCACCGAAAAGGGTGCCCTGCTGTGGGAAACCCAGGCAGATGCCCCTGGCTTTATAGCCCCTTCACCACAGTGCTTTTATAAGCCCTGCAAAAAGGGTAGAAATCATTGCACGTTTACAGAACTTGGATTTGTAAGGGGTGAGGAGGATAGAAGACCTTTGCTTTTATTTTTGTTTTCTAATCACAGAAGAAAAAATGTCCTCATTGTTAAATAACGAAAAGCCAAATGTTAGAAAAATGTAAAGTCAAGTTTCTGCAGAATTCAACCCTAACGATCCATTGTGCACCAGCCATTCTGCTGTTTGCTTTTCTTTTTCCCACCTTCCCAGTGTATCCTAGATCTCATTGTCCCGTTCTGTAACCCTGCCTGGTTTGGTTTAGGAGTGGCAGCTTGTTGTGCTATAATCTATTTAACCTGACCACGGGCATTTAGGTGGTTTCCAGCTTTTCACTATTACAAGCTACCATTTCACAAATGCACCTGTTGCCTGTTGGGGTTAGTGACCTAAGTGACAGAGTCCCGAGAGACTGAGATTACGTACAGGCTCCCGGGTTTATTAGAAAAGGATACCACAGAAAGTCAGCCACACAGTGAGGGGGTAGTAGAAAAATCCCAGCCTGATAATAGAGGCACCTCCAACTGTCCTATGGTGGCCCCCCACCACCCACAGAGTCATCTCTTGGAGGCCCTGGAAAAGTCCCTGCTGGGGAGTGGAGGGAGCCTGTCGCTGTTCCAGCTCCAGGGTACAGCTGAGAGACTCACAGTTGCACATCTGAAGCTCCCAGTATGGTGTCTGTGCTGCTGGTGGTCTGGAAGCCACTAGCCAGTCACAGCAGGGCTCAGTAAGACACCCCAACAGCTCCTTATCCTGCCAGCCCATTACCCCTCCCTACTTCTCCCCCAGCAAGAGCCAGAATGACACAGAAAGAAAAAGAAGTGCTCTGGGTATCAGAATCACCTGGGTGACACGATACCCATGTTAGACTCCAGGTGGATAAATAAACTGTGGACTATTCAGAGAATGTACTACTATATAGCAAAAAAGAAAAGAAAAAGGAAAAGGAAAGAAGGAATGAACTACTACCATTGCATACACAGCAACCTGGAAAGCCCTCAGATGTGGTAATAAGCGAAAGAGGCCAGACATAGGAAGTGTGCGTACTGTCTGCTTCCATTAGATAAGGTTCATGGACAGGCAAAACGAGTCTGATGTGCTAGAAGCAGAATAAGGGTTGCATTGGGGTAGCGGGTACTGACTGGGCAGGGGCATGAGGAAGTCTTCTGGAGAGCTGGGAATGTCAGATTTGGGATCTGGATGGTGCTTACACCGTGTGTATATGTAAAAATTCATCATGCTGGGCACTTAGGGTTATGTATCTATGTGTTTTATACGTAGATATACCCGAGGCTGGGTACTTTATAAGGGAAAGAGGTTTCATTGACTTACAGCTCAGCACTGCTGGGGAGGCCTCAGGAAACTTACAATCATGGCAGAAGGTGAAGCAAACACATCCTTCTTCACATGGCAACAGCAAGGAGAAGAATGAGTGCTCAGCAAAGGGGGAAGCCCCTTACAAAACCATCACATCTCGTGAGAACTCACTATCACGAGAACAGGATGGGGGAAACCACCCCCATGATTCAATTATCTCCACCTGATCCCTCCCACAACACGTGGGGATTATGGGAACTACAATTCAAGATGAGACTTAGTTGGGGACATAGCCAAACCATATCATACATATATGTGTGTGTATATTTCCACATATGTCAAGCTGTCCACTTAGGATTTGTGATATACATAACCCCATCTTTAAAAACATTAAGATTCCTAAGATTCTGCCTTAGACCCATTGACTCCTTGCTTGGAGGGATCCCCAAGCACTGCCTCAGTAGTGTTATGAGCAGGCGATTTTGAAAACTGCTCTTCTAAGACTACAAACCGCACAGCCTGTCTGCCATGCCTGCTCAGAGTGCACAGTGGCTTTTCTGAATGCAGTGGCTTTCCCGGAGAACTGACTTCCAAGGAGGACCACGCCACAGGCCCACACTGTGGCTTCCATCACGATCCCGGGCTCCCAGATTCCTCTTTGTGGTGTTTTTGATGATTCCCAACAGACTGTTGAGTTTGACTTTGATCGACCTCAGTTAGGTACCTCGACGGCTCCAAATAACTTAATGGTTTATTTCCTCTTCACCCAAGAGCAACTGTTTTCAGTCCTGGAATATGGTAGAGATTTTCTTTGTTTGTTTTGTTTTTAGAGACAGGTCTCACCCTGTCGCCTAGGCTAGTCTCCAGTGATACGATCATGGCTCACTGCAGCCTTGAACTCCTGGCCTCAAGCTGGGACCACAGGTGCACACCATCACACCTGGCTAAAGCTGAGATTTTGAATCTCCGAATAATAGTAATAATAATAAGAAGAATGGCAGTTAACATTATCGAGTGCTTGCATTGCGGCCCATGCTGTCCATTCACACAGCCAGTGAATCAGTGACTACTACTACTGTCCTGAGTGCTTTCTGTGCATTTTCTCCATTAACTCTTACCACTACTTCATGAGGAAGTTTTGGCTTCATGAAACTGGGGCGTGGGGAGGGTCAGCAGTTTGCCCAAGGTCACAGCACAGCTAGGAAGTGGCAGGGGCGAGATGTGGACACAAGCAGGCCAGTCCAAGTCCACGATTAAACCCAGAGCTTCCCAAACACTAGCACGCATGGGGAGCCCTGCACACTTCTCACATGCAGAGTGCTGGGCCCACCCCTGGAGATTCTGACTCCGTGGCGCAGGGCCGGGGCCCAAGATCCTACAGGTCTGACAAGCTCCGGGGTTGCTGTGCTCCCCATCTGAGGACAAGACTCTGAGTAGCGAGGCTCCAAACCATGCCCCCAGCAGGTGTGAATCGTGTTCTGCCTTTAGCTGTCCTGGGGGCCGGGCAGGTGAGCTGGTGCAGCACTCACACAACATTCCAAAGGACAGGCGATGGGACAGCAGTGCCTGCCTTGCAGGGTGGCTGGTAAGAACACAGAGGGAAATATGCCTGGCAAGGGCCCAACACTGAGATATCAAACTGCAGGCCATAGGCTGCAGCTGGCTAGTAGACATGTTTTTGCCGGCCAGCACAGCTTTAAAAGCTAGTTGATTTCAGTGGCAAACATGTCAGGATCAGGAGATGCAGTGTTGGAATCTGGTTTTGCCTCTCTTCACTGTTGAAAGCCCTCACCATACTGGCCTGCATTTCTGCAGGGCCAGGCGCTGGGAGCTGGGGAATGGGGTTGCTCTTCAGTTGACCCCAGTGCCCTTGGGCCCTCATCACCCAGTTTTCATTGTTGGGCCCCCATAATGCATGACAAACTCTGACATCAGACCTAAGTTTGAATCCCTTCTCTGTGACTGTCTCTGTGCACGGGTAAGTTAACATCTCCGAGATGTTTTTGCTCATCTGCAAAATGGGAAGAATGAGCAGGATCATGTGATGGTTAATGGTCATGTAAAGCACTCAGCCTAGTGGCCGGCATGTAGTAGGGATTCAGCAGGAAGGGACCTTTATGCAATCATGTTGCTATATAAGGAGGAAAAAAACCCTACTGTGGCCTTCAGAGTTGATGATGTGATTTGTGATGGCAGAAGGGGGCAGCTTTTTACCCTCATTCATGGGTGGTTTGTGAAAATGCCCACACACCAGCTAATCTCCCCCTACTCCCAGCTCTTTGTTGCACTTTGCCATCAATGAAAAGAAAATGTTGGAGTGTCTTTTTTTTATTTGGTGTGGGAGGGCGGGGAAGGGCTGTTCTCTGGTGATGCCTTTGAACTTCCTGGTGACTGTACATTGAAGATGATCTCTTTGCTGGTTAAAAGTTAAGCTCTTCCCAGTTAGTGTGTTTAATCCCAGCAACCCAGAGGCTTACCTGATTCAAGTACATTAACGTGGTCATCTGCTTGTTACCTGGCTTATCTTTCCTCCAGCATGAGTTAACCTGTTTTGTTTTTTTCTCCCTCTAGATTATTTGCTCTCAAATAACTACGTAAATTCTATCATCGTTCATAAATTTGACTTTTCTGATGAGGAGATTATGGCCTATTATATATCGTTCCTGAAAACACTTTCGTTAAAACTCAACAACCACACTGTCCATTTCTTTTATAATGAGGTAAGTAATTGCCAGAGGGGCACGTGTGGGTGTAAAGCCACACGTGGCTTTTTTTTTTTTTTTTTACGGCAGCGCCTTATATCTGGATGGTCTTGTGTCTGTTTACAAAGCTCTTATATGCTTGTTATGATTTTCATGGCAACACTTTTGACTTTGGCATGTTTAAAAAATTTTTTTAATTAAATAAGTTACCTTTCTATTAAAAAAATGTAATTCTTTGTAGAGACAGGGTCTTACTATGTTTCCCAGGTTGGCCTTGAACTTCCGGGGCACAAGCGATCCTCCTACCTTGGCCTCCCAAAGTGTTAGGATTACAGGCATGAGCCACAGCACCTGGCCAGCCTTTCCATTGTTAATGTAAAATTCAGTTTGTTCTGAGAGCTTTATACTTGGTAGAGAGGAGACATGCCCAGATGTTGTCTTGGGGAAGTGTTGCCCTGTGGGAAAAACAGGAACTCCAGTCAGGGCTGGTTTTGTCACTTCCCTGCTGTGTCACCTTAAGGAAGTCCCAGTCCCTTTCTGAACCTCAGTTTCCTCATCTGAGAAATGGGGATAAGAATATACATCTTGTAGGGTTATTAGGGGTTAAATTAAATGAGATGATGTCTTCAAAGTGCCAGTATGTACATAGCTCCCTAAAAGCATAGACGTTGCTATTGTTGATAAGATAATGTCCCTGACATTCTTTGGGAGAATTATTAAAATGAACAACTTAAATAAATAAATTGCTCCTGTCCTCACACCTAAAAGGGGTTTGAACAATAGGGTCAATGTATCACCCACACCAAAAGGTCCAGGCACTGGTCGTGCTGGGGCTGGTTCATCCTGTGGTTCAACAGTATCAGCGAGGACCCAGGCTTTCCCATCTTGCTGCTCTGCTGACTATACAGCTGGCATCCATCCTCAGGTTCAACCCCTCATGGTCACAGGTTGGCTGCCACTGCCAAAATGCCTGATGAGATCACTTCCCTTCTTGTGTCCCTTTTTAACTTCCAAAGAAAACTTTCTCAGAAGGTTCTCACCAGCCTTCCCCTCATGTTTCCCTGCATCCCACTGAGTACTTCTTAGGTGTCAGGTGCTGGGATAAGCACAAGACCAGAAATGATCTCATTTAATCTGGAAACCATAAAGTAGATGTTATTATCCCCATGTTATAGATGTAGAAACAGAGGTTTAGAAATACTGCATTGCACAGGTTAGAAGTGGTAGAATGGGTAATGAACCCAGGTCTGACATTATCTGGACTCATTTTCTTTTTAATTATAATTTTCAAAGTAGAGATGAGGTCTCGTCACATTGCCCAGGCTGGTCTCAAAACTCCTGACCTCAAGCAATCCCCCCTCCTTGGCCTCCCAAAGTGCTGGGATTCTGGGCATGAGCCACCACTCCCAGCCAATCAATCAGTGATTACTACTACTACCACTACTACTGCTCTTTTTTCTTTTTTCTTGTTTTGAGACAGGGTCTTGCTCTGTTGCCCAGCCTGGCGTGCAGTGGCACGATCACATCTCACTGCAGCCTCCAACTCCTGGGCTCAAGCCAACCTCCCACCTCAGCCTCTCCCAAGTAGCTGGTACTATGGGTGTGCACCACCACACGGACTTGGACTCTTCTGTTTCTTCCATGGCTTTGCCTTCCTGTCCCTTTCTACATGCCCCATTGGGAATGAACCACTGACTTACGGTTCACATTGGCAACATTTTTTTTTTTTTTTTTGTCTTTTTCTGAAGTCTCTGATGGAATTCAGAGAGTTGGGGTGGGGCCAGGCCTGGCTTATGGGCTTATAATTTGTTTTCGTTATTTCTTTTGTTTTAGCACACCAATGACTTTGCCCTGTACACAGAAGCCATCAAGTTTTTCAACCACCCTGAAAGCATGGTTAGAATTGCTGTAAGAACCATAACTTTGAATGTCTATAAAGGTAAGTGTCCTCATGGGCTTGTGTCTCGGCTGATTTCTGACTTGGCAGCAAGCACTCACTCCCGTGTGTGTGCGTACAGTTCTCCGATTGTCACGAGGGAGCACATTGATGATGAGCCGTGGCAGCTTCTCTCATGAAAAACTTGGAATCCCCTAGCATTTAGCTGGCCGCTCATGGAAATCCTTGCCTTCTCCAGGCATGTCGAAGTCTTGCTCATGCTGCTACATAGAAGTAGGATGTCCTGAGAGGCACGTGTGGGATTCAGAGTGGCTATGTTTTAGAATTTGAGAAAGCAAAGTTGTCTTTTTAATGTGTCATTTAAATTTTTGTGTCTTGGCTTGTGAAATATACTTTAATACAGCTAAGGGGTAATTTGACTTTTAAGTAATATATAAAAGCATGTCACATTGTGAACAGCAGGGGGCAATGTTGTATTCCCAACAGGCTGCAAAGCCCAGCACTAACAATTCCTCCTTTCCCTCAAGATGTTCTTAATGCCCAAAACATTGCCCCAGGGAAAAAGCCATTCCCCCACTCTCCGCTGCACTGACACAAAGGCTGCCTGGCCACAAGTTTCCTGAACTGGAATTGCCCTTCCAAGGCGATGCTTGGAAGTTCTCTGCCTAATTCCTGGGTTATTTTCCCCGGAGTCACCACAGTGGAGATGGGACTATTTTCTCAGGGATGAAAGGGCTTTGACTTTCATGAGCCAAAATGTTATTACTCCCTAATGAGGGTGGGGGCTTCTCAGGGACTCACTCCAGCCTAGCACTGGGCTTACATTAAATTTAAGAACCTTTCTAAGAGCCCAACTGGACCCACCCAGGGGTCGCAAACTGAGGACCTGTGGGCCATATCCAGCCATCAGACATGTTTTAACTGGCTTAGTTTTTGAAAAAATGTGTAGTTGCCAGTATTTAAAAATTGGGAGATCTTCCATGATAATCTGGATTTGCACCTTGAAGATGTAGATTTGGCTAGTCAAGGCCCACAGTCCTGCAGTTGGGGGGGTCAGCTGGCACAGAAGCAGCTGCCCCTTTGGGGTCAAGGCCCGTGCTCCCAGGTCACACGCTGGACCTCTGGCAACTAGCCAACGTGGCAGGCTTGTAAGATTGTGACCCTGGTCCAAGCCACAGTTGGTTCTGCTGCCTCCTGCTCTGTTTTCTCCTGTCTCCTTCTAACCTTATCTCTCTGTGCAGATGCCTCCCACCCTAGTCTCTCTCCCTCTGAGCAGCTCTCTCACCTTCCCAGGTCCTAACCCTGTTAACTGTTGTCTGTTTTTTGCTTTTCCTTCAATGACGATTCCTGTGTTCCTTATTCCAGTGTCATGTAAGTTATTAACCTCTGGTTTTCTGCTTTCTTAATCTACCCTTATATGTAAATACCTTGCTTGAGAATGGTGTAATTCTCAGTGTAGTCTAGCTCAGTCTGCTACTGATAAGTAGGCTCTCCCATGCACCATTAATGTTTAGCCCAACTAATTTATTTTTAAGTATAAAATATCATAAGAACTGCCTTGATGACTATAGTTTTATGAATAAGATAAACATTTTTAAGTATTTCCAGGAAAGACAGACAATTTCAGATTATAGCAGAGGGCTTTTTCATTGTGGTTTTTGGGTTTTGCTTTGTTTTTGTTTTTTTTTTAATCTTCCCCAAGTTATTTTTGGTAGCTTGACTTTTTTTTTCTTCTGTGAATTTTCTCAGTGGATAACCAGGCCATGCTGCACTACATCCGAGATAAAACTGCTGTTCCTTACTTCTCCAATTTGGTCTGGTTCATTGGGAGCCATGTGATCGAACTCGATGACTGCGTGCAGACTGATGAGGAGTAAGTGACACCCCCAGGGCCACTCAGTAGATAGACAGGGTGGTTAGGGGAGAATTCTGTTTTCATCAAGGAAAAATAAACACAAGAACCGCACTTCCCTACCTCTGTGTAGGCAGAGCATGGACTTCCGTACTGTAAAAGGTCCTGCTCACCTATTTGTAATAATGAAATGCTGGAAACAACTCAGACGCCTCCCAGAGCAGGCGGGGTAAATCAATTCAGTACAGCCATAGATGGGGCTGCTACGCAGCTGGTGAGAAGGTCAAGGGGCTCTGTCAGCTGATGAATGCATTAACAAAATGTAGTCTGTCTGTACGATGGAATAGTGTTTGGCGATAAAAAGGAATGAAGTGCTGACACTTGGTGTGGCGTAGATGAACCTCAAAAGCATTATGCCTAGTGAAATGCCCAGAATAGGTGAATCTATAGGGGCAGAAAGTAGATTCGTGGTTTCCTAGGGCTAGGATGTTGTGTGGGGACATAGGAAGCAACTGCTAATGAGTATAGGGCTTTTTTTTCTTTTTTGAGACAGAGTATTGCTCTGTCACCCAGGCTGGAGAGCAGTGGGGTGATCATGGCTCACTGCAGCCTTGACCTCCTAGGTTTAAGCATTCCTCCTGCCTCAGCCTCCCAGGTAGCTAAGACCACCAGGCCTGTGCCACCATGCCCAGCTAATTTTTTTGATTTTTAGTAGAGATGGGGTTTCGTCATGTTGCCCAGGCCAATCTTGCATTCCTGGGCTCAAGCAATCCTCCTGTCTCGGCCTCCCAAAGTGCTAGGATTACAGGTATGAGCCATACATCCGGCCAAGTAAGGGGCTGCTTGCTTTTTTTTTTTTTTTTTTTTTTTTTTTTTTGAGACAGAGTCTTGCTCTGTCTCCCAGGCTGGAGTGCAGTGGTGCAATCTTGGCTCACTGCACCTCTGCCTCCTGGATTCAAGTGATTCTTCTGCCTCAGCCTCTGGAGTAGCTGGGATTACAGGCATGCACCACCACGCCTGGCTAATTTTTGTATTTTTAGTAGAGACAGGGTTTCACCGTGTTGGCTAGGCTAGTCTTGAACTCCTGACCTCATGATCCACCCACCTGGGCCTCCCAGAAGTGCTAGGATTACAGGTGTGAGCCACTGTACCCAGCCATAAGGTGCTTTTTTTTGCAGGGGGGATAACAGTGTTCTAAAATTGACTGTGATCATGGTCAGGCAACTATGTGACTCTACCAAAAACCATTACATTGTGTACTTTAAATAATTGAATGTTATGGAATGTGAATTATACTTCAATAAATCTCTTTTAAAAAACAGATTAGGATGGTGGTTTTGTCCTCAAAGGGATGATTAGAAGTTCCAGAGCAGGATTTCTTTCCCTTGGCTCTATTGACCTCTTGAACTGGGCACCATTGTTGGGGGGGCTGTCCTGTGCGTTGTAGGATTTTTAGCAACATCGCCAGCCTCTCTACCTGCTAGATGCCAGTAGCACCCCTCCCCAGTCGTACCAACCAAAAATGTCCCCAGACATTGCCAAATGTCCCCTTTAAGGCAAATTCACCCTCACTTGAGAACCACTGCTCCAGGGTGACAGCTTTGCCCAGGCCTAGTGAGAGGTGCACCTAGATGGGGTCAGGATGCTAAAGGGACCAGGGCAGACCCATTGGAGCAATTGGGAAAGCTAGAAGCCTTATGGATTTAAACAGTCATGGATGCGAGACATAATGAGACACTTAACTATAGAAAGAACAAAGTTATACAAGCAAGGAAATGAAATCATAGTCCTCTATTTGGCTCCACAGGGAATGTTATGACATCAACCCCAATTACTGATAACTACTTGTGGGGAAGGGGCAGAGAGAATGGAAGAGTTCTGTCATAACAGGAGGTCAATAGATAATACCTAAAATGGCTCAATTGCAAAATAGGAGTCCATGCAGATTTTCTAGAAATATGGGAGGAACTATCTGCAGAAACAAGTAACTGCCTCTGGACAGTGAGGAGAAGTAGAGGAGGGCTGGGTGCGGTGGCTCACACCTGTAATCCCAGCACTTTGGGAGGCTGAGGCGGGCAGATCACTTGAGGCCAGGAGTTGAAGACCAGCCTGGCCCCATCTCTACTAAAAATACAAAAATTAGCCAGACATGGTAGTGCACCCCTGTAATCCCAGCTACCAGGGAGGTCAAGGCAAGAGAATTGCTTGAACCTAGGAGGTGGAGGTTGCAGTGAGCTGAGATCGCACCACTGCACTCCAGCCTGGGTGACAGAGCAAGACACTGTCTCAAAGAAAAGAAAAAAACAGTGGAGGAGGCGAGTCTGGGCCAGGAGCTGCTCTTTTTCATTATCAGCTTATCAATGCTATTTGAGTTTTAAACCTAGCTGCATATATTACTTTGATATTTTTTAAACCAAAGTATTAAAAAGTGAGGCACTTTAAATATACCATTAGAGAAAATGTTCCAAAGTATCTTATTAAGTGGGAGAAAAGTGCAAAACATTGTGCATAAATGTTCTAGGTCTCAGGCGCACGGTGGGTTCATAGACATTCATTATACTGTTAGGCTTTACAACATGTATTTGCTGTAAATATTTACCAAATATCTTTTTTCTTTTCTTTTTTGAGATGGAGTCTTGCTCTGTCACCCAGGCTGGAGTGCAATAGTGCAATCTTGGCTCACTGCAACCCAATCTCCCAGATTCAAGTGATTCTTGTGCCTCGGCCTCCTGAATAGCTGGGACTACAGGTGCATGCCACCACCCCTGGCTAATTTTTTTTTTAATATTTTTAGTAGAGACGGGTTTCACCATGTTGGCCAGGCTGGTCTCGAACTCCTGACCTAAAGCAATCTGCCTGCCTTGGCCTCCCAAAGTGCTGGGATTACAGACATGAGCCACTGCACCCAGCTGAAATATCTTGTTGAAGTATAAGAAATAATTGGCTGGGCATAGTGGTTCATGCCTGTAATCCTACCACTTTGGGAGGCCGAGGCAGAAGGATCACTTGAGTCCAGGAGTTTGAGACCAGCGTGGGCAACATGGTGAGACCCCTCCACCCTCTATGAAAAATTTTTAAAAATAGTTGGGCATTGTAGCAGGTGCCTGTAATCTGAGATGCTTTGGAGGCTGAGGTGGGAGGATCCCTTGAACCTGGGAGGTTGAGGCTGTAATGAGCTGTGCTCATGCCACAGCACTCCAGCCTAGGTAACAAAACAAGACCCTATCTCAAAAAATAATAATAAATAAATAAAAGGAATAATTATCCAGAATTATGTAAAAGAAGCAGAATTGATCTTGTTTTTACTTTTTTTTTTTCAAGTATATACAGTTAGACGGATAGAAATGTGACATCTATATTTTAGATGTGACTACTACTAGGAGAGGTAAAAATGTAGAAAAAACAGACATTAGGGTTATAAGTCCCAAAATGTTAATAGTGGATATTTGTTAGTGGTGGGTTTGAGACTTTGAATTCTATTTGCTTTTATATTTTAATTTGCTGTTGTCAAAAATGATCATCTATCAGTTGGGTAATAACAACAATACAAACAAAATGCCTAGCTAGCATTTGCTGCATACTCCTTGGGGGTGGTGAAAGCATCCTCACCAGCTGTTTCTGGAGTGTGAGACTGACTCCACCCAAGAGACATTACCCCCTGGCCCCCCATCCCCAGCATGCTGTTGCTAACTGCTGGGAGACGGAGACCTCCAGGGCAGGGGCCTGGGGGAGGGGTGTCATGTCTTTGCTCTATGTCTGCATGTCGTCAGGGCCACTGGGGTGGCCACGGCTCTGGAGGCCTGCTTTTCTCTTTAGAACTCCTCTGGAGCATTTTAATTACAGTGGATTTATTGCTCCATTAGTGCTGCTTATCTGGGGAGCCAGGGGATCTTGCCACAGTGGCTAGTAGCTGTGCTTATGCAGTGGCTTGCTGGAAGAGTTTAGCAGCATTTTGCTTTGTTTACCTCATTCTGGGAGACCCCAGCAGTCCCCTGAAATTGATTTTAGTAAACCTGCCCATTTTCCCTTGTATATCTCCCCAGTAGGGGCCAGGATAAGTGTCTCTTGAGACTAACTCAAATATGTGGATGAACTCACAGTGACCTAAGTCTCAGGCCATTGATGTTAGGCTCAAAGGCTCCTAGTGTTGGCCTCCAGGCTGAGGTGGTCATTTCTCCTGGCAGGCATCGGAATCGGGGTAAACTGAGTGATCTGGTGGCAGAGCACCTAGACCACCTGCACTATCTCAATGACATCCTGATCATCAACTGTGAGTTCCTCAACGATGTGCTCACTGACCACCTGCTCAACAGGCTCTTCCTGCCCCTCTACGTGTACTCACTGGAGAACCAGGACAAGGTGGGTCCAGCCCCGTGGCTCCCGCTGGCTGAAGGCCATCAGAAGTGGGGAAGAACAGTCCCCAGTCCCCTGGAATGGGGCTGAGCATTGCAAATCAGGACTGAGGTTTTTTTTTTGTTTGTTTGTTTTTAAAAGACGGAGTTTTGCTCTTTTACCCAGGCTGGAGTGCAGTGGTGCGATCTTGGCTCACTGCAACCTCCGCCTCCTGAATTCAAGTAATTCTCCTGCCTCAGCCTCCCGAGTAGCTGGGATTACAGGTGCATACCACCACGCCTGACTAATTTTTGTACTTTTTGGAAGAGACGGCGGCATTTCACCATGTTGGTCAGGCTGGTCTCAAACTCTTGACCTCAGGTGATACACCTGCCTGGGCCTTCCAAAGTGCTGGGATTATGGCCAGAACTGAGGTTTTGAGCCCAAGGGAGATTCCTTTCAAAGCACACTGGCTTTCCTTTCCTTTCCTTTCCTCTTATTTCCTGAGACAGAGACAGAGTGTGTGTGTGTGAGAAGACTATAAAAGTGAATGAGAAAAGATTACCGACATCAGGAGGAAACAGGAAACATCTACAAATGTAGGGTTTTGGTTTCTGTGCATCCTTCCCTGAAGTGTTCTCCTCCCCAGTAACTTTTCCTGGTAGTTGCCAGAACCCACTGATTTGGAGAAGATACAGACAGCGACAGAACTTGCGCAGCATGGAGGGAAGGGATGGAGCACACTCAGGGAACGGTCCCAGGGTGGTGACTGTCCACTGTTAGCAGGCCCCAGAGGCCTGTGGGGATGACGGCTGGTAACATGCAGGGCCTCAGGACCAGGAATCTGCATGTCTCACCTATCCCTCAGGTGATTCTGATTCTGTGCTGCTGGTTCTCAGGGCCCCCCTGTGAGGAATGCTGCTTCTGGAGGGGAGGCCTCTGTGCAGTTCCTCCGGAGGTAAAAGGGCCTCAGCAGGAGGCAGGACAGAGCCAGCTGGTCACCATGCAGAGGTGCTCCAAGGGGATGGAGTTTTCAAGATTCTCACTACAGATGAGTAAATAAAAGAAAGTGTATTTTTAGTAGAAACGGGGTTTCACCATGTTGGCCGGGCTGGTCTCAAACTCCTGATCTCAGGTGATACGCCTGCCTCGGCCTCCCAAAGTGCTGGGATTACAGGCATGAGCCACCGTGCCCAGCCAGGACTGAGGCTTTGAGCCGGAGGGAGACTCCTTTCAAAGCACGCTGCTTTTCCTTTCCTTTCCTCTTATTTCCTGAGAGACAGAGACAGAGTGTGTGTGTGAGAAGACTATAAAGGTGAATAAGCGCCTTAGCTTTACCAGAGGCAGCTCTGGGAGGCAGAGACAAAGTATGAGAATTGGAGTTTTCAGACCTGCATTCAAATTCTGCCTCTTCCCTTTCCTAACTCTGTGACCTAAAGCAGTTAACCTGAGCCCGTTTCTTCGGCTGCAAAATGAGGGCCTAACTATTCTTCTCTAACAGGGTGGGTGTGAAATGGAGCATCTTGAAATTCATTATAAACGAGGGGCTTTTCCAAGGCCAGAGTGCCCTAAACCTCCTCCCCCATGCTTTGAAAATAACTTCCCAAGAACAGGCCTCCTGGAGGCCTCTCCTGCCGGGGCGTCCAGTGCCCCAGCTGGTACAAATGAACGTGCTTGGTAACTTAAGGAGCAAGTTCTCGTGGGTCAGCCTCTCATCCGTGAGTAATGGTGAAAGGTTTCTCAGATGGAAAAATAGTGTCCTTGCAAACAGTATTGAGTGGGATTTTGCGGAGTGGACTTTTGAGTAGCACCAAGAAAGGACAGCCCTAGGGCCGTGGAGGAAGTCAGTGGGACAGGACGCCTTTGTTCACACAGAAGGCTTTTGGCTTTGTGTATTTTGTGCTGCTCGCTTGTGTGACCTGATCTCTCTCTCTCTCTCCTGCCACCCTGCACTAGGGAGGAGAACGGCCGAAAATTAGCCTGCCGGTGTCTCTTTATCTTCTGTCACAGGTATGCTTGATCATTCACCAATGTCCCCACTACATTTGGGGTCCCTTGGCGTGCCACTGCCTTGAAGAAAATCCCCAGGCCTTATCACCCCATCTTCTCTGTCCCCCCCATGCTGGAGTAAAATAACAGCAAAACAGAAGGGGCTTTCTGTTTTCCAGGTACTAAATAGAGGTAGTGTGTATCTTTTTCATGGTAGGAGATGGAAATCCAAAGAGAAATGAAAAATAAACCAAACCTAACTTGTATAGTTGATTTTTACCATGAAGACTGAGGTTTCCAAAACAACTGAGGAGTGCTTGAAATGCCCTGGAAATGTGGGCTGCATCGCTTTTACTCCTGCAGCTTTGAATGAAGCCCCACACTGCAGAACCCACAGCGTGCATACACACAGCAACCTTGGTGTAACAAACTTCCTGAAATGAGTCTATTGTTAAAGGGCTTTATCGCGGTTCTAGTTCCCAGATTACCGTGTGGAAGGAATCTTGTAGCAACCTTAGCTCTCAGATTTGTGTCTTGAGCCAATTTATCTCCCTCCCCTCCTTCAACAAGTGTGTTTCCTTCATGTAATTATGTAATATTTACAAGAAGGGAAAAACTCCATGGCGACCCAGTTACATAACTTTAAAAATATTTTTATTACAAGCAGTCCAGACTCTCAGGGCATCTCATTAGACTATTAAGTAGTCCAGCATTTACCCAGAATTCTGTTTCCGCTTTTGCAATGGCACAGGTATTTATTTGCTTTGATGAGGAACTGTCCTTCTGACTTGATCCCCAGCTGTTTTGAATTTGGGGCGGGGCTTTGTCTTTTTGGCCCAAGAGGAGAGGTTCAGAGGCCACCTCCTCCCCGGCAGGTAGGCCAATCCGGACATGTCCTGACCATCACTCACAGCCCAGAGTCCTATTCTGGGGCTATTTGCTCAGAGCTCTGCACGAGGCCAAGTTTGTCTGAATGCCGCTCTGTACGACGGCGCTGAGCATAAACCCCAGCCTCTCCTGGCAGCTTTTTTCTGCTGCCTCTTTCCAAGTCTGCCGGCATCTCCTGCTTGAGATTCTGAGAGTCCAACAGGACCCAAGCAAGCCAGTTCTCAGCCCCAGGAATCATATGGAAAGCATCCTCAGGACCCTTCAGCTGTTGGAGCATTGCCCGGGCAGGGTCTCCTCCAGAGAGCATGGCCGCCAACTGCCCACAGCGGGAACGTCAGTGGAGAGAGTTAGGACTTTTCTCTGAGACTCCTCCCTCACCGGTTTGCTTTGTAAAGGACCAGTAGCCCATGCACCCAATTACTTGTTTCAGTATCTCACAGAAAACATAGCTTGTAATTCATTGTTCCTCAAACTTGAGTAATACATCCCTTTTAAAGATAAACAACCTGAAGCCCTGTTTCCCCCTGCATTTTCATTTAGCTTAATGAAAATGTGACCTAAATGTGTGAAAAACCTAAAATCAGGTATAAATCCTGTGTCCTGAAAGCCCCTACTTCAATATAAAATCATTGCATACTTGCAAATTATTTTACAAGCATAGCTAGAAAACCATGAAAATTTTTATGGATGACGTTAATTTGGTGTGACAGGTGATGCTGTCCTCCTAAAACCAAACTGCTAACAGAGTGTGGTGTAGGCAGCTGGGCCCAGCTTTTTGAGTCTGGCCTGCACGTGCTTCCACGTACCTTACAGTTACTCACCCTCCCTCTTTTTTGGGTTCAGAGCCAGGGAAATGAGCACTGTGTGTGTCCACAGGCAGGAATTGGTTGCTTTGTTCAGGGGGGCCTTTGTAGGTGCTCACTGAATGCTTGTGGACTGAAAAGAAGGAATAAATGATCAGTTAAGGCCGCATTCATTCAAGGTACGTAACGGATATTTGAGAATGAATGACCACAGTGATTGGTGTTTTGTGTTGTTGGTAGAGTGATGTGTGGCAGTAATTCGGCCATAAGGAAGGTGAGAAAAATCATCATTGCTAACATTTAAGGGCCTGCCAAGCCTTGGACGTGGGTTAACTCATTGAATCATACTATGTGGTCTCTGTGATAGAAAAGGTTCCCAGTATTTTTTTAAAAGATGCAATTTTTTATAGGGAGGTGCCACATGGCCATTCTGCCTGTACCTTTTATCTAATTTGAATTCTATGTATTTGTTAGAATAATATATTCCCCTTGTTCAAACAGTACAAAACATGGCATGTGAAAAGTCTCTCTCACTCTATACCCTGAGCACCCAACTGCACTCCCCAGAGGCAGCCTGTGTTGATTTTTGCCTTCACTTTTTAAAAAATAATTTTTTTTAAACAACGTTTTTTAAAGTTAAAAAGTTCAAACATGTAAAAACCGGGTTTCTGTTCTAGTTTTGTTCAGGCTCCTGACTTCTATCCCCAGAGACAATTAGGGTTACAGGGTTCTCGTATGTCCTAACAGAGACATCTGTCAGGGGTTCTTAACTAGGGGCAATTTTGCCCCTCAGGGGATACCTGGCAGTGTCTGGGGAGATGCATTCAGTTGTCATGACCGAGGCTGGGGTGCTACTGACATCTAGTGGGTGGAGGTCAGGGATGCTGCTCACCAGCCTGCAGTGTCTGGGACAGCCTCCCTCCATACTCAGTTATAGCCCAAATTGTCAGCAGTGCCAAGATTGAGAAACCCTGGCCTATGCATATGTAAATAAGCAAATACAAACATGCACACGCTTTTCTATGCAAATGGTAGATAAGCCACACCCTGTGCTACACCCTCTTGCCTTTACATTTTAAAACAAAATAGCAGGCATGTCTAGGCCAGCTTTGCAAGACAGTTTTGAATACCCTGATTCTTAAAGCTGGTCCTCTGAACATTGGGCAACAGGTGTGGGAGCAGGGCCAGCTTAGCCCAGAGGCAGCCCTCTGATTTTGCATCCTGGCCCACCTGGGTTTGCCTCTGTCTCGTGTGATTTTCAGCCCCGTAGTTCACATACCTCCTGACGATGCTGTGGAATCCCCGTGTGCTAAAACCCACCACAGGGTCAGAGCTCCCTCCCGTGATGGAATCTCTGTGTAGCCAACCCTCTGCCAAGTCCTTGATTGGAACAAAACTCTCCGGCCCCTTCTTCTTGTATCACTAAAGTATTGGGACAGTGCCTTCTAGTCTTCTCATAACCAAATTTGACACTAAAATGCCCATGGAAAGGAAGGAGTGTGCTGGTTTGGCTGTTCTTTCCCGCATTGCTCCACTTCAGCCGGATTTGGCTTCACCCAGCCATGAGGGACAGTCTCGCATTAATGCACTTCCTTCCGAGGAAGAGCAGCCAGCCAAATAGGCAACAGTCTGAAGGAGAGACTGACCTTACAAGAGTGGAACCGAGTCCTGCTTCCTGTGGCTCATTCTTTGAATTTTGCATCGTAGGAATTGCTGCTTAATACAGGACTTAGGTAGCCCAGCCTGGTCGCTTCTGATCCAGGAAGCAAGAGGTTGAAAATACCGCACACTTTCATGCAAATCCCGTTTCTTTTTTTTCCGCCAGGTCTTCTTAATTATACATCATGCACCGCTGGTGAACTCGTTAGCTGAAGTCATTCTGAATGGTGATCTGTCTGAGATGTACGCTAAGACTGAACAGGATATTCAGAGAAGTTCTGTAAGTCATTAGCTTCGGGACTGACCTTAACAGGAAACCATTGCTCATTTTGCTAATCTGTGTGTTTCTCTAAAATCAGAAACTAACATTCTGAATATATAGCAGTGATGATGCATAAGCTGGTCCGGGATTCAGTGAACCTAATCAGAGTCTTGATTGCATACCCAAGAGAAGCTGGGATCAGGGACCACCTGGATTTGATTGATTGTGTGTTCTTAAACATGGAATTGTACCACTCCGGGCCTTAGGTTGCATATCTGTGAGACACTGTTATCGGGACACAGTGAGAAAATGCCTTATCAGAGGAACTAATGTCTACAGAAGTTGGGCGATGAACATCCATGAATGACTCAGGCCCCAGGTGAGGGCAGTAGAGAGTGGCGAGGGGTGTGGCAAATTGGAGAGTGTATGCCACCTTGGCGAGCAGCTCCTGTTCTACCCCAGGCTGCTGCTGTTCTGCAGGAATATGGATGTAGGATTACTAGGTTTTTTCATGTTTCTAGAGAAGCGGGAAAAACGCATTGTTACGTGTAATCTCTAGTTTTAAATGATCATCAAGCTTTGGACTAAGTAGCATGTTTGTGGTCTGCAGGAAGGAGCTTTGGCGTTCCATTTGGTACACTGCTGAGGGAAAACACCTGATGGCCAGTGTTGTGACTTCTCTTGAAGCTTTTCCATCTTGTCCTCTGTATATCTCTGCTGTCATCTCTCAGATCCTGCTCACATGTCCTGAGCTCCAGCTGCCTTAATCCTGGTCTGACTTGCTTTTCCCCCAGCATGTCCAGCATTTGTGCCTTTGAACCTGCGCCTTTACCGTACCTACAGCCTGGTTCCTGATGCACCTGGTTCCCTCTTTTCAAAGGTCTTACCCACTCTAAGCTCCTTATGGCAGGGATCTCACCTGTCACTGAATCAGCTGCAGTCTGGGCTGCACAAATGCTCATCTCACTTATGCGGAGCCCAGGCTGCAGCTGATTCAGTGACAGGTGAGATCCCTGCCATAAGGAGCTTAGAGTGGGTAAGTGAGATGAGCATAGTGCGTTTTATACAAGGGCTGTTTCATAAAGGTTTCCTCTCTGCAGCCAGGTGCTCAGGCAGTGGCCAGGCTGGTAAAAGGGCCAGCTCGCCCTGGGGTAGTAGATTTGCTGCCCCACCTACATGAATGGGTGGAATGTGACCCTGTGGATGAAAGGCCACCACTGCATGGAGTACAATTACAAGAGGCCCCTGCCCTTCCACTGGTTTTGGTGTATGATGGTCTGGCCAGGTCATTTTGTTATTCAGGGGAGCATTAGCGCCTCTGAAAAGCTTCCCAGAAACTCTGTCCTTGTTAGTGGTGGTGGCATTAGTGAATTGATTGGGGCCTTTTCATGGCCCCTGTCTGGCCTATCCCTTTCTTGATTCATTCAGCAGTGTTGATGGAGCTCTTTCTTTGGGCCAAGTATCATGCTAGTTCTGGGGATACACAATGTCATAAAGAGTCTGTGCCGTATTCGAGCTTTACAGTACAGTAGAGAGGTGGACATGGATCAGATATGCAAATAACTCACTGTCTTAACTCTTATAAGCGCTCTAAAGGGAAGAAGTGTTTGGTGAGAGGCTTTGGCCTAGAGGTGACAGGGGTGATGTGTTAAAGATTTTCCTAGTGGTCCATCTCATGACAACACACGGTCTGGCAAATGTACAGCTGACTCAGAGTTTATGGGGCCCTAGATATTTCTCTGCAACTTTCTTAAACTAGCGTTTGCTAAATGAATGTAAGTCACGGAAGGCTGAGTCAGCAGAATCAGCAGGGCCTCCAGTTAGAGGTGCAGAGTGCCCTGCCAGCCACCTGGTCTCGGGCAGGTTGTTTCACTCCATTTAGAAAACAGGCAGCGCAAGCCCTGCTCTAGAGAGCTGATGGAGATGGGGGCAAAATATAAAGTGCCCGCTGGGCACGGTGGCTCACCCCTGTAATCCCAGCACTTTGGGAGGCCGAGGCGGGCAGATCACCGGGTCAGGAGATCGAGACCATCCTGGCTAACACGGTGAAACCCCGTCTCTACTAAAAATACAAAAAAAATTGGCCGGGCATGGTGGCAGGCGCCTGCAGTCTCAGCTACTCGGGAGGCTGAGGCAGGAGAATGGCGTGAACCCAGGAGGCGGAGCTTGCAGTGAGCTGAGATTGCGCCACTGCACTCCAGCCTGGGCGACAGAGCAAGACTCCATCTCAAAAAAAAAAAAAAAAAAATATATATATATATATAGTGCCCATCAAGTGCCTGCTGGGTTGCAAACTGGCCACCAGACTCATTTGGTTTGGTCTTTGCAGTATTTAAAAGAAAATTTTCTGAATTGCCAACATTAAAATTTAGGAAGAAAAGTCCAGATTTTTGGAATCTTCTCCAACAGTCAGAAGATCTGGTCCCCATCAATGCACGTTTCTACGGGAAGCTTCGCAGAGCCTGCCCCCATCAGATGAGGCGTGTTTACCGTGAAACCTGCCCACTGCTAACTGGGACTACATTGATGTTAATATGTTAATAGCAACTGGAGATGTACTGGGTCCCTCGGGACTTTTTTTTTTTTTTAGTTGCATGATTTCCAAGCCTGAGGATAGCTGCCGTGGCTTCATCTCAGATTGTCTTACTGTAAGATACCCTCTGCAGTGCTGAAGCTAGACTTGTCGTTCTAAGAGATGAAACCAGAGATTGCTGGGCTCTGGGGTTTGCAGCATTGTTTATTTATTTTTATTTATTTATTTATTTTGAGATGGAGTCTCTGTCGCCCAGGCTGGAGTGCAGTGGCGTGATCTCGGCTCACTGCAGCCTCTGCCTCTGGGTTCAAGCGTCAGCCTCCCAAGTAGCTGGGATTACAGGCATGTGCCACCACGCCCAGCTAATTTTTGTATTTTTAGTAGAAATGGGCTTTCACCATGTTGGCCAGGCTGCTCTTGAACTCCTGAGCTCAACTGATCTGCCTGCCTTGGCCTCCCAAAGTGTTGGGATTACAAGTGTGAGACACTGCACCTGGCCTGCAGAATTTTTTTTTTTTTTTTTTTTTTTTTTTTTTTTTTTTGAGACTGAGTCTCGCTCTGTCGCCCAGGCTGGAGTACAGCGGCACGATCTCAGCTCACTGCAAGCTCTGCCTCCCGGGTTCACGCCATTCTCCTGCCTCAGCCTCCCAAGTAGCTGGGACTACAGGCGCCTGCCCCCACACCCGGCTCATTTTTTGTATTTTTAGTAGAGACGGGGTTTCACTATGTTAGCCAGGATGGTCTCAATCTCCTGACCTCGTGATCCACCCGCCTCAGCCTCCCAAAGTGCTGAGATTACAGGCATGAGCCGGCCTGCTGCATTTTTAGAGTTGTGATAAGAACACAACATGAGATCTACCCTTTTAACACATTTTTATTTGTATGGTTAACATTATTGTTGAGTGTAGGCACAGCATCATTCAGCAGATTTCTAGATCTCATTTATCTTGCATACTGAAACTTCAGAAGTACAATGTGCTATCCATTGCTCTGTGGAGTCACCTGCATGACTGATACTTCATACCCACTGGACAACAACTCTCCATCCCCCCAGCCCCAGCAATCACCATTCTCCTCTCTGCATGAGTTTGACAATTTTAGATACCTCGTATAAGTAGAATCGTGCAGCATTTGTCTTTGTCACTGGCTCATTTCACTTAATGTAATGTCCTCGAGATTCATCCATGTTGTCGCATATATCAGAATTTATTTCTTTAAGGCTCAATGTGTGTGTGTGTGTGTGTGTGTGTGTGTGTACCAAGAAATATACCACATTTTCTTTTTCTTTCTTTATCCATTTATCCATCATTATGCAGTTTTAGTTTTTTTGATTTTTTTTTTGGTGTGTTTTGTTTTGTTTTGTTTTTGACAGAGTCTGGCTCTGTCGCCCAGGCTGGAGTACAGTAGCGTGATCTCGGCTCACTGCAACCTCTGTCTCCAGGGTTCAAGTGATTCTCGTGCCTCAGCCTCCGAATAGCTGGGACTACAGGCATGCACCACCACACCCAGCTAATTTTGTTTGTATTTTTAGTAGAGATGGGATTTTACCATGTTGGCCAGGCTGGTCTTGAACTTCTGGCCTCAAGTGATCTGCCCGTCTTAGCCTCCCAATGTGCTGGGATTACAGGTGTGAGCCACTGCACCCAGCTTTTATGCAGTTTTTTTTTTAATTGAAATTTTTTACTGAGATAATTATAGATTTGCGTGCAGTTGTAACAGATAATACAGAGAGATCTTCCTCAGTTTCCCCCAGTGGTAACATCTTGCAAAACTCTAGTACACCCTCACAAGCAGGATATTGACAGTGATACATAGGATTTATGTTTGAGCAAAAGCAAACTGCGGGTTACTGGCAACCTCTCAGTTTAGGACACTGGCTGTAGCTCAACCATTTAGTCAGGGGAAGTGTTTAGGAGATCTGTCCTCTCTCCTGATATGGCCTCTTCTTAGGATGAAGGTCTCACCTCCCTTGTGAGAGACACACAAACTGCCTTTGGGATGTAAGAGCCAGTTGTGGTGGACACCTGAACTGAAAATGAGACTCTGTAGCGTGGAGGGAATTGCTAGCCCACATGTGTCGGCTTTCTGCTTCCAGTTACTACCTTTCTCTCAGTGTGAAGTTGAAGTTGGTTGTAATCTGATGACTATCGTTCAGGTTTGGGAAGAGCACAGGCTGAATTCCTTCTGTGACTTGTTTGATAATAGTCCTGGTACGATTTACCTTCCTTCCCTATGAGCGAGAACAGACTCCTATTGTTTCCTGCCCAACTCGGATGTGGTTTGATTATACTTGTTTTAAGTTTCTTGGTCTTTTTTAACCTACTTTCTCCTTCCCGTAATTTGTAGATAAGTTACTGGTATTGCCTCATTTTTACCAGCAGACCTTTCACAAAACCAAACCAAAATTGAAGAGAGAGAAGCAGAGGGGAGATCACAGTTATTTGAAAGGACTGTAATTTAGGGTTAAATGGAAAACACATCAGCATGGTTAGATGAATGTCTAATTGAAATTCATCTGTGCGTTAAAATCATATGGTTCCTGCTAAAGGCTAATTCTTGCTATAATTCGAATGCAGAGCAGATAGTGTTTCTTGTGTGGGGAAATCGAGTAGGACAACACTAATTCTGAAACTGCTAACATCTCGTTGTTTTTGCAGAATGAACATATAGATTAGAATTTGGGATATGCATCATTACTTGTAGGTACTTTTTTTAAAGGACTTTTTTTTCCTCTTGGGTTTCTGTGGAATGGTTTCCTTCATTTTTGCATTCATTCATTTATTCATCTATTCATCCATTCCTTCAGCAGCCATCTGTTGTGTACTTGTGCTGAGAGATGAGGGATGTGGTGGTGCACTGGAACGACCTGACCCCTGCCCTCCCTGGGCTTCCCTCCTCCCATGAGGACAGGGACCATGTCTCGGAGATGCCTGTGCCACCTGTGCCATCATGGGGCTTGCCAGAGATGCCCAGGGAGGTGTTCGGTGCAGGAGTGAATGACTCAGTGGGTGAAGTGGTAGCAGAGTCACAAGGGCTCTCGTGACATTCTTGTAATGACTCTCAGAGCAGAAGTCACTTCCTAGCCTGCCCCTTGAATGCCGCCTTCTCTTTGCCTCAGTGGCTGGGTTTGCAGTGGGCTGCTTTTGGTGCTGTTCCATGTTCCACCTCCAGAGGCAGCCTTGTGGAGTGGGTGCTGTAACCAGTTTCCCTGGGCTCCTCAAATCGTGGTCCCTGATTTTACTAGGTGTTCCCGGGCCTCAGTTTCTTACCTCTCCAGTGAGAATAGCAAACATGGGTTTATGATGAGAATTAAGTGCCGTGTAAAGTGCTTACTCCAAAGCCTTTTTATGTACACAGCAAGTGCATAAATATTAGATGTTATCATTATAATGACCTTAGTTCCTAAGGCTGCGCAGTGACCTTCCACCTCCTACCTGGGACCTTCTTCCCTGGGCTTACGAGCTGTCTCTGGACTGATGAATGTGGAAACAGACACCATGCGCCCTTCAGTGGGGTGGCTTTTGAGCAGACACCAAGGCACAGAGGGAGAAGTGTTAGTAATAACAGTGATGATGAAACACCAATGTTAGCCATTGCCATTGAGTGATGGTAGGTGAAGCCCTCTGTGTGTATACTGTGTGTATACTGTGCTCTCCATTCAGCCAGACCCAGATTTAATTTCTGGAAAGTGCAAATACTGTTGTCGTTGTTTTTTGTTTTTTGTTTTTTTTTGAGACAGGATCTCGCGTTGTTGCCCAGTCTGGAGAGCAGTGGTGTGATCCTAGCTCACTGCAGCCTCAGCCTCCCCAGGTCAAACGATCCTCCCACCTCAGCCTCCTGAGTAGCTGGGACTAAAGGCACATGCCACCATGCCCAGATAACTTTTGTTTTTTTTTGTTTTTTTGTTTTGTGGAGATGGGGTTTCGCCGTGTTACCCAAGCTGGTCTCGAACTCCTGGGCTCAAACAATTCACCCACCTTGGCCTCGCAAAGTGCTGGGATTACAGGCATGAGCCATCACACCCAGCTGGAAAGTATAAATACTTAACTGCTAATGTGGGTTCATATGGTTGGCTGGTTGTGAAGTCAGGGTCTGAGGATTCTGGGGCAGAATAGGCTTGCTTATCTCCACATAAGGACATTGACAGTCTGTCTGTAGATACCAGTTTAGCAGTTAGGATGGTTTCCAGATGAATCTCTGGACACCTGTCACTTCTAGTAGCAGGACTCTCTGCCCAGCCGGATACTCCCCCAGGATATGGTGTGTGGAGCCAGTGGCTAGGAAAGTAGCAGCCTTGCTTCTCTGGGTTGTGTGTTTGCAGATTCAGAGCATTAATCGTTGACTTAGCTCCCCTGGTCGCTGCTGCAGGGCTTTCTTTACAACTCAAACTTGTATCCGATGTCAGCCGAGTCTCCCGTGTGCTGAATGCATCAGGCAGGATAGCACCCCTTCCGGCCAGGATTAGAGTTCCTGAGTCTTTTAGTGACCCTGACTGTACTCATGATCCCCCAGCTAATCAGTGCTGGTTCCAAGGCGCGCACATTCTTCTTCCTGAAAATGCTAATAGGCTTCTGGGAGAAGGTTGATTGTGAATATCAAAGGGTAAAGATAGACTTCTATAAATTAAGGGCCTTAATTGACCCATTGCAGACATTCCCACAAGGGAATTAGAGCTTGGTGTATATTCTCCCTTTTGGCTTTGCCATTGAGGTCTATCCCCTAATCCCTCACTGCAGTTACGGCTCTGAGGTGCCATTCTTGCCCACCGAAGTATTGAATGTGGCAGCTCTGGTCTATGTTTAAGAGGATTTGATATAATCAAAATCCAGAGTGCAACATGAGGTCCGGTACTAAGGAGCGTATCGTTGTCTGAGAAACAGTTGCGTCTCTCTGTTTCCTGGGGCAGAAGGTGGGCTGGACAACTGAGGAGGGTCTCAATGTCCCTTAGTACTTGAGAAGGGAGCAGGCTTTAGCCAGGGCCGCGGGTGACTGTGACCAAAGGCCCGGGGTTTTGGCCTTGGGCCAGCTAGCCAGAGAAGGGGCAGGTGCCTTCATTGCTACATCCTGGAGAAGCCAATTGGTAACAATGGAGTGGGCACAGTGGGCAGGGATGGGAGCAGGAGGCAGATGGGGAAGAAGCCTTGTGACTTAGACCCTAGCTGGCTTTTCTATATCTGTCCTGCAGTGTGTGACACAGAATGGGCTTGGGGCAGCCACAAGGCTGGAGGCAGCTCCATGTAGAATGGGGACCTTTTCTGATTGCGTTGGGCCATTGGTGACTTCTTCTGGGTTTCAATTAAAATCAGAAAATTGAGGGTGAGGACAGACAAATGAGGTACATGCCACTTCTGGCCTCTGTCCCCTGTGGCATTGTTAGTTTTCATGAGTGGGCCAGCCTCTTCGGATATTTGTGATTTTTAACCTGATTTTGAGTTACCTGAAGCCAGGTCAGTATTATTTATTCAGATATTCAGCAGATAATTATTGGGTATCTGCCGTATGCCAGGCACTGTTCTAGGCCCTGGAGATATATACCCAGTGAGCAAAACAAAAACCTTGACCTCCAGGAACTTGGGTCTCATGCAGAGAGACAGAGGAACAATAAAGCAAATAGTAACATCAGGGCACGTTAGATGTGAGAAGCCCTGGGAAAACAGTAGTGAAGCAGAGGATGGACATGGGCAATGCTCGGAGGCTGGAGTGTTACAGTTCTCAGTAAGGTGGCTGGGGTTGGCCTTGTTGGGAAGGTGAGGTGGAAGCACAGACTCAAAGGAAGCAAGAGAGTGAGTCATGTTGGTATCTGGAGGAAGAGCATTTTGGTCATAAAGAACATCGTGAACCTGGGAGGCGGAGCTTGCAGTGAGCCGAGATCATGCCACTACACTCCAGCCTGGGCGACAGAGCAAGACTCCGTCTCAAAAAAAAAAAAAAAAAAAAAAAAGAACAGCCAGTGCAAAGGCCCTGCGGTGGGATGGTGCCTAGTGTGTTGGAGGAACAGCAAAGGGCAATGTGGCAAGGGGATGGGAAGTAGGAGATGAGGTTGGAGAGAACAAGTGTCCAAGGGACATGGCACCTATGTGCCATTGGAGGACTCAGGAGTTGCTGTGGAAGGAGACTGGAACCTCTTCGTCTTTGTGTCCCCATGTCTAGCATGGTTCCTGCAGTCAACGTTGATTGTCTTGATGTGACAAGTCTCGGTACGGGAATCAAACACATATCTCTAATGAGCGGTGGACATCCGGTCTTGGCCAGTGTCAGAGTCCTTGAAACTGGTTTTGCTGCGGGATGCTTTGCCTGATGGGAGCCTGAGGGCTGCACTTGAGCAAGAAGGGAGCATTTTGCTCACTTCTCAGAGACCCCTGCCCTTTCTGGGCATTCCAGCAGAGTTCACAAGAGTGGCTTGGTGGTGTGAGTCATTCGTTTCATGCCTGAGGGCAGTGCAGCTCTCATCCCTGGAGGTGATTAATGAGTGGGAGTTTCCCTAGAGAGTTCTGAGGCCAGTTGAGTAGCAGATCCTGGCTGGCCTGAAATTGATTGCCTGCTGACCACTTGCTGGGTTGCTTATAACCTGGCCCCAGGACAGCTTCCTGGTAGCCTCCAGATACGCACGGGGACAAATTTGTTAGTTTCATGGGCAAAGAGAAGAAAAAATACAATACCTTACTGTTAACCACAGTCACCCTTCTGTGCAATAGAACACCAGATCTCACTCCTCCTGTCTAATTGGAACTTTGTACCTGTTGACCACCCTCTCCCCATCTTCCCCATCCGCATCCCTGCATCCCCTCCCTGCCCAGTCTCCTGTAACCACTGTTCTCCTCTCTACTTCTATGAGATCAACTTTGTTTAGATTCCACAAGTGAGATCATGCTGGAAGACAGAGTTTTGAATGTTCTCACCACAAAGAAATGATAAATACATGAGGCGATGGATATGCTAAGTACCCTGATGTGATCATTACATGACGTACACATATATTAAAACATCAAATTGTACCCCATAACCATGTACAATTATAATGCATCCATTAAAAAATAAAAAAGAAAAAGATAACATTAAATGGTTTTATTCACTCAAATAATATTGTGCTGGGTGACACTTGAGTTCTGGGTGGGTCATTTTCTGACATGAGCAGAATGTGCTCCATCTGTGAGGCAGAGGCTGGCTGCCATACTTACCCTTGTGCACTCCCTGCCTCGAGTAATTGTTGAGCCCCTACAAGTTGCAGGCAGGTGCTGTGAATGAACAAGACATCTGTCCCTTCCCTGATGATCTATTTGTGGGGGATAGACAGTAAGCCAGCTCATCCTCACAAATTTAAGATTTGGATATGGGAAGGAAATAGAAGCAACTTTGGGAGGTATGATGAGGGAAGCCCTCTAAGGAGGGAGCCTAATATTGAGAACTGAGGTCAGGGAGCTAGGCCTGCTGAGAGTTGAGGGGTTGGGTCGGGGGGCGTGGCCAAAACATGAGAAATGGTGAGTCAGAGGCCTCTGTGGGAAGGAGTTGGGTGTATATGGGATCAGGAGAGAGGCCAGCATTCAAGAAATATCCTGGGTTGGTGGAAGAGAGGGACGGTTTTCGTTTTATAGAAGATGAACCTGGCTGGGCTTGGTGGTTCATGCCTGTAATCCCACCACTTTGGGAGGCCGGTGTGGGCAGATCACTTGAGGCCAGCCTAGACAACATGGTAAGACCCTGTCTCTTCAAAAAAATACAAAAATTAACCGGGCGTGATGATGCGTACCTGTGATTCCAGCTACTCAGGAGGCTGAGGTGGGACCATCTCTTGAGCCTGGGAGGCGGAGGTTGCAGTGAGCCATGATCACACCACTGCACTCCAGCCTGGGCAATAGAGTGAGACTGTCTAAAAAAGAAAGAAAAGAAGTCAAGCTTACTTGTTTGTCTCATTGAACATCTCATTTCACGCTCATAATGAAAGAGAGCGAGGTGGTGTTATTGTCACACGCTCCCCATAAGGAAGCCAAGGTTCCGTGATTGTTCCTTTGGGATTGCAGGTGACTAGCCCCAAATCTCACACTGTTTCTATTCCAAGTCTTTTTATCACCACTTGCAATTATGTTTTCCAGTTTGGCATGAGATGTCAGGGCAGTGTAGCATTTTGGGCTGTTCTGAGTAACAGAATAACCAGTGTTTCACAGTTCATCTTTTTCAAAATATAGTAAAATACTCTTTCCAAAGAAATACCAAATAAGTGCTTGGTTTGTCATTGTTTAGTAAGGGAGTGTGAGATGCCTCATTTTGTGTGATTGAAGAGGCCTGTTCAATGCTCGTGATGATCTTGCAATTAATTCATCCCACAAGCATTCCCTCTTGATTGAATGCCAGAGACAGTGCCAGACATGCTGCTTGGCATTGAGAGGGACAGAGAAGGTGACCTGGGATGGGGAAGGCAAGGGAGAGGAGGCTGGCCCCCTACAGACTTAGTGACACGCCAGAGGTCACTTTCCAAGAGGAAATTGCAGCACCATCTTGACGTTACCTGCTCCTCATCTCAGCGTCAAGTGCTGAGCACGCGGCTGCAAGAGGCCTGTGAGTGCTGTGAGTCTGTTCCAATTCCTGAGAGATGGACATTTCCTTGCTTTACGCCTCTGCAGCTGCAACACTTGATAACTGGTAATTCATGGAGAAGAATGCCGTGTTCTCCTTGTTAATGGAAGCGGCCTGCTACCTTTGCATGTTCCCCACTCCATAGCATTCATTTTCTCCTTTACATTTCGGCAGTGCCGTCAAATCGCCTCACTGATGTTGCAGCTGTGCATTCTTCATGCATGTTGGGCTTTGGTTCCACAGCTCCACGCGGCTCCTGGATTGGCGAGTAAGGCATATGTCTATACATCACCCTGGGGTACATCACCCATCTGGTGCTTGCTTGCCAATCACCTCCTTCTGGATGAGAACAGGTTCACTCTGCTGCACTCATCACCCGGCTTCCTTTTTCAGCCAGTGGCCAAGCCATGTGCTACAGTGCTGTTGGTTACAGTGGGTGTGACCTCCTGTGACTTTTTGTCTCTGTGTTTATCAGGTAAAAATGTGAAAAGATGTGTGTGTCTGTGGTCCCAGCTACATGGGAGGCTGAGGCTGGAGTATCACTTGAACCCAGGAGACGGAGGTTGCAGTGAGCTAAGATCACACCACTGCACTCCAGCCTGGGTGACAAAGTAAGATCCTGTCTCAAAAAAAAAAGTGAAAAGAGTCACATTATAGACAACCATATAATTGTCAGGCTAGAGGACCACCTGTTGAGTGATGCATAAACTGTCACTGCATTTTTGTTGCAAAGAGCTACTGTTTCTCTGATTAGTGTGACGTCGGCATGGCCTAGTCTTTACATCAGTGCTCCCGGGAGGCTGGCCCAACGTTGGGAGGTGCAGCAAATGCATATGGAAGGGAATCGTGTTTGAGCCATGTGGCAGGAAGGTTGTGCACCTGGGCACTGGGGCTAGTTTATTCCTGGGTTCAAATCCTGCCTCTGCCTCTCACTAGTGGGTGACCTTGGGCAAGATCCTCACCTGTGTAGTTCCTTGCCCCATTTGGTTATTTGTAGGATAAAGCAAGACAATGTATATAAAGTGTTCAGAGCCATGCTGGGCACATTTTAAGTGTTCACTGAGTATTCAGGATGGCTGTTATTACCTGGAAAGAGTAACAAGAGTGTGCCATCTCTTGGCACCTCTCAGCAGCACTGTTGGGGAGATGCTAATATGATGCCCATTGATGGCTGTGGCAACTGAGACCTATAGAGGAGAAGGTAGGAAGCAGTGGAGCCAGGACTGAAACCACGGTGGATGGGACCCTGGGCCTCTGAATCCCACCCTGGCTTTGTACCTTGCTGTGTACCTTGCCAGTCCTGGCGCCTGAGGCCGGAGATGGGGAAGGTTAGCCAGGGGCCCAGGAGCATGTTGGGGAGGCTGAGTCTAGCCCACTAACAAAGCAGAAGGCCAGCGAGCAGTAAGTTGCTGGGAGCTTGGGAGTCAAGTTTAAAGCATAGAACATGACTGTTCTTTAAAAGCCCCTCCCCTGCCCTCTCTTCCATCCTCGTGATCTATTTGCCAGGGGGTTGAAGGGCAATGAAAATTTCTCTGGTGCCCCCTTGTACCAGGCATTTTGCCTGTTGGATCCCACACTACCCCCATGGTGGCGTGTGATATGGAACTACTCTTGTCTCTGTTTTACAGATGAGGAACTGAGGCTCCTGTGGTCAGGGTCGCTTGGCTAGTAGAATGTGGGTCTCAGACTTGGGGCCAGGTCTGCCTGGGCATGTTTTTTGTTAGTCACCATGGCCTGTCTCCTTTCTTAAGGGGAAAACCTTTCTCCTACTTCTCAAATCGCTTAGCAGAGCTGTTTGAGGAAGCATCCTCAGAGGGTGAGTAGGCTCGGCCTAGGAGAGCCTGGAAGGGTCTTCTTAGCTTGATTATCACAACAGCTTTGATAGATTCAGACAGAATCTCAGGCCCTGGAATCTCTCCTTCCTTTACCTGATGCCTCTGGCCACCGGTCTCTCTTTCCTTCGTGCTCAACCAAGATTCTTCCCTGGGCAGGCTGCCTGGTGCCCTTACATCCCCTTTCCTGGTCACTCGCCAACAACTGCTTTCTCCCCTCCCTGCTGCCCCACTGAATAGATGCTGAGAAACCCACTCAACACGTTGCATCTATAGGGCATTGAGTCAAGGTATCTGATATCTCTTCTGAGGCTGTGAGCCTGAAGAACCCCTTTGTGAGCAGCACGGGCTAGTGCCTGACTGAGAGGCTACTGGCTGGCCGGGGACCACTGCCCTGACTTCCTGCAAAGTCCAGCGGCTGTGCATCTGCCCCTACCTGGGGAGCTGGCCGAGCACCTTGGGTCCAAGGGTACCACCACTGTCACCAAGCACCAGCCCCAGGTGACCTAGGCCTTAGCAGAAGTAAAAGGTGAGTGGCTTCTGGGCACACCTAGAGAGCTGGCTCCTCCTGGGCTCTGAGCTGGCTTTCCTACTATTCTTTCCTTCCTGAGCATGCTGCTGAAGTCCTGTTGACATCCAAGACTTGTATCAGTCATTTCCTCCTCTATCAAGCCGTCCTAAGCTCCCCCTATGCCTCCCAGCCCTGGCGCATTTTCCCTCCCTTCCTCTGCGGCCCCATCACTCTTGTGTGAACCTCTTCTCTTCCAGCGTCTGCATGGGCCATGTGGCAATAAATGCAGGATTCACCAGGATTCACCTGTCTGGGGTGGACTGTGGGCTCTGAGAGGGGTGGACTGTGGGCTCTGAGAGGCGTGGACTGTGGGCTCTGAGAGGCGTGGCCTGTGGCTTCCTGCGCTTACCTGAGTCCCCCTCATTTCATCAGTGATCAGTGAATCCAGCTCTCCCACCTGTTCGCTTTGTCCTACCTTGTATTTAGGGCATTACAGCAATCCAACTTCATTGAAAATCCTCTTGGTAAACTTTTTGGTGTTTTTTGTTTGTTTGTTTTTGAGACACGGTCTTGCTGTGTCACCCAGGCTGGAGTGCAGTGGCACGACCACAGCTCACTGCAGCCTCAACCTTCTGGGCTCAAGTGATCTTCCTGCCTCAGCCTCCCAAGTAGCTGGGACTGCAGGCATGCACCACCATACCCAGCTAAATTTTGTATTTTTTGTAGAGACAAGGTCTCACCATGCTTCCTGTGCTCATCTTGAACTTCTGGGCTCAAGTGATCCTCCTGCCTTAGCCTCCCCAGATCTTGGGATTACAGGCATGAGCCACTGCGCCCAGCCTGGGAAAGTTTTTAAATTGAGGAATCACATAAATACAATAAAGTACATAAAAGTTTAGTAATCTTAGATGTACTGCTTGATGATTTTGTGCACATGATTATATTCATGTATAATTCGAGTCAAGATGGAAAACATTTCTGGTATTCCCATAAAGCCCCTCCTCAGTTTGTAACCCATACCTCCACCCCACCCAAGAGAATCACCATCCTAACTTATAAACTTGCCTTTTCAAAGTTTTTTAAATTGTGATAAAATAAACATAAAATTCACTCTCTTAACTATTCTTAAGTGTTCAGTTCAGTGGCATTAATGCGTTTTGTAAAGATGTTCTTTACGTGTAAATAGTGCTGGTAATAAAAGTTTCTAGTGCTGGTAATATCTAAATAGTGCTGGTAATAAAACAATTGAGTGATGTAGACGCAGGTAGAGCAGAAAGTGAAAGGTCCTCCAACCTCAGTATCTTCCTCAGAGGGAACCACTGTTCTCAGTTTGTATATTCTTCCAGACCTTTCGCTGTGTATTTTCATGTAAGTATCAACCCAGGAATACATGATATGCACTTATGTTTCAGCCCTATAGTTTTGGTTTTATTTTAACCATAAACTGAATCATTAATTGTTGATTGATTGCAACTTGCTTTTTCTTGTGCAGCCTGTGTCCAGGTCTTTGTAAGCTGCTGTACCCACACCTGGTGGAACATGTTTGTTTGACATCTGTCTTCTCAGCCATGTGTCTCCTCTCGTTCACTCAGGCACCCAGTCTTTGGTTGTTTCCATCCTCCCTCCCATCCCATTGCTGCCCTTTGCAGTTTCTGCACACAGATTCCTCCATTCCATGAAAGATTGATCCCTGGGGATTCACCTTTCCCAAAGTGTTTGACTTTTGAAAAAGCAAGGACCAAAGCCTCAGGTGAAGGGGTTCAAGGCTGATGGAAGACGTCATTAACCAGCAGGCAGGTGCAGACGCTTAGGGAGTAGTTAGGCCCCGGGGCACCTCTAAAATGTAGTTGCTGACTGTTAGCTGGCCCTCACCCCAGAAGCCAGCCCAAATATTCAGCTGCAGAGCTCAGGGCTCCCTTGTGTTTCACTGCAGTCAGCAAAGAGGCTCCTTCCCTTCATGCTCCTCCTGTAGCCCAGCCTCAGGCACCTGGGAGATGAGCGCGTGGTGAAACCTAAACCTGTGGCATTTGGGACATGTAGACCTTCTTTGCAGAATACTTTTCCCTGGGGCATGTGTTGTGTACTTTCTTTATGAGAAAATCAACCCAAACGCCTTGTGATTTCTTACTCTGAAGTGGGCTTTTCCACTTCTGGTTAGTTTGGGTGAGCTTGCTCTTTCATTCTGCTACGTTTAGCTCCTGAGAAAGTTTGGCTTTTTTTCCCCTTCTTTCCCTCCCTTCTCCTTCTTCTCCTTTTTTCATCATTCTGTCTTGCCCTTTGGGTACAGCCTGGTACAAACATTCATTCCTACAGCCATGAGCTCACTCAGCAGCAGCCTGTCCGCCCCTGCTCTGGTCCAGGCACCGTGGGGTAGAGATGAGAGCACAGTGGCGAGAGGAGGGACAGGGGCCCTTCTCCTAGGGGCTTCAGACTGGAGCATCCTTGGAGGCTGGCAGCCAGAAGCAGGGTGACCGGAGCAACAGAAATGGTCACAAATCTCTGCCCACATTTCCCAGCCAAATTCTACCAGCCTCTGCATGCTAACTGTGATGTTTTGGTGTTAGCTTTAAGAAAAAACAAAAAACAAAAAACAGGTTTTTAAAATATAGAATAAAAGGGAGCAAAAATAGTCCTTAGTCCCAATGTCCAAATGACCCCTGCTGAATTTGTATTATGTATCTATTTATATGTATATGTTTAGAGACAGGGTCTCACTGTGTGGCCCCGGCTGGTCTTGAACTACTGGGCTCAAGGAATCCTCCCATCTCAGCCTCCCAAAGTGCTGGGATTACAGACATGAGCTCCACACCCAGCTGAATGTTTAAAATAAAGTTAATATATGTTCATGATTAGAAATCTCAAACCAAAAGGTATAAAATAAAAAAAGTGTGCTTGTGTGGGTGTGTACACAGTGCCACTGCTTTTTTTAATTCCCCCAAGATGCCAATACATTCTTAGGCATCTTTCCAGGAAAAGTCGCATTTACACCATCACGTATAGCCTTTGAAAAGCTTTACTTGAAAGGGACCCTACTGCCTACTCCCTTCCTGCATTTTCATCCTGGTGCTGAGTCTGCATCAGTTTATTTAGGAATAAAAAGGCCCCAGTCTTCTTAGATTCCCACCCTTTGGACAAACAGATCATAATTACCTAACAACTCCCCTATCAATGGACATTTAGGTTATTTCCAGTTGTTTACTGGAAGGTCGTGTTATAAAGGTTTGAAATTTCCCCAGTAAGCATGCCCTCCCACACCAGACACCTGATCACTGAGAAAAGTAGATCCCTTTGGAAAGTTTTAAAATTCATTCTTGCAGCTGATTTTTTTTTTCTTTTTTTAGATGTAAGCAGGAAAAGAAGGTAATGTTTTGTGTTGGATGTTCACCGTTTCGGCACTCTCTGAAGGAACTTTATTACTTATTTATTTATTTTGAGACGGAGTCTCACTCTGTTGTGCCCAGGCTGGAGTGCGGTGGTTTAATCTTGGTTTACTTCAACCTCCGCCTCCCAGGTTCGATCGATTCTCTTGCCTCAGCCTCCCGAGTAGTTGGGACTACAAGCGCCCGCCACCACACCTGGCTAATTTTTTGTATTTTTAGTAGAAGCGGAGTTTCACTATATTGGCCAGGCTGCTCTTGAATACCTGACCTCAGGTGATCCACCTGCCTGGGCCTCCCAAAGTGCTGGGATTACAGGCGTGAGCCACCACGCCCGGCCTCTGAATGAACTTTATATCCATGGGTTCCTTTGGTTCTAGGGGGCCAGAATTACTCTCCATGTTTTAGAACAGGAACCTGAGGCCTAGGACAGGCCAGCTGGGTTGGGTTTCAGACCACTCTGGCCAGCCCCAGGCGCTGAGCACTTTATTTCACTTCGTCAGTTCTGCCAGTTTGTTCTGTATGTCTGAGTCCACACAGAGCTTAGGGAGGGGTTCTATATCTGTCTGTGTGAATTTCTGCTCTTAATTTCAAACTAGGGGACGTTTTGCCCTGCGCTTGGTCTCTATTTTCTGTTTCTGAAAGCTTTGATTGCTGTGTGGCCGGCTCTGAAATTCACTAGGAGTTGGCAGTGATGGGAGGAAGCTAACTTCCTGGGTTTGGATGCTTCAGGAGAAGATGAGAGGGCGACTAGGCTGCATTCGATCACCCGGCATCCTAAGTGGGCTCTGATGGATGCTGTCTGTCAAGCAGTGCATTCTCAGAACGCTCCCATCTGGGGGCCCTCGGTTATTGGCGTCTGTAATACGCTATCTGGGTTTCCTGGACAGTAGAATCATGCAGCAATTTATGTGTCATTTTTTTGTGGTTGAATAATCCACAGTGGGCAAATAAAAATTAATGTTTATATTTGGATGCTAATTCACCTTTCAATTAGGTTTTGTTTTGAGCGTTATTGAAATTAATCTGTGTTCCTTGAGCACATTTCCATTTATTGGCAAGGTACGGTGTTCCCCAGCATATAATTGGTGGTCGTTTGGGGTAAATTCAGATGGATAATCTATATCAAGATAATGGAAAAGTTTATTTTGAAACTTTTTTTAAATTACAAAATGATATCTGAACATTATTTCAGACTCTGATAAGAGAAAAACACTTCAATCAAAATCCCGCCCTAAACAAATCAATTTTCTTCTGTCTTTTGTGCCTTTCTAGTCTGTTTGCATGTCTATACCCTTTTTTTTTTATTTTCTTTTTTGAGACATCTCACTCTGTCTCCTGGGCTAGAGTGCAGTGGCGCCATGTTGGCGCTCTGCCTCCTTGGCTCGAGCGATCCTTCTACCTCAGCCTCTGAAGTAGCTGGGACTACATGGGCATGCCACCATGCCCAGCTAATTTTTCTATTTTTTGTAGAGATGGGGTTTTGCCATGTTGCCCAGGCTGGTCTTCAAATCCTTGGCTCAAGTGATCCTCCCAGCTTGGTCTCCCAAATTGCTGGGATTACAGGTGTGAGCCATGTGCCTGGCCTTCCTCTTTAAAGAGCATTAAATGTAGAATTAAGTTTTAGCTCCTGGTGAAACACTGTTCTTTTAGGAAGAGTGTGAGCTTTGGAATTGGCAAGCCCCAGTAAGCCCCAATTCAAATTCTGACTCCAACTCAGTAGCTGTGTGACATTGGGCAAGTTATTTAACCTTTCTGCTCCTCTATTTTCTCAATGATAAAAATGGGACTGATAATTCCTATATATTATGGTTGTTATAAAGACTGAGATATACTAATATGAAGCATGAACCACAGTTGACACTAGCCTCATTCTGTCGCCCAGGCTGGATGGAGTGTAGTGGCACGATCTCGCTCACTGAAGCCTTGACCTCCCAGCCTCAAGCAATCCCTCCCACCTCAGCCCCGCAAAGTGCTGGGATTAGAGAGGTGAGCCACCACACCCGGCCATCTCTGACTTTTTAAAGGAAGAACTTTGTCCTCTGGGGCGAGCTGATCTTTGACTTATTGCTGATACTTACTAGGCTCCCTTTCTAATGAGAGCCAGAATTTGACAACACCCACTACACCTGGCTTTTTCTTTCTGGTTATTTATGTTTAATATAATAGCAAGGCACGCTAGTGTTCCATTGCCTGTAGTGATAGTTTTGTTTAAAATGAACTTATTTGGGTTAAAATTAATAATAATATCAGTGGGCTGTAGCTAAGACACAGCTTGTGTGGCTGGTACGTGGTTTTGAATCCCGGCTCTGCCACCTCCTGGCTGTGTGACCTCGGGCAGATCCTTTTCTGTCTCTGTGCTTCAGTTTCTTCACCTGTAAAATGAGGATGACACAGTAATATCTCATGCAGTTGCTATAAAGTTCAAGTGAGATCATATAGTCAGAGCCTGAGAACAGCATCTGACACATAAGAAAGTACCACAGAAGTGTTCATCAGAAGTTCTCCTTACACAAACAGCTAATATTTGGGGAGTGTAGAGCTGCTGCTGGTAAAGTGCACCATTTCTGACTTAGGGCAGTAGACAGTAAATGGTAGCTGGCACTGTTGTTTTGATTATTTGATGATGATGTTAATAATGGGCATAATAATAGATCTGGAGGTGGCATTTGTTTTGGAGATTAATTTCTCTTTATTAAAATATGTTTTTATTGTCTGTGTTCATGGGGTAAAATGGCAGTGTTGCCACATTGATGTATTGCATTGTGGTGAAGTCAGGACCTTCATTGCATCCATCACTGGAGTAATGCGCACTGGACCCACCAAACACCCTCCCATCATCCACCCCCTCCAAGTCCACCACCCCTCCCAGTCTCATTGTCCATCATCCCACACTCTGCTGCCATGTGCACATGTTATTTAGCTCCTGCTTATGAGAATATGCAGTAAGTGTCTGAGTTATTTCACTTAAGATAATCGTCCCCATGTTGCTGCAAAATACATGATTTCCTTCTTTTTTAGTGCTGAATACTATGCCATCGTGTGTATACATGTCATCTTCTTTATCTAGTCCTCTGTTGGTGGACACTTAGGCCGATTCCATGTCTTTGCTATTGTGAATAGTCCCGCAGTAAGCATGCGAGTGCAGCTATCTTATGATATAATGGTTTCTTTTGGAGATGAGTTTCTTAGGACAGAAACTTTTGGGCAACTTGATAGCATCCAGCAGGATTCTAGTGTTCAAATTCACCTGTTGCCTTCGTTGGACTTTCCTAGGCCAAGCCCAGCATTCGGTGCTTCATTAAACCCACCGAGACACTCGAGCGGTCCCTTGAGATGAACAAGCACAAGGGCAAGAGGCGGGTGCAAAAGAGACCCAACTACAAAAACGTTGGGGAAGAAGAAGATGAGGAGAAAGGGCCCACCGAGGATGCCCAAGAAGACGCCGAGAAGGCTAAAGGTACAGAGGGTGGTTCAAAAGGCATCAAGACGAGTGGGGAGAGTGAAGGTGAGTGTCCCCATGAACGCCGCCCTGTGCCTGCGCCGCCAGCCAGCCCGCCAGCGAGGCTGCCACCTGTGCCCTCTCCACCCAGACTTCTGCTCCCCACAGTGTCCAGCCAGTGATTCGATTCCTACCTCACACTGGCGTACCTCATTCTATACAGCCCTGCCACTCGGAGGCTGCTGTAGGTGTATGTCATATGCAGGTCCAGGGCAAGTCCCGCCCTCATGGGATGGGTGACCTGGGGCCAGTTTTCCTCACCTATTAAAGGAGGGTAACAAATAGTACCTACTTTGTAGTGTTCATACAAGAATTAAATGAGCGAATATGTGCAATGTGCTCCAAACAGTGCCTGGCCCATTCTAAATGCTGCAAAGGCTTCGATGCTGCAGAAGTGTTCGTCATTATTATGACAGTAGGAGCAGCATGGAATTATTATTATCTTTATCCTTATTACTGATATAATTATTCCCAATAACCTGGGGTTATGATTTGCATCCTGTGCACTGCGGGAAGAAAGAGGATTTGTGTTTAATGAAATGATATGCTTGTAGGCCGAGTGCAGTGGCTCACACCTTAATCCCAGCACTTTGGGAAGCCAAGGTGGGAGGATCACTTGAGCCCAGGAGCTTGAGACCAGCCTCACCAACATGACGAGATCCTGTCTCTACAAAAAAAAAAAAAAAAAAAGTGTTTAGTATTTTTAAAATACTGAAAAATCAAATATAATTCTCTCAATTCTTACGTTAAGGTTTTTTAAGTCCTGTCTGTTTAGAATGAGGTGCACTCGTGTGTAGTACGTATGTGCTCTGTAAGCAAAATCATTCATTCCTCCTTTTGCCCTTTTTGGGAATTCTGGTCAATTTTTCACCTCCCTCTCGTTGAGATGCTAAAACCTTCTTGAATTGGAGATCATTTACTCTTGGGATTAAGCAGAATGGAACTGCCCTATTGCTTGTGTCATGGGCCAGGCTCACAGCCACACAGCTGGGGTCTCTGCCCGTCGTCCTGGGCACTGGGGCTGGGGGCAGCGGGAAGTGATGGGGAGCTTGATACTTGGTAGAAGTGGAGCTGGGGCTCTTCTCAGGAAGGTCTGGCCACACTTTCTGGAATGAACTTGGCATCTCCTCAGCAGTCTGGTTGCAGTCTCTGTGGGTGTGGGGAACACTTCCTGTGAGCCCTCCTCCTGGGCCTTGGGCTCACAGTGGCTGCTCTGAAACCACCTCTCCACAGCCCTGTCAGCAAGGACTGCGTGAGCTTCCCAGTCCAGGGCATCTGAAGCTGTAACACAGAGCCACTCGTTCAGTGACTGGGAGCTCATTTGCTTTTGGGAGTTGCCTGAGATTCTGCAGCCAAAGAATGCCTCCGCCACCACCTTGCTTGCTCCATCATGACTTTCTTGGCAGTTGTCAGTGAATACCATGATCACATTTCAACAAGCGTAACCAAAATGTCTCTCTGGTGCCACCGAGACCTCTTTTTATGGTTGAGATCTCCAGCCTCCTCTTATTTCTGTTTAAAGTGTGCAATAGGTGTTTTGGTTTAGGAATTCATTTTTGGCCTGGGAAGCCTTTGCCAATAAATATCACTGTGGTGGGGAGGGGAAGGCCAAACCCAAGGTAAGCCATGCTAATTTGCTTATTGGGGTCATTCTGATTATTTTGTTGTTAATGCTGAAGAAAAATGTCTGCCTAATCCCTAGGTTTAGTTGTTCTGTTGCCACACTGGGGGAGAAATGGACATCTTCACCTCATTTTGTGCATTGTGTTCTCATCGATTTTGTTTTGGAAAGATGCTACCTCTTTCATTCCAGTCCTTTTAAGGATGCTCTCTAACCAGGCCTCAGCTGTGACTAACAGTGGTGTGGATCAGACAGGCTTAGCCCCAAAATCACAATCAAATTAGTCAGCCAGCCAGCCCAGTCCTGGCACACAGGGGCTTCAGGCCAGTTCTGCAGGCTGCTGTTTCAGCTTGAACTGCTTGAATTAGAGTAGGGGCTCCTGGAAGCTGTGCCCAGCTGCCCTGGGCAGGGTACAAGGGAACGAATTTCTGCCACGTCCAAAAGCCTGTTTTCCAGGTGGTTACTTAGCCAGATCGTGCCACACAGGACCCAGGAATCTCCCCAGAGGCTTTGCTTGAACAGTTGGTGCTTCAGGGCTCAGTCACACATGGCTCTCAATGACCTGTGCAATTTTGATGCCCTCCTAATTTCTTGAGCACATTAGTCATTTCAAAATATGATGGATCTGTCATTTTGTCACTCAGCTCACCATAAATACATACAACTTTCATAGACCGGTCCTGCCAGGCAACAGCACTTGTATTCTGGAGCTTTCTGAATTATATATTTGCTCTCTTGATTATTTGTAAATGTGAAGGTGCAGTTGGTGGGTGTTCTCTCCTTAGACGGTATCTGTGTTTGGATGAAACTGCACAGCTGTTAATTCCTGTGAGTCGGAAGGGTGTCAGGCACATTTCTTCATTCACATTGCATACCAGAGAACAGTGTAGATGCTGGGCAGTGCCTAGAAGATGCGAGATCTGACTCGCAGTCATGTCTCAGCATCTAGGTTTATTGTGTGTCTTGGATGGCCTCTTGAAGCTCTGGACCTCATTGTTCCTGTCTGGAAATTTCTGAATATAGAAAATATAATTCACATGATGACTTTTTTTTTTTTTAAGTGAAGATACGTTGATATTTGCGATTGCAAGATTTAGAAATCCAACTCAGACTGGCTTAAGCAAAGAGGGTGTTTATTGTTCATGTTCCTGGGAAGCTTGGACAGGGCTGGGCCCAGGTGCGCTCACATCGTCCCAGCTTGGCCAGCAAGTGGAGAGGGGGCTTCTCCTTCCCAGTGGCTGCCACTGAAGTCCTGGGGCCAATGCTTGTGGGTACTGTGGGCCTGACTTGGGTCCTCTTCCCACCCCCAGAGATATTCTGGACCGATTGGCCTGGCCCGCATGACAAATCTATGCTACAGTGGCTCCCTCAGTAAAAAATGAGATGCGTTTATCAGAAGCAAGGGGCAGGGATGCTGGGCCAGCAGAAATAGCAGATTTCCCCCTAGAAAGTCACACTGTATTTCTGGGTACTCCCCTTCTCTCTCAAGGCCATCTTCTGCCATCCTATTTTGAGATAGACATGCGGCTCTTTTCTCTTCCACATTATTTCTTCTCTAGAAGCTCCTTTCATTGTCCCTAGATCCACGGACTTATCGACAGATGGACATGGTGACTCTTAAGGAAAGAGATGCTGACACTCTGCCTCTGCATACCCTGCCAATCCCATTTTAGTAGTGAAATTTTGACTTTAAAAGACGGGGAAAATACAGGAGTAAAAAAGGCATGTGGTCACGAGGCACAGTTTTGCCATGACCCAATTTGGATATGGCATTAGTGTGTATTGTTTTGTTGTTGTTGTTGTTATTTTTTATAAATGCAGCACCCAGAATTCACACCTCCTCCAGATTTAAGCTCAGACAAGGAAGTTGTGTGAAATGAATGTGCACCCCTAACCCATCCACTCCCTTCCCCAGTCTACAGAGGAATTTGCTCTGCCTCAGGTCCCAAGTAATGGGTGACTCATTCTGCAACCAAGAAATCACAGGGCCCCTAAATTTGCAGAAATTAAATACTAAAAAAAGAAGGATATCATCGTCCCTGTAGGCAAAGAAGCATTCACTCTGCCCAGGAAGGCAGACTTCCTAGGGTACGTGCTTGTTTTTTAGCTTGCCCTTGAGTCTGAAAGGACAGTTATCTCTTTTGGAATTTACTTAGAGCAGTAACTTAATAAGCATATCCTAGGGACTGAATCCTTCAAACTCCTCATGTAAAAATAGGGCTGGACTACTGTTTTTTTGCCTATGGAAAAAGTAATTGCCCGGACTCACCTTCAAAGCCTACTCATTTGTTGAAATTCCAGCAAGGGCATGAAGTAAAGATGATAGGCCTTTGAACCTGCCAGGTTAGCTGGGTTTGAGAGGGTACCTGGGAGTTTAGAGACCCATCTTGCCTTTTTCTTTTTCTTTTGGAAGTCTCTACTGAAATGGGATGAAACCTGGCCTCATTTCCAGCTCCTCTTTCAAAATTAGAGCCAGCCCCAGGCCTGGCAGTGTCTTGGTTGGGGCAAGCCAGGGACTGACTATCGGAGAGTTGAGATCTGAATCCCAGCTCTGCCCCTGAACAGCTGTGTGGCTCTGGGCAAGTAATTGCCCTCTCTGCACTTCTCCACCTATAGAGGGGACTTCCTAATGCCTGGGCCTCAGATTGTCATAAGTGAGAACATCAACACTGTAGCGTTCAGCATGTGACACAGGAGCTTTCTACGAACCCTGGCCAAGGTGGAGGGCAGAGTGAGGCGCTCGAACAGCAATTTGAGTGTGGTTGCATGACCTCCACTTGGGCACCAAGCACGTTTCTGTGGGACCCGTTTCTCTGTTAATTTCTACAGCTAGTAAGTGAGCTTAGTGAGTGTGCAGGTGAGTATGTGTGTGAGAGTGAGTGTGTTTGTATGTATGTGTGTGTGTAATGGTGGGAAGAGAGGGAGAAGAAGGATCAGCAGGCCCAGGCGCTGCAGTAGAGAGATGTTGTGGGGCTGTCAGGTTTTCAGATGGGCTTAACTGGGATAAGGAGGAGAATTAGAGGTGAATTAGGACAAAGCCTCTGAAGAGCAACTTCCCGAAAACAGTTCTCAACTCAATCTCCTGCTGGGCAGTAGAAGATAATAAAAAAACAAAGGAAGGGCTGCCCCCAGTACTTAGAGCACTTAGCGCACACACTCTCGGTCGTTGTCAGGGGCTGTTTGCTTCTTGAAATTCTGCTAAAAAGCCAGCCAATTACATGCAGGCTGTCCCTTATATCCTAGGTAACCAGCCAGGCATCTTTCCCCTTAGCCTTCCTTTGAAGGTCTTATTCCCCTCTTGCCATCTTTTTTCAGTCTGTCCTTGCTGTGATCGCTGGAATATGGAACACAGAGGGCAACTGAGAAAATCCTTGAATTTGTGAAGTCAAAGACTATTGGGAGGCCATGCCTGCCATTTCCCTGAAAAGCACTTCATTTACCAAATACTAATCAGATTCGAATGGACATCAGCCCGGGCGAGTTGTTAAATTATTGCTGTAATTTGAAAAATGAGTGTGTCAGAGTATCAGGGAAGCTCAAGAATCTGGCCAGAGCTGTCATTTAGAGAGGCAGAAGTGGACGTCCTTGGGTGCTGAGGGCCCTCAGGACTCTCCTGGCCCACACCAGTGCCTCCCCACATAGGCACTAGTTGGACAACAAGTGGAAAGATGTGGCCTTCCCTGCTCCCTTTTTTTTTCCTTTTTTTAAACTTATGGTAAAATACGTATAACAAAATTTACCATCTGAATCATTTCTAAGTGCACATTTCAGTAGTGTTAAGTACATTCGGCTGGGTGCGGTGGTTCACGCCTGTAATCCCAGCACTTTGGGAGGCCGAGGTGGGCAGATCACAAGGTCAGGAGATCGAGACCCTCCTGGCCAACACAGTGACACCCCGTCTCTACTAAAAAAAAAAAAAAAAAAAAAAACTAGCCAGGCGTGGTGGCGGGCACCTGTAGTCCCAGCTACTCGGGAGGCTGAGGCAGGAGAATGGCGTGAACCCGGGAGGCGGAGCTTGCAGTGAGCCGAGATCGCGCCACTGCACTCCAGCCTGGGCAGCAGAGCGAGACTCTGTCTCAAAAAAAATAAAAAAGTACATTCACGTTGTATAACCATCACCACCATCTGTCTTCAGAATGCTTTTCATTTTTCATCTTGTAAAACCAAAACTGTGCCCATTTAATAACTCCCCACCCCACCCTTTGATGTTCTGTCTTTATGGGTTTGACTGCTCTAGGTCGTTTATTCAAATGGAATCATACAGTATTGTCTTTTGTGCCTGGCTTGCATCACTTAGCATAAAGTCTTCAAGGTTCATTCATGTTGTAGCATGTGCTGGGGATTTCCTTCTCTTTCTTTTTTTTAGGCTGAATAATAATTCCGTTATATGGCTGGACTACATTTCTTTATCCACTCCTCTGTTGATGGACACTTGGATTGCTTCCACTTTTGGCTATTGGGAATAATGCCGCTATAAACATGGGTATACAAATCCATTCCTGCCTTTGAGGCTTTTGTAGAATTGATAGAGGCTGCAGAGGGTCTGGGTGGTACTGGCCAAAGCAAAATGAGTTGGAGATTTGAGTTCCTGCTCCCAGCTTTGCAGCCTCATGAGCTGTGGGATGGTAATCACATTACTCAGCTCCTAGAGGCGGGAAACTTCAGTTGTGTGATGGCGCCGTACCACCTACAAGGCTAGGCGCTGGAGTGTTGGACATGACGGGCCATGCTGCCTGGCATGGGAACTGATACTGTGCAGGCACTCATTTCCACAACTTAAGGGGGCAGTGCAAAGAAAAGAGCCCACAGTAGCCTGGGGCAGAGACTAATGCCTTGGTACTTCAGTTTCCCCTGCCTTAACATGCAGAGTTGAGGGTACATAAGTATTTCTACCACTGCAGAATATAGAGATGGTTTTAGATGGTACAGGGAGAGCCTTAAAGAATATGGTGGCCAGGCGCAGTGGCTCACACCTGTAATCCCAGCACTTCGGGAGGCCAACACAAGAGGATCACCTGAGCCCAGAAGTTCAAGACCAGCCAGGCAACATAGGGAGACCCCTGTCTGTACAAAAAATAAAAAACTAGCCAGTCACAGCGGTGTGTGCCTGTAGTCCCAGCTACTCTGGAGGCTGAGGTGGAAGGATCCCTTGAGCCCAGGAGGTTGAAGCTACAGTGAACTGTGATCGTGCCACACACTCCAGCCGGGGTGACAGAGTGAGACCTTGTTTCTTAAAAAAAAAGAAGATGGTGCAAGAGCTCTAATTCTAAATGATTATCTCCATGGCAGGGGATAGGGTGGGTGGGGGAGCCTGCATATTTGCTGTGACAGGTATTTAGTACTTGAATACCTCTTTCATAAACATGAATCTCCCTTTCATCTCCCTTTCTCAATGCACACAACAGGCCCTAGCACCTTTTTGTTTATTCATCATGTATATTTTTGTAGTTGCTTTCTATTTATACTGGTTTTATGCTTATGGTAATTTTCCCAAACTTTTTATTTGAAAATAATTTCAAATTTACAAAAGGTGCAAAGCCAAAAATAGTATAAAGAACACCTGTTTACCCTTTACCCAGTTTACCCCTGTAACATTTCATACCATTTACTTTCCTATTGTATTTTCTCTGTCTGCACACCCGCCCCACACACCCCACGCACATTCATCGTGCCCCTTTCCTCCTGAAGCATCATGAGCATTTGCTAAGATTAAGGTGTTCTCATTCATGAGCACAGCACAGCTGTCAAATTCATAGTATTCTCCTGCTGTGTTCTTGTTGTATTGGCCTAATAATGTCTTTCTAGCATATTCTCTCCTCCAGTGCAAGGTCCAATCCAGAGGCGGGTGGTGCCTTCCGTTGTCACGCCTCCAGCCTCCTTTACTCCGGAACATTTCCACGATCTCTTTCTCTTTTGCGACATTGACTTTTTTTTGAGGAATACAGAACCTCCTCCTTTTTTTGTTCTAATAAAACGTCCTTCATTTTGTCTTTGTGTGATGTGTCCTTGTGATTAGACTGAGATTATGCGTTCTTGGCTGGAACACGGCATGGGTGATGTCATGCACTTCTCAGGGTGTCACATCTGGAGGCACATGATGTCCTTCTGTCCCTCTTGGGTGATGTTCGTTTTGGTCACATGACTAAGGTGTTGCCCAGTTTCTGTATTGTGTAATGACCTTCCTTTTCTTCCCAACTAATAAGCAGTCCACAGGGAGACACTTTGGGATCATACAGATATTCAGCCCCTTGTTAAAATTCCCCCTTAGATTTGACATTTGTTGATGATTCTTGCCTGGTTCAGTCACTATCGTAATGGGCAGGAAAAGATGATTTTCCACGTTCAACATTCTCTCTGTGTTTAAAAGTCAGCCCTTGGCATTCTGTTGTAAGCAAGACCTTTCCCTTCTTCTCATTTATTTATTTATCTCTTATTGGTGTGGACTCATGGATTCCAATTTTCTAATGGTTTATAGTGCATTACTGTATTTAATTATTTTGGTGCTTAAATTGTCCCAGAGTTGGCCTGCAGGAACCCTTTCAAGCTGGCTGTCATGTGCTTGCCTGGTGATTTTTTGAGCAGTCACTTACACTTTCTGGCATAACATGGTGTTCTGTGTTCATCTAGTACCTCCTCTGCCTGTCCTTGGAATTAACCATTTCTCTGGCTCCTGTCCATGGGCAGGGGTATTAGAGGCCAAGATTTGGGCACTGGATGTGCTCATCGCTACTGAGGTATCTTTGCAGTTTGGCCCTTTCAGTGGAGAAAGCTAGGAAATCTATGTATGTACATATACAAAGTGTACATTTATATGTGCCTACATATACATACATATAAGCATGCGTACACACACGTATTTTAGAAATCATATGTTCATACCAGTACCCCCAATTCCAGTGAATTTACAGGTTTTTTTTTTCTTGTCCTCTCCCATCTTAGATTTGTATGTTTCTTCTTGTACACTGAGAGCCCTGACTCCTAACAACGTCTACTCACTGATTTGCCCAATCTTATAATGCACCTAAAAGCTTCAGAATTGCTTCACTTAGAGTTGTTTATTGCTTAAAAAACAGTTCAGGATGTTTTTGCAATTTTCCCTCCCCCATGCCCACCCCAATACTTTACTTATCCCCATATAGAGGATATATAGCTGAGCACATTAATTCCTCACTTAACATCAAGGATAGGTTCTTAGAAACTGTGACCTTAAGGGAAATTATGTATAAAGAAACCAATTTTACCATAGGTGAGTTGATATCAACAGGAGTTAAGTTCATGTGGCATACTTCTGGTCACGAAAACATATCTAACTTCTACATAAAGGCCCAAAATACTTCTAGCATTAAACATTGAAATAAATGTGAGCTGTACATACACTTAAGAAAGATTTATGGGCCGGGCACGGTGGCTTACGCCTGTAATCCCAGCGCTTTGGGAGGCCGAGGTGGGCGGATCATGAGGTCAGGAGATCGAGACGATCCTGGCTAATACGGTGAAACCCTGTCTCTACTAAAACTACAAAAAATTAACCAGGCGGAATGGCACGTGCCTGTAGTCCCAGCTACTCGGGAGGCTGAGGCAGGAGAATGGCGTGAACCCGGGAGGCGGAGCTTGTGGTGAGCCGAGATCACGCCACTGCACTCCAGCCTGGGCGATAGAGTGAGACTCCGTCTCAAAAAAAAAAAAAAAAAAAAAAAAAAAGAAAGATTTATGAAAACATGTAAGATAATTACTTACCCGATTTTTGGTGAATTAATGAATGAACAGCAGTCATGGTGGTGGTGGGTTAAATCAAGGAATAAATGTTTGCAAAGTGAAAAATCATAAGGAGCACCTCCTTCCTGCACGAGGTTCAAAACCAATCACAAATCTGGTAGGCTTGTTGAATGCTTTCATACCACATCATTTATTGTCATGCATTTGTATTATCGTCTACTTTATGAATTGTTATTTGACAATCATTTGTATTCATTTATTTTCCAACTCGCATATTTCCAGTTTAGGATCTTGTATGACCAGTGCCTGGGTACTTCAGGACGCCAGGTGGGAGCCAACTCTGGACAGGGCACCATCCTGTCACAGGACAAACTCACACGCCCCCACACTCACTCAGACTGCGCCTGTGTGGACATGCCAGGGAACTTAACATGTACATCTCTGGGATGAGGGAGGAAACCAGAATATGTGGCAAAAACCCATGCAGACATGGCGAGAACATGCAGACTCCACATAGACGGTGGCCGGGACTGGGAATCAGTTTTTTTCTTTTTATCCTCATCCATGTTATAATGCAACAATGTTGAATGAAATGATGTTATTCAAAGATCTGCTGTATTGTGTTTATAAGCTACTTGGATTAATCTGAGCATCCTTCCTTTCCCCATTCAGAGTGGATTTGGTATTCATTTAAAATAAATTTGGATTCAGGCTAGGCATGGTGGCTCACACCTGTAATCCCACCACTTTGGGAGGCTGAGATGGGCGGATCATTTGAAATCAGGAGTTTGAGACCAGCCTGGCCAACATGGTGAAACCCCATCTCTGCTAAAAATACAAAAATGAGGCCAGGTGTGCTGGCTCACACCTGTAATCCCAGAACTTTGGGAGGCCAAGGCAGGCAGATCATTTGAGGTCAGGAGTTCGAGACCAACCTGACCAACATGGTGGAGCCCTGAAAATACAAAAAAATTAGCCAGGCATGGTGATGTGTACCTATAGTCCCAGCTATTCGGGGAGGCTGAGGCTGGAGAATCCCGTTAGACTGGGAGGCAGAGGTTGCAGTGAGCCAAGATCACGCCACCGCACTCCAGCCTAGGCGATGGAGTGAGACTCTGTCTCAAAAATAAATAAATAAATAAAAATACAAAAATGAGCCGGGCATGGTGGCGTACACCTGTAATCCTAGCTACTCGGGAGGCTGAGGCAGGAGAATTGCTTGAACTTGGGAGGCAGAAGTTGTAGTGAGCTGAGATCATGCCACTGCACTCCAGCCTGGGCAACAGAGTGAGACTCTGTCTCAAAAAAAAGAAGAAGAAGAAGAAGAAGAAATTTGGATTCTTTTTTAAAATTTCCAGTTTAGGCTTCTTCTTTCTCATTCTCATTGATTTAATTTTCATTTTAAAAATGCATGGAATATTAGCAAACTGAAGTATCCTTCCTCCCTTCCACTTAATTCCTGTCATCTCTTATAGATAACCAACTTGATTGTGTACTGAAGAAGTCTCCTTCCTGTGTTTCTTTCTGTAAAAATAAGCAGATTTGTGTATGTTTTCTTCTTTTCCTTTCTTACATACAGGGTAGCATATGTGTTCCTTCCACTTAGCAATGTCTCCGGAAATTACTCCATATCATTTCTCAGATCTTCTTCATTCCTTTTCACAGCTGTGCTGTGTGTATGTACCATAGTTGATTCCATCGGTCTGTTATGCCTGGGCATTTAGGTAGTTTCCAGTATTTTGCAATTACAAAGAATACTACAGTAAATATCCTTGTGCATGTGCAGTTGCATACTTCCAGAGGTGTGTCTTGCGGAGAAAGACCTACAAGTGGGCTGCTAGGTTGTAGAGTATAACGGTGATTTAAACTTTCCTTTTAAGCTGTATTTAAGTGAAAAAAAAGTAATAGTTCAAATAAAATGAAAAATAGTACAGGTAACACAGAGACGTGACAGAAATCATAAAAGCAAGCAAATTAAACTATTGCTTCAGTCCCTTCAAACTCCAAATAGTATCATAACTGAGGTTCAGTCAGAGCCCCCTGGAAATCCAGCCTCAGTGCCTCAGTCCCGGCCTTGGGGACCATAGGTGGAACTCTGTATCCACATAGCCTACTGAGCTGCTTTCCTTGGTGGCAGCAGTGTGGCGCCCGCACCTTGGGAGGGAGGCTGGCCAGTGACAACAGGGACAATTGGAGTTGGGGCCCGGAGTGGCACAGAACCGTGCCAACTTCAGGTGTAGCACTATGAGGAGGTTCCCTGTGACCCTGATCATCAGGGGAGGTCAAGTCCTCTTTGATGTCCTCTTCTAAAGATGATACTCACTTTAGAGCAGTGAGAATCTGGGGAGCCCTTTCCCCCAAAAACCTGCTACCAACTGGTCCCATGCCCACATAGCACTTTGCATAGAGCTTCAGGGAATTGGCAGACCTATAAGGGTTGTTTCAGTACCTATAAGGGTTGTTTGGATAAAACTATCAAAAAGAAGAGCAAGAAACCTTTCCTTGACATTTGAAGATCTGATCCGCATTCATCTAGAAAATTAAGTGGAGCCACTCACTCTACAGCTGTGCTAGCTGGATGAGGACTGTGAGGTGCAGCTGTGCGCACAGGTGTCACAGCCAGGGTGTGGAAATCCCATTTTGTGTGGAGAGGCCCATGTGGGTCTGGTTCTGCGTCAAGATGTGACACGGGGGTTGGGGGTGAGGAAGGGGGAGCGGTCCTGGCTTTGCTGCTGCATTTCCAGCTGTGTTAAGAATCACTGCACTTGTGGGTTTCTGTGCACTCATACTCAATATCCAGGGTTGGACCAGACGGTGGTTTTCAAGCAGTTTTGTGTGAAGCCGTAGAATTCCAGAAAGGGGCCTCATGGAGTGCACGAGGGAGCCCACGGCAGTCAGAGGCATTTGATGCCCACCACCCTTTCCTGGAGCAGCTCTGCGCTCATCTGCTGACTGTGGTGGGATGCCCTGGAAAATTGTCCTGCAAATTAGTATTCAGCTGCTTAAAAAAAAAGTTGGATGAGCTTGGTGCTGAATTGTCTTCACCCTCTTCTCTGCTCCGGAATTCTGCTGGTGTCCAACGAGATTAAGCCAGAAAGGGGACAACTACGTCACAAAGCTTGGCCTCCAGGCCAGGGTGCTGGGGCTTGGCCCTGTAACCTTAGGAAGTACTTGGAGCTGAGTTCCCACTGTGTCAACCAAGCAGGGCAGAGCTGAGCCTGGGGAAGGAGAACTTGCAGCTGTAGGGGAGGTGGGCCTATGCCACGTCCTCTGCCTCATGGGGCAGAGGCCAGAGGCTGGGAGACGAGGAGGAGGCTAGCCTCACAGGCTTGCTTGGGAGTCTTCAGATGTCTGATGGCAAGCCTTGTTAGTAAACACAAGCAAACCTATACATATGACATTTAAGCATACATCTCCCAAATATGTGTAAAAATTTATGTATTATAAATTATATATAATATGATCATGCTAGTATTATGGACAGTATAAAACAAAATAGATTTTAAAAGATGAGAAGCGTTAAAAGACCTACTGCCTAGGGAATCATCTTGCATGCCCACTGAGGTCCATACCCACTTTGGAGATGGCCAAGGTAGTTGGAGGACACTAGGTGCCTGAAGGAGGCTGGTGAAGGTGAAAATGGCAGAAGGGAAAGAGAATTATGTTTCCCCGACAGCAGTCTGCACCACGTTCGAACTCTTTTTTTTCTTTTTTTTTCTTTTTTTTTTTTGAAACAGAGTCTCACTCTGTCACCCAGGCTGGAGTGCAGTGGCCCAATCTTGGCTCACTGCAACCCCCACCCCCTGGGTTCAAGCGATTCTCATGCCTCAGCCTCCCCAGTAGTTGGGATTACAGGCGCCCGCCACCACACCCAGCTAATGTTTGTGATAGGTTTCACCATGTTGGCCAGGCTGATCTCAAACTCTTGACCTCAAGGGATCCTCTTGCCTCAGCCTCCCAAAATGCTAGGATTACAGGCATGAGCCTCCACGCCCAGCCCACATTCCAGCTCTTGGCCATATCTGTGTACTGTTTGCTCTGCTGTTTACTGGATAGCTTTCTTTGAATTGACTCACTTGTTTTTTTCCCAAAATTTAGCCTTATTCTAAGCACTAATATCCACAGAAGGCTTTCTGTGCAGCTAGAATTTTCTTCCAATGCACAATGAAATAAGTACAAAACTATGCAAACAAAGCATTTGTCCACACACCACTTAGAAAGCACTGTTGGCTCCCACCTGTGTGATGGGGCCCGCCCTGTGGGAGACTCTGATCTTTGACATCTGACTTCAGATCAGATGGGAGGGAAGGGGGATGGTGAGAGTGAACCTCACATAGGGCCGGGGCCCATGTGAATATCGGGGCGGGGGGGGGGGTGCTCCTCCATGCCAAGGGGTGCCTGCAGGTACAGTCATGCCTAACAGTCTGGGGAGAGTCTCTTGGGGCATGAGATATCTCCCCACGAGAACACTTTGTGACCACATTGATCACAGACTTTGTCGGGGAGTGGCCCACCCCGCCTCAGATCACAGCTACCATGAATCATTGCCACTCGGGCCCGCTGCCAAAACATCTCGTGTTGGGCTAGACCAGTCGCTCATTTATCACTTCAAGAGATACTTATTGTGTGCCTACTCTGTGCCAGACACTGGATTAGACAGTGGAGAACAAGACACATAAGACAGCTACAAAACCCCTGTTCTAGTGGAGGAAGGCAGACAGTAAAGAAGCAGAACAATAGAGAATGTAAGAGCCAAGTCACAATGAATGCTATTATTATTAAGTAAAATCAAGATAAGGGGGAGGAAGGACAAATCTCCTCTACAGAAGAATGCCAAATAATTTATGGAGATACGCGAAGACGTTTCAGAACCTAATGTCCCATTCTCTAAGTGTGGCCTGTGTTTACTGACTTTCTTCCACAGAGTATGGTATGGAAGGAGGAGGAAAAGTGACTTCACAGTGGCGAAAGCTGATGAACATTAGCTTGGCCAAGTATTGGAGATTAACATCAACAGTTATAAGTCATATTGATAGTATGTGCCCTGATAGGATGTGATGAGAAGGGTACTTCCCCTCTGTGGTCCTCCTCCTCAAAACCTGTAACCCCAGTCTAAATAGCAGAAAGACATTGCACAAACCCAGAGTGAGGGACTCTCAAGAATGCCTGACCAGTACTCCTCAAAATGTCCAGGTCATCACAAGCAAGGACAGTCTGAGAAACGTCACATCCAGAGGAACCTAAGAATGAGGACTCAATGTAAAAGGGATCCTGGAACAGAAAAAAGACATTGGGAAAAACTAATGAAATCTGCCCAAAGTGTAGAGTTTAGTTTAGTTAATAACAATTTTTAAAGAGGTATTAAAAAAAAAAAAAAAAAGGCAGGTGAAGGCCGGTGTGGTGGCTCACGCCTATAATCCCAGCACTTTGGGAGGCCAAGGTGGGAGGATCATTTGAGCTCAGAAGTTTGAGACCAGCCTGGGCAACATAGTGAGACCCCATCTCTACAAATACTAAAAAATTAGCCGGGTGTGCTGGCATGTACCTGTGTTCCTAGCTACTCGGGAGCCCAGGTGGTCAAGGCTACAGTGAGCCATGATCACACCACTGCACTCTAGGCTGGGTGTCAGAGCAAGACCCTGTCTCAAAAAAGAAAAAAAAAAAAAAAACAGGTGAAGAGGGCGTCCAGGAAGATGTCTCCGTGGAGGCGACATGTGAACTGAGCCTTGAATGATGCACCCCAGTCACACCTGGCTAGGAGAGACCTGGTGTGAGAGCCTTCCAGGCAGAGGAAATTACTGTGTAAAGATCCTTGGATAGAAACAAGCTTGGGCCAGGCGCGGTAGCTCACGCCTGTAATCCCAGCACTTTGGGAGGCCGAGACAGGCAGATCATGAGGTCAGGAGATGGAGACCATCCTGGCCAACACGGTGAAACCCTGTCTGTAATAAAAATACAAAAGATTAGCTGGGTGTGGTGGCGGGTGCCTGTAGTCCCAGCTACTCAGGAGGCTGAGGCAGGAGAATGGTGTGAACCTGGGAGGCGGAGCTTGCAGTGAGCCGAGATCATGCTACTGCACTCCAGCCTGGGCGACAGAGCGAGACTCCATCTCAAAAAAAAAAAAAAAAATGGAGACAAGCTTGGGATGTTCAAGAGATAGTGAGAAGCCCAGCACAGCTGGAGCAGCATGAGCCAGCCAGGCAGGGATGGCCAGGAGGTAAGGTCAGAGGTGGACTGGGGCCAGGCCGTGTGTTTGGATTTCATCTTGAGAGTGATGAGTAGGCACTGGGAGTTTTGAACAGAGGAGTGACATGAGCTAATTTCATTAAAATCACTTGGGTTTGTGTGGAGAATACATTAGGGTGGCAGAAGAGGTGGCAGACGTCCCTGCATGAGCCGGGGGGAGGGAGACCATGGCAGAGGCGGTGTCTGAGCCCAAGGTATGTGTTCACATCCCTCTGGAAACAGAAGTGCAGGTTCACATTTTGTCATCTCTTTTAACCCCCTGTATGTCTCCCGAAGGTGGGGAAAAAGATGTGAACTCTGAGTTCCAAAGGCTGACTGTTTGAAAGTCCACGCCCGCACAGCCAAGAACTCTGATGGGGACACCATAAAGCCCAACCCTCATCCATCTTTAATTCAAGATGTTTTCTTTGGTGGTTCATAACTTTTTCTGAAAAATAAAAATGCACACCATGCTTAAGCTGATTGCTACAGGTTACCCTTGTTTAATGGGGAGAAAAAATGAGGTTCCTAATCTCTCTCTGCCTTCTGGAAGTTGTAAGTAAAAAAGGAAAACAAAAGGCTTCAGTCACATCAGAGCTTTCTATTAAAAATGTAAGCAGCTTTAGGCCAGACATGGTGGCTGACGCCTGTAATCCCAACACTTTGGGAGGCCGAGGTGGGTGGATCACCTGAGGTCAGGAATTCGAGACCAGCCTGGCCAACATGGCGAAACTCTGTCTCTACGAAAAATACAAAAATTAGCTGGGTGTGGTGGCAAGCGCCTGTAATCCCAGCTACTCAGGAGGCTGAGACAGGACAATCACTTGAACCCTGGAGGCGGAGGTAGCAGTGAGCTGAGATTGCGCCACTGCCCTCCAGCCTGGGTGACAAGAGCGAGACTCTGTCTCAAAAAAAAAAAAAAAAAAAATGTAAGGAGCTTTAGAATGTTGTCAGTGAGGTTGATTATGTTTATCAACCACATGTCATATCTTCTCAGCTGCCTGAAATCCTTTGGGAAGGAAATGTGGTATCAATAAAGTAAAAAAGACGATTTTAAACTCTCGAAATAGAATAAATGATTGCAATTTGTGTTTTGTTGTCAAAGACAGGAACACGTTTCTTGGTGTTGCTGTGATGAATGGAAAGAGAGGCTCTGGCCTCTGTCTTATTTCCACCCCAGTGTGTCTCTGGTGTTCAGGTCGCTGCTGTCGGACATGTGCTTGATGTGTTTGGAGTCATTTATGCATATTTATTCTCCAACATGAGCATGTGTATAAATCTAGGGCTGAAAAGCTGTCTGGACTCATCCCAGTCTCCATTTTGGCTTCCAGAGATCGAGATGGTGATCATGGAGCGTAGCAAGCTCTCAGAGCTGGCCGCCAGCACCTCCGTGCAGGAGCAGAACACCACGGACGAGGAGAAAAGCGCCGCCGCCACCTGCTCTGAGAGCACGCAATGGAGCAGGTAGCTGCCCGAGAGGTCGATGCTGAGTGCTCTCTCAGGGAAGAGGAGAGGGCTCAGTGGGGAGGTTGAGCCCTAGGGCCAGAGCCTCTTCTGTCCCTCAGCCCGACCATGCTGCCTCCCTTTCTTTCCCTGCTTCTCCAGCTCTGGCCACCCAGAAGCATGGAGACGGAGCCATCACTCAACACTGTAATGCTCACTCCTTTGCAAAGAGATTCGCCAGGATAGCGCAACTCTCTCCCTGCCCTGCTCCTGGCACTTTGGAGCTTGGCTCTGTCTAAAGGACATGGGTTGCTTCACATTGGCTGCTCCTAGAAATGCTCTGCTGCTCCAAGGAAGGATCCCCTCAGTAGCTGGGCTTGGATCTCCCTGCCTGGTTCATTCCCTGCCCTGCACACACAAACACATACCCCATCTATAGGGCCTGCCCTCTTGACTTGGCCACATGAGTTGGTGCTGCCATCCACCTTTGACTTTTTGCCTGATTGTTCATTTCATCGATGGCCATCTGTAGCTACATCTTCTTAAACCTGGGTGACCCCACATTTCCTGGAACCTTGCCATAGCACCAGCCCCTCCACAATGGGATTGGAGGGAAGGCTACTCCCAGCGTATGCTGGTAGCTGGTAGCAGGGCTTCATTTCAGAGTTATTTCCTTACCTCGCAGCCCCACTGCACAGACCCCTGCAACAGCCTCCTGATTAGCACTACCTTCCTGTTCATAAATGCACCACACCAGGATTTCTCTGTCAGCCTGCGAGGCATTCACTTCCTCAGCCCCTAGGGAGGGGTGGTGGAAATACACACGGCCCCCCATCCTCTTTAGTAATCCAACTTCAAGTGAAGATGTGAAGTCCACTAATTTTTTTCCTCCACATCTTATTTGTCTCTTTGCTTGGCAAATGTTTCAATGACTTAACAGATGGGATTAATTTTTATCAGATGTGCAAGGGAGCCATTTTTAGTTTTTGCTAAATAAAAAAACAGTGGAGTACAAAGACCTTTTAGATTTTGCTTCACAGCAAAAAATGTAACTCCCAAAGCTCTGAAAAATAAGTAATTCTAAACACAGACGGTTGGGGACAACCTTGGCACAGCATTCTTTAGACTATAAATAATTAGAAGAGCCCCAAATAACCAGTAGTGGGATGTTGCTTAAGCAAAGGAAGAGGTATCTGCTTAATGGAGGATTAGGCCAGGCATGGTTGTTCACACCTGAAATCCTAGCGCTTTGGGAGGCCAAGGGGGGAGGATCACTTGAACCCAGGAGTTTGTGACTGGCCTAGTCACATAGTGAGACCCCATCTTTACGAAAATATTAAAAAATTAGCCGGGCATGGTGGCAGGTGCCTGTAGTCCCGGCTACTTGAGAGGCTGAGGTGGGAGATTGCTTGAGCCAGAGAGGTCAAGGCTGCAATGCACTATGATTGCACCACTGCACTCCAGCCTGGGCAACAGAATGAGACTCTCGCTCAGAATATCTGCTGCTGCTTTTAGGTGAATACTGTCATGATGTGTTCAGTTCCTTAGGGTTTGATAAATGGAAACAGAGAACATACTTTTCGTAGTATGGTAATACTGTGGCTTTGCTAATGGAAGAGAAACACCCATGTATTTCTCCCGCCACCAAAAAAAGGGTTAAAAAAACAGACCAAAATGTTATGTTTGAATATTGGGGTTGATGACTTCTTTTTTTCTGAATTTTGGTGGAGAGAAGGGTTTTCTTAGAGTTGATTGAGATTGTTTCTTAACTTTGGGCATCTTGAAGCACATGGCTTCTAATGGAAGCTGATTCAGTTGCCTTGAGTTAGGCCGCATGCAGTCCTGGGAACCTCCAGGCCAGATTTCTGCTAGACTGTGAGACTGAATGCCGGGTTAGAGACTGGCCCAGGTGGAGAGCAGCTTTCTCCTTTGTCAAGGTATCGAGTTGCAGCTTGTAAGAAACTGCCACTGCCCTCTGTCCCCCCAACTTGAGCAGTTGGGACTACAGGCCAGAGTCACCATGTCTGGCTACCTTTTTTTTTTTTTTTTTTTTTTTTGCAAAGACAGGATCCTACTATGTTGCTCAGGCTAGTCTGGAACTCCTGGCCTCAAGTGATCCTCCAATCCTCCTGCCTCAGCCTTCCTGAGGCAGGGAGTGGGAAGGAAGGTGGCTGTTTGTTCTCTAGGCTGTGAATTGGATCTTGGCGTTGGTCCACTTGCCCCAAGAAACAGCAAGGTAAAAAACAGACTGTTTTTATATTCCCCATATATTATGGGCTCTGTCTGCACTGGGGGTTAAATATAGGCCTAAGAGGCCGGGTGCAGTGGCTCATGCCTGTAATCGCAGCACTTTGGGAGGCCAAGGTGGGCAGATCATGAGGTCAGGAGATCGAGACCATCCTGGCTAACACGGTGAAACCCCGTCTCTACTAAAAATACAAAAAATTAGCTGGGCGTGGTGGCGAGCGCTTGTGGTCCCAGCTACTCAGGAGGCTGAGGCAGGAGAATGGCGTGAACCCGGGAGGCAGAGCTTGCAGTGAGCCGAGATCACACCACTGCACTCCAGCCTGGGCAACAGAGCGAGATTCCATCTCAAAAATATATATATATATATATATATGTATATATAGGCCTAAGAAACTTAAAGCTTTCGAAACATCGTTTCTTTTCTTAAAAAAAAAAGTTTAAAATTATGAAAGTATGCAAAATCTTAAAAAGCATAAAGGGGGAAAAAGTCTTCACTGCTAACATTCAGAATCAGGGGGACTACCATTTTGGTTATTTTTTTTACCAGTTTTTTTTTTTTTTTTTCCGATGTGAACTTTCTGGGAATTTCACCCTCCCTTCTCCCAGAAGCTTGGACCGTATTGTGTCTATAATTTTGTATTCTTTTTTTCCATCTAATATCAACTCCCAAGCAAACTTTTCACCTTATTCTACCCTGCGTAAACAAAACGCTTAATGGTTTTATGATACTTCATCTCATAAAAGATGGTACCCACCCAGCTATTGGCATTTGGTTATTCATATTATTCCCAAATGAAAATATAATCCAAATTTCAAGCAGCTGATTTACAAGAAAATGTTATCCTACTCCTAAGTCTGGAAGTGTTATTGCTGGAGGCTTTCAAAACCCAAATCTACACATGGCAAAACTATTAACACATCTGAAAGGTGGTGCCCCATCTGGGGCTGTGGAGAAATGGGGATGGAACATAAATGTCCCCTTTAAGATTTTCATTTTTTTTTTTTAGTTTTTGTGTGTCACGTGTGTGTTTGAAATGTTATGACAAGTACATTTTTCCTACTTTTTTTTTTTGCATTTTTCAATGAAATATTTTGTATCAGAGATACATGTATAGAGTCAAAAATTCAAAACTGTGTCAAAGGTTATATAGTGAACACTCCCTGTTTCTCCCCAGTCCCCTTTCACTCCCCGTAGGCATCCAATGTTCATTGGAGCTTGGGTGTCCTTCCAGAAATTAAATGTGCCCTTGGTCACTCATGAAGGTGCTCTGTTCTCTTGGCCTCAGCCTGGCATTCAGAGGGGGCAGCCACAGACAGTGGGAGGATCAGAGCCTCTGGCCTGTGGGCCAGACCTGTGCATATTCTATTCTCCTGGTGTTGAAGAGTATTTTTCTGTGAGGCCCTTCACCTGGAAAGGCAGCATTTGGGATGTGCCATTTCCGATTTTTGCAGCCTCTCTACAGATCTCACCCACAAAGCATCAGAGGTGAGAGACCTCACTATCGATTCTTCGCAGTCAGAGAAAGTCAGCCTGAGAAATTGCTGGGTCAGGACCCTGCCAAAGTGAAATCATGAAGTAGTGCCCTTGGTATATTAAAAATAGAAATCAAATAGCAGCTCCCATGCATTGGCACCGTCCACAGTGCCTGACCCTGTGCTAAATGCTTTTCAGTCTTCATTGCGCTTGAATCCTCACAATAATCCTGCAAGGTTGGACTCCACCCCATACAGATGGGGAAATAGGTTTTATGTGACTTGCCCAAGGGTTTGCTGAATAAAAAGCTAAGAAGAGGCAGAATCAGAATTTGAACCCAGACAGTCTGGCACTAGGGCTCATGTTCTTGAACTTGTTTGGATTGTTGTTTGTGCCTTGTGTGACATCACACTGTCCTGTTTTCTTCATTGGCTTGTGACACACATCACTTTGCATTGATGTCTGTTTGTTCTGTGTCTACCAGCTGACACGGGAGCTTTGGTGTGGGGAGTTTGTATAATTGATTCCCTGTGTCTGGAATACCTGGTGAATGATTGTTGTGTGACTAAGCAAGCAGTCTGTTCCTTGGTCAGGTTCCCCTCTGGATAGCGGCTTCCGCAGGCAGAGCCTGTCTCTCATTTGTCTGTGTCCTCAGTGCGTGGTGCTGGACCAGGCACACAGTTGTGGCCTAAAGAGCTGTGTCAAAGGCAGCTAGCACCCCATGTGCAGGTTAGAGAGGGGAGGTGTTCACCCTTGTGCACCGTGAGGCTCATACATGCCCCTCCTCTTTTCCAGACCCTTCCTGGATATGGTGTACCACGCGCTGGACAGCCCGGATGATGATTACCATGCCCTGTTCGTGCTCTGCCTCCTCTATGCCATGTCTCATAATAAAGGTAAGCACCCTTGCCTTGCCTGACTTCCTTGCTGGGCCCTGCATACCCATAGCATCCTTCCCCTCTGCTGCATGGAGGACAAAGAAAGGTGCTTTCTGTACAGAATTTCCTTTCTGGTTTTGGTGGTCCTTTTTGGTTTTGACTCCCGCTCCTCTTTAGCTTCTTTAGAATTTCTCAGGTGTTTTTCTACCAACTGAAGCCACAGGAATTGGTTACTCAGGCAATATGGAGGAAGGTGACTTGAGTGCCTAACCCAGGATGACTATATTCACCCTGTGGTTTTCTTTTGACCCCTTGATTTACAACTGACTTAGCGTCTGACCTCTTTCCTAACATCAGAACTGAAATCAGTCAAATTGTAATCTTGGTTTTGCTATTTATAACACTTGGTGTTCTTATTCTGTGTTCAGAGCTGAAATAGACCCTGGGTGGACTTGGTGGAAGCATAGGTTTCCTTTCTGAAGAAAGGTGTGGTTCTCTGGCTTCCCCTATTAAGGCTACTTGGCCAGGATCCAACTCCCATGGGGTTGACAGGTTTTGTTGGGATTCATTCATTCACCGCCTTGCTGCCGACCCCTGGGAATAGTTACTGTTGTTTGCCCCACCTGGCTTGACATGGGCACGTTCTGAAACCTCCACATCAGAATCTCTTCAAAGAAGAATTCAGGAATATTCCTTCTAACCCCTGCCAAGAGCTAGGCTTGGCATAGTAAAAAAAATCAAGTGATATTTTAGTAGGTTTTTTATAAGCTTATTGGGGAGTAGATAGAGTTGGGTTTTACTAAGACAGCCTATGGCTAGAGGCATTAGAACATACATGATATAACTAAGTTTATGTGTTCTTAAATCATTAATCATGATAAATAAGTTGATTAGTGGCAGAAGGGTATATAGGGAAAAAGTTTCCCACCTTTGACCCCAGCTCTCCTCTTCAAAGGCAGTTCCTGCTACCGGTTTCTCTTGTGTCTTTTTAAAGATAGCCAAACAAACCCAAGTAGGAGTATATATGGTTTTATTTGTATGACTGCCCACTTAGCTGTAAATGGAGATACCCATATTGTGCTTTCTACCTTGCTCTGCTCACATCATCATATTTCAGCACATGGGTTCACATCCATAGAGAACTGCCATTCTTTTTTATCAATGTGTGAGCAAATCATAGATATTAAGGATTTTTGCATCTATGTTCATGACTGATACTGGTCTGTAGTCTTCTTGTAATTCTCTTGTCTGGTTTTGCTATCAGGGTTATGCTCACCTAATAGAATGAATTGAGAAATATTATCTTCTCCTTGATTTTCTGGAGGAATTTTTGTAGTATTATTTCTTCCATAAATATTCCTTAAACCAGTGAAGCCATCTGAATATGGAGTTGTCTTTGGTGGAAGGTTTTTAACCACTCAATTTCTTCAGTAGGCATAGGGCTTTTTAAGGTTACGTATTTCTTCTTGAGTGAGCTTTGGTAACCTGTGTCTTTTAAGGAATTTGTCATTTCATCTGAACTGTCAAATTTATTGGCATAAACTTTATGTTTTTCCTTTATTATCTTTTTAATGTCTGTAGGATCTGTAGTGATGTTCCCTCTCTGATTGATGGTATTGATAATTTAGGTCTTCATTTTTTTTCCTAATCATTTTGGCTAGAGGATTATTAATTTTATTGCTACCCTCTATTGTTCTGCTGTTTTTGATTTTGTTGATTTCTGTTCTTATGTTTGTTTGGGGTTTTTTTTTTTTTTTTTTGCCTTCTGCTGCTTCCAATTTAATTTACTTTTTGTTTTATAACTTCTTATAAAGAAGCTTTAGGCATTGTGGGAAGCACTTTATTGTCCACAGCCAAGCTGCTTGTGATGAAACTGTAACTTACAAGAAAAGGGCTGGGTTTTAAAAATGACACAGGCTCTAAAAACCCTGGAAGCGGTGCAACTTTTGGCAGGAATGGGGGTTAGCAGGACCTCAATGGCTCACTATGGCTAAGTGAACGCTGACTGGGTCCTCCAGCGTGAGCTAGAACAGACGTCTCTATGGTCAAGTAAACAGCGCGCGTGCTGTCTTTCCCATGTGGTGGGGTTGCGCATGATCAGTAGCTGCACCACTAGAAAGATGGCGGAGGAAGAGCAAAGAAAAATCCCTTTGGTTCCAGAAAATCTCCTGAAAAAGAGGAAGGCTTATCAGGCACTCAAAGCCACCCAGGCAAAGCAGGAACTTTTGGCAAAGAAGGAGCAGAAGAAAGGAAAAGGGCTCAGGTTTAAGCTACTGGAATCATTCCTACATGATTACTGGCAGCAGAAACCTGACAAGGTGCATCTCAGACGACTAGAAGTGAAACCTCATGCCGTGGAATTGCCAGATAAACATTCCTTGGCCTTTGTTGTACGCATCGAAAGGATTGATGGCGTGAGTTTACTGGTGCAGAGAACCATTGCAAGACTTTGCCTAAAGAAAATTTTTAGTGGTGTCTTTGTAAAAGTCACCCCCCAGAATCTACAAATGCTGCGTATAGTGGAAACTTATGTGACCTGGGGATTTCCAAATCTGAAGTCTGTCCGAGAACTCATTTTGAAACGTGGACAAGCCAAGGTCAAGAGTAAGACCATCCCTCTGACAGACAACACAGTGATTGAGGAGCACCTGGGGAAGTTTGGCATCATTTGCTTGGAAGACCTCATTCATGAAATTGCATTCCCAGGGAAGCATTTCCAGGAGATCTCATGGTTCTTGCGCCCTTTCCACCTCTCAGTGGCCCATCATGCTACCAAAAATAGAGTGGGCTTCCTCAAGGAGATGGGCACACTTGGCTATCGGGGTGAACGCATCAATCAGCTCATCCGCCAGCTGAACTAGACCCAGGTGCCAAACTGCAGTATATTTTTGATCAATGAAGTGGAAGCATGTGTTTTGTTGTTTTGGGAATTTTTATCAAGTGTCTTCAGAGAAGATTATTTCCTGCTCTGTCTTCAAAAACTGGAAAGGAAGGGTCAAAGAAAAGACAGTAGCTGGCTGGGCGTTGTGGCTCACGCCCGTAATCCCAACACTTTGGGAGGCTGAGGTGGGCAGATCACTTGAGGTTGGGAGTTCGAGACCAGCCTGACCAACATGGAGAAATGCCATCTCTACTAAAAATAAAAAATTAGCCGGGCATGGTGGCGCATGCCTGTAATCCCAGCTACTCAGGAGGCTGAGGCAGGAGAATCGCTCAAACGTGGGAGGCGGAAGTTGCAGTGAGCTGAGATCACGCCATTGCACTCCAGCCTGGGCAACGAGCGAAACTCTGTCTCAACAAAAAGAAAAGACAGTAGCTTATGTTCATGTCAAGCACCTCTCATCAGAGTCTAGTTCCAAGGAAAAATTCCAGTGTTTTCTACATTGGGTGCTGCGTCGTCTGAAATCGGCACATTCCATGGAGGAAGGAGTCCTGCTTTGTTGCATCTATCCTAGGGTTTAATGTTGGTAAATGAGTCACTCTAGCATTTGTACAAGGCTCCCTAAGACTCCTGCAGCAGTCGACCAAGCCCAAGGACATAATTGAATCTGGAGAGTCCTGGAGCCTTGTTTTGAAAAAGACTTGAAATACACATAGGAAGAAAGGCATAAAAATAAAGGTTCACTTGTCTCTGCTGTGGAAAAAAAAAAAAAAAGAAGCTCTAATTATTGATTTTAATCATCGTAGGAAGCTTTGATCATTGATTTTTTAAGCAAATCAGCTTATTTTTTTAAACTAACGTACCATAAAATTAACTCATTTTTGTATTTAATTCTGTGAATTTTGGGACATGTATGGATAGGTGTGAACACCACTTAATCAGGAGATAGTACAGTTTCATTATCAGAAAAATATCCCTCAGGCTATTCCCTTTCCAGTCATTGATTTTTAAACCTTTCTTCTCTATGACTTTAATGCTATAAATTTCCCTGTAAGCACTGCTTTACCTGCATCCAGTAAATTTTAACATATGAGGTTCATTCAGCTTAAAATTTTACACAGTTTCCCTTTTGATTTCTTGTGTTTTGTCATGTGTATAATTTCTAGCTGTGTTTCTCTTATTGATTTTTCTCCTGCTTTTGGATTCCTTCCCCCATTTTTTGCATGCCTGGTCATTTTTGATTGGTTGACAGTTACTGTGGTTTTTCACAGTTGGATGCTGGATTCTTCCTGTAAATATTTTTGGGCTGATGGTTCAGTTAATTGGAGTTGGTTTGATCCTTTTTTGAGGCTTGCTTTTAAGCTCTGTGAGAGCTGGTCCAGACAGCCTTCAGTTTAGGGCTAACTTCGCCCTATTACTGAGACATTACCCTTCTGAGACTCTACTGTGTCCCATGGTGAGGTGGTCTCTCCACACTGGCCCCCCCAGTGTGAGCTCCAGGAATTGTTCCACAGGCTTCATTCTGGCAGGTCTTTCCCTTTCTTCATGTGCATGCACAGACCAGAACACAGCAAGGTTCTAAAGGAACCCTCTGCACATGTCTGAGCTCTCTCTCTGCAGCTCTCTCTTCATTTATCTTGTCCATGAATTTTAACCCCTTGATCTCCCTGAACTCCAGACTCTGCCTTCTCTGAGAGAACCACAGTCTTTGGGTTTTCTATCCCTTTGCTGAGGCCCGGATACTCTCACTGGACAGCAAGCTGGAGCAATCACTGGGCCACTGCCTTTGTGCTTCTCCCTCTCAGGGATCTCTCTCTTATGCTGCCTGTTCATCCAGAGTCTGATAACCATTGTTTTGTATATATTGTCTTGCTTTCTAAGTTGCCTGAATTAGTAGGATAAATTCAGTCCATCTTGGCCAGAAGCATAGCACCTTTAAAGAAAAAGTTGGATTGAAGTCTAATTGATATGCAATAAACTGAACATATTTAAGGTGCACAATTTAATATTTTGACATATGTAAATACCCGTGAAATCATCACCATGATCAAGGCAGTGTATAATCCAGCATCCCAAACATTTCCTCATTCCCCTCCCTTGCTTCCCACACCCCTCTCCCCAAGTAACACCAGTCTGCTTCCTGTCATGCTAGATTAGTTTTGCACTTTCTAAAATTTTGTATAAACAGAGTCATGCAACATGTACTCCTCTTCATGTGGCTTCTTTCAATCCACTTAATTATTTTGAGATCCATCATGATGTTGTGTGTATCTGTAGTTCATTTCTTCTTGCTGAGTAACATTCCATTATATGAACATACCACAGTTTATTCATTCATCTGTTAATGGAAATTTGGGTTGTTTCCAGTTTTGGACTATTACAAACAAAGCTGCTGTGAGCATTTGTGTGGCCCCATACAATGTATGCCCATACAGAGAGTTGTATGAGCATATACATTCTTTTCTCTTGGATAAATACCTAGGAATGGAATGGCTGAATCATATTTCCCATATAATTATGGGAGATATGTGTATGTTTGCTTTTATTTTAAGATACTGCCAAACTGTTTTCCAAGATGCCTATATAATTTTATATCCCATCACCAGTGTACAAGAGTTCTAGTTCCTTTACCTCCTTTCCAACATTTGGTGTGGCCACCTTTTTAGTTTTCACCATTCTAATAGGTTTGCAGTGGTATCTTATGATCTTAATTTGCATATCCCTAATGACATTGAACATCTTTTCATGTGTTTCTTTTGCCATACATGTCTTTGTTAGTGAAGAGTCTTTTCGAATCCTTAGCCCGTTTTTTAAATTGAATTGAGTAAAAAAAATATTGTGTTTCGAGACTTTTGGGTTTTTTTGTTTTGTTTCTTTTAAGACGGAGTCTCACTCTGTTGCCCAGGCCAGAATGCAATGGTGCAATCTTGGCTCGCTGCAACCTCCGCCTCCCAGGTTCAAGCAATTCTCCTGCCTCAGCCTCCAGAGTAGCTGGGACTACAGGTGTGCGCCACCACGCCCGGCTGATTTTTGTATTTTTAGTAGTGACAGGGTTTCGCCCTGTTGGCCAGGCTGGTCTCGAACTCCTGACCTCAAGTGATACACCCGCCTCAGCCTCGAGAGTTCTTTATGTATTTTGAATGCAAGTCCTTTATCAGAGGCATTTAGCAATGATTTCCCCCAAGTCTGTGGCATGTCTTTTCATTTTCATAACAACATCTTGGGAAGACCAGATGTTTTTTAATCTCCATGAGGTTCCTGTGGCACTTTTTAATACCGCCTTTTCTCTGTATTTTTTCTCTCCCATTCTGGACTGCTAGGCCTTGGAAGGCAGAAACCATGTGCTCCCTGCAGTACCCAGCCTACCGCCTGGCACTCAGTCAGTGCTCAGCCAGAGTTTGCTGATTGGTTGCTGCTCAGCTATGTGGCACGTCCCCAAGGCCATCTCTTCCTGGCAGCTTGTAGCTCAGGGCTTCAGCAAAGAAGGTGCTGTCTGTGTGGTGTAGATGCCAGGCTCCATGGGACAGTGGGCAAGCTCCTCATCTTGGTGACTGGTGTTCTCCATGGGCTTCCTTCCTGCAGCCCTGACCTGTACGGGGAGCAGAGACGTCATGGCTTACTGGGTGTGCTGCCATGCACCTTCATCCATCTTATGCGCTGGAGAGACCACTCACCTGTGTTCCCGCCTGGGCATCCTACCTCTTTTTCTTGGGAATTTCTTCTTGGAAGAGTAGAACTGTATATTCAAGGAAATTGAATTCCTTCTCCCATTTTCTGCTAATGCTATGCATGTATTGATTCATTCATTCTTCCAACAAATATTTTGGAAGCCCCTGTTAGATGCCAGGCACTGGGATCAGTATTGGGGATGCAGTGGTGAAGCAAACAAATGCTTTCATGGAATCTGGATTCTCTTAGAGGAGACAGACAGTAAACTAGTAACCAAGTAAAATAATCCCATGTAGCGAGAAGTGCAACAGTGAAAATAAAACTAGGTAATGCGGTGGGGCAGGCTGAGGGTAGAGGGTACTACATCCGCCTGAGCAATCAGGAGAGGCCTCTTGGAGGCTTAAGTGATCAGGAGGAATAGCTTGCAGTTTCTGATGAATTTCCTCATGTAATTAGTTATTCAGCAAATGCATGTGGAGCACCGGCCGTGTGCCAGGCAGTGTGCTCAACATGGGGACTACAAACTCCAGGCAGACCAACCCAGGCCCTTGCCCAAGAAAGCATCAGTCATTCTTGGACAGAAAAGTCCTACGAGGAGGCTGTCAGCACAATAGAGGGTCACTTGCCTGGTGGTGAGCATGGACTCTGCCCGCAGGAGTGAGGACCCGTTTCCTGAGGACACCCGGGCTATGGTAGAGGACAGAGCAAGAAGGGGCATGAGAGCCTGTGGCATATCCATCAGATCACTGCCCGTTCCCTAGGGTGAGTGGCAGCATGTCCGAGGCAGCGGGTGCCCCAAGAGGCAGGCATCTGGAGCCAGTCTGCAGGGGGTGGCACAGGCAGCGACTGAACTGTGTTCCTATGAGCCGTGTGGGGCTGCTGGGGGGCAGTTGGTCAGTTAGTGAGCTGACCCACTCTGCACCTCTCAGAATGGGTTTGCAGTAATTCAGCCAGCGGGTGGGAGGGATGAGAGGTGAAACTGAGAGGCTTTCTTATCATTCAGCAGATACTTGCTGAGCGCTTGCCAGGGCAAGGCCCCGTCATAGGCACTCAAACAAGCCCAGATGAGTCTCACTGAAGTGAACAAGAAGATTAATTGTGACTGTGACAAATGGTAGAAGGAAATGAACAGGGTGGAGTGATGAGGAAGCCTAGTGGTTGTGCTGCAGGGGTTACTAGGTGCTAGTCAGGGTGGTCGGGGAGGGCTCCTCTGAGGAAGGACCAGCAGAGCCACAGCCCAGAGAGTGAGAAGGAGCCAGCTCTGCAAAGACCTGGGGCAAGAGTCCTCCAGGTGAAGGGAGCAGCATGTACAGAGGCCCCGGGGTGGGAAGGAGCAGAAAGTGGGCCAAGGTGAGGCTGGCCAGGCGGGCAGGGGCCAGGTCATGAAGGGCCTTGAAGGCCCTGAAGAGGAATTGCCATTTTTTCTCCAAGTGCAATGGGAAACCCCTACCGAATTTTTAAGTAGGACAGTGATGTGGTCAGATGGAAGTTTTTAAAAGAAACGTTGGCTACCAGACAGAAAGTAGATGACTGGGGGTGGGGATGAGTTGCAGGAGGGAACACCGAGAGACTTGCTAAGAAGCTGTTGCAGTCATCCAGGCGAGATAATGTGGATTGGATTAGGCTGCTGGCTGGGGAGTAGAGGAAACTGGAAGGACTTGTGATTATTTCAGCGCTAGAGCCAGGACGTGCTGATGGATTGAATGTAGGGGTCGAGTGAAAGGGACGAGTCAGATGACTCCTGTGATTTGGCTTGAGCAATGGTGGGGGTGCATTTACTAGGATGAGGAGACAAGGAGAGTCACTAGGCTAGGGGTGAGGGGTTCTGGTTGATTTGAAAGGAGGGGGCATGAAGGGAGGAGCCTGGGTAAGGCTCAGGTTCCTGACTCCTTTCCCTGTGTGACCAATAGTGCCATTTCCAGAACTAACAAGCATGGGCCTTGGAGTAGGTTTGGAGAAGAAACGGAAAAGTTCAAGTCCGGTGCCCTGAGGCCCAGGTGCCTGGGGAAGCTGCCTCGTGGGGGAGCTGCCACCTGGTTTATGCTCAGTCCTGGCCTGTGAGCACAGAGTCTGCATTTGGTGGGGCTTTGCTGGTGGAGGTTGGTTGAGTGATTGGTTTTTGGTTATGCAGCAGCTGATCAGGCTGCACTTGACCTTCAGCCTCACTTTTCCAGATCCTTACCCCCCAAATCAGGTCCCAAGTGACCTGGTCTCTTTCTCATAGATTTTTTCCTCATAGTCAATTTTAACATAAAAGCCACGTTCATAAAAACCAAATGTGAGCTCAGGCCTTCCAGTAATCATAATAGATTAGATGCTGCACCGAAATGAATATCCCACAGTGGAAAGGGTTGACCGGTTGGCGGAAGGCGCTTGTTGTGATTCAGTTGGGCCACATAATGAATTCTGGTTTGTTTCTGTAATAGAAAATGCAGCCTTCGCTCTTCTATCAAGTCCGCTGAGTCCTGGGCCAGAGGTGGAGGGATGGGGGTGAGTTTTACAGCTTTTGTATCTTGAAGGTTCCCCAGTTCAGTGACCAACCTTCTACTCCTGCCACTCCATTTGTCATTGTTTACCCAGGAAGAAGGAGTCTTGGGCTCTTTGTGTTTTGTGTTTTGTTTTGCTGAGAAGTTAATGGAACATGGATGAGCGATATGGAAAAGGTTGAAAGGTAATAGGCTAAAGGGAAGCTTTTGCCATGCGGAGAACTTGCACAACGTCAGTTTGGATCTTGGCTGACACATAACCAGAATTAGAAGTACATTGGAAATCGGCCCAACATCTGGTTAGCTTTCGAAATCTTTGGTCTATAGTCTTCCAAAGCTGGTAATACTTGTGTGACTGCAGCCAAGGAGACTTTGTGTGGTCAACAGACGTTTTTAAAAAGTTTGAACTGTTTACCTGGTGTTCTCGTGGTGTCTTTATCCAGATCTGTCTAATTATTCTTATGCATCTTTGGTCTGGGTCTTTTACCTCTCTACCCTAAATGGGGGCTACTACTAAGGGGGAAGAATCCAGATATCAGAACTGAGAGGGAAGCTTAGTAAGAGTTACTGACACTGTGGGGCCACACCCTTCCCTTCTGTTTTGGATTCTTTGAATGAGTTAGTTGAGAGTTCCGCCCTCCACCCCTGTCCACGGGTGGACAGGGGACACCCGTTCTGAGTCGGTGGGCAGCTCAGGCTCTGACCCCTAAGGCAGGGCTGTGGGCGGGGCAGGGAACATGTGGTCTGCTGGAAGCCAGAATGAGCTAGTGCTCCCGTGAAGTGCAGCAGGGTTTCTTTGGAATTTGTCTGTCACAAAGCACTTAAGAGTTGAAGCAAATAGGATAATATATTATCCACAGTGTTTATTTCTGTCAGAGGGAAATGACTGGCAAAGAAGCTATTGGGTTTGCAGCAAAACCTGCCTTTCTGTGACCAAAAACCACGGGGTATGCATGCGTGTGTGAATGAGTGTCTGTGTGTGTATGAGTGTGTGTGTGTGTTTGTGTGTATGTCCTTGCACACAGGAGCCGTCTTACCTTTCACATGCATGCCCCTGTTACAGGGTGACATTGACCTTAGCCACTCAGAACCATCAGCCACCAGGTTGTTTCAGGCAGGAGGCTTAAACCTAAATCTAATGTTCGCCACAAATTAAATGCCATCCTAAGTACAGTGATGGTCATGCAATGATTGTTATAGAAAACAAAAATGAGAATAAGTTGCTTTTTCACTTGCCTTTGATAGTACCACCTTAAAATAACCAACTGCTGACAGTGTCGTATTTCTTTCTAGCATGTTTTCTGTGTGGGTGATGGTTGGGCTTTTTTGCACAGCTGTCATATGGTGGCTTCTATTTTACGTATGTTTCCCCTTCATTTTGAGATTTGTCTAATCTTCTGCCCGAAATTTGATCAAAACTACTTAACTTTTTAAAAAATTAATTCAGCAAAAATGTATGGACTGTTGTGTTTGTGCCAAGAACACCACTAGATCACATGACATACATAGCTTGGGAAGGTGGAGGGAAAGAGCGTTAACCAGCGGGGATCATGGTACACGGCAGAGAGGAGGGAGGTAAGAGCCACATGGCTGCATTCAGGGCTGGGCTTTCCACTCTCCACATGACCCCAGGCAAGCTCATGTCTTTTTTGAGCCTCAGCTTCCTCGTCTATAAAATGGAAATACTATTAGCCACTTCATGGAATGTCATGAGGATGAAATGAAGCATTCTACGTCATATGCCTGGCTGATGGTCACCATTTCTTCAGAGCTTACCATGCGAAGGCAATCTTGTCATCTTAGCAGAATCCTCTCCTCCTTCCTTCCAAAGACACTCTGTCCTTCCCCAGAGAGACTGGTGATTTTGTTGTTGTTTGTTTGTTTTGACTGAGTATTTTGGTAAATGATAAGGCCTCCTTCAAAACACTGGATAGTTGGAGTCAAAGAGAGGATTTTAAAGGCCATGGTGGGAAAAAGAGCTGGGAGAGAGAATGGGGCCCCTGGCCCAGAAGGAGCTTTGGGGAAAGAAGGGAGATGTTCAGAGGGGTTTCTGTTATATAGTTTTGCCGTGTGCTGTGTGGAATCACCTCTGCTCTCTGCCTCCCAGGGCTGGTGGTAAAATCTACCTCACATGGACTGCATGGCACTAGCAGGTCAGTTTGGGGTAAAGGGCCGGAAGCATGGAGACCACTTGGAACAGTCAGGGGAATGGAACCACCCCAGTCAGCCAGGGCACAACCAGATTATGTTACGGCCCGCTAGCTGCCTCTCCTGGGCCCCTCCACTGCATCACCCTCCAGGATCCTGGCACGAAGCCTTGCCTGTCCCTTCCCCCATCCTCCACCTCATCACCCCCTCCCCGGCTCTCTCCCACCCAGACCTCTCTGGGTCTGCTCCACTCCCTGCAGTCCCACCTTGGTTTGGCAAGTCCTGGCCCTCCCTGTCCAGTTCAAGGCAAACTCCTGTTCATCCTTTAGGATCCAACCTGAGCAGCTCGCCCCCTGAGAGGGGCCCCCAGCAGCTCAGCATGCCTCTTTTGGGCTGTCTGTAGCTTGATTTAGCTCTTGTTAGGTTTTATCCTTGTGTTCTTTTGTTCTAATTTTCCTTTTTTTTTTTTTTTTTTTTTTGAGACAAGAGTCTCGCTCTGTCACCCAGGCTGGACTGCAGTGGCGCAGTCTCAGCCCACTGCAACCTCCGCCTCCTGGGTTCAAGCAATTCTCATTTCTGAGCCTCTCAAGTAGCTGGTACTACAGGCATGTGCACTACACCCAGCTAATTTTTGTATTTTTAGTAGAGACGGGGTTTCACCACATTGGCCAGGCTGATCTCAAACTCCTGACCTCAGGCGATCTGCCCACCTTGGCCTCCCAAAGTGCTGGTATTAAAAACATGAGCCACCGTGCCCGGCCTAACTTTCCTTTTATAACACGAATGATAAGGAAACACATGAAGTCATGCTCAAACTAAAAATTCTCATCCATGCATTAAGCAGTGCTCAAACTAAAAATTCCCATTTGTGCATAATAATGAGAGATAAAGTTGTTGGCCTGTGACAGTGCTTTTTCTCTTTCGATCCTGACAGCAGTCGTGGGGCGGGTAGTTACCATAATTATTCCCACTTCACAGGTGAGGAAACTGAGGTTCAAAGAGGTAAAGTATCAAAACAAAGTTCCTCCCGCACCCCACCGCTAGGCTTCTCATTCCTGCTGTACCCAGCTGTCCCCCTAAGAGAGGGTGAGCCCAGGGACACAGAGGGGTGGCTTTTGTCAGCCCAAGAGGACGGGCCCCCTGTGTGCTCCTGGTGGGCTGGCTGTGTGGGTGCTGCCACCCTTTCCCATTTGGACCCCACCCACCTTCGGGATCACCTGAAAGTGGTTTGAGCTGTGTCTCTGACTTGCTCTGTGACCTTGGGGAAACAACATAACAACTCTGGGCCTTAACTTCCTCATGAAAGGAAAAGGCTGGACTTGGAACCTGGTACAGAGAGAAGTGTTTCTATCCTCTGGGACCTTCCCTTCACGGAGAGTTGAGAAAAGTCGAGATCATCTTGGGACGCTTTTCTTCCTGTCAAGAAAAGAGCTTGCCCCAGATTTCCTCACTGTCCACAAATTCTAAGGAGACGGAGGGGCAATGATAGGAAAGAAACAAAATGGACCTCTCTCTGGAAATTCAAGGCCTGGTCCTAGTTTGCCTCTTTCCATGGTTCTGTGGCCACTGCCCCATTCTAGAAGGAGCGAGCAGCCAGGCCCTTTCTGCTATCCTCTCTGAAGCGGAGTGACTGCTGATGGGTTATAAAGTTGGGCAATGCACCTGGGACACAGAGGAGCTTTTATTCCCCACCCCCACCCCCACCCCCACCCCCAGAACCACTGACTGGCAGTTCTCAAAGGGCCAGAAATTAACGAGTAGAGAGATGTTAGGACAGTGTTAACATCTCTGGAAAAAACAAATGCCAGAAAGATTCAGTTGACATTCTTCTTGCCATTCAATAAGCCAGAATCCTTCAGAGTTACACATTTAGCATTAACATGGGATACAGAAGCCACAAATTAAATTTTCACTGCAATGAAATTTTTTGAGGAAACCCACATTTGTGGGGCGTTTTGGGGCATGAGAGAGACTACTACCCTACTCAAGTCTTTAGGCCGTCCCTCACCCAGGTCATCTCCTTGGTATGACTTAGCCTCTTTCTGGGAGCTGGAAGGAATTCAGAAAAGCAAGATATATTGTTACTTCTTATTACATCAATGTGCATGTGCAGGAGTTACTTAGAATCCAGACAATCATCTCTTCAATGCTATCTTCCACTATTTTGTCAAGGTTCTAAATGAAGCGTCATCTGGTACTCAAGGGACCGTATTTTAAGAGTTCCGAGAAGTGCCACCTTTCCCCCTTTTGTAGAGTAACAGGAAAAGACGTGGTACAAGCGCAAATAATCCATTCAGTTCTCCAAGCTTGGATCAAGCAAAATATTTGTTTCTGTAAGTGTATTTTTGAAGAGCCACGTCAGTTGAGCAGATAAGGAGTTTGAAGACCTCTTACTCCAGGCAGGAACTGTTCTAGTAGCCCTAACAGGTCTTCTGTCACTGCAGGTCCTGTGTGCTTCTTTAGGAGAAATGACAACAGGGCTCAAAGTCACACACTTGCCTGTTCTTCTTTCCTTTCCCACTTACCTTCCCCACCCCCATCTAATATTTTATCTTTCAAATGCTGTTAGTTTTGGCAGGAAGAATTGTTGAATTTTCACTGGAGGAAAAATGATTCCCTTGCCTCTTAATGATAGATCTCTGCTGTATTGGTGTCATTGTATTAGGTTGGCACAAAAGTAATTGCGGTGTTCCAATTGCTTTTAATGGCAAAAACTGCAATTACTTTTGTGCCAACCTAATATGTGCACCTTTCTGTAAGAAAGGCTTAGCTTAGTGTCTTTCTGCTAATGTCACCCTCAGGGGCAGGCGTGGCCTCTGCCTCACCTGGCTCACAACTTGATTCCTCCTACATGTGTTGAGGGTGGGGCTCAGCTTTTGAGTTTGTCATTAAAAGCTTGAGGGCACAATTGTTGGGGATGACTGTATTTCCTTCGTGTCTAGTCTCTCTTTCTCTAGGCCTGGATTTCCTCAAGCGTAGAAGGTGCGTAATACGGGAGTGGCCTCAGGTGGCCCTCAGACCTGGCACACAGTGGCAGTGAGTTGTGCTATGGGATGGTGTCCCCTTTTTCTACTCCCTTCCCTGTGTCTAGGAGAATGCCACCATTTGGGGCTAGCTTCTCTCCAACACTATTAAGTACCTGCCAACCTCCCTTTTTAACAAAGATCAGGTCTTGGGCCACCATGAGTAGGCAGTCAAAAGTCATTGGCTAGCATGCAAAAACATTTTTTGATTTTTAAAATATTATTACTGGCAATTATTGCATCAATCCTGATTTCCTATTTATAAGAAATAGAAAATGTATGTTTTAATACATTTATGTAAGTTCAGTTTATGGAGAGCTCTGCGATAAGTTATGGCACCAACAGCAACCAGTCATGACAGCAGTTGCCAAGAGGGGACAGGCGCAGTGGCTCACAACAGTAATCCCAGCAATTTGGGAGGCCCAGCACTTGGGGAAGCCCAGGAGTTCAAGTCCAGCCTGGGAAACATGACAAAATCCTGTCTCTATTAAAAACTAAAAAAAAGAAAAGAAAAAGGAAAAGAAATCACCAAGAGGGAACATATGTGGCTGAAGTTGAGGAAACCCCACTCTACAGGACCTTTCGGTATGAGGAGGTCAGGTAGTCAGGAGGCCTCCACTTACATCCTTCTCCTCTGTTCCAGGCATGGATCCTGAAAAATTAGAGCGAATCCAGCTCCCCGTGCCAAATGCGGCCGAGAAGACCACCTACAACCACCCGCTAGCTGAAAGACTCATCAGGATCATGAACAACGCTGCCCAGCCAGGTGCCCACTTGGGGTGTTGTCTGTCCACAGGGCCACGCAGTTGTAGGAAGCAGACCCCACTGGGAGCCTGAGCCCTGGGTGCTAGGCCTGAGCCTTCTGAGAATCCGGGCCCATCCCAACCTCTCCCTCTGCCTCTCAACCCCTGCATCCTGGGCCAGCCCTCCTGCCTGCTGGGACTGTGTCTTAGCTCTGGGTCTCCTTTTGCCATCCCATCCCCTGCCACTTGGTAACCATCTTTCTTCTTCCACACCCCGCCCTTCTTTTGCTGAGATTGTCAATGTTTTCGCCCCCACCCCGCTATGTCTGGGTGGCCCAAGGTAATATTATGAGAAAGAACTAGGCTGACAGTGGAGTGAGGGGAGAACATTCGAAGGTTTAACGGGCCAGTAGACGTAGGAGACAGAGTTTTGTTACCAGCAACAGTTGTGGGTAGGTATGGAAACAGGTAGGAGTGAGAATGCGCTTGGAGAAAAACTCACTTGGACTGGGCAGCTGAAGAGAGGTTACGCTAGTGCTGGGGCTGAGTGGGGTGGGGCCAGGAGAGCCGATGGAGCCGAGACCACCCAGTCCTTGGTCATCCCTGGGGCTTGTATTATGTTTGGGAAGACCTATTTTTTGTGATAGCGCTTTTTCTTTTCTTTTTTTTTTTTTTTTGAGATGGAGTCTCGCACTGTCACCTGGGCTGGAGTGTAATGGAGTGATCTCTGCTCACGGCAACCTCCGCCTCCCAGGTTCATGCGATTCTCCTGCCTCAGCCTTCTGAGTAGCTGGGATTACAGGTGCACACTACCACACCCAGCTATTTTTTTGTATTTTTAGTTGAGACAGGGTTTCACTATGTTGGCCAGACTGGTCTCGAACTCCTGACCTCATGATCCACCCACCTCGGCCTCCCAAAGTGCTGGGATTACAAGGTTGGGCCACTGCGCCTGGCCTGCTGTTTCATTTTTTAGGCAGATCCCCTTTTCTCACTTATTTTCACCTGACTTACAATGCATTAACAAAGGGACTGGCAGGGAGGTGGGCAGAGGGGTGTATCTGCCTTTAGTTTTTTCCCAGTGACCTATCGTGGTCTCTGATGTTTCCAAGGCCTTAGAGGCATAGCCTGAAGGCCTCCTCCTCTCCACAGTGGGACCTTTCACCAGAAATAAACTTGAAAGACCCACAGAGGAGTTTGCATAAGAGCAGTTGTCCTTCAGTCAGTCAGTTACAGATGCTTCTAGGAGAGATGCCAGATGCGGGTTTTGGCTTTCTGAGCACCTGCAGTCTACCACTACCCAGCTATGAGACCTAGGACAAGTCACTTCACTTTTCTAAGCCTCAATCTTTCCAGCACTCATTGCAATAGGTTTTTATAGAGATTCCTTCAGGACCTATATAAAGTGTTCGGCACTGTGCCTCGTTCACAGTGGTAAGTAAGTAATAGCATAGTAAGTAAGCTGTGTTAGAGCTCTCTTGGTCTTGACAGAAACCCGACTCACTCTGGCTTAAACAATACAAGCAGACAAAGCTGTGTTAGCTTATAAAGACTGCTGAGGCCTAGCTTCAGGCAAAGCTGGATCCAGGGGCTCAAACAGTATTTTTCTACCTTTGGCCTCTGCCACCTTCTGGGTTGACGAGATAAATGCCAGCCCCTCCAGCTAGCCCTTTCTGCACTGAGACTCTAGACTTACTCTACGGGAGACACTTAGATTTGAACAGTCTAGTTGGAAGAGAGATCTCGAAGTGATATTTGTAGAATACTTTACTAAGATTAAAAATGCTGGCAAGGGTGAGGAGGTGGCCGATATAGATTATAATGCTTGTGCCCCTCAGGGCGTCACCACGGTCCTCTGCTCAGCCCGGCACAAGGAGAATTTCTCTTAACCCAGCAGTTCCAGCAGATTGTGAGGTTGAGCCTTACTGGCTCTGACTGGCTCCCTTGCCTGGTTCTTACCTAGTCACTGGGACCAAGGGAATATGGAGCACCCCAACTGGCCAGGTGATGTGCCCAACCCTGGAACGGGGAAGGAGGATCAGCTCCACCCAAATCACATGACCCAGAGTGGGACTGGCGGCTCTCTAAAGGAAGTGGGGGTGCAGGGCCACTTTCCAGGCCTCAACAGTGTTTAGTCACCCTCTTTTTCCTGCACCCTGTCAGTAAAGGGACTTCAGGGAAGTATTTGGTATAGGTAGTTTTGATGGAGAACATTGAATTCTAACTGATGGGGAATGGTTTGGGCATGGGGGGTTCCCACTGTGTCCCCACTGGATGTTGGGAGCCATGAGCAGTTGGTCTATCATGTGACCTGCTAGCCTCAACGTGGATAGGCAGCAGTCTTGGGTTTAAGGGCGCCCCACCCTGGGTGTGCAAGGCTTACCCTGGTGTGCTCTGCAGATGGGAAGATCCGGCTGGCGACGCTGGAGCTGAGCTGCCTGCTTCTGAAGCAGCAAGTCCTGATGAGTGCTGGCTGCATCATGAAGGACGTGCACCTGGCCTGCCTGGAGGTAACGCCCTCTCCGCTCCTCCTTCCTGTGGGCCAAGGGAGAGGGACAGGAGGACAGGAGGGAAGCTGCTGGCATCCAGATAGGAGCCCTGGCCCGTGGTGTCATCGGTCACCAGCTAGAAGCAGCAGGGGCTGCTCTCTTGAGACCCCACTCCAACCTACTTATTCAGCAGGGACTTCCTTTCAGCCGAGACTCGCTGAAGAGTCCACTTAATTGAGTTTTAGTAGTTTCTGTTGCAATTATTTGATTCTGTATTTGTCCTCAGGATTTCTGAATTTTTTCTTTGGTATTACAAAAGTTTTTTTGCACATACAAACACATCAACACACATACACACATTGATTATGGTTTTTGTGTTTAAAATATATGTTAAATTTTCAGTGGCTTTTATGGTACCTCTTATTTTCTATGTTTATTTTAGAAAATTTAGGAAGTAGAAAGGTAAAAGTAACAACTATAGTTGACATTTTGTCTGTGTCTGTGCACACACACACACATATTATATATGTAAATAATATATTTAAGTATTATAAGCAAATAATTATATATATAAAGAAGTATATTTACATATACAATATGTAAATATTATACACTACGTATATTTACATATGTAATATGTAAATATGTACATGTGAATATATGTAAATGAAACATCTATTTACATATGTAAATGAAAATTCATTTATAAGTGTGTATATATGTTTGTGTATATATATACACACACACACACACATGCTTACAAATGAATTTTTTGTCTTATACAAATGTAGTTGGGCCAAGTGCAGTGGCTCATGCATGTAATTCCAACATTTTGGAAAGCTGAGGTGAGAGGATCACTTGAGGCCAAGAAGTTGAGACTAGTCTGGACAACATAGTGAGACCCTATCTCTAAAAAAACAAAAAAGATTAGCCAGGACATGCCTGTAACCCCAGCTACTCAGAAGGCTGAGGCTGGAAGATTGCCTGAACCCAGGAGTTTGAGACTGCAGTGAGCTATGATTGTACCACCGCACTCCAGCCTGGGCCACAGATTGAGACTGTCTTGGAAAAGTAAAATAAAAAAGGAGTCATGATGGCCATATTTTATAACCCATTTTCCCCCAATTAACTGTATATTAACAGCTTCTCATGCCATTACAATCGAATTACCTATCCTTTCCCCATTTTCATTTTGAGCTCTGTCTCCTTTCCTCTCTCTCTCATTAAGAACTATTTTATAGGCCAGGCATGGTGGCTCGTGCCTGTAATCCCAGCACTTTGGGAGGCCGAGGCGGGCAGATCACCTGAGGTCAGGAGTTCGAGACCAGCCTGGCCAACATGGTGAAGCCCCATCTCTACTAAAAATACAAAAATTAGCCAGGCATGGTGATGGGTGCCTGTAATACCAGCTACTCGGGAGGTTGAGACAGGAGAATCACTTGAACCTGGGAGGCGGAGGTTGCACTGAGCCAAGATCACACCACTGCACTCCATGCACTCCAGCCTGGGTGACAGAACAAGACTCCATCTCAAGAAAAGGGAAAAAAAAAAAACACCATTTTATACATTAAGGATATTAGTCCAGATCTGTTTTATACACACTCATGTTTTAGAATTCGTAGTTTGCCCGACTTGCTCACCTATATGAGACCTGCCTCCTTCACACCTTCCTTCTCTTTTAACAGGGTGCGAGAGAAGAAAGTGTTCACCTTGTACGACATTTTTATAAGGTAATTGGCAGAGCACAGATGGACAGCAGCATGGTGTGTATTGTAGAAACAGAAGTGTGGTGTCTGGTTCTATGCAGATAAACGTTATATGTCTTCAGTTATTTTTTATGCCTATAATTACTGAATAAAAATGCTCAATTTCATAGTCCCTAGAGTAGCAATATCTAAACTTTTCTGTCCAAGCTGTCTTATCAGTAAAATTTTTGAGGACTCAGCCCCAGTATATGATAATTTGTTTCTCAGTAATACATGGATTTGGTTATTTGGGAATAATTATATGTAAATTATGAACTACGTACGTATAAACACATATAAATAAATTATATATGATGCACTTATGTTCATAAGTTATATATGCTTACACATATAAAATTACTTATGAATTACATATGAATTTATGAACCATATACATGTATATTATTTATATTGATATGTGCTAAGAAACCTTATACAGACTTCTAAACCTCTATTAACGTTTATTGAGATTTTGTAAAGTGCCACCATGACTTTCAGTATCTGAAAAATTTGCAGAGCTTTGTCTTCAGGTTCCAGATGGTTTTATAAATATCTAATTGCCGCCAGGCATGGTGGCTCATGCCTGTAATCCCAGCACTTTGGGAGGCCGAGGCAGGTGGATCACCTGAGGTCGGGAGTTTAAGACCAGCCTGACCAACATGGAGAAACCCCGTCTCTACTAAAAATACAAAATTAGGCATGGTGGCGCATGCGTGTAATTGCAGCTACTCGGGAGGCTGAGGCAAGAGAATCACTTGAACTCAGGAGGCAGAGATTGCGGCGAGCCAAGATAGCGCCATTGCCCTCCATCCTAGGCAACAAGAGCGAAAACTCCATCTCAAAAAAAAAAAAAAAAAACTAATTGCCGTGGTTTTGTTTTAGCTTTTAAGGCATATGTTTTAGTCCATTTGGGATGCTAAAACAAAACACCATAAACTGGGTAGCTTATAAACAATAGACATTTACTTCTGGGCCGGGCATGGTGGCTCATGCCTATAATCAATCCCAGCACTTTGGGAGGCTGCGGCGGTCAGATCACAAGGGTCAGGAGACCAAGACCATTCTGGCTAACATGGTGAAACCCTGTCTTTACTAAGAAATACAAAAAAAATTAGCCTGGCATGGTGGCAGGCGCCTGTAGTCCCAGCTCCTCGGGAGGCTGAGGTGGGAGGATGGCATGAACTGGGGAGGCAAAGCTTGCAGTGAGCTGAGATCGCGCCACTGCACTCCAGCCTGGGTGATAGGTGAGACTCCATCTCAAAAAAAGAAGAAAAAGAAATTTACTTCTGTCAGTTTTGGAGGCTGGGAAGTCTAAGATCAAGGCAGATTTGATATCTTGTGAAGGCTCACTTTCTCATAGATGGCACCATCTTACTGGATGACCTCATTACCTCCCAAAGGCCCTACCTACTAATCCCATCACCTTGGGAATTAGGATTTCAACATATGAATTTGGGTGGTGGGGGGTGGTGGGGAGCAGAAACACTCAGGCCTTGCCAGCCTCATGTGTCTTTCAGGGAAGGCTCATCACTCGTCAGCCATGGTGGATTAATCCATAGGTCAAGTAGTCATTTTCTAGTTTGCTGGCCTCCGGATCAGGTCTCTGCAGATCCTGCGAGTGATGGTTTCCCCTCTTAACGTGGCTGATGAAGATCCTCCTACATGGGGAAGGTGGCAACACTGCCATTTCCTTGTCCCCTGTACTTTCATTATTCAAGCCCTCTTTAAGCTGCTGTTTCTTTGCAGGAATCGTTTTAAGCGACTGCATTATTGTCAGTGTTTGTTGAGATAAAATGAGGTTATATGATTTGGAGATCGACCTTGCCAGGCTCAGATGACCCCATCCAGCTGCAGCAGTGGACATACCCAGACAAGGGTGGCACCGTGGTGGGCCCCTACACACTGAGGAGGAAATCCCACTTTCCCCTTAGAACATCCCAAACCGCACTTGGCCTCCAAGTGAGGATACACCCTCACTAGCAAAGCCCACGAGAAAGCAGAAACCTCAGGGTTGCATTAGTCATCTTTGAACCTCTTTCCAGTATAACTGCCCTAAGTTTATGTCCTCTAGAAAGCTTTTGGATTGCAAAAACAGAAAGACATATAGGTAGGCATTTTCCCAGAGGGTTATTCTTTATTATTAACAAAAGGAGAGCTTTATTTAAATTCTGGATCCCTTCTCCCAACCCAGATTTTTCTTACTTTTATCCCATAACATTTATTATACCCTAAGTATAATTTCTCAGCAGCTTTTAGATGTTTTCAGGAATTGTCTTTCCTGGTGGTGGTAGTTATGTCACACAAGAATATTCAAATTTAGTTGTAGTTCTGACAACTGAAAAAACCTAAAAAGGATCTATTCCCTTTCCCACCCCAAGTGTGGGGTGTGTGTGTGTGTGTGTCTCATTCAGAACTTGTGAGAGAGATGCAGCAGTTCTAAGGGTCATTGTCCAGTAGAGATTACCATGACAGTGAGTGCTCACACTGACCCAACCCTGAACGAGTGACAGGTTCTGTGCCTCCTCGCATTTCATGTGCATTAACTCATTTCATCTTCACAATACCCTAGACAGACATGCCATTCATGCAGTGGAACAAGGAGGCGAGAGGTGTAAAGCTGGATTTGGTTATGTGTATCAGAACCAAGACTATGCCCACCGTGCTGTTCTGAAGGGGCCCTCCCAGGCAGTCATGACCCTGAGGAACAACATAACCCCGAAAGCACTCCTCATAAACAAATAGAACAAGCCATGTAATTGTAATGTTAAACTTATTTAATTATACTCTTCCTTCCAGAGGTGTGGAGCCTTGTATCTTTAATGTGGTAACTTAAACAGGATTGTCCATTTCTCCAGCCGTTCTCGACAAAATAGATAATGTTAAACACTTGAAATATTAGCCTTTTCTATATTTTAATCCTACATAGTAGTTTTTTTTTTAATTAACTGCTTTGACAGAAGAATTCTAACTCCATATACTTAAAAAGGAAGGAGAAAATTTTGAATAGTGCAATTTGATATTTGGTCTGTCATTTGAGCGTGTGTGTTTGTGTTCACGTGTGCATTTTACTTCCTGGTGATTTACGAGAACTCACTAATGAGAAACAGATGGCCTCTAAAGCCACAAACTAGAGTTTATAATACTCTGTTGTTTATGGAAAAAAATATGAATAATCTCCTCTTCCCTCCCTTCCTTTCTTTTTAGGGAGAAGACATTTTTTTGGACATGTTTGAAGATGAGTATAGGAGCATGACAGTAAGTGAGGGGCTGGGACACACTTGGGCTGGTGTGCGCCTGTGTCCCTGCCAAGCTCCCCCTGCCCATCCCAGAGGGAGTTTTTTGACTTAGGGCTTTGTGACCAAATAGCACAGATTGATGGGGAAGCAGATTTAGAATGGTGTCTTGTGATCCCCACCACTGTTAAAATTTCAGACTATATTCTCTCCCTCTAACATGGGAGGTGTCCGATGAATCAGGATGATTCTCTGCTATGAATAGTAATTTTGGGGACAGTATCATTTTATTGAGGACTTACTCTGTGCTGGATGTATATAGCATGCTGTACAGATTATATCTCTTCATCCTCACACCAACCAACGGTAATAGCTACTGCCATTGTCCCTTTCTTGCTGAATTAGTCTCTTCTCATACTGCTACGCAGAAATACCCAAGACTGGGTAATTTATAAAGAAAAGAGGTTTAATTGACTCACAGTTCCACATTGCCGGAGAGGCCTCAGGAAACTTACGATCATGGTGGAAGGCACCTCTTCACAGGGTGACAGGAGAGAGAATTAGTGCAAGGAGAAAAGATGCCAGATGCTTAGAAAACCATCAGATTTCATGAGAACTTACTCACTATCATGAGAACAGTATAAGGGAAACTGCTCCCATGATTCAGTTACCGGCACATGGTTCTGCCCTTGACACGTGGGGATTCTCATGTGTCTCACCATTCAAGGTGCGATTTGGGTGAGGACACAGAGCCAAACCATATCACTTGCTAATGAGGAAACTGAGTCAGAGAGGTCTAGTGATGTACCCAAGTCTGCCCGGCCGGTGAGTGGCAGAGCCACGCTTCTAGAGGAGGACAGCCCAGCCCCGCATCCCCCGTGCTTCTCCATGTATTATGTCCCTGCCTCCCTGTTTGCTGCTCCACTGGAATGTTTCAGCATGCAGCTCTCCCTCCAGTCTGTAGTGCCAGCACATGGGCTTCCTTCCTCCTCCCGCAGGCAGAATCGCGGGAAGCCATAGGTTCAGAAGATCCCAGCTTTCTCTGCTTTGCGCGTTTGTCTCTGTTATCCCAGCACCTGCCCTTGGCTAGGTACTCCATAAGTACGTGATAAGTGATCCTTCTTGTGGATATTACCCACCAAAGCATGTGTGATTTGGGAAGTTTATAATAAACCTAAGTGTTTTAAGTGTCAAAAAGAAAAAGGCAGCGTGCACTAATTGGCTCCTTGGCTTCGCAGCCCATTCCCTAGGAATCGGGACAGCTGGGCCCTCACCACGTCCTTTGTCACTGCATGTCTGAGGCTGCCGTGGAGCCTTTTCAGGGGAAAGGTGTAAATTGGCATAAGTCATCTCCAGAAACACCCCAGCAGCACCCTGTGCCAGGCCCCCGTGGGCTGCTCATCTACAGCCCCTCATCATTCCTCCAGCCCCTTCGAGAGAGGCTCAGTCTTCCACCCTTCAGACCATTCATTAGAGTGGAAGGGATTCAGTTGTCATTTGTTATTTCCTCTTACCCCCGAGACATCCCCCTGCAATGTCATTTCCTACAGTTTGGTTTCCTGTTTGGAAATGTCAGGCTTCTATGGCACTTGACCATGTGGGAAAGCTTGAGCTCTTAAACCCCTGCTCAGTGTCTGCTTTTGACAATGCAACCTTGAGTGCATTGCTGAAATTCTGAGCCTTGATTTTTTTCTTTTTTTTTTTCGAACAGAGTTTTGCTCTGTCGCCCAGGCTGGAGTGCAAGTAGTGCGTTCTCGGCTCACTGCAACCTCTGCCTCTTGGGTTCAAGCAATTCTCCTGCCTCAGCCTCCCGAGTAGCTGGGATTACAGGCGCCCACTACTACGCCCAGCTAATTTTTGTATTTTTAGTAGAGACGGGGTTTCACCATGCTGGCCAGGCTGGTCTCAAACCCCTGACCTCGTGATCCGCCCGCCTTGGCCTCCCAAAGTGGTGGAATTACAGGCGTGAGCCACCGCACCTGGCAATTTTTTTTTTTAAATCCGTAAGGTGGGGGATCCCTACCTCATAGCCACCCAGGCTGTATATGAAATAGCCAACAAGAGGCCTCATGGGTCCATACACAACAACAAATACTCATGGGTCTATACACAACAAATACTTCCTCCCCCTCCCACCATGGGGAGCTTCCCAGGTTTTTTTGTTTGTTTGTTTGTTTGTTTGTTTTAATCAAACATGTATTGTGTGTCCTATACAATGCCTGGCATTCCAGAGAAATACAAAGGTGCCACGCCCTTGCTCTGTATCTGAAAATCAGTCCTCAGCCTTCAGGAATGCAGCTTCTGAGTGGAAGGGGGTGGGGACAGGCCCTCCAAGGCCAGCTGCTGTACCAAAGTCAGACCATGACTTGTGACCTTTCCTTCATTTCCCTTATTGCCTCTGGTTTAATGCAAAAGGTTCAGTGAGGTGATGGCCTAGCTCTGCCCCCAGCAGGCCTGAGGGGTTCACTGGGAAGGTTGTAGGGGGCAGCAGGAGTAGAGGGGAAGGGAGCTGCAAGTGAATGAGTGAGGCAGGAACTGCCACCCCTGCGGGGTTAGAGGATTTGGAGTGGGGGACCTCAGGCTTCTGGAGGAAAGTACTTAAAGTGTCCAAAAGAAGAAGGCAAGCAGCATGCACCAAGTGGCTCCTTGGCCCTCTGGCCCATTCACCGGGTGTCTCAGTATGTTTTCTGCAGCTATAACAGAATACCACAGACTTAATTTATAAAAAAAAGAAATTTCTTACAGTTCTAGAGGCTGGGAAGTCCAATATCAGGTGCCAGCATTTGGCGACGGCCTTCTTGCCACATCATCCCATGGTAGAATGCGAAAGGGCAAGACAGAGCAAGAGGGAACAGAACTCACTCTTATAACAAAGTCACTCTCACCATCATTGAGCCACACCTGCAATAACAACATTACTCCATTCATGAGACCCAATCCCGTCTTGTTAGGCCCTACCTCTCAGCACTGTCACACTGGGGATTAAGTTTCCAACACATGAACTATGGGGGACACGTTCAAACCATAGCACCAGGTATCTGGGCCACTGAGCCCTCGCTACATCCCTGCCCTATGTAGTCAGCTTTACCTAGCAGGAGGGGGAAAGTGGTATGTTTGAAGCCCACTTTCTGAAAAGAGAAGACACAAGGAAAGCTTGTGATGTTTGAAAGAGTAAAATGAATTCTGCAGAAAGCTTACCCTTCGTCTGTGAAGCCAGGGAAATGAAATGTTAGTGTTCAACAACACGTGTGCATTGATTACTACTACTGATGCAGCAGAGATCTGGGAGAGGTGGCAGGGAGGGGATGTCACCCTGTGTCTTAGTCCTCAAAGAAGGCTTCGCAGAGGTGGTGTGGAAAGAGGCCGTCAGCTCTGGCCCAGTGGCCGTGGGCATGCGCCTTTCCTCCTCTGAGCTCAGTGTCCCTTTTATGATGGGCCCACCAGCACCTGCCGTCCAGCAGGAGGTGATCCCAGCACGTGCCTGGCACTTAGTAGATGCTCCAATAATGATTGTGTTATATTATCCCAGGTAAGATGTGAAGGGGACAAGGAAGGAAGGGGAAACATTGGTCCTAGGGTGGGAATCACAGAGGCCCTGGAGCAAGACAGGCCTGGGCTCATGTCTTGGCTCTGCCACCCACCAGCTGAGCGACCTTGGATCCATTTTTCTGCTTCTCTGAGACTGTGTTCCCTCATCAGCAAAGTGGGAAGCAGCTCCTCAAAAGCCCTTAGGTCACAGCTTGCAGCGGAATCAGCTCTCGTTAAACGGAAGCTGCCATCGCCATAGCTGTTATCATCACTGGAAGGACAGAGAGGAGGAAGCAGGTGGCAGACGGGCTTGCACCCACAGGGATAAAGCATACCTGGCCTCCTGCTGAGAATCCCTGTCCCTGCTGAGGTGGAGAGAGAATGCGAAGAGGAGCAAGCTTTTCACAGCAAGGATGCAACTTCTCAAGAGTCTGAGCTGCTGCTTCAATTAAAGGAAAAATCTGCAATTTAGAAAACCAAAAGGCATATTGCTCCCTTATCTGGCTGCCTCTGTGCTTTACTTCAATCTAAATCCAGGATTTAGATCACTCATTTACATTTACTAAATGCGGTTGAAGGCGAGGGGCCTGTGCAACCTCCCCCGGCCCCTTCCTCCTTCCAAGTAAGGAATCTGCTTTGAGGTTTCCTGTAATGTCTCTTCTAGATGAAGCCCATGAACGTGGAATATCTCATGATGGACGCCTCCATCCTGCTGCCCCCAACAGGCACGCCACTGACGGGCATTGACTTCGTGAAGCGGCTGCCGTGTGGCGATGTGGAGAAGACCCGGCGGGTGAGTGAGCACAGGACCTGTCATCTCCTGGGCCACTGTTCTCCAGAACCACTCCCAGACCAGGGAGGAAAGGGCTTCTTTGTCAAAGTCAAGAGCCTGCCCTCAACACAGCTTAGACAGTGGATAGAGAGTACCCATTTGCCCCCAGGCATGACTTTCCAAGGCATGTTTTTACCCTTTGGGAAGTAGGGTTTGGCATTCCGTTGCATCTGGCACCCAGTGTTGGCTGCAGAGAGGTAGCCTTCACCAGTGCAGACAGACAAGCCCTGAGCTCAGGAGTGTAAGGCAATGGGGCCAGTTTTCTGTGAACCATCGGGGGTGAGCACGGTACATCCAGTGCAGGTGAGGTTGGTGTGAAATCGTAGCCCAGCGGTCTCAGGACCCCCAGAGATAGTGCGATGTTAAGGCATCTACCTGCTCTTGGGACACAGTCAAATTAAATGTGAATCTCACCAGCCTGCAGGACAGATATGTGTGAAAAGATTAGTTCTCAGAACCAGCTGCAGTGTGTGCTTCCGTTATCAGCCCTTTTTTTCCGAAGCAGGTACTCTAGGAAGCAGTGTCCTCAGGGGTGTTCATGGTATTTTATCTCCCGGGTAAGATCAGAGTTTCTTTCTTAGAAAGCACCATCACCTTTTCCTAGAAAATCATTCACTGGAGACATGAGTATTTGTGTATAGTTCAGAGGAATTCATTGCACACAGCTCCCCTTGTCAGCCTTTATCATCTGAGTTAATTCGTGTGTGACAGAGGTGTTTCACTTTTGGATTTTGCAAAACAGGAATGACCTGTCATTTGCACCTCAGACACGAGGAGTCTGAACCTTCCTCCCTGCAGCTGGTGGTTCTACCTCGGAAGCCTGGGGGTGCAGAGGAAGTGGGACCCATGTGTCTTGAGTCAATCCACATTTCCAACTGTCTGACCAAACCCACAAGCCTCACCGCAGGACCCACCCTGTCCGGCCCACTGACGCCTTCCTTCCATGTCCTCCCTGCCAGGCACACGATTCTGTTTGTGGGTGGCAGTGTTTGCACTGGACGTCCTGGCATCAGCTTTCACTGGAGGACTGGTTCTGACAGATGTGTATGTGTTGCTTCATGATGCTGACGTGCTCACCCCCAGCCAGGGCTACAGCATCCTGTGCCAAGAAGGCCCCACCTGGGAGATCCCCCCGCACCCCTGAGCCAGAAGGTCCAGAGGACTGAACGCTGAGCACTGCTGCTCTGGATTCCACTTTGCCTTTTTGTTGTTGTTGTTGTTGTTGTTGTTTTGGAGGCTGCAGTGAGCTGTGATCCATCCTGGAGTGCAGTGTTGCGATCATAGCTCACTGCAGCCTCAAACTCCTGGGCTCCAGCCATCCTCCCACCTCAGCGTCGGTAGCTGGAACTACAGGCACAAGCTACCACACCTAGCTAATTTTTAGATGTTTTATAGAGATGAAGTCTTGCTAAGTTACCCAAGTTAGCCTTGAACTCCTGGCCTCAAGCCATCCTCCTGCCTTGGCCTCCCAAAGTGCTGAAATTACAGACATGTACCACCACACCCAGCCCACACTCTACCTTCTTTTGGTTCACAGTTCATCAGGGTTTTTCTTACCACTTCTATGAACACATAGCCTCTGTTATGAAGTAGATCAATTCAAATCAGTTCTTTATGTGAATTTCCTCATTAAATTCTATAACCATCCTAGGAGATTGGCACTATTATTATCCCCATTTTACAGAGGAAGAATTTTTTTTTTTTTTAGACAGGGTCCTGCTCTGTCACCCAGGTTGGAGTGCAGTGGTGCCATCTTGGCTCACTGCAACACACTCTGCCCCCTGGGGTCAAGCAATCCTCCCACCTCAGCCTCCTGGGTAGCTGGGATTACAGGTGTGTGCCACCACACTCGGCTAATTTTTGTATTTTTTGTAGAAATGGGGTTTTGCCATGTTACCCAGGCTGGTCTTGAACTCCTGGACCCAAGCGATCCGCCCACCTCGGCCTCTCAAAGTGCTAGGATTACAGATGTGAACCACCACGCCCTGTCCACAGGGGAAGAAATTGATGCATGGAGAGGTCTGGTGATTTGCTCAAGGTCACCCAGCTAGTGAGTAGCTGAGCCACAAGTCAGCCCAGGCAATGTGGCCCCCAGAACCTAGACTCTTAGGCATTCTGATCCACTGCTTCCCACACTGCCTTCTTGAGATCTGCTGGCTCTGCTCAGGACACTGGGACAGCAAAAACACAGCCCCAGTCCTGAAGAAATCAGAGCCTTAGAGGTCAAAGTGGGAAGAGACAGTGGCAGGTCATGTGGCTCAGGCCATTATTCAAGCAGCATTAGGTCAGGTCACTAATCCCACCTGGAGCAGGAAGTGGGACAGGCATCAGATAGGGAGGCATAGGCCCAGAGACAGGTGGCACATTCTGGCACCAACACGGCAGTGATTGCAGCTGGAGCCCACAGGAGGATGTGATGAGGCTGGGGGTGCTGGCAGGAGCCAGATCACGGGAGCCTTGGAGCCCCTTGAGAACCTTGGCTGTCACCTCTTAACACAGTTTCATGACCTCATGCCCTGCTGGGCTGGGGCAGATGGTCCTGATCCACAGGCGAGAGATGGGAGAAATGCAGGGGCCAGTTTGTCAGGCATGTGGCAGAAGGGAGGTTGCTTCTTGTCTACTCTGAGCTGCTGTCTCCATCTGTCAAGTAAAATGTGCCTGCCTTTCCAGAGTTATCGTGAGGACTCGGCAGCAAGCCAATGGCAGGTCTCGATGATAGTCTTTTTGCCCCTCACATGTCACAGAGTTGCAGGTTCCCAGGGCTGTGCTGCCCACCTCCCTTGTCCTGGATAGGATGCACAACCCGAGTGGCTGGCTGAAGCACAGATAGAGAATATCTCAGCTTCTCTAGAGTCTCTTTGCCTGTCTGACAAGTTTCCAAAAGCAACTCTCAAGTCCTCCCAGGGTCCCTGGGTAGCAGAATGATATAAAAGAGGCCAGGCTACCTCAAAGCCAAGGCATCCACTTTAGAAAAGCTTCCTTTGTGACTTTAATAATTTCTTTCTGAAGGGTGGCTTTGGCCACTCATCTCACTACGGTTCCTGTTGCAAGGTAGCCATCTAGAATCATCCAGAAGCTTAGCTCTTCAAGCCCACTTCAGAAATCAGAACACACCAATGTGCTTTGAATCTGAGCTAAAGGAAGTTACATGGTTTAGCAAGCAATTGAGGGCTTATGTGGTTCGTTTCAAGTTTTTTGCTTGTATCCAAAGAACATTCCAAGCTACCCCTTTGGATTCAAAGGTTTTCTTTCTTTTTTTTTTTTTTTTTCCACCAAGTAGACTTTTTAAAGGAGGCTGATCCTTTTTAGAAACTCCATCCTTTATTTTCCTTAAGGACTTGTCAAAGAGGTTCAAACAATTCTCCTGGCAAATCATTCCTAAATATTCATAGATTCATCAAAGAGCTGCTAGATTCTTGCTATGTGCCAAATACTGTGTTAGCCTTGGGGGTGAAGAAATGAGTGAGCACACATCCCTGCCTTCTGGACCGCTCTTTTTACCTAGTGAGGTAAAGTTTATTAACAAGTAAGAGAATAGCAGGTTGGGTATCAACTCACAGTCAGAGCTCTGGAGGAAAGAAACAGCATGCCATAGCCAGGGGCTGAGGAGCGCTCCTCCTGCAGATAGAGTGATCGGAAGAGCTTCTCTGCAGAGTTGACATCTGAGCTGAAACCTGGAGCATGAGGAGGAGCCAGGAAGGTTAAAGTGATAAAGGAGGCACTTTCCAAACAGGGAACAGCACACATCCAGTCCCTGAGATGCCACCAAGTGTGGCATGTTCAAGGAGCATAGTTAAGTGAGGGAGGGGCAGGAGCGCAGCTACAGGAGAGGATGGTGGTAGCGCTTTGCAGGCCGTGGGGAGGCATCTCACGATAACGCCGTTTTCCCTCTTGCTTTTTTTTTTTTTTTTTTTTTTTTTTTTTTTGAGACGAGTCTCAGTCTGTCACCCATGCTGGAGTGCAGTGGCATGATCTCGGCTCACTGCAACCTGCTCCTCCTAGGTTCAAGTGATTCTCCTGCCTCAGCCTCTACAGTAGCATGAGCCACCACGTCCAGCTGATTTTTTAATTTTTTTTGTATTTTTAGTAGAGACTGGGTTTCCCCAGTCTGTTGGCCAGGCTGCTCCCAAACTCCTGAACTCAGGTGATCCACCTGCCTCGGCCTCCCATGGTGCTGGGATTACAGGCGTGAGCCACCATGCCCAGCCCTCTCTTGCATTTTAAAAACCACATCACTTATTCTTTCTTTCAACATAGTTGTTGAACATATTCTAGGTGTCAGGCTCTGAGTAAGATGCAAGACAAGAATGATGAGCAAATAATATAAAATAAGACCAAAACAGCAAGGGGTCCACTGAGCCATGCCAGCTGAGAAGGGAAATTCATGTTGAAATGAAGGTCACTGGAGCTGTTGGGGTCCAGTGAGAACATTGGAGCAGAACTTTGGGCTTAGGCTGGATCCATCCCACATGTAGGGGGACCTGAGAGAAGCAGTGAAGAAGGAAAACAGTGGTGTCAGTCAGACCAACCACGGGTCAAATCCCAACTCCAGCTGCATGAGCTTGAGCGAGCCACTCACCCTCCCGGAACCTCAGGTCCCTCGTGGGTCTTGCCTCTCAGCTGTTGCCCAGAGTAGACGAGTGTGGCTGTGAAGTGACAAGCCCAGGGCCTGGCAGACAGTAAGTGCTCAGGAAGCATTGTCTGAACAGAGATGGAGCAGTCTAGTATGTAAGGTGGGAAAGAAATAGGGTCTTTCATGATCTAAATCTACCAAAGCTTAATGCCAGAGAAAAGAGAGTTAGGAATAGGATTTTTTGGTGAATATCAAAATCCAAGTTTAAGCCACTAGCCATCTGTATATAGTCATCTTGGAAGCGGTTATGAAACACCCATATTTGCACGAGGTTTTATTTGTCCCCACATTGTTTCCCTGTTCCTTTGTAAAACCACAAGCAGTTTTTGTGTTTATCACTATTGGCCTTGAGGAAATAGAATATTTTGCTTTATTTTTTCGATGTGTATTATACATTAAAGAAAATACAATAACATCTCATGCAGTTTCAAAAGTAAAGGGAACAGTCTTTCCCATGATTTCATCACCCTAAACAAACAATACTTAGACATCTTTTGTGCTCCTCCTATCTTTGTCTGTAAAAAGAGTGTACTGTGGTCTTGCTTTCATCCCTTCTTTTTCTTTCTTTTCGTCGTAGCACAAGAAGTTTTTCATGTTGTCACAGTTTAAATAAGTCTCATTTCTTATGGCCTCATAAAGGTTCATCTGGCATTTTCTTGCAAGTAGACATTTTCGTTGCTTCCAGTATTACATTATTTTCAACTAAACTATAATGAGCAGCTTCATGAATACAGTGTTTTTCTTTCTTTTGAATTATTTCTTTAGGATAAGTTCCCAGAAGCGGAATTTCTGGTTCAAAGGGTATGAATGTGTTTTTTTCATGACCCTCTGCATATTGCCAAATTGCTTTCCCGATGGGTTGTGCCCACATTAAACTGCTTCGGCCCTCTTTTAAGAATGACTGACTTTCACAGCTACATGGCCTCAGTGGGCTTCTAACTTGAGTGACTGTCGCCTAAACTAGGCAGCTTGCACATGCAGCAAGGAAGCAGGAGGGTGAAAACCGAGCCTTTGTTCCAGGCCAGCTCGTGGGCTCAGCACATCACCGGTGCCATCCCGTTGTACCTGCACGGTGGGTGCCCCATTTCCAGAACACAAGCCTGGGCTTGGGCACGTCACGTGATTACCAAGCCCCAGCTTGAGCCACAGTGTGTCTGACTACAGAGCCACCCACCTTCCCCTGCTCATTGGACTGATTCCCCGGTGACATTGAGTTTGCCAGAATTTGCTTCCAGACTCATTGAAGCAAAGAAACTGGAGCAATCTCTTTATATTTGAGCTTGGTCAGCTGTCATCCTTTTCAAAATCTAACCTGTTCTTCCTGGGTCAGTCCTTCCTGATATTCTATGGAAGAATCTGAAAGAATAATAATTTATTTTTCCTTTTTAATAATACTTTTAAATTTGCGTCTTTATTTAGCAAAGAAAAGCGCTCAATAAAACCCTGGGTCCCAAGCCTTAAATCTTTTGGAGGTCAAGGAGTGTGGTTGGAAGAACACAGAGCTTGGAATCTAGTTATTCACTAACTGACCTTGGGCAGGCTGCCTGTCATTGCTCAGCTTTGGTTTCCCCATCTGTAAAATAGGAACCATGCAGAGTCATTAAAAGCTTAGATGAGACAACCCCGTACAGCTGGCATAGTATGCGGCAGGCCATGGGGAATCAAGAGAGTGCTTATTGTTTTGGGTGTGGTGGGGTGAATTTTATGGCTCTTATGCTCATATTTTAGCTTTCTTTTGTGAATTTACAGAGTTGTGGGGCTGCCCAATGTGCCTACCAGGCCCTTATAACCCCCCTACCCCCATGGGAGCCCAGGTTTTGCCTCGAGTGGAGCTCCCCGCCCTGTGGGAATCGGCCCGCCTCAGATTCATGGACATGGCTTCTCATGTGTCCTTCCTTCTCTTAGGAGTTGGGGCAGGAACCAGGAAAAACATTGAGAGATTTTATTATACAGTCATCCCTCGGTATCCATGGGGAATTGGTTCTAGGGCTCCCCCAAGGATACCAAAATCCACAGATGCTCAAGTCCCTTATATAAACGGCGTAGTGTTTGCATATAACCTATGCACATCCTCCTGTAGACTTTAAATCGTCTCTAGATTACTTATGATACTGAGTACAATGTAAATGCTATGTAAATAGTTTGTTATACTGTATTGATTAGGGAATAATAAGGAAAAAAGTCTGTACAAGTTGAGTACAGATGCAACCCTTTTTTTTTTTAATATTTTTGATCTACAGTTGGTTGAATCCACAGATATGGAACCCATGGATACAGAGAGCTGACTGTATGTGTATTATATTCTATTTTATATTTATGATGATGATTGTTATTATCCATGTGTTGTTTGCAAGGCAAAAGCAGATATTGGCCTATATTGGGAGCCAAATTCTGAACTTTTAAAGTATTTATTGAAAGGTTACAGTTTTTCAGAGTGGTGGGCTGCAGAAAGCCACACGTTTCTGTTTTCTTACCCACCTGCTCTGGTCCTGCATGAGTTATTTGCCTTCAAAACCCCAAGAGGAACAGGCGTTTGGGCACAGAAATGAGCGTCTCCTTGACTTGGACCTGGCTGTGATGGGCCGTTTCCTTTCTTTCTCATCCTCATGGTCATGACTCCTTATTTGAGAGCTCAAGCTGCCAAATATTTCAAGTGACCACCCACGTCTTGGGCTTTCTGTACTTGGACTGCCATGGATGTTTAAGTTTCCTGGTGCACTTGGTTAAGTGACACACATGTCATACATTCCTGAGTTCACACCCAGCTCAGCCACTTAGCAGGTGTGTGAGCTGAAATAACTCTGCCCCTCTCAGCTCTGTTTCTTCCTCCATAAAATCTTCAAGTTACAATAAGGTGCCCACAGTTCCTGCCACCCCGTAAGTGCTTAAAAAATAGAAGTTCTTTTGAATTTTTTAATGGAACTACACTTCTTTTTCTCCCAATTGTTAGAGATGTCTTTATGAAGACTGTACTTTTAAAAACTGTTGACAATCAGATACGAATGCTACCACCACCATCATCATCATTATAACTTAAGAGCTGATCTTTCTCCAGTGCTTTCTGGTTTACAGAGGACTGCACTACCTTAGCATAGGGCCAGGAGATAGGATTGCTCTTCCAGTTCCAACATTAGGAAGTTGCTCCAAGGTCTCCCACTGGTTAGGGCGCAAGGCAGCACTGGGTGTAAGCAGGCTGACCAGCTCCTCATTGCCTGGGGTATGAGGAGGCAGTGTGAGTGCACCTCTTTGCAGACAGTAATTTGGCCCCTTTCTAGTTTTGGGAGGCACACTGCTGTATAGAGGGCACCTCCCCTCACCTAGGTCCAGACTGCAGCCTTCAGAGCCATAAACAAGAAGACCCAAAGGCGCACTGGGATTCGCCTTTGCAGCTCCCTAGTGGTGACAGTGGTTTGTCCCCCCAACCCCACTGTGCTGGCTGCTTTCCCTCCTGCGTTATCTCAGAACCTCCTAGCAGGCATGCGAGCTATCATGCCCATTTTACAGATGAGGAAAAGGAAGCTCACAGAAGTCAGGGGACTTGCCCAGCCTAGTGGAACTGGGAATCTGATGTAGACCTCATGTGTCTGACTCTGGAGCTGTCCCCATGGGGCACTGCACCCTCAGTCAGGCCCAGCAGCTGTGCCTCAGGGAGAGAGGCCTGCAGGTGGCCTTTTCTGTGGACTGCCCCTCTGCTTCCTTGCTCTGGTTGGTGGGCAAGCCTGTCCTGGGGCTGGAGGCTGCTTTCTGCACACACGGCTCCGACTGCTGGGACTCTGCTTTGTTTCTGCTCTCTGAAAGTACCTGGTGGCCACACAATTCTGACCAGACACCACTTCTATGGGCCAGGAATCCCTGTGCTGGTGGATCCACCTGTGCCCCTGGTCTGCTGGCAGGGAAAGCCTGAGGGGCATTCAGGGAACCAAGGTCACTGCCCACCTGCTAGGTGCGAGGTCTCTGCCCCGTCAGCAGCACACCCCCTGTCGTAAGACCAAGGGAGCGGGAGTTGAAGAGACTCACCCAGGGTAGGATTTTCCTCAGGTCTCAGGCCCTGCAGCCCACAGGCATTTCATTTCACCCTCTTCTGTCTGCCCCACCCCCGTATTCAGTAGGTAGTACCTTGAAATGCTTTTGGAGTGATTGGGTTTTCCAGAGCCCATGCTGGTTTGGTTGGGACAGACAGACTCAGGGTCTAGCCCTTGCTGGAAGCATGGCCTGGGCAGGTCACTTCACCTTCTTAGGTCTCAGCTGCCCGGTCTGTGAAATGGGGCTGACTGCTGGGCAGGGATTATTATGAAGGTCACCTGATACTTGGGGACAAGGTCCTGGCAGATGACGGGTGCTCAGTTCAGGTAAAGTAACCCAAACCTGAACCTGTGAATAACTGAAAACAGGCTACTCCCCCTTTGATTTTTTTTTTTCTGTCTTGTTATAAAAGCACGTACCAGAATCAAAACACCCGAAGAGGTGGGCTTTATTGCGTTTCTTTCTTTTTTAATAGAGAGTCATGGTGTCATTTCTGGGTGTGGGGCATCTCACTGAAATGACTCTGCAATCTCACTCTTCTCTGCTCTCTGAACTGTTGGTCCAGGCCATCCGGGTGTTCTTCATGCTGCGTTCCCTGTCACTGCAATTGCGAGGGGAGCCTGAGACACAGTTGCCGCTGACTCGGGAGGAGGACCTGATCAAGACTGATGATGTCCTGGATCTGAGTGAGTTGGCTGCTCTGAGTCACAGCAGGGGGCTGGGGGACATGGGACATGGGACACCACTCTGCTGATTCACACGCCACTGGGAGGGTCAGTGTGCAACCTACATTTTGTACTATTATTGAGCTGTGACCTTGAGCCAGCGGTGTGCATGTCCCATGCAGGTTTTGAAGAAAAGGCCCCTGGGTTCTCTGAGATCAGTTTGAGGGTTCTGCTTTCACACAGCTGGTTCTCTAAAAAGTCTCTGCAGAGCACCTGGAGGCTCAAGCAAGGGTGAACAAACTCCAGGGTTCCTGTCCTCCCTATAAACATAGTGGCATCGGTTTGGTTGGTTTTATATATTAAGCATTTTCTATATGATTCTAATGATAAAAGGGTTCTGCTGCTAAAGAAAGAAACTTGTAAAAAGCAAAACACCAGTGTTTAGGTAAGGATGAAGGCTTTGGAGGCTGGAGAACCACGTGCTCAGCCCATAACCTTGAGCTACTTGTTCCGCTGTGTAGTGCCTCATTGTTCTCATCTGCAGCATGAGGCTCAGCTTTAGAGAAGACAATGGGCATAAAGCCTGACCGTGTTCCTGGAACCCCTCTCGTATTTGTATAGCTTTCTCTTTCCTCCATTTGCTACAGGGCACAGGCACACTAATGAGCAGCATGGTTTTCTGTTTCTTAACGGCATTGTGGTATATTAGGAGTCTTTGGTTATAAGAGACAGAAAACTCACCTTAGACCAGCTTAAGGAAAAGAAAGGGAAATTGGCTGATGTCACTGGGAAGTCCAGGAGTAGGCTACCTTCAGGCATGGCTGGATCCGGGTGCTCAGACACTGTCATCAGGAAGCTGCCTTCCTCCGTCTCCCAACTCTGCTTTCCTCTGTTCATCCTCAGGAGGGCTCTCACCAGGTAGTGGCAAGATGGCCTTCAGCAGCCCCAAGATTTGTTGAGCCAGCTACACAGCCCTGATGGAAAGAGAAGCTTCTCTTTCCCTTTAATTCTCTAAAGTCTGGGGTAGACGTGTTATTGGCCTAGCTTGGGGCACATGACCATCCCTGAACCAGCCAGTGGTCAGAGGAATGTGACTCACTGATTGTCTAAGCTGGGGTCGCATGCCCAGCCTTGGAGCTGGGAGGGAGGGAGGGCCAGTTCCTTTTGAACCCCATCACCTGAGAGAGGGAAGAGGCGACCCTCAAAGGAAAGCCACCAAAGAAGGGATGGTGGCTGGGTGGGCAGAAACAGCACAGGGCCACTCTCTGTAGCACTGTTGTTGCTGTTTTAAATCAGCTTTATTAAGATATAATTTATATACAAAAAAACTCCCCAAGGGTTAGTGTATAATTCAATGAGTTTTGACAAAACTATAGAGTTGTGATCTAGACCCTGCTTTGTATTCCCTTGAACAAATGACAGGACCCCCACAGCCTCCGTTTCGTCTCCTGTAAAACGAGATGGTCTTTCTTAAAATACAGAATTGTTTTCAGGATTGAATGAAATAGAACATGAAATATCACGTGACCAAGCATAGTGCCTACCGTGTAACTGTACTCAGCAAACTGTAGTCAGTATTACAGGAGGTCATGCGTGTGAAGAGCATAGCATGCCGCCTGACACGTAGAGGTTCTCAGTGAATGAGTATTGTGTGTTACCTGGTTGTCTGGTTTCTTTTTCTGGCCTTATTTATGTTTTATCTTTCCCTTTCTTGGAAGAATAAAGCAGCTGTGACGCCTCTCTGCCTGCTGCCCAACTCCTTTGGCCCTTTTGCCCTTGAGAAATGGCCACAGGAATTTCTCTAAGGGTTTAAATTGATCAAGTTGGCTGCAAAGAATCATAAACCAGTCTTTCTCTGATTTGATTCAAGGAGAGAAAGAGCTTGCTTTGGGGGGGTGGGGGAGGGCAGTGGGGAGGGGGCACTTCATCAGGGCAGCAAGAATGTTTGCATCCGTGAAATGGAATTAAATTTTATGCTGGGAATTCACATTCCTTCTCTCCTCCCCCTAGGAATGGCCTGCTGGAATAAAGGTTCAAAGTTTTTCACTTATCAATTTTAATTGATTAGATTGCTAGTTGAGATCACTTAACTGAGCCTTTTTGGGTAGTTGGCCATTAAGAAAGTAATGGCTGTTTGTCTTTGCCCAGCCTGATTGCAAATTATGTCTTTTGCTAAGGAGGGCGACTTTCAGAAAATAGTAGGGATTATGGAAGCACGTGGTACTAGGATAAGATATGCCTGTATTGTTGGTTTATTTGGTTTTTTTCTTCTTTCCTTTTTTTTTTTTTTTTTTTTTTGAGGGAGGGATTGTAAATGCTGGAGCTTCTCCTCACCTTCCATTGTGGGGGAAAATCACCCTAGTGTGCAATCTGACCAAACGCCTTCTGTATACAAAATACAGGTGAAGGACAGGTGAAGCCATTCTTGCTTGCTGCATGACTGGAAGCTGGGCATGTTTTTGTCTCCCTGATGAACTTGAGAAAGCTGACTCCGGGAGAAATGTTAGGGACTGCTCACCATTTACCTGACTCCATGTGGTCTGCTAGGCTTAAAGGAGTGCTGTCTCCAAACAGCAGGAAGAGGTGGCGTAAAGTGTATTCACTGCCCCTTGTCACACTTCAGTAAGAAACAACAGCGTAAAGGATATTCCCCAGAAGCCACCCCAAGTGCTTGCTGACCAGCAGCAGGTCTCTCGGCTGGGTGTGACAGCCGAGCTCCGGCTGTCATAAAAGGTGGCTTCTCATGGGGAGCATTAAAGATGTGGTCACCACTCAGCAAAGAGGCAAACTGGTCATGCTTAAAGTGAAGCCTGTTTTGTTTTTCACTAGAGAGGAGAGTGGCAGAGGGCAGAGGTCAGGAACTGGCAGCCACGTGTGCCACATCTGCTGGAGTGATGGGGGGCTGGGGTGGGAAGGAAGAGAGAGAGGAAGGGAGGGAGGGAAGTGGAAGGAAGTTGAAGGGAAGGAGGGATTGGAGGAAGAAAGGGGAAGGGAGGGAAGGGAAGAGGGGAGGAACTAGATAAAACAGTGGATTTCTAGAGAAAATAGCATCATGAATCTCCATATACCCAGCCCTCAGCTTCAACAGTTTTTACCATTTAGCTAAGTTTTATTTTATCTGCCCTTTCATCTGTCTATTTAAAATACGCCACCCACCCACACAGTGTATTAAAGCAAATGGAAGACATCATATTATTACATCTAGAAATACCTCTCTCTAACAGAGAAGGACTTTGTATTGTTCCTTTTAATGGAATTGATTGCCACCATTTGCAAACCGAGTGCCTCCCCAGCCCCAGCTGCTGCTTTGGAATGGAGGCCAGGGTGCAGGGGCCTGTAGACAGGGCCTGTGCTCACCCATGTGCTGCCGCCCGGGTCTTGTTGACATTTGATTTTGCAGCCACTGGCATCATTGGAGTAATCATCTTTGTAATCTTCCCCAGAGTCTTCATGCCTGTGAGGCTCAGTAGCCTTACCTTTGAAATGGTTCTAGGGCTGGATGTGGTGACTCACACCTGTAATCTCAGCACTTTGGGAGTCTGAAGTGGGAAGATCACTTGAGCTCAGGAGTTCAAGACCAGCCTGAGCAACGTAGTGAGACCTTGTCTCTACTAAAATCCAAAAAAATAGCCGGTTGTGGTGGCAGATACCTGTAGTCCCAGATACTTGAGGGGCTGAGGTGGGAGGATCTCTTGAACCCGGGAAGTTGAGGCTGCAGTGAACCCTGATCATGCCACTGCACTCCAGCCTGGGGGACAGAGTGAGACCCTCTTTCAAAAAAATAAAAACAAAACCAAAACAGGGTTCTAAAAGACTTTCCAAGGAGCTCAAATGAGATCACATGTAAAGCTCACAGCACCATGCTTGGCACTTAGTAGGTGCCCAGTGAGTGGGAGTTGGCTGCTTCCCTGCTGCAGCTGCTGAATACGCAAGCTGAAACTCATCCTGCTGGGCTCCATGGGGCTGGCATTTTCTGCTTAAGCAACACTCTGAGAACAGTGTCCTGAGACATTCAGGTCATTGCTCGGATGATGGCACTGTTTTGAGGGGTAAGAAAGATATAGCTCTGGCTGCTTTGGCCAGAGGAAGGGAGCTGTATCCCGTCTAGGCTGTGAGACTCACTCACTCCAGTGTGCCTCCTGAACAGGGACAAGCAGGCTTTGAGGAGAAACCACAGATTCCTTGGGATTGACCTCAGAGCCTCCTTAAAGGATTCTTGCCTGTTTCCAAATATCATGAGCAACCACAATAGGGGAGAAATCTGTCCATTATCCATACACCCCAAAGAGACACCTGGCAACCAGGTGTGTTCAGTGTCCAGTTTCCTTGCAGCCTGTTCATGTGGGCACCTAACATTCACATAGTTGCAGCCATAGCATGTGCTACATGTATCTAACTTGTATTCTGATTTCTAAAATCAATTCGTGAAGCCCATTCAATGAAGACCCATTCATGCATTCAGCTATTTATTGAGCACCTGCTGTATGCCAGGCACAGTGCTAGGAGCTGAGATGTGAGAGTGAGCAAAAGCCAGACTTCACTTCTGTTCTTGAGGTGTTTCCAGTTGTGGAGGGAGCAACCACTAACAGGTAGGTTAAGTAAATGCATGATCACAGACTGATTGGGATGGCTCCATAGAGGTGATGAGCAGGGTCCATGCTGGAGAATAACCAGGAGGAAAATCCTCATGGGCTGGTTAGGGAAGGCCTCTCTGAAGAGGTGCTGTGCCAGGAGGGACCAGAAGCTTCTACGAGAAAGCACAGAAATGAGGACTGCCTTTTAAGGATGGCAGAGGTGAGGCTGAGGTGGGAGAGAGGGTGCTGTGTCCCAGGGTCCTCACAGAAACTTGGGTGGCTGGCACACAAGTAGCAAGAGTGGGTCAGTGGCTGGGAAGAGCCAGATCTCAACTACAGGGCTTTCTCACAGGGACATCTGTCCCAAACGGACACTTCTAGAGCTGGCACTGCCTGGTCAGACGGTCCCAGAAGGGGCCTTCGAGCTGCACTGGGGGCTAGAAAGGCCTGCAGCAGGGCGGCGAGGAGCATGGACTCAGGGGCCAGACTGTGCCTGGATGGAAGTCCCAGCTTTGCTGCCTTCTGCTTGCCAGCTGTATTACCTTAAGGGAACTGAGTCTCCCGGCACTTCAGTTTCCACAGCTGTGAAATAGGACTTGCTGGGAGGAGTAGATGAGCATTATCTGTGCTGTGCCTAGAACAGTGCCTGACAGAATTGCAGAGAGGCCATTTAGGAGGCTGTGGCAGGGACCAGGGGTCAGTGCTAGTGGGCAAAGAGGGACGGGACAGTCTGGGTACAGCATTTTGTGACAGTTTGCAGTGGCGATGCCAGAGAGCTCGGTTAACTCTGGGGTTCTGAGCTTGGGGCAGTCCAGGGGGCAGGGGCTGGGAGGATGGTGATTCTGTCATCAGCAGGGCTGATCCTGGAGGAGGAGCTGGTTCCAAGCAGAAGGTGCTGAAGTTGGTCGGGCGGCCAGGTGAGACGTGCCATGAGGGAGCTCAGCCAGGATGTCCGGTGGGCGGGGGAGCAGTCCGGAAGCCTCCTCGCTACTTCATAGATTCAGAACTCTTGTGTTTAGTAGCCTGCATGATATTCTGTTGTCTGAGACTTCTGACGTAACCATGGTGCAATTTTGGGTCATTTTTACTCTTGCCTGGCATAACCTAGCTGGCTGTTCCTCAAAAGATCCTCGCGACAGTGTGTTAGATCATGTGGTGTGTAAGGGAAGTCCTGAAACCTGCAGAGAAACGTCTGTGAATAAGCAGACCTCTGTACACTGGGTGTGAGTGCTCTCCCAGGCTTGAACATACTTCCCAGGGTCTGGGGGCCTGGAAAATACTCATCAAGTACAGAACAGTAGGTCCCAGCCCTTAGGATTTCATAGCCCAGAAAAGCATCAAAACAAAAATAAAAAACAAAGCTTTTGGGGACGGATCGCCAACTTTTGTTTGTTTACCGAGTAGTCATTTTTAAAAAAAGCATTTATGAACAATCATTCCATAAAAGAAAAGACATTGTTAATATTGAGTAGGTAGCACATCATTTCAGAACGAGGGTAGTCTTTCCAAGAAACAGTAGTGGCAACTGTATACACACATACTGTGCTTTAATGGGGAGTGGGTTTGTTGTTGTTGTGGGGGTTTTTTTTTTGGTTTTTTTTTTGTTTGTTTTTGTTTTTTTTTTTTTTTTTTTTTAAAAAAAGCAAGTGCAGACCAATTACTCTAGCAAAAGCCAGTGACTCTGTCTTTCCAAGCTTATGGGGAAGGCAAACTCCAATCACAGCAGCACAGATCAAACTCAGATGACCACCGTGTTTCCTGTTCTAAGAGCAGGTGACGGGGTTTAACCTGGCTGGAGGTCAGGGAGGCTTCTGAAGGAGGGGCCCATTTGAGGGCTGCAGGGGGGGTGTGGGTGCCGAGAAGTGGCGCAGAAGAAGCAAAGGCCCTGGGGCCGATGGGGATTTGGGGAAGATGAGAGACGGCAGTGTGGCCACAGAGTCGGGGAGTGGGAGGGTGAAGGTGGTTGGCAAGATGAGGCTGGGTAGGAAGCCATGCAGGCCCTGTGGGCATATCAAGTGTTCAGGGTTCTATCTTAAAAACAGTGAGAAAAGTTTTTACCTAGCTGATGTGATCAGATTTGTATCTCAAAAGGCCCTCTCTGGCCTCAGTGGAAGAGATTTATGGGTCAGGGCAGCATTACAGCAGGGAGCCCCATGGGGAGGCCAGGCCTACAAGGCATGAACTAAGAGGTGGTGTCCACAAGCTGGCATCCACACCAGGCTCGGACAGTCTGGTTTGCCCCAGAGACTTGTCTTGAATGCTGCTCTGTCCACTCTGTGGCCTAGGTACAGGGGCTTTTATTGCACAGAGGTCCATCCAGTTGGATCCGGCGTGTTCTCCAAACCGTCGTACCTTTGAAGCTAATTATTAACAACAACCCAACTATTTGGGTTGTATTCACCTCCTGGCAAGGCAGGCTGCTGTGGACCTTCCCTTTGCTCTCCTTCTGGCTGTTTCCAGGCCAGGACTTGCCTGTTTAAAAGTCAGGCTGCGGTTATGGAGGAAGCCTTGGATCCTAGACAAATGCAGACCGAATCTCAGCCATGCTTCTTCCTAGCCATGTGACTTTGGACAAATCTATTCCCCTCTCTGTGCTTTAGTTCCCTCATTGATCAAATGAGAACAGCGATGCCCAACTTTGCAGGGTTATTGTAAGGCAGAACAATAAGGTGGATATAGAGGTTGCAAACAGCTGGTCCTCAGGCAGGTGGGCCCACAAATGTAGCTTCATGGCTAGTAAAGCATTTGCAAGCGAATTTTATGTTGCTAATGTTTTAAAATCAGGATATTTTATCGTAAAAACCTAGCTATCACCTTGAATATGAGACAGTGACAGTCTGTCCACGCAGAGCCTGCATCCCCACAGGCAGCAGTCAGTTGCTCCTCTTCATGGGAGTGAACCCTTCTCCCAGCTGCTAGAGTCTCTGCTGAACTCCAGACCTGTGTACTCAGCTACCTGCCCAACATTTCTTGGTTACCACAAACACAAGATGTGAGCTTTCCCACAAAACCTGTCTCCCTGCAGGCTTCCAGACAGTTGATGGCAGTTCCATGCTGGTGGCAAAAACCACAGGCTCATCCCTGACTCCCCTCTTTCTCTCAAGCTCAACTTCCAGTTGGTCAGCAGACCTATTCAGCCTCTGCCGCAAAATACAGTCAGCCCTATGTGTCCTCAGGTTCTGCATCTGAAGATTCAACCAACCACAGATTGAAAACATTTCTATTTTTATTTAATTTTTAAAATTTATTTATTTTTTGAGACAGAGTCTCGCTCTTTCATCTAGGCTGGAGTGCAGAGGCACAATCTCGGCTCGCTGCAAGCTCCACCTCCCAGATTCAAGCAATTCTCATGTGTCAGCCTCCCGAGTAGCTGGGATTACAGGTGCATGCCATCACGCCTGGCTAATTTTCTTTTTTTTTTTTTTTTTTGTATTTTTAGTAGACATGGGGTTACACCATGTTGGCCATGCTGGTCTCAAACTCCTGGCCTCAAATAGTCCGCCTGCCTTGGTATCCCAAAGTGCTGGGATTACAGGCATGAGCCATTGTGCCTGGCCATTTATTTATTTTGAGACAGGGTTTCACTCTGTTGCCCAGGATGAAGTACAGTGGTATAATCACGGCTCAGTGCAGCCCCAACTTCCCAGGCTAGGGTGATTCTCCCACCTCAGCTTCCCAAATAACTGGGACTACAGGCATGCACCACCACACCCGGCTGAGATTTTGTATATTTTGTAGAGACAGGGTTTCACTATGTTGCCCAGGCTGGTCTCAAACTCCTCTGCTCAAGCAATCCACCCACCTTGGCCTCCCAAAGTATTGGGATTATAGGCATGAGTCACTGTGTCTGGCCTATTATTATTACTATTTTTTTTTTTATACAAGGTCTCGCTCTGTCGTCCAAGCTGGAATACAATGGTGCAATCATAGCTCATTGCCGCCTCCAACTCCCAGGCTCAAGCAATCCTACTGCTGCCTCAGCCTCCTGAGTAACTGAGATCACAGTTTCGTGCCACCATGTCCAGCTGATTTTTTTTTTAATCTTTTGTAGAGACAGGGTCTCACTATGTTGCCCAGGCTGGTCTCAAGTTCCTGAGCTTAAGCGATCCTCCCGCCTCAGCTTCCCAAAGTGCCAGGATTATAGGCATGAGCCACCATACCCAGACTGAAAATATTTTTAAAAAACAACAACAAAAAAATACAACCATGCAAAATGAGCAGATTTTAAAAACAGTACAGCATAACAACTATTTACATAGCCATCTCATTGTATGAGTTATTATAAGTAATCTAGAGATGGTTTAAAGTGTGTGGTAGGATGTGCATAGGTTATATGCAAATACGACACCATTTTATATGAAGGACTTGAGCATCTGTGGATTCTGGTGTCCTCTGAGGGGTTCTGGAACCAGTCCCCATGGATATGGAGGGACGACTGTATTGTCAGGATGTTACCTTCTCTCCCAGCTTCTCCCAGCACCTTGTTTGAACTGCCACCATTTTTTTTTTTTTTGAGACGGAGTCTCACCCTATTGCCCAGGCTGGAGTGCAGTGGCGCAATCTCCACTCACTGCAAGCTCCGCCTCCCGGGTTCACACCATTCTCCTGCCTCAGCCTCCCGAGTAGCTGGGACTACAGGCGCGTGCCACCACGCCCAGCTAATTTTTTTGTATTTTTAGTAGAGACAGGGTTTCACTGTGTAGCCAGGATGGTCACGATCTCCTGACCTCGTGATCCGCCCGCCTCGGCCTCCCAAAGTGTTGAGATTACAGGCGTGAGCCACTGCACCCGGCCTTTTTTTTTTTTTTTAAGCTAGAGATGGGATCTCACTATGTTGCCCAGGCTGGTCTCAAACTCCTGTGCTCAAGCATTCCTCTTATCTTGGCCTCCCAAGGTGCTGGGATTACATTCATGAGCCATTGCACCCAGCTGTGCCATTATCTTTTACCTGAATTATTGCAGTAGTCTCTTGCCCAGTCACTTGCTTCTGTTTTGTCCCCTAGAGTTTATTCTCAGCAGCATGAACTGTCTTCCTTTTAAACGAGAAGCCAGATCATGTTCTTCATTTGTTCAAAGTGGGCTCCCATGCCAGTCTGAATAAAAAACAGAGACCTTTACCCCTGAGGCTTATTATGTGACACCACCTCCCTGTCTCTGCCTCCTTGCTCTTCTTCAAACACACCTGGCATGTACCCACCTCAGAGTCTTTGCTCTGACTGTGCCTTCTTACCAACCCCAACCTGCAAACCATTTGTTCCCTAGCACAAGTACACTGGAGGGCACCACGAGGCCCATGAAAGCTCACACACGAAAACCGTACCCCAAATTCTTGCTCCATGTTTGAAATCCTGACCACATCGCCCTGTTTGTTTATTCTTCATTTGCGGATTAATGTGAATATCATAAAGATTCTGCAGGATCCAACTTCCTAGCATTCTGCGTGCTTCGCCCCAGCTTCTTTGCAGACAAGAGCTTTTAGGCAGAGTGGAAGTCCCTGGCTATTTTCATCGGATTGCCTGGAGATTCGTTTCCAGCAAAAGTATTATGAAGCTCCCCAAGCAAGTATGTGGTTTGACTGTCAGTCTGTGAAAATGTGAGCTCATTGATTTCTTTCTCTTGTAAAACCAGTACTAGTTTTGTGGTCCTGTCAGTTCTGGAAAATTCTCTGTGTTGGCTTATTTTGCTGATGACCCAGGCATTGTCATGTGCCTCTCATCCTAGTGAAAATGAGTGGCATAAATGAGAAAGACAATGAAAAACAAATCCAGAATACGGAACATTCTAGAAGACAGCCGACCTGAGTTTTTCAAGAATGTAAATGTTGTGGAAGACCAAAAAAGAGGGGGACGAAGGTAGAGGGGTACTGTTTCTAGATAATTGAAACAAAGTGACATGACAGTTGTCAGCCTGGATTGATCTTAGATTGAGGGGGAAAAGTAGCCTTAAAGGACATTTTTCTGCAAACTGAAGACATTTGCATATGGATTGTGATTGAGTAATATAATTGAGGTCAATATTACGTTTCTTTTTTTTTTTTTTTTTTAAGAGATGGGATCTTGCTGTGTTACCCAGGCTGGAGTGCAGTATTGCAACCTGAAACTCCTGGGCTGAAGTGATCATCCCACCTTAGCCTCTTGACTAGCTGGGACTACAGATGTGCACCACCACACCTGGCTGATTTTTTTTTTTTTTTTTTTTTTTTTTAAGATGAGGTTTCGCTGTGTTGCCCAGGCTGGTCTTGAACCCCTGGGCTCAAGCAGTCCTACTTCAGCCTCCTAAGTAGCTGGGACTACAGGCAGAACCCCTGGCCTGGCTAATATTATCTTTCTTGAGTGTGATAATGCCATTGTGGTTCTGTGGGAGTATGTTCTTGTTCTTAGGAAGTATGGGCTGAAGTGTGTAGGGGTAAAGTGTCTGATGCCTATAATGTTGGACTGATTCAGAAGATAAAACTGTGTGTGTGTGCGGGTATAATGAGAGAGCAGACAAATGCAGCCCACTGTCAACAAGTGATGAATCAAGGTGAAGGGTACATGTTTGTCTGTTACACTGTTGTTTCTTTTTGAGACGGGATCTCGTTCTGTCCCCCAGGCTAGAGTGCAGTGGCACAGTCTTGGCTCACTGCAGCCTCGAACTCCTGGCCTCAAGCGATCCTCCCACCTCAGCCTGTAGTATCTGGGACTACTGGCACGTGCCACCATGCCTGCCTATTTTTTTATTTTTTGTGGAGATGGGGTCTCTCTATGTTGCCCAGGCTGGTCTCCAACTCCTGGCCTCAAGTGATCCTCCTGCTTCGGCTTCCCAATGTACTGGGATTACAGGTGTGAGCTACCACAGCTGGCCTATTCTATTCTTTAAACTTTTATGAGAATTTGAAAATCTTCAAAATAAAAAGGAAGGGACGAGAGAGAGAGAGATAATCCAGTCCTTGAAAATCCAACATTTAATAGATGGGGAGTATAATGTTTAGGAACTGGAGCCCCAGATTTAGAAAAGCCTGGGTTTTAACTCCTGCTGTGTGACCTTGGACAAATTAGTTAACCTCTCTGAGCCTTTCTTCCTCATCTGTAAAGTGGGTCTAATAGTGCCTACCTCAGGACTGTTCTGTTGATTAAAAGAGAAAAGTCCATCAGAAATACTCAGCATCACACTAAGTGTACACAAGTGTTTGTGATAGAAACAGTCATTACAATTCTTCCTCTTGACTGCATATTGGGCACTGAAATATGTCTGTTCTCTTTGGAGGGTTCTTTGTCGGAATCCTAACAAAGCACAGCCTCGTGACTGCTTCTGTCCAGGGGACACATTGAAAAGCAGAGGAGGTAACACAGGCTTGTTAACTAGATAATAAGGTTCTTGGAAAGATGACTTTCAGGAAAGTGGGTGCCGTCTGATTGAAGAGCTGAAACCACAGGATGGGGTGGGAACTTGAATCAGACCCAGATGGCTCCTTGGGGGCAATTTAGTTCAAGCATCCAGGCATGGGCCCTGGAGAAGCGGTTTGCTTAGTGCTGACTCTGAAGTGGACTAATGTTAACATGAAACCCAAGAGGCAAGTATGTACATGGCATTCAAAGAGTTGGATTGCAAGGCGAGTGTGGTTTTGTGGCACTTTGGCCTGTTCTCTGCCCCCACCCCCGGGGTCCCGTGTTTTTGTCTTTAAAGGAAGCACAGTCCTCAGTCCTCATGGGGTCGCTCCACAGGTAGACATTTAATGGAGCAGCTGCTCATCACCCGACCTGCTGACTTGGAATCACTCCCAACCCTCCTCCAACCTCACGATCGGGGGATCATCAGCTCCCTGGACTCCACAGCTCTGCCCCATCCCTGGTCTGGCCTCTCCACACCTCTCCCCTGCCCAGTATCTCCCCCATTCTACCCCAGCCCATGGCCTTGCGCCACGCTGCTTCATCCATCCTGATGCCCAGTATGTAAAAGGCGCCTAACCCGCCATCATGTCCCTGCTTGTAAACTCTCAGATCCTCGCAGTGCAGCGGCCCAAGCTACCCACGACACTCCTCTTCTCCCATATGTCTTGCTGCATCTGCCCACACAGTGCCCAGGCTGCTCACAGGCTCCTGGACACAGCCTGCCTGCCCTTGTCGCCCCTGCCTGGATGGCCCTCCCAGCCTCCTTCCTCCTGCTCCACGTGCCTTGTGCACATTTCAGATGTGCGCTTACCGCTCTGTATATCCCTAGGGCCTGGCACAGGGCCTGGCACATAGTAGACACTCAAGGCTTCTTGGATTGAACTGATTAAAGCTTTAGCAGTCACTGTAATTATTCATAAACACTGAAGGACTTTCATTAACATAGAAATAGCATTTCCAAATCTCATCTTGAGTAATTTCAGGCAGTTGGATTGTGAGTTAGAAAAATGATGTTTGTTCATCATTAACATACATTTGAATAGTCAGGTTCCCACTGCAGACTTTTGTCCCCCTCTAATGACATATACCAAGTATCTTAAACCCATCTTGGCATTTTCTAAAAATGTAGATTGTTTTGATTTCAACGTTTGAGCTACCCCAAATTATTTAACCTCTCTAAGGGCTAAAATGCTTCCTCTTTTCTTCTCTTTTTTTTCTTTTTTCTTTTTCCTTACCCCACTTTGAGGCAGGCACCCTGAACTTGACAGATTGGGAAAAAAATCAAGTTTCAGTTAAACCACCAATTCTCTAAGGAAATGGAAAACATGGAATTCACAATGTTTCCCCTCTCTATGAATTAAACTTCTTCCCTGTGTACTTGATGAATAATGTTGCTGGCCACTTTTCAGAAATGAAGTAGAAATATGGAGAAATGAAATTTGTATCCTATAAACTGACTGGAAATGGGATTGTAATAGAGCTGTCAGTTTTGTTCAAGTGGAAAATTTTTAAGTAAATCCAATTGCAGTATTATTTGGTTCTTTTAAAGGAGAGGGTGATGTAGCTGTTTCCTGTGTATTGATTATTTGATTGGTACCTGTCTGCTGGACCTATTTTTTTTTCCTCAGTGGCATTCATTGATGTGGTTTAATGTATATTCCTGTAATCTTTCCCTGTTTTATAAACTTACAATCATAATTGAGCCACATTAGAGAGACATGTTCTGCTGAGATCACAAGGTCACCTAATGACTGTGCCCTCTTTTGTTGTTGATGTATTGAAGTGGCTCTAGGACAGTTCTTCTGAAAAACACACACACACAAATTATTCTTTTTTCCTTTACAAAGCAGGATTTCTAGATTCAATTCTATGCATTAGAGAAATGAGGCATTTGAGTAGTGGAGACTGTTTGAGCTTTTTTTGCCTATTAAAATTATTGTTTTTAAGCCAGGCACAGTGGATCATGCCTATAATCCCAGCACTTTGGGAGGCTGAGGTGGGAGGATTGCTTGAGCCCAGGAGTTGGAGACCAGCCTGGGCAGCATAGTGAGACCCTGTCTCTACAAAAATTTTTTTAAAAATTAGCAGTGAGTAATGATTGCACCACTGCACTCCGGCCTGGGCAATCGAGCAAGACCCTATCTCAAGAAAAAATATCTATATTGTTTCTGCTGAAGGCACTCTACAGTTGAAATACTTTTTCAAAATACCAGTCCTTCCCACACATTTGGAAATGGGACCATGGTTTTGATTTCTCACAAAGGAAGGGACTTAGTGGCTTAGATTTGCTCAAAAAGCAGTAACTTCCGAGGCACATCAACCCTTGGGATGTGGACAGCTTCTGGGTGCAGCTGCACCAGAGGGCTTCCAGGGAGGGGCAGGGGTCCTGCTGGCGGTTGAGTCCCAGCCCAGCACTGTGACCTTGGATATGTCTGTGTGTGTGTGTGTGTGTGTGTGTGTGTGTGTCTGTGTGTGTGTGTGTATGTGTGTGTGTGTGTGTGTGTGTTTTGAGACATGGTGTCACTTTGTTGCTTTGGCTGGAGTGCGTGGCATAATCATAGCTCTCTGCAACCTTGAACCCCGGGGGCTCAAGGGCTCCTCCCACCTTAGCCTCTAGAGTAGCTGGGACCACAGGCATGTGCTACCATGTCCAGCTAATTTTTAAATGTTTTATAGAGATGGAGTCTTGCTATGTTGCCCTGGCTGGTCTCAAACTCCTGGGCTCAAGCGGTCCTCTTGCCTCAGCCTCCCAAAGTGCTGGGATTACAGGTGTGAGCCCCTGCGCCTGGCCTTGGCATGTTTTTTGACCAGGGGGAGGATGAGGTGCTTGGGAGGATGAGATGTCAGGAGGATGAGACGCTGCCTATCAGTGTTTAGCACTGTGCCTGGCGTCTTGATAGAGCCCAGTTGACGAGGGCTGGCAAAGAAGCTGGTTTTTGGGTTTCTCATCCAAACCCCACTACTCCTCTGTCAAGAAATGATCACTCTAGTTATTCAGCCAAACCTTGGAATATCCTTGTTTCTTCTCATCCCTGTGACCAAGCTCTTAGCAAATCCTGCCAGCTTAAGCATCACATAGATAGAGAACCCAGCTCCGTCTCACTGCCTTTAGCTCCCCTGCAGCTGGTGGGGATTCTAGAAAACTGGGACTAGGGGGTCAGCTTCCTCCTCTGCCCTTTCCACACCAACAGCCAGTAGAATCCTTTTAAATAGACGTCAGACCCTTCAGTGGTCCTGGCTTCCCATTGTGGTGTCAGCTCACTGTGCCATGTGTGCCCCCCATCTGCTCCTCACTGTGCTAGCCCAGTCATACGGAGCTCAAGAGATTTCCCCCTTGGGCCACCGGCTTCAGGGTGCCCCAAAACCCCCACTCTGCCCCACAGGGCTGCCAAAGCCAGCCTCCTTGACAACATCTGGCTGACGGGGAGGGGAGGGCAGTAAGAGCCGCCACAGAAAACAGGAATTCATGGGGGGAGTGGGGTTGAGGATTAACGTTGAGTTTCAAGACATCCCTCGCTCCAGCCCACTCTGTGAGCTGTCTGGGGCTCCGCCTACACACAGCTCCTCACCCTGAAGCTGCTGGGTTCCCCTGCATCACACGCCCACCTTCCCCAGTGAACCCAGCCACCAGATTTGACACAGGATCCGGTGATTGCTCAGGCCTCAGGAGGGGAGGGTTGCCTTCTGGCCCTGATATCTGATCAACCACAGAACACCCAAAACAAATCTCTGAACCAGTGACAGACAGCGCGACCTTTAAGGAAGGTGTAAGTCAGGAGAAGGCCATCTCTCCTATACATCACCTCTCCCAGCCCAGGAAGCTGGCCTGCCAATTGCCCCAGAGTCTGGCCCAGCCACTGACCAGGTCCACCCTGCCCTCAGCCAATGCACACTCTCCAGCCCACCCCAGGGCCTGCTGGGGAGATCAGGAATCGAAGAATGGAGCAGCACTTCCTCCCACCCTCTTGTAGGAGGGAGATGGGTTCTATTCAGATTAGGCAGAAACGCTGAAAAGTATTGTGACCTTGAATCCTAAATCCCCGTTAAAGTTGAGGCTTAGGAAGCACCTGAAATCACAAGGACTGATCATTAGAATCTATTTAAAAACAAAGAGCAGGGCCGGGCACAGTGGCTTAGGCCTGTAATCCCAGGACTTTGGGAGGCTGAGGCGGGAGGATCACTTGAGCCTAGGAGTTCAAGACCAGCCGAGGCAACATGGAGAGACCTTTTCTCTACTAAAAAGGTCGGGCGTGGTGGCTCATTCCTGTAATCCCAGCACTTTGGGAGGCTGAGGCGAGCGGATTGCCTGAAGTCAGGAGTTGGAGACCAATCTGATTGACATGGTGAAACCCTGTCTCTCCTAAAAATACAAAAAAATTAGCCGGATGTGGTGGCATGCGCCTGTAATCCCAGTTACACCGGAGACTGAGGCAGGGGAATTGCTTGAACCAGGGAGGTGGAGGTTACAGTGAGCCAAGATTGTGCCACTGCACTCCAGCCTGGGTGACAGAGTGAGACTCTGTCTCAAAAAAAAAAAAAAAAAAGAAAGAAAAGAAAAAACATTAGCCAGGCGTAGTGGCGTGTGCCTGTAGTTTCAGCTACTTGGGAGGTTGAGGCGGGAGGATCACTTGAAACCTGGGGAGATTGAGGCTGTAGTGAGCTGTGATCGAGCCACTGCACTTCAGCCTAGGGGACAACGTGAGACCCTGTCAAAAACAAAAAGAGCAAAATCCTGATTTAAGACTTAAGAACTCTGGTGGAGGGTGTGAGGGGTCTCTGTATTGCTGGTGACCAGCACAATGCGTGGTGCTGCAGGCGGCCTGGACAGATTTTTCAAATGAATGTCAAATGTTGTTCATACTTCTAAACTTTTAAGAAATGTACAGAATATGGCTAGGCGCGGTGGCTCATGCCGGTAATCCCAGCACTTTGGGAGGCTGAGGCAGGCGGATCACTTGAGGCTAGGAGTTATGACTAGCCTGGCCAACATGGTGAAACTCCATCTCTACAAAAAAAAACGTGTGTGTGTGTGTGTGTGTGTGTGTGTGTGTGTGTGTGTGTGTGTTTAGAGAAATGTACAGAATACTGAGCTTGGGACATGTAAAAGCATAAATTTTCATTTTTACTTTGACCTGCCTGAAAATAGAAGTGAAAATGTGTTTGCCACAGGGGAACCGCTCTAGGGGCATCTGATTTGCTCCTAGGCCAGGCCAGGACAGAGCTGTGACCAAGCGTGAGGGTGGGTGGTGCGAAGGCCCTGTGGTTTCTGGCCCAGCAGGACTTTGAAAACAATCTGTACCCAGACCTCACTCCAGAAGGTTCTGAGTCACTGGCTCCGGGGTGGGGCCCTGACATCTATATTTTCAAATGCTCCCTAAAGGATTCCATTGCATAGCCAGTGTTGAGAACCATGGGATTAGACAGAGTGAGGAATGTTCTGGAACTCAGCACTCAGTGTCTGCTTTGCTGCTTTCCATGAATTCTAGTTCCCTCTAGGAACTCTCCTTGCCCACCTGCTAATCAGCCAGAGGCCATCAGGAAGGCTGGCTTTGGTAGCATGGTACAGCAGTCACATCTCTCTAAGTTCCAAAGTCAGTTTCTCAGGTGGAAACCACCTGCCGTCCCAGTCACCCTCACAGATCCCTCATGGGTGAATGACATTTCTCAATGAGGAGTGGGTCCGGCACAGCCAGTCTGAACTGCAGGGCTGCAGTAGACCCCGTCGTTGAGCAGGTTTTAGAGGAAGAGGTTGGCCATGTCAGATGAAATCCTGGTTTCTTTACCAGGGAGAATCATGCTGGGCACTTTGAGGGGCGCTCAAGGGATAGGCAGGAAGAGCCAAGCCCATGAGGGAGGCAGATTCCCATCTGCCCCTAAGGTTCCCTCATGGGTCTGGCAGCCCGAGAGGCCTGTGGTATTTAAGCTGTTTACGCTTCTCTCCCTCTCCTCTCCACTTTCCTGCATCCGTGTAGTTGAGTTTGTGGAAGTTAAGCTTGCATACAGTGTGCCTCTACCTGACTTGAAGACAAATCACTTGCCCTCTCGAGCCTTGGGCACCTGTCTTGAGAGGAAGGGCCTGCGTAATAGGTTGGGCCTCCTGGATGCTCCCCAGCCCTGCAGCCCTGCAGCCCCACACACAGCTACATGTGTGCTCAGAAGGTAGCTGAACCCATTCTGTGCTTGGCCTTGTGTATAATCACTTGCATGGGCTAGGCAGGAGATTCCCTTGCAGAACTTGAAACTCCCTGCAGCACTGAAACTCCAGCCATCCCTATCTCTTGTGGTTGTTCTGAACCAGTGCCAGTCTTGGAAATGGCCTGTTTTGTTTCAGGCAGTCATAAAAATGCCTTAGGAGTAGAGACTGTCCAGGCCAGAGTCAGCCAGCCAGACCATGGAGGCTCAGAAGTTGTTGGGGCTGAGCTGGCCTCCCCCAGTCCTCACAACTTTTTAGTCATTTGCTAATAATTAAGAGCCAAAAGTTCTCATCCCATCTTCCCTCCAGCCTTTGGACTGACTGGGATGCCACCATTTTTTATACAAGGTTCAAGGTGAGATAGACTTTCTTTCCTTTTCCTTCCAAATTCTCATGTAGAAAAGCCGCATGCAACTTCCTGGTTTTTCAACTTGGCACATCCACATTATCTTTTTGCATTTATCTTTTTTTTACTACCTATACCCTGGCCTTTGAATTTTATAATACACTTTGCATTTTTCTAAATGCAGTTGGGGTTTTCCAGAGCTGTGCAAAGCCAGGAAATATGCATGTCATTTAAATGACTCCGGTTAACCTTTAGCCTTTAACTGGTTTCTCATAAAACTCGACTCTCTCCCAGCTATGGTTTGCATTCTTCAGAGCAGCAAAACTGATGAACATCTACAGCTTTCACTGTTCCCTGCTGGGCCCCCTTCCCTTTGCTGCCTCCAGTCTGATGAGCCATGCTGGCAGACTCTGGGAAATGTGAGTCCCAAGCAGTGTCTAGCAGAAGGTTCCAGACTAGATTGATGCAGCCCCTGTTGCCACTTCCTGAGGTCTCCCAGGGCCCCTGGCTTCAGCGGCTTCCCTTCCTATCATGGCATCTTGTTCCTATCATAGCACAGTAACCATAATAGATCCCATCTGTTTCCCACCAGAAACACAAGATCCAGACTGCAGATTGCACACTTGACTGTAGACAGGGACTCTGAGTGTTTCCTCACCCACTCCCGTGCGCGTCCATCCATCATTTGCTGAATGGTAGGCACTGTGCTAGCCACCAGAAACACAAGGACAGGACAGAGCCCTCCTCCCTTCAGGCATCTAGCACAGTGATGCACTTCAGCAGGTGGGTGCAGGTGCTCTGCTGGAAACTGCAGGATCAAGAAGAATACAGAGTAGTTGGGCCCTTGCTGGGGGTGGGTGGGTAAACAGGGACAAGAATTGCTTCTGGGCGTCCGAGCCTTTGAGCCAAGGGTTGTTCTGAGCCAGTGTGAAGCAGCAGACAACCTGGGGAAGGGCCTTCCAGGCAGAGGGGGCATCTGCAGTGAAGACACACAGGTATGTTTGGCTACCAGGTCAGTAGCCCGTGTCTGGAACATTGGGCGGTCCATTCGTTTCATATGGCTGCTGCTACACATTTCTACAACACCCAGTTATTCTCTTACAGCTCTGGAGGTTAGAAGTCTGCCACGGGTCTCACTGGGCTAAAGTCTAGGTGTTGGTCCTTCCCGAAATCTCTGGGGAGAATCTGTTTTCTTGCCTTTTCTGGATTCTAAAGGTCGCCTGTGCTTTGGCTTATGGCCCCTCCCTCCATTCTCAAAGCCAGCAGTGGCAGGATGAGTCCTTCTCACACTGCATCACTCTCACCTCCTCGTCTGCCTCACTCTTTCACTTTTAGAACCCCTTCTGATTAGATTGGGCCTGTCCAGGTAATCCAAGATAAGCTCCCCCAGCTCAGGCTCTTTGATTCAGTCACACCCATGAAATCCCTTTTGTAAGGTAGCATGTTCACAGGTTCCAGGGATTAGGTCGTGGGCATCTTTGGGGGCTATTACAGCCCACCCCAGGTGGGATGCAGAAACTGGCAGCAGATGGGGCTGGAAGGGTAGGCAGAGGCTCTGCGGGACACGCTGCAATTGAGGAAGCCTGGAGAACTAAGCAGATGAACAGGCAGGCAGGAGACAGCTACCCCTCAAATGCTCTTCAGTTGTATGGCCTGGGCCCCACCTCCTGCCCTGTCCTTGGCAGATCCCTCTGACCTTGCAGCCCCGGTGCAGGGTGGAGGCATGCCCAGTGGGCCCCTGGGTCTCAGAAACAGCAACCTTTTGTCCTTTTGTCTGGACAAAAGAGCCCCACTTTGTTGGTACAAGTTAAAATTCTTCCCTCAGCCCCCTCTCCACTCTACTCCCATCTCTAGGGTGCCCCTGGTCTGAGCCCGCTGATGTTCCCAGGTTGCCTCCTCTGTCCTGGGCACCCAGCCACATCCTGCCCTTCTTGCCCGTCTTCTCCATTCACCCATGTCCTTGTTGCTGTGGCGCCTCCAGGTAGGGCTCCTCCAGGTAGCCCTGGCTCACGTCTCCCCAAGCTCTCCTTTCCTTTTTGCACTAAAAGGCTCAAAAATCCTCCTCCATGGCCATCTGACCCTTCCACTCCCCTCCCCACCTAGTCACAAGGTACCCACTCCCTGGATTCCTCAAGCCATAGGGCCCTATCATTTCTTACAGGACAGCAGTTCCAAGCCAGGAGAGCATAGGGGTTCTCTCCAGCCAATTTGAGCCAGGAGGAATTTTAACCAAAAGCCCAAGTTGGCTTTTGAAAGAGGCCTTTCTCCAGGAAAGGATTAGAGAGTTCCAGTCATTAAATGGTCCGCTGCAGAACGCTAGTTCTTGACTAAAGTGGTTGGTTTTTAAATGAAATGAAATAAATGTGCCTTTTTGTTTTTTCAATAAATGAGAACAAAAGTAGCCAGGTGTGGTGGCATGCACCTGTAGTCCCAGCTACTTGGGAGGTTGAGGTGGGAGGATCGCTTGAGCTTGGGAGGCAGAGGTTGCAGTGAGCCAAGATGGCACTACTGCACTCCAGCCTGGGCGACAGAGTGAGAATCCGTCTAAAAAAAAGAAGAATATTGTCGACTGTGATGGGAAAACATTCTGATTCAGGCCTCAAGTATATGTATGAGAATTGAAGTTCTGTGAAGGTTCGTGCATGTCTCCCTTGATTTTGATGGCTCTTGTTAAAAAACAAACCCAAAATAACCTTAGAAACTGTGTGCACACGTGAGTGTGTGCATGTGTGTATGTACACCTGTACACGTGGGAAATCGCGACGGCGTGCTCTGTACAAGTGCAGATCTGCTCGTGGACAGTTTCTCACCCCTGCAGGGCCAGGGCCCTAGGGCTCCCAGGTGGCTGCCACTTCCCCATTGAGGCTGTTCCTTGCCAGAAGACCTAGGGTCCGGTCTTTCAATTCTCTTCCTGCTGTGAGGAAAGTGTTTCTCTTGAAAACAGGAGCCAGCCCACCCCAAATCTTGATGCTGGGTGACACCAAAGACAGGAACTCTTTTGGGTTAAAATTTGGGGCTACAGGTAAGACTTGATGAGGCTTCTATCCCAGTGGGTTTACTGGTGAATTGGGAATGAGTGGTGTGTAAAGGCAGCCGGAGCGGCTGTGCATTCGTTCAGCAGCCGTTTATGGAGGCCCTGCTGCATCCTGGGCCAGCTCAGCCCTGGCGATCAAGCTAAGCTGGTGCTCCCTCTCCTCCACCTCTCTCTTCTGGAAGGAAAGGAACGCTTTCTTCCTTTAAGGCCTAAGACTCACAGCTGGCTTGAGGTAGAAGTCCTGCCTGCCCTGAATATAAAATTTTAAAACTTCCATATTTGGCAAATCTGTACCCTAGTTTTGTTTAGTTGTGTGTGGGCGTGGGGTTATATTCAGCACTGGAAATTGTGGGAGCCCAGCTGTGCATCAACAGCTTCTCCATCCAGTTAGGGAGAGTGGGAGCTCCCCATCTAAGTTTAAGGTTGCAGCTCTTCCTCCCATAGATCTGTGGTTTACCCTCAGCCCCAGCCCCTGCAACAACACTGACCCCTGGAGAGCCCAGACAAAGGCTCTGAGAAGTCCTGCAGACACACAGCCAGCCAAGGAGGTTTGCTTAGTAAGAGCTGCCCCTCATCAGCAGCTCACCATGTAGGGGGATTGAGGTTTTGTTTGTTTTGTTGTTGTTGTTGTTGTTTGTTTGTTTGTTTGTTTGTTGTTGTTTGAGGCAGGGTCTTGCTCTGTTGCCCAGGCTGGAGTGCAGTGGCACAAACGTGGCTCACTACAGCATCAAACTCCTGGGCTCAAGCAATCCTCCCACCTCAGCTTGCCAAGTAGCTGGGCCTATAGGTGGACACCACCACGCCTGGATAATTTTTTTGATTTTTTGTAGAGACAGTATTTTGCCATTTTGCCCAGGCTAGTCTTAAACTCCTGGGCTCAAGCTATCCTTCCACCTGGCCTCCCAAAGTGCTAGGATTACTGGAGGGAGCCACTGTGCCTGGCCAAGGCAGCTCATCATGTGCCAGGCACTGAGGATTTAAGTGTGGAGGCCCCATGTGGGAGGGGCCCAGGTAGCACGTGACCCCAGGGCCACTCAGCTCCAGAGCCCTCGGTCTCCTCCGAAGCTTCACCTCCTCTCACTCCATCCTAGCATCACCCAACCATTTTTCTTTCCTTCCTAAGCCCATGTAATAATATCTGCCAGTTTCCTCCAACACTGATTTGGGCTAAAGGAGCCCAGAATAAACAGGTGGCCCTGGCCCTAAGCCCCAGTCCTCTCCTGAACTGGGGCAAGCCCTCCACTTCCAGCCTCCTGCTGCCTGTGGCGCTCCCCTGTCCGCTGGGAGGCAGGGAGGCTGGCCCAGGGGGACCTGACATGAAGAGTCTGTCTTACAGGGCTCAAGGGGATGGCTGTGGTCTCCCCTTGCCTGTGTGTGTTCTACCCGGAATGGAAACCAGCTTTTCACCTTGTCCAGGAGGTTGGGAACCTGAGGGAACACAGCACTGCCTCTGTCCCAGCCCCCCATTGCTGGTTTTCTCTCCACCAGCAGAGTCCAAGCCCAAGCCGTATGGGCCCCAGCAGGACCACACTGAGCCCTCTCTCCAGCCCCGCGGCCTGGCTCTGGGATGTACCCATACCACCCCTTTTAGTCCCCTGCTTGCTGAGTGTGTCCCCTTCAGCTCTGGGCCTTCATACAGGCCCATCCCTCTGCTTGGGATGCTTATTCCTGCCACCATGGTCCCCTGTGTTTGGCCAACTCCCTGACACCTTCAACTCTGCAGACAGCTTACTTCCTAGCAAAATCTTCCCTGACCACCAGATCTCTCTCTGTTCATGGCATTTCCCACTGTGTGTGATTTTCTATTTTTATGTGGTTCTTTGGTTCATGTGGGTACCAAGCTGCTTGGGGGCAGAAACCCCAATTCTTATTCAAAGTTGGATCCCAGGGCCCACAGTGTAGCAGGTACTCAGTGAAGACAGGCCAGATATGAATGAATGGAAATGCGAGTGGGTTAGGGTCCGAGCCCACAAATGAGGACATTGGCCTTGTTTTCCAAAAATAGACCATGACTCCAGGGCCCTAGAGGAAGCCTGTAAACCTCCTGGTCTGACAGACATCTGACACACTTTGCGTGGGTCTCTTTCTCCACAGAGAAGTTGGAATAAGATCAAGACTTAATTCGCAGGCCCAGCATTAGTCTTCTGAACTCGCCGGCTATATGAGTCATCTCCACTGTGGAGGGAGGCAATTTTAAACTGGAAAGGTCAATCGACATGTCAGAATATCTAGTAAATCATTCGCGTTCCACCTGGTGCCCCTTCCATTCCCCTGAAAAAGCCTGCCCTTGTTCAGCGCCTCTCGAAGACACTGTGGAGAAAGAGGTAGCCGGGGCTGGGTGGTGATTTACCTCGAGGAAAATTAATATGGTGCCATCAATTCTGAAGGCAGAAAGGGCCCATGGCCAGAAGGCTGCACGCAGGCTGGAATAACTCACGGCCCATGAGGGCCCTGAGTTTGGGGAGGCCTCTCCTTGGCCCTGGATATAAATCAGCAGCCCTTTTGCAGAGAGAGAGTCGGAGTTTTGTCAGGCCTGGGGGAAGGGAGCCAGCACCAGAAGCCCCTCTTCCCCAGGAGCCTGTCGTTGTCTGAAGGGTTGAAAGGCACCTCTGTGCCACCCTTCTCGGCCAGCACCAAGCACTGGACTCATTTACAGACGAGGCCATGAAGCCCCCACCCTGGGTTCCAGGAGGATCACGGGAAGGGGGCTTTCAGCCTGGCTGTCAGAGAAGAATGTGACAGGCCCATTTTCACTCCACAGGCCTTAATTGGATGGTCAGAGGGCACATCTGTGGCTTATAAGAAACAGATGGCGGGATGGGTTAGTGAAGGAGAAAGCACGCTTGCTTCAGGTTGAGTGCCCGTGGAGGTGCTGGGGCAGCACGCTGGCAAGCAGGCAGACTCGGCCAAGACCCAGCTTTGTCACGTGCGTGAGGCCTTGGCTGTCCTCTTCATCTTTCTGCGTGTCTGTTTCTTCAGCTGTAAAATGGAGATGATGAGGCCCAACAACATAACATAGGAGGATTTGGTGAGAAAATGCATTTGAAATGGCTGAAGACAGTGCCGTGTGTTATAAGTGCTTGGTAGTTGTTATTGTCCTGTGGTAGCCTTGGGTCTCTAGAGCCAAGAACAGCCTCCTGTCTGGATCTGAGTGGCTTCATCCCACTGTGTGGGACTCTGGTCCCAAGTGTTGTATGTGAGTAGCTGGGACCACAGGTGTGCGCCACCACACCCAGCTCATTTTTGTATTTTTTGTAGAGAAAGGGTTTCATCTTGTTGCCCAGGCTAGTCTCAAACCCCTGGGCTTAAGTGACCCTCCCACCTCAGCCTTCCAGAGAGCTGGGATTACAGGCGTGAGCCACTGTGCCTGGCCGGGAATCCCATTTCAACCTGAGATTGGGCGGGGACAAACATCCAAACCATATCAGTACCTGTGGGAAGTGACTTGGAGGCCTCTCGGGTCTTCAGCTAGTCCTCTGGGCAGTAGGGAGAATCCTAAGTAATAGCCGCTTCACAGGGAGTCAGTGAGGATGAAGTGTGTGGAGCGCAGAGCCACTGTTTGTTGAAAGTGCATTGTTACTGTTATTGCCTTTGTTTTGGTAGTTAGGCTTGTTTCCAGGGAACTTTGGCTTCCTTGGCTTCTGGGGTGTGCACACAAGCACTGGACCAAGGATGAGGCTCAAGGAGGGCCCTGGGCTCATGCCCTGGGCTGACAGTGGAGGCCATGGGGCTGGTGGGGAGGAGCACAGGCCTGAGGCCACCCCACCTGGCTCAAGATCCCCACTCGCTACCTCTGTGACCTGGACAAATTCCTCCACCTCATCTGTAAAGTGGGGCTAGGAACTGTTTCCCCCTTACTGTGGGATTATTATGAGGATTCAGTGATGCGATCCATGTTGTTTTAACAGTGCTTTGCTATATGGTAAGGCTTCGGATAGTACCTCACTGGTAGGTAATTTCCTGTTAAGGACAGCCAAAGTGGAATTCAGATGGGGATGGTGAGAGCCGAGACATTATTTTGTTTGTTTGTTTGTTTGTTTTGAGACGGAGTTTTGCTCTTGTTGCCCAGGCTGGAGTGCAGTGTCGCTATCTCTGCTCACTGCAACCTCCGCCTCCCAGGTTCAAGCGATTCTCCTGCCTCAGCCTCCCAAGTGGCTGGGAATACAGGCGCCTGCCACCATGCCTGGCTAATTTTTATATTTTTAGTAGAGATGGTGTTTCACCATGTTGTCCAGGCTGGTCTCAAACTCCTGACCCCAGGTGATTGAGAGCCGAGACATTTATGCCCAGTTCCTGCCTTTCCAGAGCCTGGTGTCATCTTTTAAGTCAGCGCTACCCCATCTCCTTCAATTCAGTTCATGTCACCTCAGCTCGACAGAGGCAGTTCTGTGTCTGGGCACCAGGAATCCTCAGGGGGAGGCCCTCCAGCACCACCTGAGATGTTTGCCGTGTCAGAGAACCAACCTTGTGATCACTTACTTAGTAATTTTCTTTGAATGTACTCACAATTTATCCCTGTCAGGGCAAGATGGAGTAAGTTAAGCTAGTCCAAACCTAAACCCGTGAAATCAGGAGATCCATAAACTAAATATGTATTTTCTCACAACATCTGAAGCTAAATAGAGGTTGAGATAAAATTAGAAACCATTCACGTAGGTGCCATCTAAAACCATCTTAGGTCCCTGTCCCCACCCCCATCCCCCACCTGCTGCCCCCTATAGTCTGCACACAAGGTGGACTTGTTAAGGCTCCCCTGGGACCCCTGCCTGCCCACAGAGCCTCACCTGGACCCGGTCCCAAGAGCCAGGCCCACTCTCACGTCCAGGAGGAAGCCCTGCCTCCCCAGGTGTTAGGCTGGACTTTTCGTCCTACAGCACAGGGAGAGTGAAGCAGTTAACAAACCACATTTAATATGCAGTATTGTAATTTTAAATTTGTGGAACAAACCTAAACTACTACTTGTTTTTTTATGCTACCTATAGATATTAAATGTGGACAGATTTTGCTTGGCAGACCATTGGTTTAGAAGGCTGGGTTAAGCCCTGTGTTTGAGTAAAAGTAGTATTCAAGTAAAAGTGGGATTCAACCCCAGGTTCTTTTTGGCCTCAGGCAAGGAAGTTCTATATCTGCCTCACCAACACTTCTTCCAGGAGGGTGGAGAATCAGATATGAATTATTTCTCACAATCACCAGGAATGGCTGCAGCTCTGCTGGACAGATTCTGCATCTGTTCCCAAGCTCATCGGTCAGCTTTTACATGGGTACACCGAGGCCCAGAGAGGAGGACGGGGCTTGCCCAGGTCGCTGGCCAGGTCACTGTGCTGCTTCCACACAAGGTGGCTGGGAGGGGAGGCCTACCCAGTTTGAGGCAGGAAGTGTCTGAGAAGCTGGTCAGAGCTCCCCCGCTGTGCAGCCGCCCTGGGCTCCTCCACCTGGGAGCTCTTGGGACAAGTCTGAGAGCCTTTGAAGCCTCTGCAGCCTGAGAGTTTCAGAGCTCTTGCTACCTTCAGATCCTCTTTCCATACAGAACACCCTGTTAGAGCTTTCTCTCAGCTGGGGGCTCTCTGTCTCGAAAGGGGCCTCTGTGCTGACAGCCCCAGTCCCTCAGTGCGGATCACACATGTGGCCTTGCCCTGTGCCAGGTGCTTGACTGGGCCCTTGCTGAATCAGATGAAAGAAATCCTCTGGAATCCTCCTGCACTTCTGCAGCAGCTAACAACTTTGTTTCATGCTTTTGAGGCCAGAGGCTCTGAGAGGTCACATGACCAGCCCAAGCATCCACAGCTAGGACTCCACAGAACCAGCTCATCCTTGCCAGGTGGGAGGCAGTCTGTCCCACACCAGGGTATCTGAAATGTTTCTGCTTCAGGTGCTGTGGCTGATGCTTCCGGGCCATTATCTGTGTACCATCTTCAGCTGGGTGTGGGTGAAAGCCTCGTTGGGGATGGGCCCAGAAAGACCTTGGTGTATTTCTCACACCCAAAGAAGGCCGCCAAGGAAGGCCCATGGCGACCCCTGGGTAGGAAGCTTGGTGCTCTCAGGGAGTGGGATTTGTGCCATCTGGTGCACAGCCTCGGGCAGGAAGTGCACCAGGCCCCCAGCCACGCGCGGAGAGCTTCTCCAGAGAGGGCTGTGATGTGCGGCTAGAGGCAGTGCTTGGCACCCCTGCTCCTTTCACAGGACCCAGAAGTTTGCCAGATCAAAACCTTAGCATTGGCTGGAAAATTGGCTTACTTATTGCCATCTGTACCCATCACTTACCCATGGAGTGGGCGCCGTCCTGGGCTGAGTCGGGTGGGGGTCCTGCCGTTGAGTTAGTAATTTCGGGTTTTCCTTTTGTTGTTTAAAGGCATACTTGTTAGGCTACCAAGTAATATAGAAACATATTCACATTGTAAAAGGCTCAAACAGTGCAGTTTGTAGAGTAAAAAGTGAAAGTGCCCTGCCATTTCCCCAGCCACCCACAGTACCCCCTTTCCCCCCAGGCCACCTGCTTCTCCAGCAGGAACTCCCAGCCTCCGTTCAGGGGAGGGGGAGGGTGTCCTTCTGGACCAAGCTCTTCGCACCTGCACACATACGTATTCCTCTGGGTGGATAGCCTCGGGCTGTCTTGTTCACCACGGTCACTCCAGCCCAGCCACAGGCCTGGCACTTAGTAGACACCCACTAAATTTTTACTAAATGAATGACAGTAGCAGTAGTTTTTACATGAATGGGACCATGGACATCTTGTTCTGCACTTGGTTTTGGCACTTTAAAGTGGGGTTTTCCTGCGTCGGGACATCAGGGTATGAGGGTGGGCTTATCTGCCGTCATTGCATTAAATGGAAGCACCCGAGGGACCATCCCTTGTGCATCACCCTTGTTGATATGCATTGGCTGTGTCCAATTGTCCATGTTACAGAACGCTGAGGGGTCAGCCTTTTAGCAACTCAGTTCACAAACACAGCACTTTGTCAGGAGGCAGTCCTAGCTGTGAAATTGCTCAAATTGCCCTCCATAAAAGAAGCTGCCCATCAAACCTCCTGCCAACAGCGCAGGGAAATGCCTGTTCCTCCCCTCTGTCCCACACTGGCCCCTGTTGGTCTTTGTCATCTGTGCCAGCATGACGAGCAGAAGCTTACCCATCTGCTGAGCATGTCCACCTGGTCGCCTGGTCACCTGGTCAGAAGTGGCTATGGGAATTCTTCCCATATATCCCAGGTGGCCAGGGAAGGGCCCGACTCAGGAAATGGCATCTGTAAGAATGATAGGGCAGCCTACTGAGGGGTGCTGGGCATGACTCGCAGCATGGGCTGGCCCACCCAGCCACCGCCAGGCACCGGTCCAAACCAGTCAACCCTGTGCTCTGCTCCGTTTTTTCCATCCCTGCCTTTGCTCATCAATGAGGTGCCAGAAAAGGCTTCCAGCGGTTGGAATTCCTGCCTCCTTCATGTGTGTTTGGAGGCCACACAGCTGTGTTCTCTCAAACCTCCACCATCCTTTACACTCAGAATATCTGTTTAGACATTCCTAACTCTGCTTGGTCGTTGTTTATTTTAAAATAGTCCCAGAAATACGCTTGCTTATTTAGTTCTCCACCAAACACTCCATTGCGTAGAATCATGCGTCCCCTGCATTCTGGTTCCCTGGAAGAACCGCAGAAGGGGGACCTGCCTCATACGACCAGGCTGCGTCAGTCATGGGAGTGAGCTGTCAGACATTCACTTTTTTAAAAAATAGAAACAGGGACTCGCTATGTTGCCCAGTCTGGTCTCGAACTCTGGACCTCAAGTGTGGTCAGAATTTCACTTTGAAATTCTTGGGTTGAAGAAGAGCTTAAGAATGGGCTGTTACTTTCCTGTGTTTGTGGATTCATGGAATGATTCTTAGGGGCCATTGTCAGGAAAGGGACCATGGACAACCCAGCTGGAGTTCTTCCATACCAGATGTCCTCAGGCAGCGGAGTGATGTTGATGGCTGTCTGCAGCATTGCCGGGGAGCCTGTGTGTGAAGCCTTCACAGTGGACCACTTTCCTATTACATTTCTCCGCAACTCCCCGCTTACCTAACATCCTGCCTGGAGGTCCAGAGAATCTACAGTCCAGTGTTTTAGGAGGCTCTCTGGATTTTTGTTTCTATTTTATTTTATTTAGTTAGTTTTTGAGAGAGAGTCTCGCTCTGTTGTTCAGGCTGGAGTGCAGTGGTGTGATCTTGGCTCACTGCAACCTCTCCCTCCCTGGTTCAAGTGATTCTCCTGCCTCAGCCTCCCAAGTAGCTGGGATTACAGGCATGCGCTACCATACCCAGCTAATTTTTTTTTTTTTTTTTTTTTTTTTTTGGTATTTTTAGTAGAGAGAGGGTTTCTTGCCTTGTTGGCCAGGCTCGTCTTGAACTCCTGACCTCAAGTAATCCACCCACCTCAGCCTCCCAAAGTGCTGGGATTACAGGCATGAGCCACGGTGCCCAGCCTATTTTAATTTTTTGAGATGAGGTCTCACTACGTTGCCCAGGCTAGTCTTAAACTTCTGGGCTCAAGCACCCCGCCCACCTTGGCCTCCCAAGGTGTTGGGATTACAGGCGTGAGCCACCAAGCCTAGCCAGGATTTTGCCTTTAAAGCGCCTAATCTCCTTTCTCCATAAAGACGTGAGGTAAGCAGTTTTCCCTCCTGTGTTTATATCTCCCCCAACTCACACCATGAGCTGCTTCTATTAAAAGACACAGGAGATGGATAACTGGTGTTGAAAATGATATCACTTATTTCAAAGGGTAAAAGGGAAGTTGTGTGTGGCTTTCAGTAAAAGCTCACAGGCCTATTCAGTATCGGCCACTTGATGAAGAAGCCTTACTTTGTGGTGGATGCCCCCGGGTCTGGCCCCAGTGGCGCCTGAGAGGCAGCAGGTAGAGGCAAGAGCATGCTCTGAAGGCTGTGATTCACCTCGTAGGGCGGGTGGGGCTGTGTGCCCTGGCAGCCTTCTGCACCTACTGAGTCTCAGGCCTCCCCCACCTCTGCAGGGCTGTCCTGAGGGGCTGGCACTGCACAGGGAAGGGCGCTGGCTCGGAGATGGGTAGAGTTAGTGGGTAAATGGGTACTCCGCAGAGTCTGACCGCCAGCATTCAAGCTACCTCTGCTGCTTGCCAACCAGGTGACCTCAGCACATGGCTTAACCTGAGCCTCAGGTTTCCTTCATCTGAAAAATGAGGAAAATTGTCAGGAAAGCTTTGAGCACGATGCCTGAAACACAGCAGGCCTCTGATAGGTGTAAGCTCAAGTTCCATGACTCAGGCTGCAGATGATCTGCTAGGCTTTCTGGTAACCCACGGGTAGCTGAACTTGATGCCTGAGCTCCCCCTCGTAAGTTACCCCACTTTTCTTTGCAGGAAAGGTGTGCTTAAGTAACAGGTACTCAGCAGGGGTGTTCTGACACCCTGGGACTGCCATGGGTTTGCTTCCTCAGAAGGCTTCCCCGTCGGCTGCCCTCTCTCACTGTAGGGTCTGCTTGGACTCAGTGTGCAGAAGCCCTCCATTATCGACAGAAAACAAGCTCCTTAAAAACACACTTAGGCCAAGCACAGTGGCTCACGCCTGTAATTTATCCAGCACTTTGGGAGGCAGGTGGACAGATCACTTGAGGTCAGGAGTTCGAGACCAGCCTGGGCAACATGGCAAAACTCCATCTCTACAAAAACGAAAAACTAGCCACGTGTGGTGGTATGCACCTGTAGTCCAAGCTGCTTGGGAAGCTGAGGTGGGAGGATCGCTTGAGCCCAGCAGGTCAAGACTGAAGTGAGCCAAGATCACACCACTGCACTCCAGTCTGGGCGATAGAGTAAGACCTGTCTCAAAAAACAAACAAAAACAAACACACACACACACACACACACACACACACACACACACACATGCCAGGTGTGGTGGTGGGAGCCTGTAGTCCCAGCTACTTGGGAGGCTGAGGCGGGAGGATCACAGCCTCCCGGGAGGTTCCCGTGAGCCAAGATCATACCACTGCACTCCAGCCTGGCTCTGTCTCAAAAACAAAAACACACACAAACACAAAAAAGCCCATGCTTAAACCAATCCCTGGCTTGCAGGCATTTCCAGCATTTCCTTGAACGTTTTTGCAAATACAGATTTGAACATAACTGATTTCAGTTCCTGTCCCCAAAACTTTTGGTTCCTTCCTTCCTTTTGTTCGTGGCACAATGGTGAGAGTAGGTGCTCTGGAGTCAGAATCTATCAGGGTTTGAGGACTGGGTCTGTCGTCTATGAGCTGTATGACTTCGGCCGAGCTTCTGAAACTCTGTGGGCCTCGGTTTCCTCTTCTATAAAACACGGTGGTCGTGACAATTAAATATACTAACAAGCGTTTGATCCATAATAGAATCCCCAATGCATGGTGACTGTCGTTATCCTCATCATCATGACTGTCCCCAGTCTAGTGGGAGACAGGCCAGGAGGCAGGAAGCTCCCCCTACCCCAGTGTCGAGGCCCCCATGGAGCAGGGAGGAGCTGGGATGAGGAGCATCCTTACCTGGGCAATCTGTCCAGACCCATCTCAGGGATCTCCTCCTCCTGTACCCCCCACCACCTCCACTTCCCTGCTGGCTCCTACAGCCTTTGCACCCCCTTCTCATGGTGCTTTTGGGGCATCACATGGTGTGCACCCTCATCTCTTATGAATTCAGCTAGACCTGCTCAGCACAGCAGAGTGAGAGAGAGAAGGGCAGTAGGCTTCACTGGAGTGGCCCTTCCCTGCCATCCCTCACAGTGAGCCTGGGCCCTGGAGTTGGGACATTTGGAGAACAAAGCCACTTTTCCTCAGCCAGTGCGGTTACCGTGGCCATACTCGTCCCAGTGAGTATGAGTCTAGGACTCAAAAAGTGCTTCAAGGCCTCCTAAACCCTAGCTGACACTTCCTGTGGCACTCAGGCAAAGGAACAAACAGGCTTCCAGTGTACAGGCCGGGAGCATGCCCTGCTGGACACTTCAGTGATTCTGCCCGGACTCAAGGGTTGGAAGGTGGGCAGTGACTGGTCACCTTTCTCTTCATATCTATACCGCCTGGCACTGAGGAGTCACCAAATGAATCTGTCTTAAAGCAAAGTGGGCGTATTTTTGAAGAAGTAAATATCAGCCAGGCGCCGAGGGTGGGCAGATGCACCCTGGGCACAGCACAGGTGGAAGAGGGCAGGGCGTGTACAAGACTGAGCAAGAGGAGGTAGAAGGCGAGCCAGGATATGAGGGTGTGGCAGTGCAGAGAAGGGGCCCTGCTGAAGGACAGGAAAGTGGGCTGGGAGCAGCTCCAGGAAGCCCACTTCCATGGCACAGTTAGCAGGGATGAGGTAGCAAGAATGGAGGCGGCAGCTGGTGAAACATGCCTCTCTCATTCACCCCAGGTGAGAGGACAGTGACCCAAGCCACGGTGCGTTCAGGGATGGGGCAGGCTTGGTTAGAAGGGAGGACCCACAGGCTTCCTAGCCTGTTGGGGTGGAGGGGTGACGAGGGTCTTTGGACGACAGGCAGGTCCTATCATGTGCTTGTAGAAGCCATGGTGGTTAATTTCTGCCTTCTTTTGTAACTGTGGCATTAGGAAGCAGGACTGACCCCATTCCTCTAAATCATGCCCTGGTCTCAACCTTTCCTCCAGAGTACTTCCTCTTTTGTACAGGGCCCCTTCCCAGCCTGTGGCTGTCCTAATGAACCACCTTGCTGTGTCACCTTCAGGTGACCAAAGATGAAGGCTCCAGGGGCTCAAAGGGGAAACTGAAGGGTAACATGAGTCAGGGGTTCCAGAGGCTTGACTCAGAAGCTCTGCGCCTGTCCTGGGCAGGCCGAGCCTGATAAGTTTCCAGCCCTAAGGTGTGATTGCAGTAAACCTTCTGGAAGCCAGAGCCGGCTTCATCTACAGATGTGAGGTTTGTGGGAGGAGGCAGAAGTGCTCTTGTGGCTTAACGGGCCCTCTTGGCTCCAGCTGCTCAGAGGAGGGGCAGCTGAGAGCCACACAAGGCCTTGCCTCTGAAGTTTGAAGCATTTACAGGCACCACCTCCCCCCCTACAACTTTTTCCAGGCCACATCAGGCAAGCTCCTTTCTTAAGAACTGACCTTGTGTGTCTCTTTTTGCATCTGAGTTCTTTAGAAAAATCTCTCCCTTTTTTCCTGTGGGGCCCTGCATGCCTGCCTTGGCCCCACTGCCCGAATATGCCTTCTCTCATTTCCCTCCTGCCTCTGCCGTGTAGTTTCTAATGTAGCTCAAATGTGAAAAATTAGGTTTGCATGGTTGCCATGAATTTTACGTGAATCACATTTAAATCAATAAAGCCTGTAGAATGAATCAAGTTATCGTTATTATGAGGTAGCAGGGGGCTATTTAAAGGGGCTGTGGGCCTTTAAGCACATAATGGAAAAAGTTTCCTACTACTGGATGATCCCCGATAAAGCACTTAACCTTTTGCAGCTCTGGGCTCCCTCAGTACCTGTGATGCGTTTGAAGTTTCTACTTTCTTCTTAGCAGGTGTGATCAAGCAGAACTAGAATGAAAGTCACATTTTCCATGACTTGTTTCTTATTTGAACAGTTGCTAATCTTTTTTTTTCTTTTTTTTTTTAAGTGGGTAGTCTTTTAAATGACATTCTGTTTCAAATGTGTGAGCTTGGGATCTTTGATGTAAATAGCAGGAAAAAGTGGGCGGTAATGTTATGGAACGTGGAAAGCCTGCCTTTTCTAGGTCGTGCTTTTAGAGCAAGAACCAGAGAGAAGAAAGAAAGGAAAGAGAAGATGAAAAAGAAAAAAGGCTGTGCAGGGGTCACGGCTGGAAAGGCCCTCATAGCAGCCTGGCACATCATGTTCTGACTCTGGGTGCAGGGCTCCCCCCACCTCCCCATTTTCACCTTGATCAGTCCTGACATTCTCTCCACGGGCCAGCTCTGGTCTGTGTGTTGGGAATGACCACTCCAGGAACAGAGTCCAGGCAGTCAGCATAGCTGAGGGTTTGCCACAGTGCTCTGGACAGTTGAGTAAGACAGGAGCTACAGCCGGGCACGATGGCTCACGCCTGTAATCCCAACACTTTGGGAGGCCGAGGCAGGCAGATCACCTGAGATCAGGAGTTCGAAACCAGCCTGGCCAACATGGTAAAACCCCATCTCTACTAAAAATACAAAAATTAGCTGGGCGTGGTGGCAGGCTCCTGTAATCCCAGCTACCTGGGAGCCTGAGGCAAGAGAATCACTTGAACCCAGGAGGCAGAGGTTGCTATGAGCCGAGATCGTACCGCTGCACTCCACCCTGGGTGACATAGCAAAACTCTGTCTCAAAAAGAAAAAAAAAAAAAAAAAAAAGGGAGCTAGAAGCGTAGCTGTAGCGTAAGATTGGCACCAAAGGAGACCTTCACTTTGGAAGTTAATGGACTCAAACTCCTGGGTTCAAGCAGTCTTCCCACTTCAGCCTCCCAAGTAGCTAGGACTGCAGGTGCACACCATCACACCCAGCCATTACCTTTTAATTACACAAATACTGTGCAAATACCTTGTCTTTGTAAGAAAACAAAACTAAGGCCAGATACCATGGCTCACGCATGTAATCCCAGTTACTTTGGGAGGCTGAGGCGAGGGTTGTGGGGGATCACTTGAGCCCAGGAGTTGGAGACCAGACTGGGCAACATAGCAAGACCCCATCTCTAAAAAAAAAAAATTTTATGTAGCTGGGTGTTGTGGTATTCATCTATAGTCCCAGCTGCTCAGGAGGCTGAGGTGGGAGGATCATTTGAGTCCGGGAAGTCAAGCCTATAGTGAGCTGTGATGGCATCACCGCACTCCATCCTGGGTGACAGAGTGAGACCCTGTCTCAAAAAGTAAAATAAAATAAAAACTAAGTAATGTCCACCCTCCTCATCCCACTTCCCTGGATAACCACAGTCACAGTGGGTATGTTTTCTTCCAGACCTGTGTCCCAAGAAGCACACAGAGACCCACGGGAGGAATACAGACCATTGAAAGTTTTCTAAATTTATTTCCTGATTATAAAAGTATTATCTATTCACTGTAGAAAATTAAGAGAAACAAGCATTTAAAAAACACTTGTAACCATACCATACCCCAAAGATAACCACATGAGTTCATTTTACAAAAATGAGGTCACCCTGTGCACGCTGTTCGATAACCTTAATTTTTCACTCCAGGCCTTATGGGGGTGCCTTGTCCCTGCATCACCAAGCTGTGTGTCTCATCAAGACTTTTCCAGAGGTGGTGCCTGAGGCAATTCTTGGTTGGCAAATGTAGGAATATTTTGTCCATGTACGTAATCATGTCTTCTATGAAAGATGATGCTGATTTTGCGTTGATGTAAATGAAATTTTCCTTATAAATTTCAATACAAAGGGAGGGACATAATCTAAAGAAAACATCACATAAACGGTACAGGTGGTACAACTAGGAAAAAATCCTTAGGATGGTCAGGAAATGACTAAAGTTTAGGAACCACCATTTTAACAGCATTTTTAAAAAACTGACTGTATAACATGCCACCATGAGGGCCTGCCAAGATTTAGTTTCCCAGTATCTGTGAATTTTTCCCTTTTTAAGTCCTCCCCACCCCAAGTTTGAACTTCCCTGTAGCTGAATCTCTACACCCAACCATGAGAACGGCGGTAACCTAAAATTCTAGAACAGGTTAAAGGACATGCCCAGCTGAAAGACTTCTTTGCCAATTGCCAAGTTGCCCTCCAGGAAGGCTGTCCCAGTGTGAGCAGCTGGGTGAGTAACCAGGGGCTGTTTTCCTGATGAAAATTCACAACTGTGAGTAAATGCCTCACATCCCTTACCAATTTTCTTATCTGAAAGATTTAATCAGCTCCCTCGCCCTTGACAGGTTTCTTTCTCTGTGTTTTGGGGGCCTCTGTAAGTGCCTTTTAATATTTCCATTGTGTGTGTTAATCTTTCATTAGAATTTGATGCATCAGAAATATTTTTAAAAAGCTTAGTTCAATTAATTTCCTTCCCTGCCCTATTATTTTACTTCCTTCTTTACCTGAATCATTAATGGCAAGGAGCACCGACACAGAACTGAGTTCAGGGCTGTTCTAATTAACTCCCGGGGATGTTATGAGCAATCCATCAGTCCTGGGGTTGCATTACAGCCTCCGTATTTACTGGTGTTTTTTCAGTGAGCTTTCCCTGTGTGTGAAAAATCCAGCAGCTTTTTGGCCCCATTGGTTTACGTCTGTTTTATGAATGGCCTGAAACGTCTTGCCCCAGTGTCTGAGAGTGTGATGAGGAAAAGGATTTTGTGCTTTGCTTTGTTTTTCAATTATCCATGGGCTGTGAGTTCCTTGCATTATAATAGCAGGAGCACAAACCTATGATCAGACTCCACCAACTTCAGTGTTGGCTCAGGGTATGACCTTGGGCAGGTTTGTCTCCTCAGCTGGCCCACGGGCGACAGGTGTAGGGAGGTCTGCCTCCCACAAGTGATGCCACAAGGCCAAGTGGTATGTAGACTTGGCTGTGTGGTAGAATCACTTGGAGAGCTTTAAGGCGCCCGGTGCCCAGGTCACACCCCACACCAATTAAATCAGACTGTCTGGGGGCAGGAGCCAGCATCTGTTTTCAGTGATCCCAGGTGATCCTACATGCAGTAGAGTTTGGGAGCCACCGCTCTAGGGATTAACCGAGGCCTCTGCAGCACGCACTAGCATGGTGGCAAACAATGAGTTCTCAGTGCCCACCCCTCAACAGAAAAGCCAGAAGATGGAGACACAGAAGTCAGATCCTGCTCAGCCCCATCTCCAAGGAACGGCCATGTGAGCCTGTGTACTGAGAATGCGTGCCTGTGCACGCCGAGGATGCAGAAAGGGACAGGGGACCAAGTGGCAGGTAGCCTTTTCTTCTAAACTGCTACCAGGTATTTGCATCCCAGCCTGTTTAGTGTTGCTGCTGAGTCCCCTCCACCTTCAAGAACTGTCAGCCTCTTCAGTAAGGAGACGTGGGGTCCCAGCTGTGGCTTCCTAAGAGCTGAGCGTGAGGGCGTTAGTGTGGCCATCCATAATGGTATTTGGGATCTGACAAGTCTCCAAACCACTTGTCCATAGACCCTCCAGGGCCCTGCACCCTGAGAACCAGCCTGGTGGGGCTGGAGTCCTAAAATCTGCACTTTGTCCCAGTACCGGGTGCCCCAGGCTGCCAATGGGCCTCCCTTCGAGGAACCCTGGATCTCTCCCAAGACGCTGTGTGTGAGCTTCAGCCTTTCCAGTTGCCTGCACATTCTCGCCCAAGTGCTGTGTGTGGGAGTAACTTTTCAACTCCTTCGTTCAAGAGCCTTTCCCACCCCTCCACTGGGCCCAGTCCTATGTGGGGGCCAGGACAGAGAGATGCCCAGGCAGTGAGCAGGTCAGACCCTGCTCATCCTCAGAGGCCAGGGTGGAGGGAGGCAGGTGACCCATGAGGAATCCCTTCCAGCAGTGAGACCTGTGGCACCCCATGCCCATTGATCATACCTACTTGCTCTGTGACACGGAGAGACAGCTGTGTGGGAATGGGCTTTCTGTGTGCTCTGCAGAGAGCGTGGCGGCTAAGGTGAGGCATGGGAGTCATAACCCCCAGGCTGAGTGAGCCAAGAGTGCATGTGGCCAGAGCGCCCCATTCCTTCCAGGTCAGGGAGCTCCAAGGCCCTGGGCCAGGCTGCTTCATGCCACCCGGGTTTGCCAGGACAGGTCATTCTCATGCACGGCTCATCGGCAGACGTGGAGCAGAGCTGTTTCCCACGGTCCCACACAGTGGACAGGGTCTCGTTTTCTTCCCTCTAACCCTTCGCTGTCCAACACGGTAGCCACTTGTGGCTGTCTAAATCTACATTAATGAAAATTAAGGTTAAATAAAATTAAACATTTCTGTTCCACTGTCACACCACATTTCAAGTGCTCAGTCGTGGATAGCAAGACAACGGAAAAAGGATATTTAATTGTATTTAATTTTAATTGAAATGCAAATAGCCACATGTGTGGTGGCTCTGTACTAGACAGCATGGTCGTAGGACATTTCCATCAATGCAGAAAGTCCTTTTGGGCAGCAGCGCTGTCTAGCAGGTGGGGTAAAATCAGGAAACAAGAAAGGCAAGGGTTTGGAGTCTTTCAGGATCCCAGCTCCGTCACTTTCTAGTGTGTGGCTGCATGCTGTCAACTCTGCTGGGGCCCAGGCGTCCTCGTCTGGAACTGAAAGCCCAGATTTGTGTGGCTACCTCCTCACCCAGGTGCGAGGACGGGGCAAAGTGAGGATGGTAACAGTAACAGAGGTGTGGACTGGGCACTTGCTCTCTGCTTTCATTCTTCCCTGCCTGGGACCCACGTGCTGTTTTCACCCCTGTTTACAGATGGGAAAGTAGAGGCCCAGAGCCTGTGCTGTGTTTAAGTGTCCAGCATGTGGCAGGAAGCAGAGACAGTGGGGATTGTGATTCTTACCTATCTAGCCAGAGTTGCACCTGGGGTTTGGAGGCACGGCTGACTGGGTACACAGGCTCTACACCCCTGCCAACTGTCTGACCACGGTGGCTCTGCCTATGACACACTTATTTACTATTGGACAGCCTGACTAGCTCTTTTCTTAACTTTTGCCTAAAAAAAATTCAATCCATGGCTTCCTAGCTCTGAACTTGCCTCTGTGCATCAAGCTGAAGAAGGTGCAGGAGTTTCAGAGCCAGTCATTCCTTAACAGGGAGGTAAGACTGCGGGGGACTCAGCAATTTGGAGCCTGGGCTTTCTCACCACCTATCATGCCCTCCTACGGTCCTGCCAAAATCTCCTGTCTCTCTTTCACCTTTCCCTTTCTCCGCCTGCTGGTGGATTTCCTCTGCCAAGAAATTAGCAAGAGCAGCTGAAGGCGGTGATGCACACGGCCCGGCCAAAGTGAAGTCACCCCTGCTCCTGCTGTGAAAGCTGCTGATCTCTTTCTTAGCACAGGCAGCCAAATGTGGTTTACCCTTCTGGTCCAGATTTCACTAACTTAGTGTGGCCCAGAGAATCTTTTTACAAGATTGGGGTTTGGTTTCAAGCACATGGAGGGACTTGGACCTGACTCACTTGGGCATTTCCTGCTTGGGGTCCTGGGAATTGACCTCCCGGAAGATAACATTAGCAGCACAACCTCAAGTCAGTTACTGACCCTCTCAGGGTCTCAGCTTTCTCATGTGTAATGTGCAGATAATGGTACTGCCTGGGCTGGGTGGTTTTGAGTGCTTAGCTCAGTGTCAGATGCTTATTAAATATTACACTGTAACTGTTAGTATCTGAAATTAGCATGGGTATATGTTTGCAAGTGGCTGGAACTTTTGAAGAGTTTATTTGCAGGGTTTGCAGATGAACTTTTAAACAAAGTCTGTAACGGGTTGAATATACCTTTCCATTGTGCTGGTACAGTTTATACTCACAGATTTCTTTCAGTTACTGCTTTATGGTCTGTCTGTTGAGACTGTGGCTGCGTGAGGGCCAGACCTTCATTTTCAGCCCTGCAGCCCTAGTACCTGGGACTGTGCTTGGCCCATAGTAGATACACAGTAACTGTTTGATGAATTAATAAATAAAGGAACAAATGTCATGTTATTTTTTCTTAATATGCTTAGTAAACTCTTTGTTCGTGTTATATTTTAAGTTCCAGTCCAGGTCTTCATTATAAGCTTCCAATTAAGGGCCTGAGTTACATTTCACTGAATAATGATAGGCAAAAACCTTCAGTTCTCGCAGTGATCTTCCTAGTGTCCCCAGTTCCTGGGCAACTATTTATAGTCCTAGGTGTGGCTTTAATAAGCCACCCTTGTTGATGGGTCCCCACCCTCCGCAGCCTCACCCCCAACAGTCCTCACTGCCCTCTTCCTCATATCCCAGCCCCAACAAAGGACAGGAGTTTCCCAAACTCACCATGTTCCCTCCTGCCTCTGGCCCATGGTACATGCCCCTTCCCTGCATGTCCTTGACTGTCGCACTCTGCGTGTCACACTCTGCGTGTCTTGTTCATTCTGTTTTCTCCCTACTGGGCTGTGAGGTCCTACAGAGCAGGGACTGAGCCTTTTATCTTGTCTCTCCAACACCTTGGATGTCCAAGGTAGGCATCCCTCCTCTCCACAGACGTCTAGTGAGCACATACCGTGTGCCTGGCCATGAGCAGTGAACAAAAATGACAAAAATCCTTGCCCTCATAGAACTAATGTTCTAGAAGATACTCCATAAAAGTTTCTTGAATGAATGGAGCTCCCTTTTTTATTTTGCCCTTCATGAATTTCATAAGTAGTTCGTGTACAAGTTCATTTTTTTCTTTTCTTTTCTTTTCTTTTTTTTTTGAAACAGGGTATCCTTCTGTTGCCCAAGTTGGAGTGCAGTGATGCAATTATGGTCACTGTAGCTTTGACCTCCCTAGGCTCAAGTGATCCTCCCACCTCAGCCCCCCGAGTAGCTGGGACCACAGGTGCACACCACCACATCCAGATAATTTTTGCTTTTTTTTTTTTTTTTTGTAGGGACACGGTCTTGCCATGTTGCCTAGGCTGGTCTCAAACTCTTGGGCTTGAGCAATCTGCCTACCTCAGCCTCCCAAAGTGTTGGGATTATAGGTGTGAGCCACCGCACCTAGTTCATTTTTAAAAGAATTAAAAACTCAGAGGGAAAAATAGTTTGAGATTCTCCATTTTTACCATGGCTGAAACGTAGTTTAAATAAGGCCATCTGATTGGGGGTGTGGTATTGTATTACACACAGCTGTGCTGATAAGATTGCGTTTCACTTAAATCACATGCTTCCAGAATGTTGCTCTGCTGCCCAAAGTTTATTAGTAATCAGTTTGAACACAAAAGATTAAAAACGTAAAGCAGGGAATTTGGTTTGTGAGGTATACGCTTTTGTTTAAGTCCAAAGGTACAGCTTGTCTCCACCAGAGGTCTCCTATATTTTACTGTTAATGTTTGAAGTATATTGAATTCCCACAAGCTAATTAAAAATCAGACTGCTGTGCCGGTAAGCATTCACTCTGTGAACTAATTTCTGCCAAACGGCTATAAATGTGTCCCCTGGTATGAAATTTAGACATTCTTTCCCATCAGAAAAGAGGCATGTGGTTTAGTCCCAACCGCTTCATTTGAGTGACAAGGAAGCTGAGGTCCACCTGGAAAGGTCGGTTGCCCTGACTGAGGCCACACAGCCTAGTAAGTGGCCCCACTGGGCATCAGACCCAGGCCCCTTCTCCATCTCAGCTCAGTGTTCTCCCCACCAAATCCTGCTGGTTCTTGCTGGGTGGAACTCAGAGAGCTGCTGTTACTCCTAAGTGCCAGGCACTATCCTAGCACCTTACAAACATCATTGAGTTTTCATAGTAACACTATAGGGACAGTATTGTTAATATCACCTCTATTTGCTGATGAGGTACCTGAGGGCCAGAGGGGAGACGGCAACAAGCCGAGGTCCCACACTGGTAAGGGGCAGAGCTCAGTCTAAAGCAGCAGGCGGCCTGGTCCTCACTGTGCCTTCACCACAAGGCTGAACTGTCCCTGGAGGCTGAAACTCAGGGACAGACACAGAGGGAGGGCCTGAGAGATGGGCAAGCGAATGCTCCCCGGACCTTCTGGCGGAAATGAGGTGAAGAGCCTCAAACCCCAGAGGTTTGGTGGAAAATGGGAGGCTAGTGCTGGGCCCACAAGGGTCAGATCCAAGAATATGCTGGGGAGGAGCCAGCAGTCCCCCCAGAGAGGCCCAGTGGCGCTGCTCTCCACCTCTGCTTGGCCCATTGCTGGGCTTCTTTCAAGATCAATTTAAAACATTACCTCCTGACTGGGCACAGGGCTCACTCCTGTAATCCCAGCACTTTGGGAGGCTGAGGTGGGCGGATCACCTGAGATCAGGGGTTTGAGACCAGCCTGGCCAACATGGTGAAACCCTGTCTCTACTGAAAATACAAAAATTAGCCAGGCGTGGTGGCGCATGCCTGTTGTCCTAGCTACTCAGGTGGCTGACACAGGGGAATCACTTGAACCTGGCAGGTGGAGGTTGCAATAAGCCAGGAATGCGCCATTGCACTCCAGCCTGGGCAACACAACAAAACTCCGTCTCAAAAAAATAAAAATAAATCACCTCCTGCAAGAAGCCTTCTCTGACCCTTGGGCTGTGTCATGGCCTGTCTTCCAGCAGTCTACATCCTCCTGGTCTTCCCCTGCTGTGGCTCTTGTCCCATGGCATGTAATTGTCACTTCTTTGGGCTCCCATGCTAGACAGGAACCCCTGAGGGACAAGTCTTACCCATCTCTGTGGTCCTCTTTGCCAAGCAGAGTCCAGCACCCCCAGAAATGTTTGAATGAAAAGTCTGAGGCAGTGATGAATGGGTGTACCGGTTCCATCTATGAAGCCTTTTCTTCCCCACAACTGGCCTATGTCGGAGGAGAATCTGGGTTGGATGTTAGCAGGAGAGAATGCCTCCTTGCTTAGAAGAGCCTTGAATGCCAGGCTCAGATCCATTTGACCAGAAGAGCTCCTTGAGGTCTGGCCAGCATCTGTGGGTACCAGGATCCCCCACAGATGTGTGTGGCACCCACAGATGCCTTCTCTAGCAGTGTTAGTAATATAGATCCCAGAGGTGAGTTTTGTTTTGGGGGGTTTTTTTGAGACAAGGTCTCACTCTGTCGCCCAGGCTGGAGTACAGTGGTACAATCTCAGCTTACTGCAACCTCTGCCTCCTGGGCTCAAGCAGTCCTCCTGCCTCAGCCTTCCAAGTACCTGGGACTACAGCCATGTGCCACCATACCCAGCTAATTTTTTTTTTATTAAAATTATCTCCCTAGGAGTCATAGAGATGGGGTCTCACTATATTGCCCAGGCTGTTTTCAAACTCTGAGCTCAAGCAATCCTCCCACCTCAGCCTCCCAAAGGATGGGATTACAGGTATATGCCACCACACCCAGCATATCCCAGAGGTTTTAACATATTCTCTAGACTATGTCCTCTGCCTGGGGACCTCACCCCCTAAGGAAGGAGAATACCCTGGGCCAGGATCTGCTCTCTGGAATACCCTTGTGTACTTTTCTGATGAGGTGCCTTACAGAGGAAATCCAAGGGAAAGAGAAGATGTAGCCCCATCTTCAAGAACTTCTCTCCAGAGGGAGGAAGGAGAGGTGGGCCCATACCACGAAGGTGGAGAAAAATCACAAGCCCTCTCTGCACCCCAGCTTACTTGTTCCCAACAGCATTCCTACAAAGTAGGGGTGTCCTCATTTTTCAGATAAGGAAACAGCCTCTGAAGGGTCACCCAGTGTAAGGATGCATCTGCCTTCTTCATCCCTGTAGCCCAGTACCCGACACACAGTAGCCCCATAGCCCTAGGCACAAATGGGGTAGAGAGACCCTGACCACATCCTGTGGAAGGTCCAGAGCAGAGCCATCACAGAGGGCTTCCGAAGACCAGGATACCCTTGTTCCTGGGCTGCTGGGCTGCTGAACAGCGGGGAAGAGGAGCTGTGTGAACCTAGATTCCATGTGACTTTATCTGGCTGCATAATGAGCTTAAGTATTCAGATCTTTTCTTGGAAATCTCAAGTATTCCATTTGGCTGCCTCACAGAGTTAGGCAATTTTATTTACTCATGCTAAACAGGGCCATTTTCAGAGAGGAAATTATGCAATGTACTATGCAAATGTGGCATTCCGAGAGCAGAGATAAGTGTGGTCACCGATGCATTGTAAGATGAGATCGTGTCTCTGGCAGCTGGGTGTCACTTGATAAGGGGATATGCCAGACTGTACTTGGAACTGCTGCTCCCTTGGACTCGGTTTCTGGTAATTGTGTTTTCACCAAGTTGTCAAGCTGTGAACTGCACGTATTGAAGAAGAGGAACAAGGAGTGAAGCTTTTGCAAGTTGCTCATCCTTAAGTAGACTTCAGCAGTCAGAGAGGCTGCCCCCATACATGTTCTGGACACATGGGAACAAGGAGGGTAAAATTCTCATCCTCCATTCTCCCAAGAAGAGTCTTAAAATTTGACACGGGGGAAAGATGAAGACACACAACTGGTTTTCCTGGCCACTGTGAAAACCAGTCACCTCATTTTACTAGACATGGCATGTGCCTTTCATACTGAGAGAAAGGAAGTAGCTGTGGAAAACCCCACCTTTGGAAGCAGACAGAGCTGAGCCCAAAGCTAGCACTTCCCCCAGCCTGTGGGTACCTGAGATTGAGGCACCCAGCCTCCCCAAGCCTTCAGCTCCCTGCCTGAAAATGGCACTTTCAGTTAGTTATTGCTCCTGGGCCGTGTACCAGTCACAAAGACAGCCAACCCTTCACACAGCCACTGCTCAGATAGTTGCTGAGTGAGCCAGTGACAGATTTATCCACCTCTATCTGTAAAGTGAGCATTGATACAGTGTCCTCAGTGGCCCTGAGTGTGCTGGGAGACATGAAGATTCTGCAGAGTTAAGAGATTCTGGAAAGAGTCCTACAGAGGGCTCCATCCAAACTCTTTCCATTCAAATCCTTGCTATTCAACTTGGGAACAAAATGGATCTTCACAATGATAGGATCCTGTAGTCATCACACAAAAGTGATATAAAGGAGGCCAGAAAACTAATAATTTGAGTGCAGATTCTGCATACTGACCAGTCACCTTGTGTCAAATCTGTTGTAATTTGCCTGAACTTCACAACAATGCTAGGAAGTCCATTTTTCCCCAAAAAATTTTATTTTGAAACCTTCCAAGCATACAACCAAGTTGAAAGAATTGTATAGTGAACACCCTCATACTTGTCTACTTGTCTTATCACGTATCTACTTTATCCACCAAACTTTTTTGTGGGGGAGAGTTAGAGTCTCTCTCACCCAGGCTGGAGTGCAGTGTTTTGATCATAGCTCACTGCAGCCTCGAACTCCTGGGCCCGAGTGAGCTTCCCACTTCGGCCTCCGAAGCAGCTAGGATTACAGGTGTGAGCCACCACACCCAGCCCAATTTTTTTTTTTTTTTTTTTTTAGATGGGGTATTGCTATGTTTCCCAGGCGAGAATAGCTCTGGCTATGTTAACCAAGCTGGAGTTTACAGGCTTAGTCTTAGTGCTGTAGCCTCAAACTCCTGGCCTCAAGCAATCCTCCTGCCTCAGCCTCCTGAGTTGTGGGACTATAGTTGCATGCCACCACACCTGGCTTCTCTTCTTTTTTTTTTTAAGATACTTTTCCTTAGAGGTGAGGAAGTGAATCTTTTTAAAAATTTATTTCAAAGTAAATTGCAGGCCTCAGTACCCTTCTCCCCAAATACTCCAGCTTGCATATCATGAAGTAGAGCTATAAAATTATTTTATTACCCCCCGCCTATAGATGAGACAACTGAAGCAAAGTCACATGCCCAGGGTCACCACAGCTGGAAGGTGGCAGAGTTACCACTCAACTCCAGGCACTTGGCCCAGGCCCGGCTTGGGACTGTTGCCCTGCACAGCTTCCCCTGCATTCAGACCTGTGCTTCTTGGTGGGGAAGTGGAGCTGGAATGTGTTAGGAGAACACAAGAGTTTTCTTAACAGTGCTCTGCCGGTTACTCTTGGTGGTGTGGGCAGAGGGGTGTGGAGAGGCGGCAGAGGCCCGGACATCAGTGTGGCACCTGTAGTGGGACGCCCAGTGAACAGCTCAAACCTTAAAACCAAGCAGTAGGTCCCAGTTTCCCCGGGTAACTGAATTTCAACAAATACCCCATTATCTACATACCTCATTGCTGGTTTCCTTTACAAATCCCAGAAATGCCACCAGTACATTTTTTTTTTTCCTCTTCATGTTAGAGGGTGCGGCTTATAGGCCTGGCAGTAGAAAGGTGCCAAGACCCACTCTCTGTCCAGGAAATATCACACTTCACAACTGCCCCCTTTTCATGCTGGGAAGGAATGCTTTAGGGAGCCACAAAGAAGAAAAAGTAATTGATTGCTACTTGCAGCAAATAACCCATAAGCTGTTGCTGGGTTGATGGAGAAATGGTTACTTAATTTTCTTCAAAGGATTGATTTGACTGTCAGGAGAAGCAGCCAACCTAATTGAGTGTGCTAGTTCACACCCTCGGTGGGAACAGTCTCAGCCCTTCTTTTGTCTTGAAAGTGTCCTGGATTATGAAGTCCCCCACCGGAGTGAGTCGAGGCTCAGGAAGGTCCAGGTGTCCTACCATGCTGTTCTGCCTCTTTCAGGTGATCTGTAGAATTTACCAGGGCCCAGTTCCTTGTCACTCCAGCTCTGCTGGGCTTACACTGGAATCAGCACTGGCTTCCTTTTCAAAGCACTCAAGTTAGCTCCCAAGGAAACGTGATTTGTTTATGCCCCAGAATGGCTGCTGTTTTCAGTTTTCAGTGGATTCTGACAGGGTGGTGACCTGGGAGAGATGCATTGCACTGTCCTCCTGGGCTGTTGATTGACCCCTCGGACCACTTAGGCTTCCTCTCCCCTCCACCCCGCACTGAGCCGTGACTCACCAGGTACTCCCCAGCAGTGCAGTATGGTGGCCAAGGCCCCTCCTGCAGCTGCATTCTGTCATCAGGGAGGCATGCGAGGCTGATTTTCCCTCAAGTCACCAATGTAATTCTGTGCCACAAAGAACCGTCTCCATCCCACAGAGGCTGATTCCCCAAGTGTCCAGCAGCTTGGAAGGGTAGCCATCCTTCTGCTGGTCTGAAGCACCATGAGGGCAGGCTGCTGACTGGTCTTGCTAACTGATGGATTCTAGCATCTGAAAAGAGCCCAAGGGGCGGACACCCAGCTTCAGTCTCTCCTGCATGCCAGGAAGAGAAACTCTCAAGGGTAGAAGAGAGACAGCATTTCCTAAGCCAAAGAAGGAACTAGGTCTCCTGCTCGAAGGGGCCACCAAGTGCCCTGTGAAAGGGGGACCTTGCCAAGGCAGTCCAGGAGCATGGAGGTGGCTTCAGATCCTTGGCCACCAGGGAGTTAAACCCTCAGGGCTTGCCTGTTGAGAGCTCACATCATTTGACTGTCTCCTTGCCAGAACCAGCCAACATCTCCCACCCACCCTCTGCAGCTAGCCCAGGTAGAGGGGGCACCAGGCTGTGAGGCAGATGAGTGCTCTCTCTGGCCTCAGCCAGGGGACTGGAATGCCAGGTTTTGATCAGCTTGTTCAGGAGAGTGTGAAGTTCACATGGCCATCTGGCTGCATCCCTCAGCCACATATGTCACTCATCAGTTTGTGTCATTGGGGAAGTCACTTGTCCTGCTGCAGTTTGTGGCCACCTCATAGGATCTGGGACCATGTCAAGTGGAAAGTTGGGGCTTGGCATATAAAAGCACTTTATAAAGGTTGGTCTTGGTGCCAGCAGCCATTGTCATTGATGAAACTACTGGGCCGGGCGCGGTGGCTCATGCCTGTAATCCCAGCACTTTGGGAGGCCGAGGCGGGCGGATCACGAGGTCAGGAGATCGAGACCATCCTGGCTAACATGGTGAAACCCCATCTCTACTAAAAATACAAACAAATTAGCCAGGCGTGGTGGCGGGCGCCTGTAGTCCCAGTTACTCGGGAGGCTGAGGCAGGAGAATGGCATGAACCCGGGAGGCGGAGCTTGCAGTGAGCTGAGATCGCGCCACTGCACTCCAGCCTGGGCGACAGAGTGAGACTGTCTCAAAAAAAAAAAAAAAAAAAAAAAAACTGGGAGCAGGGGCCTTGATTCAAAACAGCCCTGACTTTTTTTTTTTTATTAGATGGAGTCTCACTCTGTCACCCAGGCAGTGGTGCAGTGGTGCGATCATGACCCAGTGCAACCTGGAACTCCAGGCTCAAGCTATCCTCCCACCTCAGCCTGGGACCACAGGTGTGCACCACCACACCCAGCTAATTTTTTTATTATTTGTAAAGACGAGGTCTTGCTATGTTGCCCAGTCTGGTCTTGAGCTCCTGGGCTCAAGTAATCCTCCCGCCTTGGCCTCCCAAAGTAATGGGATTACAGGTATGAGCCACCTCACTCAGCCCTGATAATCTTTCAGTACATGGCTTTAGAGAACCAAAGCCTGGAATGGTGCTGCATCCCCAACTCCGGTGAAAGCCAGCAATGCTCAGTGTTTTTTGCCCTCCCTGCACCACCCACAGGCCACTGCAGTTCCCCCTCACTAATCCCTGGTACCAGCGCAGACTCGGGAATAGAAACAAGTCAGGCTGGATGGGTGTGTGGAGGGGCCAAGACCACAGCCCCTCCCTCACACGTGCAGCCACGGGCCCTCCAGGTGTCCTATCAGCTGTGGGCCCTGCTCTTGGAATTCCAGGGTGAGCCTGCCTTTCCCTCAAGGGATCAGTGTTCCCTGTTCCTCAGCCCCTCCTGACCTCTGATTAACCACACGTGCTTGAAAGATTTGCTAATGTTTACTGAACTGCTAATTTAAACTCCAGCCGTAGCCTAAAACAGGCTGTTGGATTTCAAAGCCTTGGAATTCTGCTGGCCTGGATATCCCCCTGTAAGGAAAAAGACTTGCATTCTAAATGCAGCTGGAGCCACCAATGCTAAGAATTAAATTATGGATTGGCATCCGTATTTTATTGTGAAGGGATTATTAAAATACAGCAAAAGTCAGTCAGCCCCATTTATCGCTCAGTAATGGGCTACAGCCTGTCAGAGGGGGCTGTAGGGGAAGGCTTCAGCCCAGGAGCTAAAAGAACAGTTGATTGAGCAGTCCCTGGCCTCCAAGTGGGAGCACCAAAAGACATTAGCTTCCTTCCATCCCATCCACAAATACTTCTTCAGCACCAGCCATTGCCCAGACCCCCTCCAGAGGGTACAGCAGCTAGTGATACTGGTCAGGACCCCTTGTTTTGGGAGCTTACAGTCTGGACAGGGATGCTTCAACACAGTCAAGAATGACAGGCACTGGGATGGGGCTGGGGATTAGGGAAATGTAGAGAGGGACTGGGGGAGCAGCCAGGGATGAGGGGTCAGGGGAGGCCTCACTGCAGAGCCCGGGGGGCCTGTGTATCTTGCATATTCCATGACCTTACGGGAATTCTGAAAAACAACCGAAAACCATGATTCATTTTCTCCCTCTGAAGAGACTCATTTAGTCAAGAGTTTGCATTCAGAAAACATGAGTACCTTAGGCAGAAGGGTTCCAACGAGAGAGTCATGGCTCCAGAAATGTCATGGCACTTCCGAGCAATTTGACTTGTGCTGGGAGAACACTAGGACCACTTCTGACAATGACCACCATAGCTTGCCTCTGTGATGCATGCTGGGCACAGCCCCATGCCCCTCCCAGATACCCTGGGCAGTCCTGCAGGTGGTTAAGTGTTCTTCTTATAAGGCAGAAACCTGAGACTCAGAAAAGGGAGGTGATCGGCCCAGGGTCACACAGTTTAATAACTGGCAGAGCTGGGCTTTAAACCCAGTCTGCACAGTGCTAAAGCTCAAGTTGCCGTGATACTGCTCTTCATGGTAACAGCATGCTTTTTCTTTCATGCTTTTTCCTTTTCTCCTCTTCCTTCCCAGCATCTTAAAGTTGTGTTGGGAAATGGTTGTGCTAGTTTCCCTTCATTCTGCTAAATACTTGCAGGATCTTCCAAGGTCCCCAAAACAGCCAATCCTGAGTTGTTTCTCTAGGCCAGTCTTCTGAGATGCAGCATGTAGCTTCTTGGTGGTACTGAAAGAATTTTAGAATTTTAGATGTGCCTGGATGTAGCACTAAATTAAATTACCATCACAATTATCTATTGCTGAGTAACCAACCACATATATTAACTTCATGGCTTAAAACAACTATGGGAATTCATTTTGCTAGCAAATGTATAATTTGCCCAGGGCTCAATGGGAATAACTCTGCTCCACATGGCATCAGCTGGCGTGTATAGACTGGGAGCTGGCTGTGGGCCTGGACCTTGGTTTCTCTCTGTGGGTGTCTCCATGGCTACTTGGGCTTCCTCACAACATGGTGGATAGGTTCCAAGAGCATTTTTATGACTTTGCCTCAGAAATCACAAAGCATCACTTCCATTGGTACTCTTTTGGTCTAGACAATCACTGAGGCCCACTCAGGTTCAAGGAGAAGGGTAGACCCCACCACTTGATGGGAGGAGAGTCAAAGTCACACTATGAGAAGAACATGTAGGTAAGAAATATTGCTGTGGCCATCTTTGGAAAGTATAGTCCGTAAGAAAATCCATTTCAGTGCCCCTCTAGTCTGTGCTGTTACACCAAGGAGAAGGTCTCAGATTCAGACTAGTTTGTCGTAGAAACTCTGTAACTCAGATTTCCTCTTTTTATCAAAAGAGCAGGCATTAGGCTGTAATTTAATAAATGGTCTTTTCTCCTCTAATCAGTTTTCATGTTTACCTTAATGATTGTAAGTAATTCTGTTTTTCCATTCATGGTAATGATATGAAGTTTCCTTCTGAAATTTATTTTAATAGAATACAAATGTTTTAGAAAAATTAAGCATAAGCTCTCCTTTGCTGCTATAAATTTACTCTCGCATGTGCGTATGAATAAGAATGTTCCTTTGAATGTTGTAGCAAAAGCTTCTAAACACTCCGAATGTCTGCCAGTTGGAGAGCTGTTAAATGGTGTAGAGTTCTCCCTACCGTGGGAGAGAACGCAGCTATGAAAAATCACAAGGAGTGTCTCAGTGCCGATGTGCCATCAGGAAGTGTCAAAAGTACAATGTAGGCAGTGTGGGTGGCATGCCACCATTTAAGAAAGGAAATGGAGAGGAGAACATAGCCCCATGAGTGCTTGAAAATGCACAGTGGACAGGCAACAAGAGCCCGTGCAGTGGTTGCCTCTGCAGAGGGGCACAGGAGACACTTATTATCCACTGTAAAAAGGTTTTATACCTGTTAAAATGGGAACCTAGGAATGTGTTATCTAGTGAAAGTGGTTGATAAGTTTAATATTTTCAAATAAAATAGAATGGGTCAGGTGTGGTGGCTCACACCTATAATCCCAGCACTTTGGGAGGCCAAGGCAGGAGGACCACTTGATCCAGGAGTTTGAGACCAGGCTGGACAACATAGCAAGATCCTATCTCTACAAAAAAAAAAAAAAAAAAAAGATTACCCAGGAATGATGGCACACCTGTAGTCCTAGCTACTTAGAAGGCTGAGGCAGGAGGATCGCTTGGGTGCAAGAGTTTGAGGCTGCGGTAAGCAATGATTGCACCATTGCAGTCCAGCCTGGGTGACAGACCTATCTCAGTCAATACATACATACATACATACACACACACATACATATGACATGCAGCAAATTTTCTCCCCTCCCCAAAGAAAAATAAAAGGTAGTGCCTGGGAGTAGGAGGGCTATGTCACCTTTCCTTGGAACAAGGTTCCGCTAGGAGGCATGCCATACCTTCAGGGTCCTGGGTAAGATGGAGACATCTGCCATCCTACCTTTTGCCTGTGGGGCCTGGTTCCTCCCCAGAATGGAGGCTTGGTCTGCACAGCCTTTCATGGTCCTTAGCCTTCCACCTGGGCCCTGAACTCCTCTTGGTGGGGGCCAAGCCTCATTCTCAGTATAGGTACTTAGTGCCTAGTACAGAGCCTGGCCCCAGTAGGCACCAGACTGTGCACGTGCACATGTGAGCTGAACTGGACACCAGAGCTCTTGAACTCACAGGTGTGACTGTGAGAAGAACTCACACTTGGAAACATCCACAGCTATGTCCCAAGGGTGCTGTCAGAGAGCTCTTGGCTTCACGCCATCACCTGGTTCTCAGTGATTGTCTATCATCTGCATGATCAGGCAGAGCCCGGCTGGCCAGCAGCTTGGCCTAGTGCTGCTCCCCAACCCTGGCTGGGCCTCATAAAGACCTGAGTCCCTTTGTGTAAAGCTGTGGAAAGAGACTCACTTATTTCTTTATTCAATTTTAAGTGTGCAAATAACATACCTATTTTCCCTTTAGAAAATCAGAGCAGTGTGTAGAAACTAAAATCGGCCTGTAATTCCAGCACTTTGGGAGGCTGAGGTGGGAGGATCCCTTGAGCCAGCAGTTCGAGTCCAGCCTGGGCAACATGGCACAACCCCATCTCTACAAAAAATAAAGAATTAGCTGGGCATGGATGGTGCATGCCTTTAGTCCCAGTAACTTGGGAGCCTGAGGTGAGAGGATCACTCGAGCCTGTGAGGCCGAGGCTGCAGTAAGCCATGATCGCTCCCCTGTACTCCAGCCTGGGTGACAGAGTGAGACCCTGTCTCAAAGAAAAAAAACAGAAAGAAAAAGAAACTAAAATCACCTTGGAGCTTCTTTTTCTACTCATCGTATGTTCTTGAGACTTGGCTCTCTTGAACTCTCTGGAAGGCGAATTCATTCCATGTCATTGCTCCTTGGTGTTACACAGAAGGAATAAACACATTTTAGTTAGGCTTTCCCTTCTTGCTGGAAAATTGACTCTTCACAGTCTTTTAGCCCACGCGTGTGAGTGTTTTTCTTGGGAACATACCAATTGCTAGGTCATAGAATGTGAAACTTTCGGTTTTAATAAATAATGCTAATTTGTCCTTCAAAACGGCTATGCTAATTTATTCTCCCACTAGCAGCTTTTGAGAAATGCCAGTTTCTCTGCATCCTCATTATACCTGATGTTATCAGACATGTTTATTCTTGCCAATCCTATGGGCAGAAGATGGTATTTTGAGTTGTTTCCTGATTTCCCATGAGGATGGCCGTGTGTGTGTGTGTGTGTGTGTGTGTGTGTGTGTGTGTGTGTGTGTGTGTTTATTGGCAATCCCCATTCCTGGCTGCCCCCTTCCCCTCATCTGTGAATGGCCTATGCAAATCCTTCACGTTTACTACTGTATCTTTGGCCTCTTAAATCATAGGGATAATTGATCTGATCATTGTCTTCTGATAATTTTCTTAATAGAATCCTAAGCCCCACCCCTGTAGAATTGGAGATTCGATGGGCAGTGAGATCTGGGGATGGTGGATGGATGACCAGGCAGTCTCATGTCACCTGTCAGCTGCACTGGCCTCTCCTTGCCATGGCCACTCCTGAGTGTCAGGCAGGGAGGCTGCCACATACCACGACAGAGCCGTCTGCCACCAAGTCCTTCCCATGGTACCTTAGCACTCAGCATACTCCTGCTGGCTCCCAAATGCATGCATGAAGCCTGCAGGCAGAGGCTTTAGAGGGTGGGCCGAGTTGGATTCCATTCAGCATTTCTCTCCTGGATTTCTCCTCAACCCAAGACCCCATGGCAGTCCCAAGGTGACTAGCCTGTGTCCCCCAGGGCTCCACAGCCAGGGTGTGGAGCAGCCGAGGACTGGGGCAGGGTACAGGAGTTCCCTAAAATGATACTGGCGGGACCCACAAAGGAGTCACCCAAAACCCGCAATTCCTTGATCTCCCTTGCGGATAGCATTTGCTTGTAATCTGTAGAAGCCGCTTCATTTCTCCTTAACTGCCCCACAGCCTCTGAAAAGCGAGAGCTCCCTCCCTGGGATCCTTCCTGTCTCACTGGTGTGGCCGCATTTTAGTTTTCTTATGAAATCTCTCACTGTGTTCTCACAGGGCTTTGATGTCTCAATTACATTTCTGAAAGCTGTTCCGTTCTGGGGTTTTATCCTTCCTTTTTTGTTCTTTGTGGTGGAGGTGGCAGGTCTTTCTTCCGCTGAAGCCCCTCAGGCAGCCAGGCTCTATGAGGGAGTCGCACTGCCTGGGACAAACCCCATTGACACTGACGTGTATGACTGTGTCCGTTTTCCCAGATCAAACTCTCAGATGAACTTCTTTTGTGAATGTGAAAACAGAAGGTAGTCAAGTTGTCCTGTGTAGAGTGAGGAAAGGGAAAGGAGAGGAGGGGGAAGGAGGATAGAAAGAGAAAGAAAGGAAAGAACATGTTTATTGTTTTTGTTCTATTTTTAAAGAGTATTTTTTAAAAGATTCCCACTGAGAAAATGCTTTAAGTTTTGTTTGTTTGTTTTGAGACAGGGCTCATCACTCTGTCACCCAGACCGGAGTTCAGTGGTGTGATCACGGCTCTCTATAGCCTCAACCTCCCTGGGCTCAAGTGATCCTCCTGCCTCAGCCTCCTGAGTAGCTGGGACTACAGGCACATGCCACTACAGCCAGTTGATTTTTCTACTTTTAGTAGAGGTGAGGTTTTGCCATGTTGCACAGGCCGGTGTGGAACTCCTGGGCTCAAGCGATCCACCCATCTCAGTCTTCAAAAGTGTTGGGATTATAGGCATGAGCCACCACGCCCGGCCTGTTTTAAGTATTGAGTAAAGAAAACAAACCCTACCTACCACAAAGAAAATGTTTATAAGAATGAATATGATGACTTCCTTTTTTAATAATGTAGAAGACTAGTCATCTAGAGAATCATCCAGTATGGAACTAAAAATTCATCATAAGATAAACATACTATTGTACATTTTATGTTAATATAATATATTTCATAATATATTAAAACATATATATTATAAATTTTTTTAAAGACAAGGTCTCACTATGTTGCCCAGGATGAACTCTTGGGCTCAAGCAATCCTCCCACCTTGGCCTCCCATAGTGCTGAGATTACAGGCATGAGCCACCGTGCCCAGCCCTAAAATATGTTTTTTAAAAAATATTTTCAAATACCCGGCTGGACTGTTGGGAAAGGAAAGAAGGTTCTTGCTGTAGATAATAAGAAAGCACAACTGGGCCAGATGTGGTAGCTCATGCCTCTAATCCCAGCACTTTGGGAGGTCAAGGCAGGCGGATCACTTGAGGCCAGGAGTTTGAGACCAGCCTGGCCAACATGGTGAAACCCTGTCTCTACTAAAAATAAAAAAAAAAAAATAGCCAGGCGTGGTGGTGTTTGCCTATAATCCTAGCTATTAGGGAGGCTGAGGCAGGAGGATCACTTGAACCCAGGAGGCAGAGGTTGCAGTGAGCTGAGATTGTGCCACTGTACTCCAGCCTGTGCAACAGAGCAAGACTGTCTAAAAGAAAAAGAAAAGAAAAAAAAAGGTACAAATTCAGTAAAGCCTATCTGGAGCTGGGATTTGCTGTGGGGGTACCTGGCTGACTTCGGGGGTCATGTGCTGGAGAGAATAGAGGGAAACACGAGGCCTGTAAAGACCGAGAGGACCAACTGGGTGACATCCACATGAAACCAGAATCTCAGACAGGTTACACTGTCGGAGGATTGAACCGAGGCATATGTTGCTGGGGGTTACCCGAGAAAGGAAAGAGAAATTTACCTGTGCTTTTAGATCAGGATGAAAACTGAAAAAGGAGAGGGGGGAAATCCTTGGAGAATGCATGAGCCCAGTTTGTTATCGTGTGCTTTGGCCAAAATTGATACCACCCATGTTACCCTTCTCCTCCCCTAATAAAGTTGAGCCAAATATCTGGTTAATGTGCTCCCAACAGAACCTATTGGGGTGATGGAAGTATTCCACAACTGGGATGTGGTAATACATAGCCATAAATATACTAAAACTCAGCACTATTCAAAATAGTAGACTCATGGAGTCAACCCAGGTGCCCATCAATGGTGGACTGAATGAAGAAAATGTAGTACGTATACACTATGGAATACTGTGTACAGCCATAAAAAAGAACTAAGTCGTGTCCTTTGAAGCAACATGGATGCAGCTGGCAGCCTAAGTGAATTGATGTGGGAACAGAAAACCAAATACCGCATGTTCTTACTTATAAGTGGGAGCTCAACATTGGATACTCATGGACATAAAGATGGCAGCGATAGACACTGTGTACTGCCAAAGGCAGGGGGGTGACAGGGGTTGAAAAACTGTTGGGTACTATGCTCAAAAAAAGAAAAAAATTACTAAAACTCAAACCGTATACTTAAAATAGGTAAACTGTATACTTAAAATAGGTGAACTTTATGGCGTGTAAATTATACTTTAATAAAACTATGAAGAAACAACAAAACATCTCACCTACCCTCTTCTAATCAGAGGCTTCTGTTAATGTTTTGGCACATTTTCTCTGTACTAGTATTTCTTTGTAGGGATAGTTTTTTTTAAAACATACAAAACTCTTGGTAATAACATTTTTATCATCTTTCATTTAAAATTATAATGTTTTCCACAGTCATTGCAATTATTTGTAAAACATGATTTTTAACTTGGGCTTATTATATGTGTTCGAAAGTATGTCTTGAATACTTTTCTCATTTTAAAATAATGTCCCAGTAGAGTGGGACATAGAATAAAAATGAAAGTTCTCCCCTTAATACTTCTCCCACACACACACACTCCTACCCCCAATTCTCACTTCACTCCTCATGGGTAACCACTGTCCACAGTTCGGTTAAACAATTTTTAAATGGGTATATAATTTTGCATCTGGTGGGAAAAAATTGCACTCAAATAGTTCTCCTGTTTGGGGACATTTAGGTTGTTTCCGGACTGAGCTCTCTTGTTTAAAACATAAGTGGCAGAGGATTGCATACAGCGGTAGACCATAGATCTAATGGTCCTATGTTACCCTGGTGATTTCCAAGTCAAGGGTAGACATTAAATTAGACATTGAATTTGGGGATAACTTTCTTTTTCTTTTCTTTTCTTTTTTTTTAGACAGGGTCTCGCTTTTGTCACCTAGGCTACAGTGCAGTGGTACACTCATGGCTCACTGCAGCCTCTACCTCCTGGGCTCAAGCAGTCCTCCCGCATCAGCCTCCTAAGTAGCTGTGAGGCTAATTTTTTTTCTGCTTTTTGTAGAGACAGGGTCTCACTATGTTGCCCAGGCTGGTCTTGAACTCCTGGGCTCAAGCATTCCACCCACCTTGGCCTCCCAAACTGTTGGGATTACAGGCACAAACCACTGCACCCAGCTGGGGACAACTTTCAAGTAAGAGAAGGAACCTAGCATATGCAGAGGACTCCTATGCACAAGACCCCATGCTTTTCCCGCCTTTTCTCATTTAACGCACCAAACAATTCAAGATAAGGGACGTTAATTCTCATTTTACAAATGGGAAAACTGGTTCTGAAGGGCCAAGTGCTGTACACATCCAATGCCCATCCATGTACAACATCCACTGCAGGGCTTGGCTTTAAATTGTCATACCCTGAGTTGAGGGCTTGGTGATTCTGTCATGGCTCAGGGGACTCTTGCTTTACTGTCTTTACTTAATTAGGTGAACTCAGTTTAACCATCACAACTGTAAACTGCCATTAGTCTTTAAAGAAGCACTGAAATGTTACTGAGGTTCTTGGTTTAAGTAAGTTCCATTTGTCTATTTTTGGCTTTGTTGCCTGTGCTTTTGAGGTCTTAGTCATACATTCTTTGCATAGACCAATGTCCAGAGAGTTTTCCCCAGATTTTCTTCTAGGATTTTTATAGTTCTGGGTCTTACATTTAAGTCTTTAATCTATCTTGAGTTGGTTTTTGTATACAGTGAGAAAGAGGGGTCCAGTTTCATTCTTCTGCGTATGGCTGTCCGGTTTTCTCAGCACCATTTATTGAAGATGGTGTTCTTTCCCCAGCGTATGTTCTTATCAGTTTCATTGAAGATCACTTGACTGTAAATATGTGGCTTTATTTCTGGGCTCTCTATTCTGTTCTGTTGGTCCATGTGTTTTTCTTTTTGTTATTTTTTGAGACAAGGTCTTATTCTGTCACCCAGGCTGAAGTGCTGTGGTGCGATCTTGGCTCACTGCAACTTCGCCTCTCAGGTTCAAGCGATTCTCCACCTCAGCCTCCCGAGTAGCTGGGACTACAGGCACACACCACCACGCTCAGCTAATTTTTTTTATTTTTTGGTAGAGACAGTGTTTCACCATGTTGGCCAAGTTGGCCTTGTAAGTCGTGACGTCAAGTGATCTGCCCACCTCGGCCTCCCAGAGTGCTGGAATTACAGGCATGAGCCACAGCACCCAGCCTATATGTCTATTTTTATACCAGTACCATGCTGTGTTGGTTATTACAGCCTTGTAATTTGAAGTCAGGTAGTGTGATGCTTCCAGCTTTGCTCTTTTTTTGTTTGTTTTGAGACCAGGTCTCTGTCATCCAGGCTGGAGTGCAGTGGCATGATCATGGCTCATTGCAGCCTTGAACCACCCTGGGCTCAAGCCATCCTCCCACCTGAGCCTCCTGAGTGGCTGAGACTACAGGTGTGGGCCACCACACTCAACTAATTTTTTGCATTTTTTGTAGAGATGGGGTTTTGCCGTGTTGCCCAGGCTAGTCTCCAACTCCTGAGCTGAAGCGATCCTCCCTCCTCGGACTCCCAAAGTGCTGGAATTACAGGTGTGAGCCATCACACCTGGCCTAGCTTTGCTCTTTTTGCTCAGGTGTGCTCTGGCTCTTTGGGCTCTTTTTTGGTGCCATATGAATTTTAGGATTTTTTTTCTAATACTGTGAAAAATGATGTTGGTATTTTGATAGGAATTGCATTGAATGTGTAGCTCGCCTTGGGTAGCATGGTCACTTTAACGATATCATTTCTTCTGATCCATGAGCGTTGGATGTTTCTCCATTTGTTTGTGTCATCTTCAGTTTCTTTCTTGGATTGCTGATTGTTTTGTTGTTTTGTTTTGTGTTGTGTTGTTTTGTTTTGTTTTGTTTGAGACGGAGTTTTGCTCTTATTGCCCAGGTTGGAGTGCAGAGCGCGATCTTGGCTCACTGCAACCTCCACCTCCCAGATACAAGCAATTCTCCTGCCTCAGCCTCCCAAGTAGCTGGGATTACAGGTGCCCACCACCACACCCAGCTAATCTTTTGTAGTTTTAGTAGAGACAGGATTTCACCATGTTGGCCAGTCTGGTCTCGAACTCTTCACCCCAGGTGATCCACCTGCCTTGGCCTCCCAAAGTGCTGGGATTGCAGGCGTGAGCCACGGCACCCAGCCATGCTGGTTGTTTTTAAGCTACGGCTTGAGCACCTAACATGCAGTAAACATTGGACAGATGCTTTATGTACTTTATATGCTTTATATCAGTCCTAACTAGTAGCAGTTTGAGGGAGTGTGCATTCTCTTTATTATCCAGATGAGGGATCTGAGGTCCAGAGAGGAAAAGAAACTTTCCCGGCATAACTGTCAGAGAAGGGACTCAGACCTAGGTCTGTGTGACTCTAGGCCTGGGCTCTAACCACTGAGCTCTGCTCCTGATAGAATGAGAGTCAGCTTTGGTGTCTCCATCACCCTGGGCAGCCAGACTGTGCCTCATTCTCTTCTCACCTTCCTCCTCCCAGATAACAGCGACTTGATTGCATGTACAGTGATCACCAAGGATGGCGGCATGGTCCAGCGATTCCTGGCTGTGGATATTTACCAGATGAGTTTGGTGGAGCCTGATGTGTCCAGGCTTGGCTGGGGAGTGGTCAAGTTTGCAGGCCTATTGCAGGTAAGATGGCCAGGAGCTCTGGGATCTGTTCTCAGTTGGCTACAAACACACACACACACACACACACACACACCACACACAATTGTCATCTTTATCATTAATTTGTAGTGATATTATACAAGGTATATGTGAACAAATTGTCACCCAAAAAAAAGCTAAAATACCACATAAATGCACAGATAAGAGCAAAGTCCTCTTTGACCAAAACGCTCGATTCTTACACCTCCCCTCCACCAGAGATAATCTTCATTATCAGTGTGACCTTTCCAGATCTGTTTTTCTGCCAAAGGCATATATAAATGTAACTACATGTACTATTTTTAAAAATTATATACATATACTTGAGAGTGTATGTGTGTGTTTTTTATGATATCACATTGAATATGTTCTAAACTTTGCTTTTGTCATTCAATATCAATAGTGTGTCTTGGAGAGCCAGCCACATTAGTACACGCAGACTTCCTGGTATTCTTTTTCACTGCTTTGTGACTATAGCAAGGCATACTTAACCCATGCCGTGTCGGCTATTTCCAGTTTTCTGCTATTTCAGCAGACGGTGCTGCCATGAACAGAATCACTCTTACTTCTTTATGCACTTGGGCAAGGTTTCCCTAGGCAGATACCAAGAAGCTGGGGTGTACTAATTTTAAGTGTTAGTAGACACTGCCAAATACCACTCTAAAATGATTGTTGCCACTGGCATTTTTGTGAATTCCCTTCCGCTCAACGTCACCCCAGCAGAGCTAGGCTCTAACTTGCCAAGTACCAAGCTGGGGCTTGGGTTTTGGGGATTTTTTGGGTTTTTTTTTGTTTTTAATGTTTGCCAACGTGGGCCAGACGTGGTGGCTCGTGTCTGTAATCCCAGCACTTTGAGGGGCCAAGTCAGGTGGATCACTTGAGGTCAGGAGTTCGAGACCAGCCTGGCCAACATGGTGAAACCCCGTCTCTACTAAAAATACAAAAATTAGCCGGGCATGATAGCAGGCACCTGTAATCCCAGCTACCCAGGAGGCTGAGGCACGAGAATCGCTTGAACCCAGGAGGCAGAGGATGCAGTGAGCTGAGATCGTGCCACTGCACTCCAGCCTGGGCGGCAGAGTGAGACCCTGTCTCAAAAAAAAAAAAAAAAAAAAAAAAAAAAGTTTGTCAACGTGATAGATAACTAGTACCAGCTCTTTGAGTGAATAAAGCAAAGAATCAGAAGGGTTGAAAGCAGCCTCCCAGGTCGCCCCTCTGCCATACCCCTTGTCCCTGGATGTCCAGCTGACACTTCAGGCCTGAACTTTGCCCTACTTCAAGGCAGTCCATTTCTTTGCCAGCCAGCCCTGGTTTCTGGAAGGGCCTTGGCTCAGGCCGCCCCACCTCTGCCTTGCCGCAGCCTGACCTGCTGTCTGTGTCCTGCTCTCTGCGAGAACCACCCACATACTTGAAGCTACTGTTACAGCCTCTTCCCCAGCCTCCTCTTCTTCAGGATCTTTCTATTGTAAAAGTGTCTTTTACAAAGTGTGGTGTGAGAAACAACTATAGAAGAATCTTTCATTTAAAAGAAACACTCCATGTAAGACATTATCCATTAAGTGACTTATGCTTATCTATCTAGGCTTTATCTAGGCTTATGATTAATTTCCTTTAGAATTTAGTGTCAGGCAAGTGTTTTTCTCCCCTGAAGAATTAATATGTGTCTTCCATCAGACAATGAAAGCCACATAAACCTTTTTTTTTGGCCGTCTTCCAATGGGTGCTATTTGTCAGGTCTTTACTATACCAGACTCCCTGCTTTAAATGCAGAATGCCTCATCTGATCTTACTGCCGCGTTTTGATGGGGGTGTTATCTCCAAAGAGCCTGTGCCAAATGTAGTGCCTGAGAACCACAACCATCTTCCTCTGTGAGCCTTTTCCAATGTTGTCCCCACCTCCTTTAACATTTCTGACTTTTGTGTTCATTCCCTCTCAGGCTTTTATATCAGATCACCTCAAACCTTCATGGGAGTAGATTGTCTATGCAGAGTCCGTTCTGAGGTTTTAGACTGGTTTGTCTTTATTATATTTTGCTACATGTTCATTTATTCTCCACCTTTGAAACACAGTTTCCTTCAAATCTCTGCTCAATGACCTTCCCTATCCCTTTCTTTTTTTTTTTTTTTTTTTTTTTTTGAGATGGAGTCTCATTCTGTTGCCCGGGCTGGAGTGCAGTGGTTCGATCTCGGCTCACTGCAACCTCTGCCTTCCGGGTTCAAGCGATTCTCCTGCCTTAGCCTCCTGAGTAGCTGGAACTACAAGCGCACGCCACCATGCTTGGCTAATTTTTGTGTTTTTAGTACAGACTGGGTTTCACCCTCTTGGCCAGGCTGGTCTCGAACTCCTGACCTCGTGTTCCACCCACTTCGGCCTCCCAAAGTGCTGGAATTATAGGCGTGAGCCACCGTGCCCAGCCCCTGTCCCTTTCTCAGGATTAGCTTTTCCCTTTGGGGACCAGAAGTTTGTCAAAGACATACAAATGGTTGCCAACGATGTCCCCTTCTTAGAAGAAATAAGGAAGAAATTGATGAGTAGATGAGCAACTATATCTGAGATCATGCCAGATGGTAATAGTAATTTTGGTTCATTATCTCTGGCTTCTCAGAAGTAAGAGTTTGCCTGTGGTGTTACCTGTGGCCCCTTGAAGAGGCTTGTGGGGGTACGCTGTTATTCATGAGCTGACCCCAGTCCTCATGGAAAACAGGCACCAGCCACCACCACCAGCATCCGCTCCTTTGGGGTACTCTGTGCCTCCTCCCACACTGTCCTCTCCCACTGGGCCTGGTCTGCCTTGTGCCCATCCATGACTCTGTTGGACTTGGGAGGCTGTCGATCTTAGATCAAAAGCAGAGATGAATTTGGAGACCTCTTTCTAGATGCCTCATGATGCCACAGCTCCTAGCCACCCTCCTCCCAAACCCAACGAATGCCTTTTCCTTTGCTTCTCACTGTGCAGGACATGCAGGTGACTGGCGTGGAGGACGACAGCCGTGCCCTGAACATCACCATCCACAAGCCTGCGTCCAGCCCCCATTCCAAGCCCTTCCCCATCCTCCAGGCCACCTTCATCTTCTCAGACCACATCCGCTGCATCATCGCCAAGCAGCGCCTGGCCAAAGGCCGCATCCAGGCAAGGCGCATGAAGATGCAGAGAATAGCTGGTGAGTGGCTGGACCCTGGCAGGGCATCCTCTGAGCACTTGGTGGGTCAGGGCTGTTTGTAGTTCTCACACTGACCTTGAGAACCCCCATAGCATAGAAGAAGACACGTATGATTCAGGAATTGTTTTATATACGAATACGAGGAAGTTCCATTTCCTGGGTGTTTGGTTTCTGGTGAGTTTCTAGGGCTGCATGGAAGAGAAGAGGAGCTCTCCCTAGCAGGCAGGAGGCCAGCAATAAGTAGACGTCAGTGTGGGACCACTCTTCTCAGCCCTTCACACTGAAATTCTCAAGCATATGTTAACAAAGTGCTTTGACGTTACTCTACCACCTCCGATCCTTAAAACAACTCTGGAGTTCTGTAGGGCCTGCTCTGCCCATTTTACGGAGAAGGAAACAGGCTCAGGGACTTGCCCAAAGTCACACAGGCAGAACCCACAGGCAGAACTTCCTACTGTAAACTTACCCCTTCCTCCTTCCCCTTCCCAGTTCTTATAAGAGGCAGCCCTGCTTGGTGAAAGGCTGGAACCCTTGGAAGGAAGTCATTTTACATTTCACGGGGATTGCGGTGAATTTCTGAGGAAGCCCAACACTGCCCAGTATTAGGAAGGCCAGGATTTATTACAAGGAAAGTCACAGAAATGAGGGAGATGCGTTCATTGGGCAGGAAGGCAAGGCCTTCTCCTCGGCGTGGGGGGAAGGCATGCTGTCAACTCCTAAAATGACAGTCTTTCTCAAGATACCCAGTGCCATTCAGTTCAGGCACCAGTGCTCATCCTGGTGGCTGCTGAGAGGATTTTAAGCCTACCTGGGGATGTGGGGGTGCTTTCTCAAGGGATAACTTTAAAATAAGCCCTTGACCAGGCACGGTGGTTCATGTCTGTAATCTCAGCACTTCGGGAGGCCAAGGCGGGTAACTCACTTGCGCCCAGGAATTCGAGGCCAGCCTGGGAAACATGGCAAGACCCTGTCTCTACAAAGAAATTACAAAAATGAGCCAGGCGTGGTGGCATACGCCTGTAGTCCCAGCTATTCGGGAGGCTGAGGCGGGAGGATCACTTGAGCCTGGGAGGTGGAGGTTACAGTGAGCCATGATTGCACCACTGCACTCCATCTTAGGAGACGGGGTGAGACCCTGTCTCAAAATAAACCCTCAGAGGGCCAGTTTCTGGGCGTTACCGATGCGATGATTTACTGTGCTGATTTGCACAGGCCCGCGTCCCACGTTGTCGTCCCCGTCTCATTTCTCACTTAGCTGAAACTTGGCCTACAAAATCATTACTGAAGCATTCTGTAATGTGCAAAGTGACTTAAATCATTCAGCCCTTTCTTTTAAGATTTATTTTCAGAGAGTTTTTTTTTTTTCTTCATGTAAAGCAATTTCTCACAGCTGGCATGAAGGCCAAATACTTCATTTGAAAATTGAGAATTATGCTGTAAAGTGGCTGTTAGAACTAAAGCCTTGGGTATTTCTTAAATTGATTTTAAAAAGCCCCTCCGTATGGATATATTGGGAGGTTTATTTATGGAAGGGAGGTTAGTGGCTGAGACAGATAAACACCCACTCAGAGTTACACATGTACATGCACATCCATATTTTCGCATGCTCCTGCACATGTGCGGATATACATACACACGTATACGTGTGAACTCTCTGGGCAGACTCGGCCCCACTCGCTTGGGGTCTGAAACAGCCTTTGTCAGGGTCCTTTACACATGGAAGCTGAGAATCCAAAGTGGAAATTGACCCAGCTTCCATTCCACTCGAGGAGCCCAGGCTCAAACCCCTTTCTCCTTGGTCTCAACCTTGGCCCGAAGCCCTCACTTGGCTTCCGCTTGTGCGTTGAGCCTCAGTGGGAACTTTGATGTTCCACTGGTCTCTGCAGCTTGAGGCTGCCTGCCGCCCACTTGGCGTCTCCCAAGTGATGTGCCTGGCAGGGCCACAGCCACTACGATGTCCCCCCCCCCAAATTCTCACCACCCCCCTCTATCCCACATGCTCAGAGTGAACCATGCTATTGTTTGACCGTAGCCCTCCTGGACCTCCCAATCCAGCCCACCACTGAAGTCCTGGGGTTTGGACTCGGCTCCTCCACCTCCACTCAGCACCTGCCTTTCCGCTTCTACGACCAGGGGCGCCGGGGCAGCAGCGACCCCACAGTGCAGCGCTCCGTGTTTGCATCGGTGGACAAGGTGCCAGGTGAGCCAGCCCCCCGCCCTGCGCCACAGCTCGTTCATCATGGTGGGCGTTCAAGGTCTTTCTCTCTGTGGAGCCTGTGTGAGCTGCCCTTCCTCTCTCAGAAGCCCCGTCGGCTGGCAGCACCAGCTTCTTAGAATTTGTCAAAGCACAGCGCAAGATTAAACACAGCCCCCAAAATAAATTTTGGCTTTCCCTTTAGTGTTTGGTTTGGTTTTCCAGAGATTTGTTGGGTATGTGGAAGAACTTCTCAGAATTGACTAAGAATTTTCTTGGAAATTTCTTGGAAACATTTAAATGATTAGTGCTGAAGTTGTGGGAGAGTAATTTCCTTCTCCATGTAAGATGACTAGAAAGAGAGAGTGTGTTTGGTTCCGGTTACAACCCCCTGAAGAAGTGAGACTTCAAAAGAAGGCCGTGCTGCCCACAGGTCAGCTGTCCACTCCTTCCATATGAGGGCGTCTCCTCCCACTTTTGCCACAGCTCATCTCTAACCCTGCTCCTCCGCTCCTCCCAAAACAGAAACTTGAATGGAAAGTCCATTGCTGATTTGTCAGAGTGGAAAGGACCACTTCTCCAGAAGACCGAGTTCTCCCCTTCCTGTTCTGACATGTCTGCTTTAAGTAAATCCGTATGCACCCCGATCCCTCGAAAGAGAGCCTTTCTTTTGGTTGCAAAAGTTTAGAGCGCTGGCCAAGCTCTCCCTCACAACTTAACCCCTCCCCATATAGGGCTTCAAACTTAAGTTGCAAGTGTTGTGAAATGTTTTCAAAAGCAGTTATTGATTTAAGAACAAAACGCAGCCATAGGAACCTGCTCAAAACCCGAGTCCTGGTTCCCCCATGTGATTTATTTTAGTTTCATTGTTTGATAATTCATTATTTATATGTATATACCGTAGGCATATGATTTTTTAAAATCCAGACAGGAGATGATCAAATGAAAAATAAGTCTACTTTGCTTCAGAAGTAACTATTGTTAACAGTTTCTTGCCTGTCTTTCCAGAAATATTTCTTTGTATGTCATGCATATGTTTGTTTTTTACACATGGGGTATACCGTATGTCTGATGCTGCACCTTGCTACTTCTTCCTTAATAGAAAGTGTCACACATTAACACGTATAAATCAACCTAATTCTCCTTAACTGTTACATGGTATTTTGTCATATGGATGGGCAAAAAAATCTTTTTTGCTGTTTCGTATTTGGGTCATTTCCAGTGTTTTGCTCTTACAGTGTCACAGTGAGCATCCTTAGGGTGTCTTTGTGTAATTGTGCAAATTTCTCATGTCTGTGTGATAAATTCCTAGCAGTGAATTTGCCAAAGGGGAAGGTTTTTAATCTTGATATATGTAGTCCCAACGTGAACTCTAGAAAACAGTACACCAATTCACTCTGCCACCCACAGCTTGTGATTGGTTTCTTTCTTAAATCCAGTCTCAGGGCTGGGCATGGCGGCTCATGCCAGTAATCCTAGCACTTTGGGAGGCTAAGACAAGGCGGATTGCTTGAGCCCAGGAGTTTGAGACCAGCCTGGGCAACACAGTGAGACATCGTGTCTAGTATAAATAAAAAATTAGCCAGGCATGGTGGTGGGCACCTGTGGTCTCAGCTACACTCAGGAGGCTGAGGTGGGAGGGTCACTTGAGCCCAGGAGGTTGACGCTGCAGTGAGCTATGATTGTACCATTGCCCTCCAGCCTGGGCAACAGAGTGAGACCCTGTCTCAAAAAGAAAAGAAAAAAATAATCTTAGGCTGAGAGACTGATTGTGGCACCGCCTGTTTTCAGTGATGAAATGTGAGATGATTCTGCCTGTTTCAGGGTCAGGAGGATTCTTTGCTTAAAAAATTCTGCAGGTTGCTTCGTGTTCTGTGGCTATGATTGCTAAGTAAATATAAAGTGTGACTGAGTCTAAGTTAACTAAGTACAAATTGACCTGGTAAGAAATGACTTCTTTAGGGTCATTGAGGCGTCTTTCAGTTTCGGAACTTACTGGTTAAAGAGAAAAGCCCAGGCCTTATTTCTGTTCTGAGCCCTTTTGGAACAAGGTAGAATGTAAATAAATACATGGAGCCAAGCGGCCCATTCTTCAGCATCTACATGATCATTTCTCTGTTTGCAGAATGCTTTAGGATGACTTATTGCTTACCTCTTCTACCCTGCCTGGCCTTCCACCGGTGGGTGAGAACATCAAATGCCAGGAGTGTGGCCCGGCTCCAGAACCTGGGCCTGCCTGCCGGGGTGGTTGGCACAGCTGGGATGCCCCATGTCCTGTTGCTGGTCCCAGGGTCAGCAAGTGTGAGGCTGTGCCAACTGGGACAACAGCAAGTCAGAGGTGGCTGCTGAAGGCAGCATCCACCCCTTGGCTGTGTCTCCCCTGACTGCCCCTGGAAGTGCCACTCAGCTATGAGGAGTGAGATGGAGACATTCTTATTTATCACACCACCCCCGCAAAGAGGGAGGCCTCGCTGCCCTCCCACCTTGGCTTGGCACCAGAGCTGTGTCCTGAAGAGCAAGTTGAAATCCCTGAGCCTTGGCATGGTGGGAGCATAGGCTGCCCCCACCCCCATCTCAGTAGTCAGGGTCCCCCACAGCAGCAGCCACTCAGCACTTTGGAATCATTCTTAAAACTTTTCACCCTGCTTCCACACCCACCAGCCTGCTTGGCCTCCAGAAAATACTGAGATCCGAGATCTCCTCTCCCAGATCTCCCAAGATTGCAACAGAAGCCTTCTCAGGATCCCTAGCTTCCATTCAGCCAGTGGGATCATTCTAGTACTTAAATCAGATTACGTCATACCCCTGCCTCCAGCTTTTTGGTAGTTTCCTGTTGCACTTAGAACAAAATCCACATCTCTCCTTCTGATCTTGGGTGGTGGCTGTGAGATCCGGCCCCAACTGGCCTCTCAGATGAAGTTCCCCCAACCCCAAGCTCACTCTAGCCCCAACCCCAGCCTTGCCAGCCCCTGCTGCTCCTCTAAGCTAGCATTTCTCAGAGTTTTAGCCTCAGCACCCACGTGTTTATCTGCTTAAAAAGTATTACAGAACTTAAAGAGCTTTCATTTAGATAGATTATATTTATAGATATTTATGACATTAGAAATTAAAACTAAGAAATGCTTTCAATATATACTTCTTGAATAAACCCATTGCATATATGCATAACTAACATAGTTTTCTATGAACAATAACTCTGTTTTCCAAAACATAGAAAAAAATTGATCTTGCACATTTCTGCAAGTCTCTTTAATGCCTGGCTTAATAGAAGACATCTGGATTCTCCTCTTTGCTTCTGTTTTCTGTCTGTTGTGATAGCATGCATTCTGTGGCCTCTGGAAAACTCCTCAGTACACCCCTGGGAATATGAACATAAAAGAAAAATGTCTTACTATTTTTATGAAAACAAGGATTTCCAGACCACACTTTGAGACCCACTCCTGTAAATCACTGTGGCCTTCCCTGCCCCAGGGCCTTGCACTGGATGTCTGTACCCAGATGTTGGTGTAGCTGCCTCCCGCTAACGGCTCAGGCTTAGTTTGTGTGCCGCCTCTTCAGTGGCCTTTTCAGATCAGCTCCTGGCTAGGGTTGTCCCCTCCCGCCACTGCATTGGCCTGGTTCCTTTTTTTTTTTTTTTTTTGAGATGGAGTCTCTCTCTGTCGCCCAGGCTGGGGTGCAGTGGCACAGTCTTGGCTCACTGCAAGCTCCGCCTCCCGGGTTCACACCATTCTCCTGCCTCAGCCTCCCTAGTAGCTGGTACTACAGGCGCCCACCACCACGCCCGGTTAATTTTTTGTATTTTTAGTAGAGATGGGGTTTCACCGTGTTAGCCAGGATGGTCTCGATCTCCTGACATTGTGATCCGCCTGTCTCGGCCTCCCAAAGTGCTGGGATTACAGGCGTGAGCCACCGCACCCAGCCTAGCCTGGTTCCGTTTATCCACAGCACTGAGGTTCCTTACCTGGCTGATGCCTTTGTGTGCCTGGTCATAGTCTTTCTCCCCTGCAGAGAGGGTTGCCTGCGTGGGAACCTTCTGTGCTGTTTACCCTGCATCTCAGCGCCTAGCTCTGTGCCCCCACTTAGTATCGTTGAGTGAAGAATGAGCCTGCATTTGTTATCTGCTCAGCCTTGGAACAGAGCCCATCAAAGGCCTTCTCCCTTCTCTGAACACGGGAAGACAAGGAAAGTCCCTCTGGGGCCCTAGATACTTGGTGGTTTAGTCCATGGAACTTTGACAAGGGAACACAAAGGAACTGAGAACCGAGAAGACCTTAAGCAGCATCCCTCGGCTAAATTTCTGTCACCAAGCGAGCAAGATGTGTGTCCAAGGACCATGTACCCAGGTGACAGATTTAGGTTGGTTGCATATCAACTGAATTTCACCACCCTCCTCCTACTCAGAGTTTTACAGAAGCCACAGAGTAGTGACACGGGGAGCCGGGCAGTGGAGGGAGATTCGGTCATCAGAAACCTGGCCCAGGTTGGCCTCTGATACTGTGACATGTCACCATTGCCATCAAGGGCCCGTGGGTGCTGGGGCGTGACCACTTCCCACCCTCCACAATGGTGCCCCTCCCCATAGGCCGCACAGCGCATGGAGTCCTTGCTTCTGCCTAGATAATAATTCACAAGGAAGAAAACAACTCTGGCTGCTGCCTCGGGGTGGCTGCCAGACAAGGGTGTTTTATTAGGACACATCTTCCGATTTTATCTGCGGGCCCAGGTAATTGTCATAGAGCAGTTTGTCTCCCCTTTAGAAGCTATAAACGATTGTATTTGATGAAAATATGCCTTTCATTTCCTTGGATGAGATATTAAAGTAGTGTATAAATCAGGGCTAATAGGTGACTAGCCACTTTGGTGTATTTTTCTTCTTCCATTTGGCTCAGAAAAAAAAAATCACAAGTTCTATTTATTGGCTGGTTTTATGTTGATGGCTCTCACCCTCACAGAATGTTCAGCTTCACGAGGGATTGTGCGTGCGCCTGGCCAAGGAGGGGGGTCAGTGGCGGCCAGTATGTGGGGGTGGGCAGGCATGGCCAGGCCTAGACTCTAGCCTGAGCACTCTGTGGCTTTGAGTGCCATGTTGCTGTGGTTAGTGCCTCATGGACCTGGCCCATGGCAACAGCTGCTTCTAGAGATAGAATCTGTCATGATGGGCAGGGTGTCCAAAACTCGCCTGCAAGGCCACCCTTTCCATAAACTCCAAGTGGACCAGCAGACCCCAGAGCAGAAGCTGTTCCCCAGAAATGACCCAGGGGTGTCAGGGGCTACGGCCTCCCAGAACAGCCTTGCTCCTCACTCTGGGCTCCTACTGGCCCAGAGGCTGCTTCAGGAGGCCGCAGGGAACCAGAGCTGCTTACAGGTGTTACCCTGGTGGGTTGGTGGGTGTGGGAAGGGCTGGCAGAGCACACAGCTCAGAGGAGCAGCCAGGCAGGTTGACATCTCCTGGCCCTTGCAGATGAGGGCTTAGTGACATGACAAAAAAGTGACCTGTTCCCACCTGGTTTACCATCAACCGCTCCCCACCAGCCTGTTAACTCCGGGACAGGGACTTCTCTGCCTCTTCTGCTGCTCTCTCCTTAAAACCCACCAGCCCCTCCTGTCACCAGCCCCTCTCTGTGGCCCATGGTCCCATGCAGTCTGGCCCCTGCCCTCTTCTGGGATCAGCTCCCAGCCCTCTCTCCCCTCGGCTCTCTGCAGATGACACAATCCAGCCCTTCAGCCGCACTGGCTGGCTGGCTGTGCCTCACCAGGGCCAAGTGCGTCCCATTTCAGGGCCTCTGTTTTCGTGCTTCCCTCCGCCTGGAGCCCTCTGCATGGCTGGTTCCTTCTCAGCACTCAGGGCTCTGCTCCGATACCTCAAAAAGGGGCCTTCCCTGAGTGCCCAGGTCACCCTAGTTCTCTGCACGGCAGCTTGTTTTTAATTGAGGTGAAATTTAACACAACATAAAACTAACCACTTGAAAGTGAACAATTCAGTGGCATTTAGAACCTTCCCAAGATTGTGCCATCATCCTCTCCTCTAGTTCCAAAACATTTCCATCCCCTCAAAAGAAAACCCCATAGCCATTAAGTAGTCATCGCCCACCCACCCCCCCCGCCCCCGCCCCCATCCAGCCCCTGGCATCCACTAATCTGCTTTCTGTCTCTATAGATTTACGTAGTCTGGGTATTTCATATCAATCATACAATCCATGGCCTTTCATGCCTGGCTTCTTTCAGTTTGCATCATGTTTTCAAGGTGCATCTATCCTTCTTTTAGCTGAATAATATGCATTATATGGATAGACGTTGTTTTGCTTCCACCTTCATCCATCAATGCACATTTGGGCTGTGTCTGCCTTTTGGCTATTGTTGAATGGGTTGCTGCGAACATTCGTGCACAAGCTTTTGTTTGAACGCCTGTTTTGTTTTCAGTTATTTCTGGTATATACCTAGGAGTAAAAAGTAGGTCATGTGACAATCTAACTTTCTGAGGAATTGCCAGACCGTTTTCCCATGGTCTTCATAGTCCTTAGCTTTAGCTGAAATTGCCTCTTGTATTCCTTGTTCTCTGACACTATCCTGCACTAGAATGGAAGGCACTTGGCCAGGGGGTGGGTACAGGGTTGTGGGGAACCTCGTTTGTCTTGTCCTTGACAGTGCTCATGGATGCCTATGAAGTAGTTGCTCAGTGAATACCGATGTGTGGGCGGATGGATGCATTGGTGGATGGGAGGCTGGGGGACAGAGGATGGGGCTGGAGGAATTGTTCAGTCTTGTTTTCCCAACAGACTGTAAACCCCTAAGGCCAGGGTATTTCTGTCTTATTCAGGTCTGGTACCCTGTGCCAGTTGGTGGTGGTTTGGGTGTGAGCTGGCAAGTTGGACTTCATCCCTTAAGGGCTAAGCTGGACTTTATTCACTTCCTGTCCCAGCTTCCTACTGGGTTTGGGGCTCCAGCTGTCTTGTGGTAGATATTTAACTCCCCTGTATCACCTGAGGTCAGGAGTTCGAGACCAGCCTGGCCGACATGGCGAAACCTCGTCTCTACTAAAAGTACAAAAATTATCCCAGTGTGGTGGCGGGCACCTGTAGTCCCAGCTACTCGGGAGGCTGAGGCAGGAGAATCACTTGAACCCGGGAGGTGGAGGTTGCAGTGAGCTGAGATCTTGCCATTGCACTCTAGCCTGGGTGACAGAGTGAGACTCTGTCTCAAAAAAAAAAAAAAATTTTTTTTTTGACTCTCCTGAGTATCTGGGCCATGCCTTGCTTTTCACCGGTGTTATCTTTATCAAAGGCACCTAAACCGGCAGGGTCAGTCACGTGACCCAGAGCACTTAATAGTTCCGTGGAAAAGCCTCGCCGGTTCCAGAGGCAGCCCTTGGCAGCTGAGTAACTTAGGAAGAATGCAGAAATGACAGTGTGCTATGAGCCAGCTGAGCTGACCGCAAAGCCTCTGACCGCCATCCAAAAAGGCAAAAAGAAAATTGATGTTTCATTCATAGACATCAGTTCAGACCTCCCCTGAGAATAACGTCCTAGGTGCTAATGTCATCTCATGGTGGCATTTTCCAGGAACTAATTTTTTAGTCCTCTTATTTTTCTTGTTTCTGATTATAAAACTGGAGCCAGTTCTCTCCTTGTAGCTCCCCAAGGCAAAAAATACCCTTTCTGGAGTCACACAGGAAGAAGGACCTGGGGCTTCCTCCAGCTTCTCCAGCCCGGTCTTAACCCTTTCCCAGCCTTCAGCTCACTGCTTAGAGACTTGGGCCAGCAGGTTAGTGAGGCGGGTCCGTGAGTTATGGAAATTTGATTCCTACCCTCAGGCCTTTTATAAAGCAAAATTTATTGAGCTGCTAAGCACTTTATGCATTATTCTTGTTCGAGCTTCCCAATAGCCCTCAGAAGGAAGATGTTACCATTTTCCCTTTCAGCAGGTCAGAAAGTGGCCTACCCAAGGTCACACCAGATACCCTCCCTCCAGCGTCAGACCCTGAGTCCCACCACCATGCTGAACCAACTTTTAATTCATAGCTAATGTGAATTCCCCTTTTCTGATTTTTTTTTTTTTTTTTTTTTTGAAAGAAGGGCCTAACAGCAGCCACCTAAGGCCTCACTGGTACCAGGCAAAACTACGTTGTCGGCTCCAACTCTAAGCATATTTTAGACAGAAAAATTTGTATCTATTTCTGGAAGTGTGAGCTATAATTTGGAAGAATTAACCATGTTGGGCACTTTATATGCACAAATTCTATCCTCCCGACCACCCTGGAAGCTGGTATCACTTGCTCTGCCTCACAGATAGGAAACTGAGGCTCAAAGCAAGACTGCAGAGCTCACATGAGATAGGCTGAGATCTGTACCTCCCCTTCCTGCCTCTAAATCCCATTTGCTTCAAGGCTGGCATTGGTGCAGGTTGAATATTCCTTATCCAAGATGCTTGGGACCATGAGTGTTTTGAATTTTGGATTTGGGGGAATTTTGGAATATTTGCATTATACTTACTTACTGGTTTAGCTTCACTAATCTAAAAATCCGAAATCTGAAATGCTCCGATGTGTGTTTCCTTTGAGTGTCATGTCGACACTCAAAAAGTTTTGGATTTTGGATTTTCAGATTTGGATTGCTCAACCTGCAATGACTGAGCTACTTCGCATGGCAGCTCTGCCTGTCTCAGAATGTCAGAGATCAGTAGGATAGGCCCTCCTTAGAGAGGGGCCTCAAGGGATGCCCCTGGTCTAGACAGAATGTTCCCTACTCCCCTCTTCCGTCATCCACCCTGGCATAGGCCCACATCCTCGTGCCCCAAGACCCACTTCCAGTGTTTCAAGGACAAACCTGCAAAGCAGCAATCCAGAAAGATGCTCCGTCCTGAGACCACCACTTCCAAACCAGGCTAGCGGTGCAGGGCTCGTTCCTGCACAGGTTTGTCCCTGGTGTGCATGAACAAAAAGCAGAAGGATGACTTCAAAATCCTGCCTGAACAAAAGCAGCAGGATTTGAGCCCCTTTCAAAGCTTTCTGGCAATTGCCTCTAAGAGATCAGCCTTCAAGTGGTGGGGCAGGGGTGTGGGGAACAGATCCTACTCAAAAATCAGCCCTGAGCTGAGTCCAAGGGGTCTCCTGTTTGCCAAGCCTCTTTTCAGGGCTCCAGAGCAGCTGTGGAGAGAGAGAGCCTCAGGGAATCTGGAGCTGGGCTCACACAGCCAGAGAAGGAACCGCGTTCCCGGATCCGGGCCTGCAAGGTTTCCCCACTCACAACATGCCCCCCAAAGACACTTTCCCAATAGACACAGTAGCACTTGTCATGGGGAGCCCTCTCTCGCTAAATATGGACACAGTAGGCAGGGCCAGCCATCTTGCCCAGATGCTTTTCTGGGAGGTGGAGGGAGGGGAAGAAGAGAGTTCCAAAGAACTGAGTGTTGCTTCACTCTTTGGGGTCATTACCTAACTCATACTGCCAAAGCGACTGTATGCCCGGGAGCCTTCTGGTCATAAGAGTGTGTCAGATGGCAGGGAACACTCCCTGGTTGCTAATAGAGAAGCCCGTGCAGTAGGTGGGGGGAGAGAACAAACCCCATATGCAATCTGCCATTTGACCTGGGCCATGCCTTAGAATGTTCTGTAGGCTCGGGTGGGCCCGCAGCAGGGCAGCCATGCCGGCAGCACAGCACAGGCCAGTGTCAGTGGCAGAGCGGGTGGCTTGGCCACACACCCCGTGTGCTCACCAGCACGGGCCTGGCCCCACACGTAGGATAGAGCTCTCCAGCCTCATCCTCCAGCCTCCTAGTCAAGCACATCTAGTGCATAACAGAAAAGACTGGAAGACACCAAGAAAAGATCGAACTTACCAAATCTTCCCACCCCAGGGTGTCCATGATCAATCCCAGCATCCTTTTTTTCATTGTTTTTCCTGTTCATTCACAATGGGGTTTCTTTTCCCAGCAGCAGAGTATTTGCCCAGGTGAGAAGCAGCAGAATGAAAGCACCCAGCACAAGCCAAAGAGTATGGGCCCAAGTCCCAGCCTTCCACCTCCACGGGAAAATTGTTAGGTGGCCTTGACCCATTTGGTTCACCTTGTTGGATCTCAGTTTATTCATATAAGAAACAGGGATGATGCTCGACAATGTGAGTGGACTTAAGAACTGAACTGTACTCTTACTAATGGCTCAGATGGTAGATTCTGTTATGTGTACCACAACCGAAAAACAAAAAATGGGATACAAGTGTCACCTCATTAGGCTCTTGTGACATAAAATGAGTTCATTCACCTAAGTGCCCAGAACAATGCCTGACCCATATAAAACGTGCAGCAAAGGTTAACTGCTCTTGCCATTTTGTTGTTGTTGTTGTTGTTGTTGTTGTTAGTTAAGGGCTGAGCCTTGGGACCCCAGAAAATAGGTTCCTTTTCTACACATTAATCAATTAGCACGAACAAAATTACGAATGCAGTAGTCCTTCTGCTGTCAATTACAAAGACATGCTGCAGTGGCACAGAGTTGCTCTTTCACAAAGACTTTCCCTGGGCGTTGGTAAAACACCGGGGTGTAATAGAGCAGGCAGAATTTTCCTCCTCACACAGAAGAGATCCTGTAATCTGCCTGAGGCCCCACAGCTCTCAGAGGCTGAGCCAGGGCTGGAGAAGAGCACAAATTGGGCCTCCAGCCCAGCACACATCCTGTCCCCTGGGGTGCTGACTGCCATCATTGGCACTGCGCCCATCTGAGCCAGGCAGTCCCCCGGAGCCTCACAACAGCTCTGGGAAGCTAGTGTCATTCCTCAGTGCCCAGTGTTACCAGCTCACAAGTGGCCAGCCAGGGCTCCCTGGTTTCCACTCCGTGAACCGCCATGCCCTCCGTTCTGAAGCATATTCAGAGGCAGAACACCTGGAAATCAGGTGAGCTTTGGGAACCCCACATATTCTTGCTGTATTCTACTCCATCGTGTGAACCAAGAGTACAGAAGTCATCAGAGAGCATGACTTGCATCTGTGTCTCAAGTCTGTATCTAAAGGAAAAGTCCATAAAATCACCCAAGGAAACATCCTAAGCCTTTTCTGTTGGTGTTTTTTTTCTTTGCTTCTGAATCATTTGTTTTATCAACCGCAAGTTCTCATTAACAGACAAGTGATAGGAGATGCCAAGGTGTGAAGGCCCCTTTATGGCAGAAAACCGAGAAACGAAAAATTCCTAGCCCTTAATTCTGTATGTAAGTTGATAAAAGTCCATCTTGATTTGATTTTTGCCTTAAAATCTCTCTGACTAGCTCAAAGACAATCCCCTGGAACAAGGTTTGGGAACCACTTCCCAAGAATTAGAGTGCCTTTGGGATCCAAGAAAATGAAATGCCAGCTGGGCGTGGTGGCTCACACCTTTAATCCCAGCACTTTGGGAGGCCGAGGCGAGTGGATCACCTGAGGTCAGGAGTTCCAGACTAGCTGGGTGACAGAGCGAGACTCCATCTAAAAAAAAAAAAAAAAAAAAAAAAGTGAAATGCCAACATGGTGAAATCCCATCTCTACTAAAAATACAAAAAGTAGCCGGGCGTGGTGGTGTGTGCCTGTAGTCCCAGCTACTCAGGAGGCTGAGGCAGGAGAATTGCTTGGACCTGGCAGGTGGAGGTTGCAGTGAACCAAGGTCGCACCACTGCACTCCAGCCTGGGTAACAGAGCGAGACTCCCTCTCAAAAAAAAGGGAAATGCAAATAAGCAGTATTGCCGAGTGCACAGTTGGTGGGAAGGAGAGTTAGTTCGTGAGGACCCACTAAGAATGGGAAAAACCAACTGAATCAAAAGGCAGAGATGCAGCAATAATGGTGCCTCAGAGACAGGCAGAAGCCATTTGATTTTCCACGTGGCCGTTTCCTTCATGCTGCTGATGGCCTCTTCAAAGCACGGCAGCTCCTGGGGGCCAGGGTACGGGACCGCCTGGTGGAGAAGAATTGGGGTAGGGAAAGAATTGGCATTTTTTAAAGGAACTTTTACAATTCCAAGGAAGTGACATGACAAACATGTTGACGAGGGTCAGGAAAAGGAAGGTTGGCTGAGCAAGCGTTTACTAAGGCCCTTGATGAATCAAATAAACACTGCACAGGGCTTACAGAGAAGCCTGGGGTCAGGGGGAGGGACTGTGAGCAAGTCTTGCCAGCTAGTGGGCTCTGTGGTGCTTCTGGCTTGGCACATGCAAAGGTGTGGCTGCAGGGTAGGGATGAACAGAGAGCTGGGAAGCTCAGCAGGGCCCGATAGCAAAGCGCTTTGTGAGCTTGCCCCATGGTTCGAATTTTATCCTAGAAGCAGCAGGAAGCCATTGAAGGTTCTAAGACAGATCAGGGGACATGGGTGGCAAAATGGACTTGGGTTTTAACTGACTGGAGTTGGGAAGGGCAGAGGAGAAGGGTGGAGTGGGAAGGCCACAAGACACATTCTGGCCCCTTCACTGCATGCTCACAGCTGTGCGTCAGGTGATGCCCGTGGGCGGATGAGAAAAGTCCCACAGGCTGGGGTGCGGCCTTCCTTACCTTTCTCTGGCCATTTGCCACTTACTTGTACTATAGGATTATATTGCTTGTTTCAAAAAACCTAAATGACCACTGTTTTCACTCAACAGCGTATCCTGGAGTGTTTTTCATTTTAGTTCGCAGGCGCACCCTCATTCGATTTTGACTGCTGCGATCATCTGGTCAAACCACTGTTCATTGAGCCAGTCCCCTACTGATGGATGTTTAGGTGGTGGCCAATTTTTTGTCCTTTAACAAATAGGCATCTCCAAGTGCCCTTGCGCAAGGGTTTCCTCAGGGTAAATAACCATGAAGTGAAAACAGAAATAGCTACGCTGAGAAACTAACAGGATTTGGTGACCAATTTGACTGAGGGAGTGGGAAGCCACAGAGCTAGCTTAAGGCAAAATCTTAAGAAGGCTTGGTTTCCCTCCCCGAATGTTCTCTGTGCATTTAGCTAGCAAGGGCATCTCGATGATCCCAACTTCTGACCCAACAGTCCTTGTGTGTCTTGTGGGTCTTGTTCTGTCCAGAAGGCCTTCGGGAGTTGTGGTGACTAGAAGGGTCCCCAGGAACTGGTGGGGGTCTCCGGGGTGGCCCACTCATAGCTTGGCTTGTCATCTCAGACAGAACCTCCAAGCTTGGCATGATGGAGACACCAGTGGGTTCTGTTCCCACCTCCTGGCACCTCTGCTGAGGTTACAGCTTTCTACACTTCTTTTCTCTCTATAACCAGAATCCCATGACTAAAATACAGTTTTCTTTATTTGCAGCTGTCCAGCCATGGCATTTAGTATAAATATGCTTTTCTCCAAAAACACACACAGTATTATTTTTTTTAACATCTCAAATTCCCAAAGGGCCAAAAGTCAATATTATCCCAGTGTGATAGGAATGGCTGTTTTGCAACATCTCTTCACACTTACACAGCCTGCTTGCTGAAGCCTCAGAGTAATCACAAAAACACATTCCAAAACCCATCAGCCTGGCTGCTGGATTGTTTTACTGTCTCTGTCACTCCCTGCTGTGAGCTCAGTCCTTGAAAGTCGCCGCCTCAGTTTCCATGTTGAGGGTGAGAAATTCACAGCGTGATTTGGGGAGCAGATGCTTCAACTGTATGAACTGCAAAGTTTGGACTGTGAAGTGCAGTGACTCCTCTGAAAATATTTGCTAGCTGGTAAAATTCAGGCTCATGGCATATGTGGTCTACTTCTAGCCTTACAGACTTATTTAAGGTCCCAGGATAAAAATCCTATTTATTGAATGCCAACTATGTGCTAGGCACTGGGCTAGGTGCTTTACACAAAATAAGGAGATAAGTATGTAAATACTGTATAAAGTTATTAGTCCTACTTTTATAGCTGGGGCAAGCAAGAGTCAGAAAGCAAGGTCCCCTGCCCGGAGTCTCAAAGTTCATCCCTGGAGAGGGTGCCTGCTTCTTCTACCTCTTCTACCGGCTTCCTGAGAACAAAAGTTATCTCTTGTCCTTTGTTCTTTCTCTTCCTGCTAAGTTGATTTGAAGGCTCTGCAGAGCTTCTGGGGTAACCTACGTGCCCCTTTGTTGTGGCTTTCTGAGCACGATGACCTCACCGGCCCACAGCTGGGTCTCCGGTGCTGGGTTCCAGGCACACTCCAGCCTCCTGGCTCACGGATGTCCTGTTGAACCTCACGGATGGCTGGGTGGCAGGAAGAGTCAGTGTGGATGGAATGAGCCTTCCTCAAAAACCCCCACCACCGCTCTTAGTAACCCGGAAAATGCTCTGAAATAGTTGACATTTACAAAGTCTTGGGCATTTGGGGAGAAAAACGTTCTTTTTTTGGCCAGATTTCCAGCATGAAGCCCAAGGGAAATGTCCACGGGCTCAGCACAGTGGTCTAGCATCTCAAAGCAGTGCTTGGCCTGGTGGAGGCCATGGCTTTCCCATCCTGCCCTCTCTCCACATCCAGCAAAGAACAAATGCAGAATCTGGCCTGTCCTCCTGTCCCCACCATGTCCCACAGAGTGGCCCTTTGTGCTGACCCAACACGAAGCACCTGAAAGGCTTGCTCAAGCTGCCGGACTTGAGCAGCTTGAAAGCCACCATCATCAGTGCACCTGCTGTGCCCAGGTGTAAGCCATTGTGTTGTTTAAACTGTGCCACAGCCCTGCCGAGGAAGCCATTGCAATCAAGAGGCTAGGGCCACACACCCTGGAGCCAGACCCCCCAGGTTCAAATCCACACCTACCCCTAGACAACTATGTGATGTCAGGAAGTTCTGTGAAGCTCCTGAGCCTCTGTGTCCCCTTCTTTCAAATGGGGCTGATGATAGGACCTGCCTCACACAGCAGGAGCTTAGCTGGGCCAGCATTTTACATGTGAGTGCTTCACGTTATCGTAGTGTCATAATGGCCACTGCTGTTGAGGAGGGAGCCAGGGCTCAGACGGATAGAGCTGCCTGCCCAAGGTCGCAAGCTCAGGGGTGGCAAGCCAGCACTCCCAGCTTCATGGCCCTGGCTGGAGTCACTTGCAGAGCAGTTGGCCTGGCTCCTCCAGGCTTTTCCGTAGGGTCCTCCCAAGTATTCTAGCCAGTGCTTTTGGGCTCTGCCAGCCATATGGACAGCACCAGGCAGGTAGAGTTCTGAGCACCTGCCCTGTTGGAGCCACCATGGAAGTCACCATCTCTGGCATGGTTCCTTCTTCCAGCCAGTGCACACCAAGTGCCTCCTGCAACCCGTCCTAGGCCCCCGTGCAGAGGACAGCTCACTCACAGGAGGCAGACATGGAAAAGGATGACCATGGGGCCAGGGGGATACCTGAAGTGGTGGGGGCCTCAACAGGGCAAGTCACCCAGAGGGTTCATGCCGCCAGAGCACGGGGTGTGGGGGGCACTGGGTTGTCGGGGACCGTGGGGGATCTGGAGGGGTGCAAGGAGACATGTGAGTTTCATTCTGCGTGCTCTGGGTGGCCTCGGGGCCGCGAAGCAGGGAAGTGGCTGGACCTGACGCATGTCTGTCCAAGCTCCTTGCACGTACCGTGTGGGAAGTGGATTGGAGACAGCAGTGCGGGGCCACTGGGGTCCCACCAGAAACCAGGGCAGCTGGGTGAGGGACGGTCTGGGATGTGGGAGGTGCCCTTGGCTAGCATGGTCAGTGATGGCGGTGGGGACAGCGTGCCTGGTTATGACAGATCTGCTCCTGAGAACGGCGCTGCCTCTGCACATCGTGTAGCAGCTTGGGACAGGCAAAGCATTTCCCATTTGTGATCTCAGTAACCGCAGAGCGTAGTGAGGTGGGAGAGGCTTGAGAGGTGAGCTGACCAGCGCAGGTCACACAACAGGAAGCAGTAGTGTGCTTTGCACTTGGCCCCCACACTGTCCTGAGGTTGAAAGGTTTAAATGACTCGGGCACTGGGGATGTCTGACAGAGCATTCTGTGAGACTCATCGAGCTGCCAGCACTGGGCTAAGTATCTCCACAGCCCAGGTTCACAGCAGGGAGGCAGGTATGGTTACTCTCCCTACTTACCGGGGGAGGAGGCTGAGGCCCAGAGAGGTGAGGTAACTTGCCCGAAGTCACTCAGTGGTAGGTGGTGTTGCTGAAACCCACTGCTAGGCCATCGGACCCCCACAGTCTGCTCAGTCCAGTGTCCAGGGATCCTCCTCAGGGCCCGGGAACCTGACAAAATTCTTGGCCTTGCCCTGGGGGAGCTGTAGTTGGAAGCTGGGGGCACTGTGATCATACTTGCAGCCTCACATGCGTGGCTCCTGGGCACGCCTGTCAGAGCGCTGTGATCAAGCAGGCCTGGAGGTGCCTGTGCTTGGCCCTTGGCACTAAGCAGCTGTCTAGGCTTCATGAGCCGAGTGGCATTTGCCCGATAGGTGTGATGTGTCAACAGCTTTTTCTCCTGCTTTTCACAGCCCCGGCTGGCTCTGAGCTAGAACTCTTTTAAAAATCATAATAAGGCACTGACCTGCAGTGGTACACACTGGTGCAGCCCAGGCACAGGAGCCTCTGCAGTGGAGATTTAAGGTCTGCTGGTCAGGAGCAAATTTAGAATCTTTCTGGAAGGTTCTGGGTCTGGCCAAGAGTGTAGTTAAGCCCTTCAGTGATGTGAGTTTGGGACTTCTTTAGCTTATTGTCTTCATGGATCTACAGAGGTAGGCTTCTGAGGAAAGCAGTGGCTTGTCTTTTTATTCATTCCTTTTTCCAGTAAACTTTTTTATTTTTTTGGAGACAGAGTCTTGCTCTATCACCCAGGCTGGAGTGCAGTGGCACAATCTCAGCTCACTGCAACCTCCGCCCCCCTGGTTCAAGTGATTCTCCTGCCTCAGCCTTCCAAGTAGCTGAGATTACAGGCGCCTGCCACCACGCCTAGCTAATTTTTGTATTTTTAGTAGAAATGGAGTTTCACCATGTTGGCCAGGCTGGTCTCGAACTTCTGACTTCAGGTGATCCACCCGGCCTTGGCCTCCCAAAGTGCAGGGATTACAGGCATGACCCACTGTGCCCGGCCTATCCAGTAAACATTTATTGAGCACCTACTGTGTGCCACGCCCTGTGCTTGGGGTTGGTGACCTGGTGAGCTTGCAGTCTTGTGAGAGTGACAGACAGCATTCAACTAATAACACCCATTACTAATGCATTTATAATACAGAGCCTGGCTGGTCTAGTAGGGATGGGGAAGACATCTTTGAGCAGGTGAGTGGGCAGATATCATGCCAGTCCTCGTTTGACCTCAGTAGGGATGGCACCAGGTTCCAGAGGCTGAAGAAGAGACCTGGTGCCAGCAAATGAGACATAGGGTTCATCAAGGACTTAATGTACAGGGTCAGTCCAGTGGCAGCAGGCTGGGTGGGAAAGCCACAGCCGCTTGTAAAAACCATGCCACTTATATAGCAGTTTCCCTTAGCACCCTCCCCCTAGCAACCTCTACCTGGCAACCTTCATTTAACCTAAAACAAAGGGCTTAAGTGAAGCTACTGCTGTCAGCTGCATCTGCCGTCCAGCAGATCGTGGGAGTGTTCCTCAGAGCAGACAGGATAGGGAATAGCATGTGCAGGGGCGCCCAGGGTGAGAGCAGAGTAGGCTCCCCTGGGTCCCCATCGATGTGACACCTTCTGCACTTGAAGCTGTTAAAGGCATCTTCCATTCATGCATTAGCTCATCGTCAGAACCTCCCTGGGGAAAGGTAGGCATATGTTCATTTTGCAGTTGAGGTTTTCTGAGGCTCAGGGTGGTTAAGTAACTTACCTGGAGTTGCACAGCTAGTGCACAGCAAAGCCAGTGTCCTATCCTGGCTTGGCCTGACCCTGGCCTCCTGCTCTGTGTTCTCATTTTTTATTCTTATTCCCTATCCTGTGTTGTTACTGATAAGGCTCAGAGGCCTGCCAGAAGGATCAGAACCCCATAATTATCAAGCCCATTGGAGGATAATTCTAAGTCATTGACCTTAAATCTGCAAACCCAGAACCTTGCCTTGAGAGTGCCTCCTAGCCCTGTCGCTCGGCACTTTCTCAGAATACTACTAGGCTGGTCATCTCCCAAGCTACCTTATCCACCTTAGAGTGAATACATCTCTGAAACTTGGTAGGGAACTGCACCCAAATGAGCAAATCATGCTATCCCAGGAGAGCAAGGAGCTGAGTGAACATCCATCCTCTTGGGGCGTCCCTGCAGCCTGCAGCTGGACAGCGGCCTCAGTCTCCTGTTGCCAGGGGTGACGAGGCCTGCTCAGCTCAGCATAGCCCTTGGGTCAGCTCTTTGCTCCTCCAGGCAGACAGCTGTGTTCATTCTCCGTCCTGTACCTCCACAACTTCTGTGGGACAGCCAACTAGATGATCAGGAAGCCACTCAACTGGAACCTCACAATGGCAAAGAAAAGCCACCCTCCCCTCAGCTGAGAGGGACCTACAGGCAGCCCTAACAGTGCCTAGGTGCCCAGAGGCATGGTTCTTTTGGAAGTACGGAGCCCTCATGCCTGTAGGATCTTCCCCAGCTTGAGGCCCACGCCTGAGCCAGGCCAGCCCTGTGGTCCTCGGCCCTAGCTGTGCATTTTTAAAATCACCTTGAAAGCTTTTAGAAAAGCCCAACATCCAGGCCTAACCCAGTTAAGTCACAGTGAAGAGAGGGCCGTTGGTGACATTCTCTTCTGTAGGAGCAGTGGCTCTAGCGTGCTTGGGGTAGGAGGGATTCTGGGTATAGGAGTGGGATGTTTTGTGCGCTGGGGCCAGTTTCAGGAGAGGCCAATTCCACAAAGCTTGTCATGCCTTGGGGGACGGCTGTGCTAAGAACTGGGAAATGGGTTCTGGATGGCCCTGCCCTCATGGAGTTCATGGTGTCCTGGGGCTAACTCACTTTTGTACCAGACCTAGAGCAGGGAAGGCTCTGGAAGGAAGTCTTAAAGGATGAGCTAGGTTTCACGTGGTGCATCCCGGCAGGGGGAATGAGCGGGCTGTGAAAACCACCATGTGCACATGGGTCCTGCAGGCAGCCTGAGGATAGGGGTCAGCAGGAGATAAAGCCACGTGGGAATGGCCCCTGCTCCCGATTACCTGTCCTGGACTTGGTTGGAGGGCCCAGGGAATAGCTGATGGGCTTCAAGCAGAGGGCGAAGGTCCCACTCTACTCCGACCACACACAGCCCTTGGAGCGGGAAAACAGTCACTGATGGGGCCGGCCTTAGGGCGGGCTACCCGTGGGGCCCGATGACCCACACTTAGCTGGAAGGAAGAGGCAGCCAACAACACTTCCTTGAGTCACACAGCTGGAGCCCAAATCCACCCATTAGTCCAGGACCAAAGCCAATGTCATCCGCGGCCTCTCCCACTCCTGCATCCAGTCCCTCCCCAAGCCTGTCAGCTCTACCTGGGAGATGCAGTCATGACAAGGACCTCTCACCACCACACCTGTCTCCTGGGCAAAGGGCTGGGTAACTTCTTTAAGCAGCAGAGAGTCAGGCTTTTAGGGCCATATGGTCTCTGTCGCAACAAGCCTCTCCCATTGCAGCCAAAGCAGCTGTAGAGCATACGTTACCAAGTGGGTGGGGCTGTGCCCCCATCAGTCTTCCCTGGCAGGACAGCAGGTGGCTGGATTTGGCCCGCAGGGCATTGTGTGCTGACTCCTGACCTTGGCCAAGCCTGGGCCGGTGGCTTTAAACTCAGCCCCACTGTTGCTCTCCTTGCCCTCTATGGTCCATTCTTAGCACCAAAGATCCTTTCAGGGTGTGAGTCGGGTCAAGTGTCTCCTCTACTTAGATTCTTCGCTGGCTCCCATCACTCAGATGAAAGCCAAAGTCCTCACGGTAGCCCCACGTTTTACACAGTTTGGTCCCTCTGCACTTCCTGACACTAACCTCACCCCCGCCATGGTCCCCTTGGCCCACTTCAAGGCAACTTAAGGGGCCTCTCCGCAGCCTTGACCTTGCTAGGTATGCTCCTATTTGGAGGGCCCTGACCTGGGTGGCCTCTGTTTGGAGAAGTCGCCCTGGGTACCTATGTGGCTCTGTCCTTGCTTCCTTCAGATCATTCTTCAGACCTCACCATCTCAGAAGGTCTTGCCAGATATTCTATATAGTGGCAACCCTGTCCCCACTCCCAGCACTCCAGGGGTCTCTACCTTGCTCATTCCTTCAGAGCACTCAACCTCTCCTGACATTTTCTACTCCTTGACTGGCCCTGCCCTGTCCCATCCCATTATCAAACTGTAAGCTCCAGGAAAACAGGCACTGTGTTTTGTTTACAGCTGAATTTCCAAGTCCTGGGCTATACCAGACATATAGGTAGTGCTTGGTAAGTACTGGATAAATGGATCGATGGATGGATATTTGGATATAGAGGGATGAATGAATAAATAGATGAATATAGAGGATGGATAAATGGGTAAAGGGGTAGATGGATGAATGGATGTAGAGGGAGGGAGGGAGGGATGGGTGTAGAAGGATGGATGGGTATAGAAGGATGGAGGTGGAGGGAGAGGGGATGGATGGATGTAGAGGGATTGATGGATGGGTAGAGAGGGATGGATGGGTAGGTGGATTGATTGGTGTACAGGGATAGATAGAAGCCTGGATAGATAGATGGACTGGCAGATGGGTAAATGGGTAGGTGGCTGCTGGGTGGATAGATGGATAGAGGTGCAGGAATGGATGGGTGGATGGCCGGATGGGAGGGAGGGAGGGAGAGAGGGATGGATGGATGGTGGAGCCAACAGATCTTTAATCCCCCCTTCTGTGTGCTAAACATTGTTCACTGGGGACTCAGGGGTTAGTCAAACAAAACACATCAGCCCCTTTGGAGCTCATGGGCACTGTGGACACCTTAGATAGTCTAGAACTTCCCACCATGTTTGGTGCCCTCAGGGAACTGGCAGATGCTGAGTTAATGTCCAGTAAGGGGATCTGACCCAGACCAGGTGTCTGGGAAGGCTTCTCTGAGGAAAGGATGTTGACCTGGGAGGAGGAGGTAGAGGAAGAGCGCCGAGAACCTTGTGTCCCAGACAGGGGCTGCCATAGACAGGAGAGCATTGATGTCTCAGCCCACAGGCTGCCCAATCCCCAAGGAATGAATATGTTGCTGCCCGTTTGACACCTGGCAACAGTTTGGCTAGGCACAGAATTCCCCTTTGTCATCAATTTCCGCCCTGGCCAGATAAGGGGAGCTGAGACCCCAGTCCTGTATCCCAGGTAGATATTCAGCCCAGCATGCCCTGCCGTGGCCCTGACTACTCGCATCATTAGTACAAAAGGAGGAATTTGACCTGGGATATTTTCCTGTAATGAATTCTTTGGAAAGGGAAAGTTCTTGGACTTGGGCCTGATTTGAAGATGAAATGTTTTGAGCCACGTGCAAGAGAATGGCCGACAGAACCTGGAGGGCAAGGTTCTCTGAAGGCGAGGTTCCAGGTTGTTCTGCAGAGCAGGGTTAGGAGTAAAGTGTTTGTAATCCCCTGCTGCAAGCTCTACTCAGAACTTCTTAGGTAGGGGATGAAAATGTTCTAAATTGATTGTGGAGGTGGTTGCACAACTCTATGAATACACTTAAAGTCCATGAATTGTACACTTTAAATGGATTCATTGTACAGTATGTGAATTCTATCTCAATGAAACTGTTGTATTAAAAAATACAGCTCTCAACTTGTCAGACTGTCACAAAGCTGTCATCCGACAGCACATAAAGACCAGATTATCTCATTTGTGTCCCATTTTGATCATAAAATAGTTCAATGTATGTAACATTTTCCTTAAAGCAGTCCAAATGTAAAAAAAGAAGTTGGAACCTGCAACACATTCCGGAATAATTTGGAAACCTTGATGCAATCCAGACTCACCTGGCACCCTTTCTCTTCCCTAAAACGTGCCTTTTTTCCATTTCTTTTTGACTTTGAGAAAAAAACTCTGTTCTTACTGGTAAAATAGCCTCCTGTTTCCTTTTCTTTCCTGTAAATTATGAGATAAGTTTGCATTTCATACCTTTCCAGAAATCTCTGTTGATTGTGGTCTGACCTCAGATTCATGATTTCTGGGAAAGAAAGAATTAGAATCACTGCTGTGAACATTAGAAGTGCGGTGAGTAGTTCGTGTTGTGGATTTGAGATGGAAAACAGGTGACCAGTACCTGTTTGTTGTTCCGGAACTTATTTCCTGGTGCTGCTAGATGGTATGCCGGCAACCACGTCCAACTCATGCCAATGACTTTTAAAAATGTCATCTCAAATGCCACATGTTATGTCTTGGATGTAGTTAGGGCTAGTTGTGGCCTTTTTGTATGGTAGAAACCTCCACCTCCTGGTGGAGGAGGTCTGGAGGCACTAGAACTTGACAATACAGGTACTGTTTATTGAGCAATTACTGCATATCAGACACTGTGCCAAGCAAGGTTGTGTGTACTCTTCTCACTTAATCCTCACAATGATGTATGACATAGGGATTATTTCCCCCATATTATGCCAGGGAAATGGAGGCTCAAGGCTACAATTTCCATTACACAGCCAGTCAGCATCAGGGCTGTGGCTTGAACCCATGTCTGTCTGCCACCAAAGCCCACCATCTTAGCTTATATTATGCGCCTCCGTTTCCCTGTCCATACTCCAGCCTTTAGACTCCCAGGCCAGTGCTCCATCCCCTGTATGGCCAGGAAAGCACAGCCATCTTGTAGGACCAGGAGCAGTTCAAATAATGAGCCAACGGCTGGCACCCTTTCTCCGAGCACAGCGATGCACCAGAATGCTCTCCCTCCTGTGACAGGTGATGTGCGCTTCAGCTCAGGCCCAGAAGAGCCACAAAAGAGAAGCTCCAGCAGTTCTGTGTAGGAGGCAGGATGTACTTCTATCCATAGAAGGGCTCTCATGATTATTTATTAATTGTGAAAGGGAAGAAAAAACTAATAGAGTTTCCCGGAAAGGGATACAAGTTCAATATGATAAACTCCCAAAAAGCAATCAAAGGCCAAAGAGGGCAGAAAAATAAAGGACAGGGAGAAAGAGAGATGGTGAATCAAAGTGGCCAGTATGTTAGCAGAGGCCAGGGGAGGGGCCAGGCTTCACAGCCAGGGAGGTGTGGGGCTGTCGGAGCACAAGTCACCAGTGGTGGTGAGTCAGGCAGGCAGCGGGACTTGACCCCATGGGGTCACTGAGGCCCTGGGGATGAGCTGATAACAGGAATGGATGGAACCGGTCAGCTGTTTTGCTATTACTGCAGACCCGTTGTATTAATTTTTGTGCATTAATACATGAACGTAGAATATTATAAATGAAAACTGAGAAGCTACAGGAAGAAGAAATCACAATCCTATCAACCCAGAAGAAAGCATTGTTAATATTTCTGTTTATTTTCCACTTCTGTCTTCCCTGTTTTGTCTCTTTCTCTCATTTAAAAAAAAAAATACATGAGTTGATTGTTGATTTTTGAAAAAATCAGGCTGGGCACAGTGGCTCATGCCTGTAATCTCAACACTTTGGGAGGCTGAGGCAGGCAGATTGCCTGAGCTCAAGAGTTCAAGACCAGCCTGAGCAACATGGCAAAACCCCATCTCCACTAAAAATATAAATAGCTGGGCATGATGGTGCCCACCGGTAATCCCAGCTACTTGGGAAGCTGAGACATGAGAATGGCTTGAACCTGGGAGGCAGAGGTTGCAGTGAGCCAAGATCACACCAGTTCACTCCAGCCTGGGTGACAAAGTGAGACTGTCTTAAAAAAAAAAAAAAAATTGCAACATTGCAGGTGCGACTTAAGACCCCATCAGTTACCACCCTTCCTCAGTCATCATTTGCCTTATTTTTATTTTTCCAGACCCTTCTCTGTGCAGTTGCATTTCATACATGTGCCAGAGCTGATGAACAGAACAGAGCCACCACCCCTTCTCTGCAATTCTGAAACCCAAACAGCTCTGAAAATCAAAATATTTTTCCTAACTCGTATGATGGCAAAACCAAAACCTGCCTTCAGGTATTTATGGGCGGGTTTATTAGAGTCATTGATGCCAGTAATTGTGAGTTTATGTTTTCGTTTCTGCAAAAATTCAGTGTTTGGTTTTAGCTGCTCACGACCCAGCTGACAGTGTAACGTAATACCTATGTGTGCCCTACATGGCCTTTTACCTCCTAAAGATTCTAAATTCCAAGACATATCTGGCCACAGAGGTTTAGGATAAGGAGTTAAGTATGGATCTGTAATTGTGTTAAGGTTTGGGCTTCCCTTAAATAAAATCATAATTCTGTATACCCTGCTGCACCTTGCTCTTTTCAGACACCACTGTAAATCAGGAATCTGTGTTAGCACTTACAGATTTCACACATTCCTTTTCACGGCTGCATAGTATTCCAAAGCTTGGCTACTTGCGTTTCTTTGGCTGAGTGATTCAGTCATCCTAGTCTTTTTCTATCCCGGGCAGCGTTGCAGTGGGCATCCTTGGGCACACCTCTCTCTGTGTGCACGTGCAGTACAAGAAGCAGAACTGCCAAGTCACAAGGTTTTGTTTTCACAACATTGCCATCATGTCAGAAGCACTTCCCTGTACTGTAAAATGCCTCTTCTAAACTTCATTCTTGATGACTGCATAATAGTCCATTGTCTGAGTGTTAGTTTCCTGAGGTGGCCATAACAAAGTCCCACAAACTGGGTGGCATAAACAGCAGAAATTGATTGTCTCACAGGTCTGGAGGGTAGAAGTGCAAAATCAAGGTATTGGCAGGGCTGGTTTCCTCTGAGGGGTGTGAGGAGGACTCTGGTCCAGGCCTCCCTCCTTGGCTTCTGGTGTTTTGCTGGCAATCTTTGCTACTTTTTGGCTCATAGAAGTATCACCCCAGTCTTGCCTTCATCTTCACGTGATGTTCTACCTGTGTGAAAATCTGCGTCCAAATTTTCATTTTTTAGGAGGCACAGACATATTGGATTAGGACCAAACCTAATGACCTCATTTTAACTAATTGCATCTGTAAAATGACCCCATTTCCAAACGAGGTCACATTCTGAGTCTGAGGTACTAGAGGTTAGGACTTCAACCTAAGAATTTGAAGGGGACACAGTGAAACACAAAACAGTCTGAATTTGCCAGATTTTACTTAATCCGCTTATACTGGCCACTTACGTTGTTTCTACTACCTTATGAAGCACCCTATGACAAACATCCTTATTCAGAAATCTTGGTCTACATTTCCAATTATTCCTCCAGAAACCATTCCTTAGAGTCAGGGGGACTGTCCATTTGTCAGGCTCTGGGTGGCACCTTGCCAAATTGCCTTCCAGAAAGCAGAGTAGGGGGATGCCCACCTGGTCACACCTGGGCCCTTGTCTTCATTCACCTGGGCTCTCAGATGACTCCTGCCCAGTGCTCCAGGCTGAAGTCCTCTGCACATATGTGTGCGCCTCTGCCAGCATGTGCACAGGCATTGTTTCTATCAAGTCACTTTTTTATTTCTCATTCCTGCCAAAAAGAGAGAGAGTCTATGGGTTAATAGCAAAGTAGAAACCGTAGCTCAAAATGTCTGTTTGGGGCATGTACTCTTGCATCTGTATAGATGAATAGAGATTTCAGAAATACTGGGCCCTCTGGGCCTCAGGCATTAAATCAATCAGTGCAATTTCACTCACAGGGCAGCTTGCCAAGGGAGCCCAGGAGAGAGTAGCGACTTCTCTGATTTAGTTCAGTCCGTTAAGCTCATGGCAGCCTGCACCAGCTCACTGTTGCAAAAGGCAATCAAGTAATGAGTACTCAGCCACTTTCGGGGGGCGGGGGCCGGCTGGGGAAGGGGCTCTCTGGAGCCTTTCAAATGGAGCCAACTTTTGATAGCTTTTTAGGGTAGTTCTGAGAGCTGGAGACGGGTGAGGAACCCGGGAAGTGAGAGCTTAATTAACGGAACTACAGAGAATGAGGCAGCAAAGGAATCTCTCAGAGAACCAGGGGGTTTTGTGTGTGTGATGAGCAAAAGGATAGAACTAGGTGCTTGAGTACTGCCGGCTAGGAACCAGCATTGAACAGCAGATGCCTAACTCAGCACAGCAAGGGCCAGCTTAGCACAGAGACCAGAGAGCAAGATGCGCGGAAGGATAAATTTAGCCTGCATTTCAGGGGAAAACATCGATCTCAAATGTAGTGCTGTCTTTTAAAAGAAAGTGGAAGCCTTAGGCCGGTCATCTGGGACAATTTCACTTGAACAGCTAAAAGCCCAGGAAAAACGAGTGCTCATAACCAGCTCATGCTGCTAGCACACCCACAAGATCTTCCCTCTGCAGGCGGGCGGCTGGTGTCTGCATGGGTCTGACAGATGGTCCTCCTGCTACCCTTATCTGTTCCCAGGAAAAGGTGCTGCCTTGTTTTCTGGAGAGATTTGGGGTTTCTATTTCTGATCCCAAATGTTCATCTTCATGAGGAATGACGGGGGGCCCAAGCTCTGTGTTTGCTCAGCTGCTGGTCCAGGACATTGACATCTGGTGGGTTGCACCTGTCAGAGCAGGGCCAGTGCCAATCCCCTCTGTTGTCTAGAAGCTGAGCAAAAGACATCAGTTACTGGTGTCTGTAGATAGGGTTGTTTTGTTTGTTTTTAACCAGGTCCCCTGTAGCATTCACACAGCATCCTGAGCATTGTTTCTACCTGGTCAAAGCTAAGGGCACCACTGTGGTCCCAAATAATAGAGCACCTGTCCTAATGACGTTCCCACAATCTCGCCAGTCAGGTGGTGACGGCATCTTTCCTCCAGCCTCCCTCTGACACTGCTCCCCTGTGTCAAAGGGGAAGAAAGTCCAGTCTGTCAATATTTGGGGCACTAATCATCTGCGTTCGGGCGCCAGGGGTCATTGAAAGGCTGAGACGCTTCCAGGAATTCATGGCTCTAAAACCGTGGGGCTGACTGGAAAGGATCTCCAGCGAGGGTATGAAGAAAGAAACCCAAATCTCCACTCCACCCCGACCCCGCAGCCTCTGAGCATTGTCCATTGTGTCTTGGGTTCTTGGGAAGAAATGAAGTCAATGCACATAGTGATGTGGGCCCAAGTTAATAATAAATGTAGAGGAAGGAGAAAGGATGTTCAATATTTAAACATTTCAGAGCGCTGTGTTTGTTTGCCAGTTACTGCCCTCCGCCTGCTTCCTGGATGGGTTCTGTAAAACGGAGCCTTCCTTCCCCAACTGTGCAATTGGCATCTGACACCAGCGATTTACATAGAAAGGGAAATGGTGCCTTTTCTAGGTAGTCCCCGTGCCAGCAGGACTCCTTCTCGTTTTCTGTTGCCTTTCTTGAAGGAAGAGGATGACAACATAGAAACTAAGGTTTTTATGACCCCTGGAGCACTTGTGAGGAGTTGACAGCTTTAGGGTCATGTCCAGAGTTGTCTTAATTTTCCCAGATTTGCTTCTTTGAAACTGTCTCATATTTTAACATAAATGTTGTGCTTTGGTTCTTACCTCTAACAGATTAAAAAGGCTAAACAATGAAACGTACAGTTGTGTTTAAGAAACGTCACTCTAAGTATACATACTAGATACGTTCCTTAAAAGTTGCCTGTAATGCAGAATTCTGTGAATCAATTCCTCCTTTCTTCTTGACGCACATTATAGAAAAGGAAAAGCATTCCTTCTGGGGGAGGGAAAAACATCTGACCCCAAGACATAATAAAATCATGCTTAAGAATACAGTAAACTTTAAAGTCTCTTAGTTAAAGGAAATCAATACTTTTATGATGAAATATTAATAATACTAAAAAAATAAGTCAAAACTACAAATGCATAATAGCTAGGGTGATTTTTAATGTTGGACACATTAGCTCAGCATTTGTGAGGAGGAACAAAGGGAAAAGAGAGCAACCTAGCCCATTTGAGAAGCCCTTCTGGTTCCTAATAAGTCCCCTTTTTGTGGGTCATCTGTCAAGAAGACACACACCTCCCCATAAGTGCCAACCTTATTTCTAAGCATTTTGTTGAAGCTACCGATTTTGGAAATGAAAGGATGAATGTAGCTGGAGAGAGGAACACACACAGGTGTGTACACACGCACACTCCTGCACACACATGCGCAGACAGGGCAAAGAGAAATGGAGAATTGGGGAAAGCCATTTATTTGTTTGAATACACTGCTGGCTGTTCCCTCCGTCCCCATCCTCCATGAATTATTCTGGTAGGGATCTTTAAGAGGGATGGACTTAGAGTAGATTGAACCATATGAAATGGCTGTTTCTGTAGGTCAAGTTAGTTGAATATTGGCAGTTGCATATGGTTCAAGCTCATCCATTCAACTCTCTATCAAAGAAATGCAAATAGAATAGTCATGTGTCTTGAATGCAGTGTAACATGAGGTTTTTAAGAATCTAGATGAAAATAACTTCATTTTTCTCGTAAACGATTTTCATATAAATCCTTTAAACCTAGATATTTAAAGTTCCTTTAGAAAGGCTCTCTCATGTCTCACTTTGTTAACTCCTAAAATCTTCAGTCATAACAGCTAATGTGAGGAAGACTTTTGTTTTGTGTTGCGTTCTTTTCTCCAAAGAGCTGGGCCATTTCTTTTGCTACATACCCCTTTGTCTAAAGACACTTACGAAAATGAAAGTCCCAGGACAGGCGTGGGGGCTCACATCTGTAATCCCAGCACTTTGGGAGGCTGAGGTGGGCGGATCACCTGAGGTCAGGAGTTCGAGACCAGCCTGACCAACATGGTGAAACCCCATTTCTACTAAAAATACAAAAAAATTAGACAGGTGTGGTGGCAGTTGCCTATAATCCCAGCTACTTGGGAGGCTGAGGTAAGAGAATCACTTGAACCTGGGAGTCGGAGGTTGTAGTGAGCTGAGATCGTGCCATTGCACTCCAGTCTGGGCAACAGAGCGGGACTCCATCTCAAAAATAAATAAATAAATAAAACCCACCACTACAAAAAACAGAAAAATTACCCAGGTGTGGTGGTGTGCACCTGTAGTCCCAGCTACACGGGAGGCTGAGGTGGGAGGATCAGCTGAGCCTGGCGAGGTCAAGAGGCTGCAGTGAGCCGGGATCATGCCACTGCACTCCAGGCTTGGTGACAGAGTGAGACCCTGTCTCCAAAAAAAGAGAAGAAAATCCCAGTTATTGCCTCATTGGGCCCAAGTTCCAGGCACCGTAAATTCCAGCCGAGGAATCAAAACAGCGAGTGCTACCTGAACATTTAGATTGCGTTAATGCTTTCATCCTCACGAACCCTGTAAGGTGTGGTGGTGTCACTCTGCTTTAGAGTGACAACAGTGCTTTAGAGGACACAGGCTCGTGGGGTGAACAGGTCCCCTGCTGTCACATGCCCAGAGCCACGGCACTCTCCTCACCACCGTATCCTGTAGCCAGAGTAAAAGTGACAAGCCTAAAGCCAAGTTGCTGCTCTTCAGGTTTCTCCCCTGCAGATAGCAGAAGGCTCGTGTCCAGCCGTCCGGTTAGCCATGTCCCACAGGTCTGCCAGGGCAGACGTCAACAGAGCCCTGTCCACTTAACAACCTCAGCTGTGGGTTTTTGAAGCTTGTTCTGTGCTGTTATCCATCACGGCCTTTCTGTGGCTCCGCACATACTCCCTGATTCTATCTGACTCACATAGTTCCAGATAGTATCTTCAGTTCTTGTTGTAGATGATGTGTCATAGAACGTCATCAGCCATCGGTCTGGCCTAGCCCCAATCTGTTAAAACACACGGTAGGAGAGACTTTGGTGAGGTGACCCAGCTGCAGAAGTTAACTACCCCACCCTGCAAAGTCGGAGTCCTGGCGAACACAAGCAAATGGAATGGGTCCACAGGCATGGTGCTCTCTGCCTTGGGTGCATACTAAGTATGTGTCAACGGCAGGTGCCTTTTGCAGAGAATCAAGACTAATTCCCTGGCCCCTTTGTACAGTGCCACCTCCTAGAACACACGGAGCAGGCCAAACATGTCAGTGTAGGATACACACTGTACGGCCTCCCTGCTTCTGGCCAAAAAGGTCAAAATGGGGCTGATGGGATAAGAGACTTGCTGGGGAAGAATCTGGCGCTCCTGGCCGGGCATGGTGGCTCATGCCTGTAATCCCAGCACTTTGGGAGGCCAAGACGGCTGGATCACCTGAGGTCAGGAGTTTGAGACCAGCCTGGCCAACATGGTGAAACCCATCTCTACTAAAAATACAAAAACAAAAAAAATTAGTGGAGCATGGTGGCGCACACCTGCAGTCCCAGCTACTTGGGAGGCTGAGGCAGGAGAATCACTTGAATGCGGGAGGCAGAGGTTGCTCTGAGCCAGGATTGTGCCACTGCACTCCAGCCTGGGTGACAGAGTGAGACTCCATCTCAAAAAAAAAAAAAAAAAACACAACTAATCTGCCACTCCTTGGCCAGCCAGAACCTTGGGGGGCCATCCTTTGCAAGCAGGGCCATAGTGACCCACCCTGCTCCTGGTGCATTCCTGATTCTGCTCCAGCTGGGGTCAGTGAGCGCCTGTGCCTGGGAGTCTCCTGGGTGCTGTCTAACCCGCCTTCCTCCTGCTGCCGTTTCAGCCCTGCTGACTGCCGCAGTAGAGAGGCAGCCCAGATGGCCGCTCCCAAGCTTGCTAGTGCCTTGGCTGACAGACTGTTGTGGAGGTCTTTGCTTGCTAATTTACAGACGGTAATACCAGTGGAAGAGGGCAGGGGCTGGGCGAGGCAGGGACTGGGTCCTTGGGAATCAAGCCCAGCCCTGGCGACCTTCAGTTCTAGAAATCCAAAGCAAGGTTGCACCACTGCGAGAGATTCCAAGATCTGGTCCACCTGTGTCCCCCATGTGCCATCCAACCCTCTGTGGCCTGGATAGGTGCTCATGTAAGATGCACGCATTCCTCATATTCACACAGCCCAAATGCCCGCCCCCCCCCCCACCCACCCCCTGCCGGTAGCAAAAGGGGCATTAGACTTGGCAGCCCTCACAGGCAGACCTTCACCCGACAGCAAAAACATTTCTAAGGGCACAATTAGGACACAGAGAGAAAGCAAGATACTGAAAGACCATTTTTTCTTTTCTGCAGGTTTTCAAGGATAGTGTTTAAAATCTGAGAGGATTTATCCATGGATAAAGAGCTATAGGCTAAAAGACTCTGCAAGTTCCCAGCTATTTTTGTATGTTGGACATGTTATCCGTTGAAAAGCAATCAGAAATAAAAAGTATTTAAGCGTTGTGAGGTGCAGCCTAGTCAGTGATCAGTGATGTGGGGGTCGCCCATGGTGGCAGCTCAGGCTTGGCCCGGGAGGCCATACGAACATCCCTTCCCCAGGTGCCTGATGTGTAGACCTGCGCCCTGGGCTGGACAGGAAGTGGCTTCTTCAGCACCAGTGCACAGGAAGAAAACCAGATATCACCATTTGGGGGCAAGTCCTTCATTGCCCCGAAAGCACAGAGTTTTGTGCACTGAAACAGTAAATCATCTGAGACTTATTAAAGGGATACTGAAAAGGGGTCTCTGTGCATATACCTGAAGCTTTCCCAAACTTCAGGGTCCTAGCAGTGAGGGAGGAAACTTCTGGGGCCCCCCAAGGCTCCTGCAGGCCCTTGGAGTCACTGCTATCTGAACCCTGCCCACATGTCAGTGAATGCTTTTGTTTCTCTTTGGTTTTTGTGTAGATTCCTAAGAGGAGTCCCGGGCAAGGACCCAGGCCTCACCTGGCCCATGTCGGTGTGCTGTTGCTAGACTTGAATCTGAACCCTGCTTCCTCAGCCCCCAACACGTGCTCTTTGAGCAGCCGTGGGTAGTTTGGGCCCTGTGCCCTGTCTTCCTAAGGTGGCTTTCCTAGGGTAGCCCCCCACTGAGTAGCTCCTAGCCCCCGCCTGCCCTCGGGTATTGCTGTCATCTTGCCAGGGTGTAGGATCCAGAGCTGCTTCTTGAGTCAGAAGCACGAACAAGAAGGTTCTATGTCACCTGCAGATCTTTCTAGTAAGCCGCAATCTGTCCAGAGCCACCAGCAGCTGAAGTCCCAGACTTAGTCACCTCCCAGCCCCCCATCTCTCGCCCCAGGGACCTGGCAGGCTGCACTGGGAGGTGAAAGGGCAGATCCAAGGAAGGAGCCGACAAGGGGAGAAATAAGGCCATGCACACTTGCTGTCTTCAGTTTGTGTGCGAGGTCACAGGGCCGATTGATTTTTTTTTACTGTTTCCCAGCATCGTGATGGGTGGTGAGAAAATATGAACACTGCATCGTCAGAAACCTGAGCCACAGCCTCGGAATGAATTTGCTAATGAAAGGCAAGCTCAGGGCACCCACGCCTCATGGTCCTCATTCACGGCAGAGACTGTGGAAAATGCACGGGTTGCTTCTCCCGAATCAGCCCTCAGCGGGTTTTATATTATGCTTTGCAATCTGCAACAACCATAAATAAGTGTAGGTTTTTCTTAGGGCAGGCAGCTCTCCTGTCCAAATCTTAGAGCTTTTTCCTAAAAGAGGTCTATTGAAAACTGGACTTCTTTGACACACCTCTAACTGAGATTTAAATGTCTTAGTCTCATACCTCAGACTCAAAAGCCCCCCACCTCCAGAGTTTGGTCAAGGAGGCCCCAAGGTATGACAGACACCCTGGGGTTAAAAACAGAGGCTGGAGACCGGGAGCAGTGGCTCATACCTGTAATCCCAGGACTTTGGGAGGCCGAGGGAAGAGGATCACTTTAGGTCAGGAGTTCGAGGCCAGCCTGCCCAACTTGGTGACCCATCTCTACTAAAAATACAAAAATTAGCTGGGCATGGTGGTGCATGCCTGTAGTCCCAGCTACTTGGGAGACTGAGGCAGGAGAATTGCTTGAACCTGGGAGGCGGAGGTTACAGGGAGCCAAGATCATGCCACTGCACTCTAGCCTGGGTGACAGAGCGAGACTCCAGCTCAGGGAAAAAAAAAAAACAGAGGCTGGAGACCCCTCTGGTTGCATACAAACGGCTCACAAGATAGATGGCCTGGCTTCGCTGGCTTGGGGTTTCCCACTTCTTAATTTTCAAAAGGAGTATGAATGAAGCTGTCAACATTTTCAAAATCAGGAGGTGTTATGTCAAAATCCAGATATCCAGCTTCTCTTGACAAACTGGAGACTGCGGCCATACTGAGGTCCATGTTCTCCTGCAGCAGCAGTTAGAAGAAGCTGGAATCTGTGCTTTCTGATTTGCCCCAGTCTCTACCAGGCCCTGCCATCTCCCTGGCACAAAAGCTGAATGTCCCATGGACTGCATGTATTAGCATGCCTGCACTGTTGTTTTAATAGAAGAGAATGGTTTCTCAGTGTGCGTGTGTCTATTAAATAAAGGGAAACAGATGACAGATAGAGAGGACCACCAGTGTTTTATCTCCAGCCCCTCCTCATTACATTACCGGGCTGGCCAGCCTTGCCCTGTCTGATTTTCAAAAGTAGGATCCACAGAAGTGTCTAGAAAGGGGAGGGGAAGGCCCTCCTTGGTAAGGCACCATGCCAGCCCGAGCAGTTCCATTTTCATCTCATGTATAAATTGGAGTTTCACCATTTAGAAAAAATGTTTGAAAAGGGCTGTCATAGGGCGTTATCTTTGAGGAATGAGGTTCCATCTGCAGTCAGGCAGTTGTGTCTCCCATTAAGCTGCTTTCAAAGACATGCCCCAGGAGGGTTTCATGGGACAGAAACCTTGTGGGTGAATTGGTGTGTCGTGTAGATCGCCTGTTTTTTTCCCTGTGGTCTTAGCTCCTAGGAAGCTCAGAGTTAAATGGTGACATTAGCTTCCCATAGCTTGAAGTCTTTCTGATATAACTTTTCACCTTTTATTGTCGGGTTCTTATTTACTTTTTGTTTTAGTAGCTTTCAGTATTTAGTATCTATGGCATTTAGGCTTGGGTTTTAAAATATAACATAAGCCATCTCAAACCCTTCCTGGAAACAGGTAGTATGTAAGGGCATCTGTAGGGAATGAGGCTGCAGGGCGAGGTTAGTGCTTTTGAGTTGAGTGGAGAATCCCCAAATTGAATTCAGAGCCAACTGGGTTCCTTCCCTTTCAGCTCCCTAAAAGGTTCCTGTGGAATCCCCTATAATCTCAGGTAGTTTTCACATCTTCCAAGGGTAGATTTTTTTTTAAGCCTGAAATAGTTGCACTTTAGTCACATGGCCAGTATCCTCAGAGTAATTACCAAGTGCAAAGCGGCACCAACTCCAGGCAGGCCACAGAGGTCGGGGGGCGTCCCTGCTCATTTGGAGATTCAGAAAACTTTTGGTGCAAGCCCACTAGTTTTTGTGCCTACACACATCCAAGCCCTTCCCACCCTTTAGTCTCTCTCGGGCCTCGCTCTTTCTGGGTCTTAACAATTGTGTGTAATCTCTGTGACCAGGTGTGAACCCAGACAAAAACTCGGTCCCATCTCTGGTTTCTACCCAAAAAGTCCACTTGCACCACATGGGAAAGAGTTGACCAAGTGTTTCATAAGCCCTAGGTGGCGGGTCACCTCCCCACCTCACTTGCCCCTTTCCCTCTTTCCCTTCAGCCCACCACACCTAGATTCCACCCAGCAGGTACAGGGCAGCTTTTTCTGCACCAAAAACTCTGGGAGCCAGCCCGTCCCTTGTCCCTAGGGGACTTAACTCACATCCCCGCATTAACAAAGTTTTTTCCCTAACTGTATCAGTTAAGATTAAGTTCAACTACATAGTAAAGATAAACTCAAAGGGGAAGTTAATTTCCCTCTCGGGTAAAAGAAGCCTTGTAGTCAAGAGATACACAAAGACGTCAGGGACCCAAACTCCTTCCTTTTCAGTGCTCTGCTGTCCCTAATGTGTGATTCATCCTCATAGCTCAGGGCAGCTGCTGGAGTTCCAGCCATTGCATCCATTTTCCAGGAAGCAGAATGGAGGAGGATATACCCCCTTTCCTTTTAAAGAGCTTTCCAGGAAATCCCACATGCCACATTCATTTCTATCTCACTGGTCACAACTTAGTCACTTGGCCACGACTAGCTTCTGGGTTCTGTAACTGCAACCGAAAGGGAGAATGGTTATTGAGAGACAGCTTACAATATCAAGAACACTGTCCAAAACCCTCTTCTTTTTGCTTTTTTGTTTTAAGCCTTCCCAATAAAGTGAACAAAACCCTCTTAACCTAGAGGATTCCAGGTGCTAGCTATTAATGTAATGATAATCATCACACTAAATACCTAAACATCTTTGCAGTCAAATTTCTTATGCCCTGCTTAGGTAGGCCGACTCCTACACAGCCATCAAGGCCCCAAGGTTGGACAGAGCTGCTGCAGAAGCACAGGGGAGAGAATAGTTAACCCTACCTTATGCAAAGACTCCTCCCAGGCTAATGCTGAGCTGCGTGAGCCATGAAGAATGGGGCAGGGGTTTGTAAAGACAGAAAAGAAGCAAAACAGAACTCCAGACCGAGGGAACGGCCTAGCAAAGGTTGAGAGCAAGTGGTTCTTGGTAGGAGGTCTGAGGACTGACCTAGGCTGCTGGAGGCAGATCGCCATATTTCCACATCCCCACTCCTATGCACACCCAGTGATTCTGGGGTTGTAGGAGGGCCTTGACTCGAAAGATATCTGGGGGTTCCAGCTTCCCTGAGTCCTATGGATTTGACCAACAATCTAGGCATAAAGAGCAGAGATTATCAACTCAAACGCCCACACGGCCAGGCAAGTTGCAAGAGCAGGGACCCAGCTCTGCTCATCTCTCTCCCGTTGCTGTCCTGCAGGAATGGGGCCCCATAAAGCCAGATCTTTTCATTTTTTAAGAAAGCAGAAATCCAGGTCTGTGTGTAAAAGCTCCCAACGTGTCCATGGTGGTACCTCCAACAAACACACATATAACATAAATAAGCAAAGCGAAACTCGTGTGCAAGCCCCTAGGCGGCTGCTGGCCGGCTCTGAATCTTGAATCACATGGTTAAGTGATTATTGGTGGGGAAAGCTTAAAGACCTGTAGAAGAGGAGGAGGGGGGCATGTCCAAGGTCTCGAAGTCAGTTTGGGCAGAGCTTGGACTCAAACCTGGGGTTCTGACTCCAAGCCCAGCTTTCCTTCTGTCAGTGGGCCTAAAAATAGAAGACTGACCTTTTCTTGGTATTTTTGTGCTTCACAAATGCCAGAGCGTTATTCATTAGTTCATCTTCCCAAAATAACTGGCAGAACACGGCCAGAGGGCAACAGGAAGACTCTGGGCTGCGCCCCCCGACCGTGAAACTGGGGGCTCCTGGGAAGTGGGGGATGTGTCTCACCATGGGCATAGTTTCCCCCCACTGTTGGAGTGGCCTGCCTGGCCCTGCTCTTGGTGAGTCCAGGGGAGAGAGCTTCAGAGGGCAGAACAGATCTCAGGAGGATGTTAGGATCGGGAGCTTGAGTCTATCCAGTTCCCAGGCAGTTTGTGTTCCCTCCATCATCCTCCCTTTTTTTTCTCTTTTTGGTTTAAAATAAGGTTTACAATAGGAGTCTTGGAAAATTCAGACAAGCACAAAAAATAACAAAACTCACTGCAGTACAACTACCTGCTTCTCTCACTGTGTCAGCTTCAAATCTCCAGCTGCCTTCTCTGCTCTGGACAAGGGGGAAAGAGAGCACAAATTTTTTGCAAGAGCGGAAACATATGGGACATGCTTTTTCTAACCTTTTTTCATTGACTCCATCTTGAGCATTTCCCCCAACACTTAGTCTTCTCTTACCAGCGTGTTGGTTGGCAGCAGGGAATTTCATCATCTAGAGGGATTAGAATTCACTTAGCCTTTCCCCAGTTCTTGGACTTATCAGCTGTCTTCTGTTCTCTGTTCTGCACACCAATATGCTGAATATCCTTGTAGTTCGGTATGTGCATCCACCCACAGTGTCGTCTGCAGCATGGGATGCTGCAGGTGTGGAATTGGTCAGATGGTGTGAAAGTCCATGCAGCCTCTGATACACATTTTGCAGGCTGTCCTTGAAGCATACCCAGGGAGAGCCAAGACTGTTATCACTGGAGAGGATCTCAGGGAGGCCGGTTTGCCTTCACTCCTGTCGCACGATCTCTGGCTTGTCTGTGTGTTTGCACCTACTTCGCAGCCCAAGTGTGTTTGATTCATACACCAAAAGCCTCTGGCACCTCTGCCAAAGCTAGTTCATCAGGGACTGCCTGACTGGGATGAAGCAGGAACCAGAGGACAGGGCGCTCTGGCCATAGACATTCACCCTGAATTCTCCCCAGCACCCTCCTGATTCTCTGATGTGTTGCCACTTTGATTTGGGGAAAAACCCCTTGAAATTGCAGGTGGGGGGCCTTGGCCATCCAGCAAAATAAAGGAAAAAAAAAGCCAAAAGTCACTGTGGCTTTCTGGTCTCAGTGCCACTGGCAAAGGGAGAGAGAGTGGAAAGGAGGGAAGTGGGAGTTTTAGTAGAAGTGGGTGAGGGAGAGATGTGTTCAGTAACCTCTGCTCAGCTAGACCCTGCAAATGGATGGGATCGGTAGTTGGTGATTTTTTTGTTTGTTTGTTTGTTTAACTCAGTACATGCAGATTTTACTGCCAATCTATGACTTGATCCCAACCCATTCCCAAAATAAAAGAATTTAAGCATCCTGACTGCAGTGCCAGCTTCTCATCTGCTACCCTACATGTCCCACTGCAGATGTCTTTTGATAATAAACCAGGTTTATGATGCTGTAATAAACCATGGCTTTAAAGAGGGCAAGAGAAAAGACGTGTCTTCTTCAAATGGGCCTGTGACCACCTTGGCAACGGCTATGTCATTGATCCCTTCCAGCCGGGGTCATTGTCGGGAGCATACAAGGTGTAATCCCAACTCTGTTACTACACTGGCTGGCCCTCTGTTCATGGCCCTGATAAATAGGCAGCTCGGGAAAAGCCATCTTGACATTTTGATTTGTTAAGGGGTAATTCATTTTCGAGGCAAGTAAACAGCTTGTAAACTGGGGGGTTTACCGCTCTAAGTGATTAAGAAGTGAGCAGCTATAAAACTGGTTCCATGAGGCTGCGGCTGAGTGTCCCCAAGGAATCTTCCTGCCCAGTGTTTGGATTTGCCGGATGTTTGCCATAGTTCATCTGAGCGGGCCCCCGACACACACACACACAATATATCACATTGTGCCTCTTCCTGAGAACTCCAGCTACATTCATCCTGCCTTTCTCTCCGCAAGCAGACCTCTGCGGTAGGTGCGGGCAGGAAATACCCTCCACGCAAGAGGAGCTGGTGCTCAGGATGACCGCCTCACTCGGAGACTCACCCTGCTTTCACTGGGCCCCATGCACTTGCCATTATAGTCAGCGCTTGTTAAGTCACCCCCAAAACCCAACTGGGGGTATAAATAGGGCCCTTGCCTTTTAAGGAGCTGATCTTTAGACGAAAACAGCTTCACATGAACCTGAGTGGAAATAGCCCCTCCTTGATGGCCCGGAGAAGAGTCCTGCTAAGCCCTAAGCTGAGCCGCAGGTCCCATCTGTAGGTGAAAGGAAGGAGGCTGAGGGACATCAGGGACTTGCCCAAGGTCCCTCAGCTGGGAAGTGAGCAGAGGAGGGTTAAATCCCAGGCTTCCCTGGTGCCATAACCTGGGTGTCATCCCCTGCACCAGATGGGCACACTGCTTCTGTCCAGAGCCAGGTAACCTGGCAAAAAAGCCTTTTAGGCTTTGCAGGCCATGTGGTCGCTATGGCAACTGCTCAACTCTGCCGCTGATCGAGAAAGCAGCCATAGTCTCTGTAAACAAAGGACCGTGGCTTGTTCCAGTAAAACTTTACTTACCAAGCAGGCAGCAGGTTGCAGGATGCCAACCCCTGCTAACACCCTGCAGCCTTCCTGAGTTTCAAGAAAGGTGAGGTCAGGGCCTAGAGGGCCTTCTGGAAGTAGTGTTAGTAGAGAGCTGGACCGTGTGAAGTTCAGGCAGGGCAGGTGGCATGAATGGGGTCCAGGGCTGGCTGTGGTGAATGCATTCGCTTGAGGAGTGGGAAGGCTGCAGGAGTGACCAAGAGGGTTGAGATCCCCTCTCTCAGCTGGAAGGAGGACTCGCCCCCCCATATCTCCACCGCAATTTGGGGCTGCTTCTGTGCCACGAAGCACCATCACCATGGGTCCTGCTTGGCTCCTAGGGGCTGAAGTCGTGGCCTGCAGAAAAGCACATGTCCACCAGAAGAGGGGCTCCTGGGCCGGATAAAAGGGGCTTTGATTTATCGTAAAGAACACGTATCGGCCAGGTGTGGTGACACACACCTGTAATCCCAGAACTTTGGGAGGCTGAAGCAGGAGGATCACTTGAGTCCAGGAGTTCAAGACCAGCCTGGGCAATACAGTGGGACCCCCATCTCTACCAAAAAAAAAAAAATTATTTGGGTATGGTGGCATATCCCTGTAGTCCCAGCTGCTCAAGAGGCTGAGGCAGGAAGATCACTTGAGCCTGGGAGCTCAAGGCTGCAGTGAGCTGAGATCACACCGCTGCACTCCAGGCTGGGCAACAGAGTGAAACCCTATCGCAAAAAAACATAAAGAACAAACATGTATACTGAGCTCTCACCATGTGCCACACCCTGTTCTGGGGTGTGATAATAGTTCTTTCATTTTATTCCCACAACAGTGGGAGTATGTAGTGATACTCCAGGTTGTGGCTGGGAAAGACTCAAGAGAAACACAATAGCTGTTCAAGTGTCTGGTGCTTCTGTGTGGGAAACAGGGGTGCACCCAGGTCTGAGTGTCTCCAAGATGAGGGGCTCGTTCATCCCCGCTGGGTCAGTTTACCGCAGAAACGTGTGGGCAGACTCCACCTCCAGGTCCCGGAGATGCTGAGGGCCATTTGAGACCATCATCACTAGCTCTTTGCCAGGGCTTTCGTTGTTCCTGAACCTGACTTCCCTAGAACCTCAAGGGCAGAGCAAATTCTCTGGAAGGAGCGTCCAGGGCACTGTCCTCCTGCCCGGGTGTGACTTCAGAGCGTGGGTCCCCCAGGTATGACTTCAGAGCATGGGTCCGGTGCCCTTCCTTGGACACCATCAGCAGAAGCCTGAGACTCTACCATGAGGGCATCTAGCATCCCTGGGTGAACTTGCCACGAGGCTGCACGTCCCTCTTCAAGGGCACAGCTGGCACGCTGCTGAGCCAGTATCAGGCACTCGGATTTACGACTCATGGCCCCACACTCAGCTCTGTGGCTGGTTGTACTCTGTTCCTTGAAATAAACCTGTAATAAACCTTTTCCTTGAAATAGCTTCAAAATGTGGCTGGGTCAGGGCCACGACCAGTGAGGTCAGCCTGTTCCAGGGAACAGAGCAGGACTTTCAAGGAACTGAGGTTGGGTTGTTCAGTGGAACCATGACATTGAGGCCCTCAGGCCTACTCTTTGCTTCCACTTGGTCACCTGGTACTTTGTCTTGCAGGCTTCGCCGTGGCCCAGTGCATAAACCAGCACAGCTCCCCGTCCCTGTCCTCACAGTCGCCACCCTCCGCCAGCGGGAGCCCCAGCGGCAGCGGGAGCACCAGCCACTGCGACTCTGGAGGCACCAGCTCGTCCTCCACCCCCTCCACAGCCCAGAGTCCAGCAGGTATTGGCCACGTGACTCAGTGATATGGGGACATTTGGAGAACCCCGTGATCCCTCACCATTACCAAAACCCCTGACCTCCAGGTCCTCCTTGTCACAGCACTTGAAGGATGATGCCGCTCAGGTGATCTGCACATGAAGCCTCTAGAGATTCCTCTAACTTGATGTTCCCTCCCAGGCTGGGTCAGCTCCCAGATGGGGAAGAATTGCTCCTTTTTCAGGCCGGTCCCCACCGAAGCTGTCACTGACTGCAGAGCTGATGGGCAGCAGGCGGGCTGCACCTAAACCCACCCTATCATCACCTCCACAGTCTTAGGTGTCACAAGGAGGGGTCTCCCAAGGGGATTGTTTGCAGTCTAGGAAAAGAATCGCGTTCCTGCTGATTTTTTTTTTCCTCTGTAACATACCAGTTTTGTCCTTAAATGTGGTGCGGTCCAGTTGTTCGAGTAGGCACGCACTTTGCCACTCTTTGGTAGGATGTGATGAAGTCGTATCTTGCCATCCTTCAACTTATTCCACTTCAGACATGGCACAGAGGGAACCCGGGAGTGAATGGGAGCCCCTGGAGTCAGCCTGGAATGGGACATGCACCAGCTCCTCGTTCTCGGCTGCCGTGAGCTATTCGCTGTGTGAGATGTGGGGAAGTACAGACACCAGGCCTCTGGCACAACATGGCCCCAAATTGTAGCCAGAGGAGCAGGGATGAGCATCCATGGCCTTGAGCCAGCAGGATGTTCTGTGCCCCAGCAGCATCCCCCCGCCATGGGTCGGGGGGTCACACCAACTGCCTGCACCTCTGACTGGAGATCCTTAGTATCCTTCACTGTTCCTGCAAGTTCCCCTCCAGAGCCCTCACTCATCATATTTCAGGGGCACGTGGCCCACCTCTCATTGAGTTCTGGATTGATTGATCATGGCAGGAGGACACGGGCTACTGCAGAGCCAGGGAGGTCGAGGGCCCTTGGTCACCATCCTCTCAGCACCAGGAGCCAAGATCTCCCTGGGCACCTACACCTCTCTCTTGGGCACTTCCAGCTTTTGCATTTCCAGTTCATGCCTGTGGCTCAGAGCACCCCAACCCACCTGTGTCTCTCCCATCCACACACAATGTTACCTGCACTTCATATTGACTTCACGAGGCCCAGGCAGGAAAGTCACCCCACAGCCACCTCACTGAGAGATCCTCTTCCACTCGGCACCTGCTCCAGGGCATGACCACCCCTTCTGAGCTATTTCTGAGCCCAATTTAAGGTTGGCTGCACATCCAAGCAGATGCCACCCCTGTTGCCAGGCTTGTAGCTGGGAAACTCCAGCAGAGCTTCTTTCAGAAACTAAGACGCACCCTCAGTAGCCCTCTTGATCCCGTTTCATGCTTGCTCAGGGGCGGGCATGCAGGGTTGTGTGTTCATGCACCCCAACGCACATATTTACCGTTGCACTGGGGATGAAAGCTTCCTTGCCCTTGTAGCTGTGGTCACCTTTCTGTCATTTTTAAGGACGTACAGCCAACAGCTAAGTGAACAAACAGCCATATACTTCTTTGCCTAAAGTTAACACCGGCAAAGACCCACAGTATCAAAAATGATCAAAAATGGGCTTCTGTATATGGATGTCTACCTGAATGTGACCCCTGAGGCTTCAACTCTGCACTTTCCCAGGGCCTGGTGTCTGCAGTGTGTGCTAGTTTCTTTTTTCTTGGCCTCCCTCAGCCCCTCTGTCCCTACCCCCACCATCCCCTGCATGGTACCAGCGTAATGTCTTCTCATCTCAGAAATCCAGTGGCTATTAACTTGGCTGTCAGGTGGCCAGGCAGTTCCAGTCAATAAGTGAGAGTCAGGACCTCCGAGGTGTCTGCTCCCATTTGGTGCGTCCCCAGCAGGCCTGCGGAGACAAGTGTGTAGGTCCCCATTCTTTATGCAGCATGACAGTAAAAGCCTGAGGCCCAGCCTGCCTGTCTGGCTCTGCAGACACTGAGACAACTCACCTGATGAAGGGCCATGCCCGGTGGGCAGCCTGGGCTTTACTCTTACAGATGCCTCAGGATGCAGCTATTGATCCCTGGCAGGAGAGCTCATCAGAGCCCACAAGCTCCTCCCTGTCTTGAGGCCAGACTTCTAGGCCAGCCTGCAATCTCCCTCCCAGTCCACCCAGACCAAAGCATATGGGCTTCCCATGTTCCTTGTAGGGATGGGCCTAACCAGATGGCTCCAACATCTGCCTGCTGTTCCAGCAAGCCGCAGAGGAGAGAAAGCCAAGGACAGGAGAAGGGAGACAGCTTTGTTGGGATAGGAGCCCTTCTGCCAGTTGCTTGATTTGACATTGGCTCAGAGTGCGACTCAGCATTCAGGCTTCTGATGAGGGAAGGTCACCCTGCGTGGCTCGCTCACCCAACTTTCCACCCACCAGGGACCTGGCCCTGATCCACCAGAGATGATATCCTTGGAGGGCCAGCCAGGCAGCGGGGTGGGCCAGGGCCTCTCCTCCAAGCTCATTCATCCTAACCGCCCACTGCCTTCAGCCTGGACAGCAGAAGACAGCTGCAGCCCCCTACAAGGGGCAGCATGTCCTCAAAGTGGTTTTTGAGGGTACAGTGCTAAGTCAGAGGCGATCCCGTCTCTGTGATTATGGAGCCTCCCAGAGTCCAGGAAGCTCCCTTTTGTAGAGAGCGGCTGCCAGACCCTCCGAAGTCAGAACTAGGAAACCCCAGTGGCTTCTTTGCCATTGATTTGTTTTTTGTTTTGTTTTGTTTTTTTGAGACAGAGTCTTGCTTAGTTGCCCAGGCTGAAGTGCAGTGTCGCAGTCTCGGCTCACTGCAACCTCCACCTCCCAGATTCAAGCAATTCTCTCACCTCAGCCTCCTGAGTAGCTGGGATTACAGGTGCGCACCACCATGCCCAACTAATTTTTGTATTTTTAGTAGAGATGGGGTTTCACCATGTTGGCCAGGCTGGTCTTGAACTACTGACCTCAAGTGATCCACCCACCTCAGCCTCCCAAAGTGCTGGCATTACAGGCATGAGCCATCACGCCTGGCCCTCCTTTGCACACTTTGCATGGCCAGGTGTTTGGCTGGGCAAGTACACAAGATATGCCATCCCCCAAGTGATGAGACAGGCCCAGTTTTCCATAGCTCTAGCCCACGGTTTTGAACACTTGAATTGTTCAAGGATGTTGTTAAAAGCTGGGAGTGACCTTCATGCTGTTTTGACAGTTGGTGTGGCCCAGGCACCCACCAATCAGCCTAGGCTCCTGCTGTAGCCACGGCAGGGCCTTCTCAGTGTGCACCTGCTGTGTGGCGTCCCAGTAGATACTCCTCCTGAAATTGAGCCCACCTGTGCCAGACACCATGCTTATAGGCACTTCACAGATGTCCCCTTGTTGAATCCTGCCACACTCCGCCTCACATTGTACAGTAGAAAACACAGGGGCCCAGAAAGGCTGTGCAACTTGGCCCAGAGGATGCAGCTAGCCAGCAGAGGAGCCAGGATCTGAAGCCTAGCCTTGGCAGCCCTAAAGCCCATGCCAGCAGAATATCCGATGCGGTTTCCAAGACTGTCTCAGGCACCTCCAGGGTGTCGCAGAGACCCGGGCCCCGATCTGGATCCTGGTTGGAGGCAGCCCATGAAGTATGTTTCTCCTTCCAACGTGCGTGGCTGCTCTAGGGCCCAAGTGAAAAGTCACGGCCCCACTCGTGAAGGCCTGCTAACATGTACAACCCCAGCCAGCAGAAGGCTGGGTGGTGTGAACCCCTGGGGGAGGAAGGCCTGGTGCTTTCCTAAAATCAGCAGCAAAGTGGACCCCAGGGAGCCCACGTGGGTTCATCCCACATGAGGCAGTGAAACCAGCTGATGCTCAGTTGGGTTTTCCGCCTCCAGCCTGCGTCCAGCTCAGGGGACCTTAGATTTCCTGCCTGAGTTTGAAAACTCTCCACATTTATCCCAAACACGTTCTCACCTTCCCGTGGGGACCTCAGCCTGGCTCCCAGGATTTAGGCTCAGGCTGTCCTCTTGGTTTTGTGGACTTGAGACCTGATCCAAGAGATCTCTCCACCCGCCCGGCCCACACGTGGCCTTCCAACCTCTTAGTGGCTCATCTCCCTGCATCTTATCTTCCCTGGGTTTGGGCACCCCACTCCCTGTCTCAGTGAATTATTGTTTTCCAAGCAAGCAGGATTAGGATAAGTCCCTACTGTGCACAGCATTCGGGATACAATGTGGCAAAAAGCATGATCTTGCAGGCAGGCGGGGTGGCTGAGGCCTATCAGGTGGCCACCCAGAGGCATGTGCAGTTACAAACCGTGACAAAGGAAAGGTGCAGCAGGTTCTGACAGCCGATGCAGAACAGTGCGGGAGGCTCCCAGAGGTGGCATCGCTGCAGATGACAGCCGGGGGATGAGGGGTTGGTGAGGCCCTGGTCCGTGAGGAAGGTGGCCTTTGGGTCTCACATGAGGCCACCAGGGTCCCAAACCACATCTCCTAGAGACCAGTGGATTCCTTTTGCCCATCTCCCTGGGGTCTGCCTGTACATTCTGTCTTCCCAAATGCAGACGGGCCGTGGGCAGGGGGGAGGACACTTTTGAGGAACATTCCCCATGCCCATCAGGGCCGCGGCCTATAGCCCAGCGGTAGCTTCAGGCCCAGTACAGGTGAGGGCCTCTCAGCTGGAAGGGGGAAGGGGACAGCCCCGAGGGGTCACTGACTCCCTGGTCACCCAGAGGCTCCCTCCGTGTGCAGCACCTGCCTCTGAGCCTCCTTCGCACGCCAGAGGCAGAGCTATGGGTGCCCTGGAGTGGCTCTTTCAGTGCTGGCCCCAGACCAAAGGGAGAGTCAACACCGAACTCCCTGATGACCCGAGCAACTGTGCCCCAGGGCACTTTAATGGCCAGTCCTTTTGAGAAGTGTGGTGAGATCCTCCAGTGCTCTGTGGGGAGAGCCCGACACCCTCCCCACGAAGTGTCCAGGAGCCAGGCATCTTGTCGCCCACACATCCAGCAGAGCTATCCTGGCAGGCCTCAGCCAGCCCCTAGTGAGAAAATTGCAGGGTTGGAATCAGCATTTTTTCCCCTTAAACATTTTATGGTTTTGAGAAGCTGAACTTGCAAAGAATATACAGCGGGAAAGTGAAAAAAGACCCAATTTTAGAACCACATGTGGGGCCACAGGAAAACGTTAGAAATATCTTCTGGTATACCACTGTGCACCCACACAGTGACACTTCTGCATACACACAGTCACACATGCCAATGCGCATGTTCATACAGCCACACATACAAATGTGCATGCATAGTCACACTCCCACACAGTCACACACATGCCAGGGCACATACACACTCACACATACAAATGTGCATACATAGTCACACACACCAGTACACATACACACTCACACATACAAGTGTGCATGCATAGTCACACTCCCACACATACACAATCACACACATACCAGGGCATACACACACTCACACTTACAAATGTGCATGCATAGTCACACTCCCACACACATACATGCACACAGTCACACACATGCCACTGCACATGCTCACATACACAAATTTGCATGCATAGTCACACACACATACACAGTCACACATGCCACTGCACATGCTCACACAGTCACACATATACAAATGGACTTACATAGTCACACTCACATACACAGCCACATTCACATACATGCACACACTCATACAGTCACACGCATACAAATGTATGTACGTGGTCACACACACATACCTGCACCTACACATACACACTCACACATAGATGCACACAGTCACATACACACACACACTCTGAGTGAGATGCCGATAGGAAAACCATCTCCTCAGATAAGAACTCTGACCTACAGTGAGTTCCTTAAATAGCCCACTCACACCTCTGAGCTCCAGATTAGTTGGAGTTCACATACATTCCAAGTGAACTACCTTGGGGAAGACAGAAAACTGTTTGATCAAAAATGAGGACAGTGTGAATGTCAGCCTGCTTATTTATTTATTTTTAATTTGGGGGAGCACATAGTAGGTGTAATTAAACATTCATTTTTAAAAAACAAAAACGGCCAAGTGCAGTGGCTCATGCCTGTAATTCCAGCACTTTGGGAGGCTGAGGCGGGTGGATCATGTGAGGTCAGGAGTTCGAGACCAGCCTGGCCAACATGGTGAACCCCCATCTCTACTAAAAATACAAAAATTAGCCAGGCGTGGTGGTAGGCGTCTGTAATCCCAGCTACTCGGGAGGCTGAGGCAGAAGAATTGCTTGAACCCGGGAGGCAGAGGTTGCAGTGAGCCGAGATCATGCCACTGTACTCCAGCCTGGGCAACAGAGCGGGACTCTGTCTCAAAACAAACAAACAAACAAAACCACATTGGGTTATGAGTCATGGCCACCTTGATTGTCCCCTGAGGTTTTATAGAAAGAAAGACAGGTCTGGCTGCTGTTGACGGCCCAGTGCAGGGAGCTTCCCCGGCTTCCCTCCCATCTGGACCCACCCCTGTGCCTGTGTCCAAGAGAGCCCCCTTCACCCCACCACACCTCCCATTTGGGCCAACTGAGAGTCAGATGACCTGAAACCCACCCACATGCCACTCAACTCGGTCACCACTGTCCCGCTGGAGTTTTAAGGACAGAAACCCCAAGTAAGATATCGTCCCTTTTCTCAGTTTTCTCTGTGGCATCATCCTTTTTTATTGTGGTAACATACGGGTAACATAAACTACCATTTTCGCCGTTTTTCAGTGTATAGTCCAGTGGCATCTAAGGACCTTCACATTGTAGTGCTCTATGGCGTCACATTCAAGCTGTGTGCTCACCCGCCTTCATCTCCGAGAGTGTGGTTTCTCCCTTCGCAGTGAGATGCTCCCGACGTTTTTATTTCAGCCAATTAGAAGCCCCACTCGGCCACCTGGCACCTGGTCTCCGCTCTCCTGCTGTGGTTCAGTCTTGATTTTTCAAAGGCACGGGTCACCAAGTCGCTGCCCAGTTAGGTGGCTGAGGGAGAGGCTCGTGGAGAGGCTCGTGGAGCGCCTCGAGCATCTGAGCTTTCTCAGGACTCGGAGCTGTGCTGTTGGCGTCAGCGTGTGACACCAAGAACCTCCTCACTTGGGGTCAGAAATCTGCTTGATTCACTTAGCTGGTTTGATGCCAGTCCTCCAGCCACACACCCTGCCCTCCTCACACTGTCCTGAGGATGCCGGGTTTTCGTGTCCTGACTCCTGGGCCATGTCTAAAACTGACAGGTGATTCTGTTCTTCCGTCCCCTGAGGCTTCCGACCAAGACCAGATGTTGCGGATGAACCCATCTTTCCTTTCCAACAGGACTCCACCTTCTCTGCCCCTAACCCGGTTAAGTTGCACGAGTGAACAATTTGGTTCTCAGCGATCCCGACCCTGCCTCATCCTGGGGGTTGCATGGGGGGTGTCTTCTCTGCATGGGGGGCCAGCGCCCCATGCACCGGTGGCCACAAGCCCATGCTGGGCACTGCCCCACGACCCTCGCCCCTCGTCAGTGCTCAGCGTCCGCTGCTGCTCAGTGTCCCCTCCATGTCGCCTCTGCCGTCCCATTGTTAAAGGCTTTCTATGATCTGTCGCTGTGTTTTCCCTCTAGTCAGGAGTGGCAGGAAAGGACGCCGACGAGTGTTCAGCCTGTCGGAGGCCGACAGTCATGGCGGCCACTGGGTTTAGTGCTCCGAACGGCAGCTGCCACGGCACCTCACGCACAGTCAATTCAGGCAGGTCTCCCCTGTGAGCCGCTCGGGCCGCGACGTCCACTCGCCACGCTGCATTTCCACAGTCGGCAGGGTCCGCGCTGGCAAGGTGGGCCAAGCTGGGCCTGAGCACAGAGCCATTTGCCAAGGCGGCACTTCCCCATTTTCCCCCAAAGTTGGTTCTCCCTGCTCCCTGTCTGGCCTCACCTCATGTGAAGACCAGATCCCCGGCCCTTGACCTTCGCGACAGTCCTTCACCTTCGCGACAGTCCTTCTGAGCCAGACCTGTACAGCCTGGAAACGCTGTCCTTCTCTGTGACATGTGCACCAGTGTCAGGCTCGGCCCGGGCCAGAAGCAGATGCTCCTGCCAAGTCCCCCAGGGGTCCCCCCAGTTTAGGCCATGGGGGTTGGGCGGCAGTTGGCTGGCAAAGTGAGAATTTGTAGAAAGCAACCAAGAAGTCTCCTCATTTCTTTTTTCCTTTCTTCCCCTAGTCTTGATCTAAGATAAGTGGCAAATTCAGTCCTGTTTTGACCGGAAGCCAAGAGCCATTTCCCTCATAGACACATGGATGGATGTGGCCCCACCATCTCCCTTTCTGAGTGGCACCCACACAGCAGTGAGGCTGATCCATGGGCCACCACCCAGCAGCCTGGCTCGCTGTCGGGGCCATCCCTGCTGCCTCCCCTATGACGCTTCTTCTGTGGTTTCTGATGCGCTTTTCTCCATTGGCCGTTGCGCTTGTCTGCTGGGAGCCTTTGCCTTCTTTTGTGTTGAAATCCTATTTTCTCTGAGCTTTGCCCTCCACTTGCTCTACAGGTACCATCCTTTTCTTCCCCACAACACTCAGCCCCACCTTTTCCCAGCCCAGCACAACAAATCCAAGTTTTTGCTGGAAGTCACCATTTGCTTGACAAGGATGTGTTAAGGCCCCACCCTAGGCCTGCAGATCAGTTTCTGAGGTGCTGGCCAGGCACATGGGGGACCTGCTGCCTTGGTGTCCTCACTGGCCACAGCCACGGGATGTCTGTCCGCTGCTTATGGAAACGTGGCCTTCCTGAATGTCCCATTACCCCCTCGGCTCTGTCTCCCCAGCCCGTGGCCAGGAAGTCAGACTTTTCTCCAAATCCCTCATTTCCTGAGCCTGGCCTCAACTTGTGGCCCTAGAGTTCAAAAACACCAGCAGGCATGAAGCCAAGGCTTCACCAGTAACTTTTGCAGCTCAGCACTTGACTAGAAAAAAGTGTCCTCACTGGGTAATTTTCCCCCCAATGAAAACCTGGCAGAGTTCTCCTTTTTCACCTGCCTTGGTTGGATACCCTTGTAGATCAAGTTCAGGAAGCAGTTCTTAAACAACAACAAGGCCATGTCATAGGTGATGGGTAAGAAGAGGTTATTTTTTCCCTATTTAAAAAGAGGCTACTTTTAGCGGGGAAACCAACCCTTTTAATAAAAATTGTTGGTCCTTTTCCTGAAGAAGAAATCAGTTCTGTGCGCATGCTATTGTTAGTTGGTTTGCTCTTTTTGATATATTTGCCTACAAGGTTTCCACATCCCTGATTATTCTCATAACCAAACACCCCATTAAGGAGCAGGGAACGAAGTTGGCCAGCTTCTTTGAATATCTGCATGCAAATGCAGACTTGAGCAAAGAGAGAAAACACTTACATCGAAATTTTAAGAAAACGTGAAGGTAACGCTTGGCTACTTTGTCTCCAGATGGTAGGACAGTGCCATTTGGGGAATTAGTCATTTCTAAACTGCCTCCTCAGCAGCAAAATTTATGTGTGGATCCACATGTGTGTGAGTTTGTCACAGGTCTGCTCATGCCCATTCGAAGCAAGGGCAGAGGCCACCAGAGCAGGTGAGCACTGCTCAGGGAACCACAGGTTCTGAGGAACAGCAGGCAGATCGTGCTAGGTCAGGGCGCACGCCTGAGCTGAAACCAGCCCAGCACCGCAAGCCATCCTTACTGAATGGAGCAAATCAGTTGAAATTCAAAGAAACCAGAATTCGCATGTAGTGTTTACTCAGCATTTCTGGGCTCAGATCACACCTCAAATCACTTTTTCCACTAGTGTTCACCGATGCCCATTGCCACCCTCCCAGAGCGAGGACCAAAGCCTCATGCAGTGGTTTCCTCTAGATCTCTCTCTCTCTCTCTCTCTTTTAAAAAAGACATTAGGAAGAAATTAATTGGGCTGGGCACGGTGGTTCACACCTGTGCACATCCCAGCACTTTAAGAGGCCAAAGCAGAAGGATTGCTTGAGCCCAGGAGTTCCATACCAGCCTGGGCAACGTAATGAGACCCCGTCTCTACAAAAAACTTTAAAAATTAGCCAGGTGTGGTGACACGGGCCTGTAGTCCCAGCTACTCAGGAGGCCGAAGCAGGAGGATCACTTGAGTCCAGAAGGTTGAGGCTGCAGTGAGCTATGATCATGCCACTGCACTCCAGCCTGGGTGACAGAGTGAGACCCTGTCTCAAAAAAACAAAAGAAATGAAATGAATTGTGACCTTTTAGAGTTCATCTTGCCCAGAGTCTTGTGGGGAGAAATGCCGGTGTGTGCTTTGAAATCCAGTCTGTCTCTCGTGCTTTCGCTCCGTGATGGGAGCTCTCTTCCTCTCCCTCTTCCCTTTCTATATGCTGCCTGCTTTTATTTCGTTCTTTGTTTTTCCATTATTTTGCTTTATGTTCCATTTGCTCTTCTGTTTTATTTTGGCCTGACTTAAAAGAGAAAATAAAAAACTAAACTGGAATCACGTTGAACAAAAAAAAATTCTACCATGCTTCCCGGGTCCCAGGCTGCTGTCAGACTCTTAGCTCGATATAGCATCGTCAGCACCTCCCGCCATGGCTTGGGGACCCCCAGCTCTGTGCAAATGAGAATTTGCCTCCAAGCAGGATGCCCACTGTCTTCTTCTCAATGTTTTTAAACACCCGGCATCTGAAGTGCTGGAAGATGTTTTCCACAATGAATTCCAGCTGCATCTGGTGTTTCTGTTCAGGCAGGCTCATCACTGGAAGGCAAATGGGCCAGCATGTGTCTGTAGGATTTTGAAAAGGGCCGGGCACGGTGGCTCATGCCTGTAATCCCAGCACTTTGGGAGGCCGAGGCGGGCGGATCACTTGAGGTCAGGAGTTTGAAACCAGCCTGGCCAACATGGTGAAACCTCATCTCTACAAAAATACAAAAATTAGCCGGATGTGGTGGCAGATGCCTGTAATCACAGCTACTCGGGAGGCTGAGGCACGAGAATCACTTGACCCCGGGAGGTGGAAGTTGCAGAGAGCCAAGATCATGCCACTGCACTCCAGCCTGGGCAACAGAGTGAGACTCCGCCAAAAGAAAAAAAAAAAAAAAAGCACCAAGGAAAGAAATTGCTGCTCCAAGAATAACTGCGTTGGGTGGAACCTCACCTGCCTTGTCCTGGCGTGGTTTCTCAGTGGCCCCTGCCGGGAAGCTCGGGACAATAATGGCCTGAGGAACCACAGCAGCCCCTTGGTGGGTGCTGGCTCAGCACTTTGAGGAGGAGGAGGAGGAGACAGGCCAAGGTTTTGTTTTGGTTTTGCAAGCTGAAAAGTTCTACAGAATTTCCTTTTTTTTTTTTTTTAATATTGCAGTGGGTTCCCTCTTGGGTAAATGTCATCAAATGTATACTCTGGAAATGGCCTGATATTACGAGCACACCCAAGCCCATTTACTTCCCAAACAAGTATTTATCATCAGGCAGGCCTGAGATTTGCCCACACATAAAGCCTGTCAGCTGGGTCTCTGCACCCAGGAACTGTGCTTTCATAAGCCACATGCTGATTTTGCACAGGCCCTGAATTTTCCCCTCATATCACAAGTCAGGGTAACCCTAGGCCCTGCTGTATTTTCCCCAGGCCTAAGTCAGACTGGATTTTGCAGGTTCTGTGTCCCCAAAAGGAGTGAGTGGAGCCACGCTGAGCCCTCACGCCAGCCAGCCACCTCCCACCTAGCTCACCAGGGCCGCGGTTCAGGATGGGAGCACAGGGCGCAGTGCGACGGGGTGTCTCAAGGGCTCAGTGTGTTTCCGGTTTTTCTCCCCCAATCCAGATGCCCCCATGAGTCCAGAACTGCCTAAGCCTCACCTTCCTGACCAGTTGGTAATCGTCAACGAAACGGAAGCAGACTCTAAGCCCAGCAAGAACGTGGCCAGGAGCGCAGCCGTGGAGACAGCCAGCCTGTCCCCCAGCCTCGTCCCTGCCCGGCAGCCCACCATTTCCCTGCTCTGCGAGGACACGGCTGACACGCTGAGCGTCGAATCGCTGACCCTTGTCCCCCCAGTTGACCCCCACAGCCTCCGCAGCCTCACCGGCATGCCCCCGCTGTCCACGCCGGCTGCCGCCTGCACAGAGCCCGTGGGCGAAGAGGCTGCATGTGCTGAGCCTGTGGGCACCGCTGAGGACTGAGTCAGTGCCGGGGCCTCCCTTTGTGTGTGTGGCCCCGCTGGTAGGGACCCCAGTGCCGCTGACTGGCAAGACACACTGGGAGCACCCACCATTCTGTGCGGCCCCCAGCAGCCATCTCAACCACCTATCCCTGCGCTCCCTTGAATGGGAAGAAGCCCCACGTTGTCCTTGAATTCCTTTTTCACTTTGCATCTCTTCACGTGCAGGCTGGGACCAGCGGAGACACCGCGGCGAATGCAGATGACTGCACCGGCCACTCAGGGAGCTGCCTGGGCTCCGTGTCTCTGAGCCCCGGGTGGCAGGACCCACCGGCACCTCTTTCTTCCTCTGTCATATGGCTCCTCTGTCACCAGCCCCAGTGTGCACAGAAGAATTGGACCAGGTCACTGTACGTAGAAATTTGTAGAAAAGCAGACTTAGATAAACATCTCCTTTGGATATTTATTTCCGCTTTTGGCAGCAGGTGAACATTTATTTTTAAAACTTCTATTTAAAAGAAGTCCAAAAACATCAACACTAAGGTTTGATGTCATGTGAAAAGTGTAATAATAACAGTTAAGATTTCATGATCATTTTCACTGGACCTTTCCTGATATTTTGTTTCAGAGTTCTTAGTGTGGCTTTTTCCATTTATTTAAGTGATTCTTTGTTACTCACTAACTCTGCAAGCCTGTGGAATAATGAAGTACCTTCCTGGAAAGTTTGGATTATTTTTTAAACAAAAACAAGGGAGATACATGTATTCTCAGGTACACACAGAGCTGAGAGGGCTGAATGGTTTTCTGCTATAGCAGCCGAGAGGCCTCCCATCATGGAAAGATTTCTCCAGGAAAAGGAGGAATGTAGCCAGCTCCCCACTCAGGACGCTTCCTCATTTCTCTTCACCAAAACCAAACAGAGACAGCTTCCAGCACCTTCTTCAGTGTTACCATCTCTAAGAAGGAACCAGTTGGGACCGTGAAGACTCCCGACCCTGTGGCCATGATGGAAATCAAAGGAAGACACCCTCTACGTCACCTGCCCTCGACTGTGTGTGCCCACATGTGCCGAGAGATGGCCCAGAGCCAGTTCCCCTCCAGCTGCAAGGGCATGGTGTCCCCAGAGCTCTGAGTCTGTCACTCTCCCTCTGCTACTGCTGCTGATCTGAATATGGAAACCCCATGGTTCCCTTCCCCATTCGGACTGGGTGTGTACAAGCAAGGACCCAGATGCATCAGACACAGCCCCCAAGATGTTCCTTTCTACTCGGCCAGCTCGGGAGCCAGACACAGCACTCACAGCCCAGGCCGTGATCCACCCTCCCCAAGTCCACCAGGGCCAGCGGCCCCTCACCTCTCTGGTCACTGGTGAGACCTTCCACAACTTTCCTCCAGACCTGCCAGCAGATGTGCCCACCAGGGGCATTAGGTATCCGCCGGAGCCTGGCCATAGGGTAGTCTCGGGAGCCGCGCTGAGATCTTTTGCCACCTGCATTTTAGAAGAACATGGTCTCTGTCTCCTCGGCCCAGCCAGCTGTCCCGGCAAGGCCTGCCGAGGGCAGTTTTCAACCTCATGAAGGAAACACAGTCCTGCCAAGGAGGGGGAGTGGCGCCCATGGGGACAGGCCTCAGTCCTTAGAAGCCCTCTGGGTAGCTGTGCCCACCCAGCCTTCATGGCTGCAGGTACAAGGACCTTTGCTTCCATAGAGAAAACGCACAGCTCAGAAAGGGGGCCACATGGGCAGAAACCCAAAGGAAGGACAAACCACGACCACCGTGGCCATCTGCAGAATCCCTGGAAGAGAAGGAAGGCAGGGTGGAGCGGGGGGAAGACCATCATGGAGAGAAGGACCACAGCATCAGGAGACGGGACACGCCACACCCAGCAGGCAGCCTGTGTGTTGCTTAATTTTTTAAGAGCAAGAGGGGTAGAGAGGATCAAGCTGGCCCTGGCTGGAGATGGCTAGCCCCTGAGACATGCACTTCTGGTTTTGAAATGACTCTGTCTGTGGGGCAGCAGAAACTAGAGAAGGCAAGTGGCTGCCCCACCCCAAGGCGTGACCAGGAGGAACAGCCTGCAGCTCACTCCATGCCACACGGGTGGGCCACCAGCCTGCTGTCAGAAGTCTCTGGGCTCCAACTGGTCTTGTAACCACTGAGCACTGAAGGAGAGAGGTCTTGGTCAGGGCTGGACAGCATGCCCGGGAGGACCAGCAGAGGATTAAAGGTGACTGGGAGGACCAGCGGAGGATAAAAGACACTGCTCAGGGCAGGGCTTCTACCCTGCATCCCTGGCCAAGAAAAGGGCAGTCCCCATGTGGGCTTGCAGGGTCACTCTCAGGGGCCTCTTTCAGCTGGGGCTGGCAACTTGCGTCTGGGGGACACCTCCAGGTGTGTGGGGTGAGGATTTCCTATAACCAGGGCTCCCAGAAGCTTTGCTTATGTAAGGAGGTCTGGGAGCCAGCCCATTGGAGGCCACCAGCCATTTTGGCTTCAAAGGACCCCACCTCACCCAGGTCTCAGCGGCAGTGGGCACAGCTATGTCTTCAGGAGCTCCCGTCAAACCTCATAGCTGGGGCGCTCCCAGACAGGCCAGTCCAGACAGGACACGCTGGGCCCCTGGCATCCAGAGGAAGAGCCAGGAGTGTGGGAAGGCCCACAGTGGGGGCTGTGGCTTCTGACACTCAGGTCATAGCCTCAGAGGTCTGAGGTCAGCCCCCACAGACCCATCCGGCCCGCCCCCCAAGTCCCTGCAGAGAGCACTTAGAGTTATGGCCCAGGCCCTGGTCCACCCTTCCCCTGTGCACCTCCGGCTGGGTTTGCCAAGTCAGGGAGCAGGGCTGGCCGCAGGAACTCCCAAACCTTGGCTTTGAATATTGTTGTGGAGGTGTGCTCGTCCCTTTCTGGACGTGCAAGGTACCTGTCCCAGCAGGTCAGATGGGGCCAGCTGAGGCGCTCCCCCAGGCAGGAAGGGCCAGCCTTCACCATCGCGTGGGATTGGGAGGAGGGGCCTCCGTGAGCAGCCCCTCCTCTGCCGCTGTCCCAGCCCAGTCCCTCTCCCGGAGCCTTGGCAGCCTCCCACAACCCAGACACTTGCGTTCACAAGCAACCTAAGGGGCAGGTGAAGAAGCGCAGCCCTGCCAGACGCGCTAGATTCCTCTAAGGTCTCTGAGATGCACCGTTTTTTAAAAAGGCGTGGGGTGAACTGATTTTGATCTTCTTGTCTAGATGCAATAAATAAATCTGAAGCATTTAATGTAGTCATCTTGACATTGGGCCTACACTGTACGAGTTCCTTATGTTTCCTTGAGCTAAAAATATGTAAATAATTTTTGTCCCAGTGAGAACCGAGGGTTAGAAAACCTCGATGCCTCTGAGCCTCGGGACCGCTCTAGGGAAGTACCTGCTTTCGCCAGCATGACTCATGCTTCGTGGGTACTGAACACGAGGGTGGAAATGAAAACTGGAACTTCCTTGTAAATTTAAACTTGGCAATAAAAGAGAAAAAAAGTTACCAAGAATGTAGCGTGCTGCTCCTGGGGGCTGTGGCAGGAGGCCGTGGCCTGGCACAGGGGAAGGTTCCCAGCCAATGACCCCTCATCCCGGCGCAGCTGCTTGGCAGGGGTGTGGTGGCTGGAGCCCCTCCCTCTCCCTCCTCCCCGCACCAGGTTCCCTCCCATCCCCAGGTTCCTAAGAGGTTGTCGGGGCTCATACAACCCGGGAATAACTGCTAAGGGGCAGTTGGCACCATCAGGAAATGTCCCCGCCCTACCCCTGCCGGGTACAGGGAGCGTGGTCCACATTCTGCATCTTTTCCCTGTTGGGCAGGTGGCTGCCCATCCAAGCCTCAGGCTCTGCATCTGTGGATTTGGACAGCCAAGCCCTACCTCGCAGGACAAGCGTAGCGAGCAGCGTCATTGTTGCCAGGCTGGGCCGAGGGAAGCAGGAAGGCTCCCCACCGAGGACAGAGGTGAAGTGCGGGGGTGGACATGACTCGGAAACACCAACGTCCACCAGCGTGAAACCCTGAAATCCCTGGAAACAGGATCACAGGTTCTCAAAATCTCACCATCCAGCTTAAACCCTACCCAGAAATGGCAGGGAACTTCTGGGTCTTGAGAGGATAACCAAGTTGAGTCGAGAAAGAATGAACAAGGGACCCCCTTCCCCCACCGCATGCCAAGGGTTGGGGTTATGCCAACAGAAGGAGGAAGCCACTGCCCAGGGCAGAGCTGCCCTCCCATGCCCCCGCCTCACCCGGGTCTCAGGCCTCGTGGGCATTTACATGTCTGAGACCCGCTGGGTGACAGCTCCTCCCTCCTTGCATTCCCAGCCCAGGTTCAAACCCAGGGGTCGCCTGGGGCTGGTTGAGAGGCTGGGGCCACTTCTCTGGTGCCCCCAGAGCATGTCTGTATATCCCCTGCTCTGCGGTTGGAAGTGGCCTGCGTATACCGGCTGCTGTCAGTGTTTTCCCCAGGGCCTCGGGAGGGTTCCCCTCGGTAGCCATGAAGCGAAGCCTCGCAGGGTCCAGTGATTATGCCCAACAGGCCCAGAGCGTCCTGACTCTAGCCGGAGGGCGGGGCCAGCAAGGGCAGGTGGTAGTGACCTGCCTGCGGGTGACCTCTAGGGGAAGACCGATTGCCGGCCAGCCAGCTGCTGGAAACCCCCTTCCCCCACGTCCTACTGCTCTGTGGCACTTCATGGCGTTGGGAAAAAACCCTTAACGTCTAAAGAGCTTTTCTCCAAAGGAAAGTTGGTTCTGAATCACCCATGGGGTGAAGGGGCTTCCTGGGGATTCACTTAAGGCTGCCCGATGGGCAGTGTGAAGCTTCCCTTCCCTCCACAGGCCCCGGGGCTGCTGGCCCTGCTCCAGCCCTGGGTCTACCTGCCCCACTTAGAGACCAGCCACCTGGGCTCCCAGGCCGTGCGCCTGCCTTGGGGCCCAGCCTGCTCTGCAGGTCCCTGCAGTCCTGACACTGCCTGGCTCAGTCTGACTTCCTCCCAGAGGGCAGCACGTGCCCCCTGAACACATGCCTGCCGCCTGCCTGTCACCTCCACTGACGCTTCCTTGCCCTTTTTTTTTTTTTTTTTTTTTTGAGACGGGGTCTTGCTATGTTGCTCAGGCCGGAGTGCACTGGTGTGGTCCCAGCTCGCTGCAGCCTACATCTCCCAGACTCAAGCAAACCTCCCAACTCAGTCTCCTGAGTAGCTGGGCCTACAGGCAAGTGCCACCACACCTGGCTTTGCTTCCTTGACTCTTGGTTTGCCCTTTAAATTCAATTTTTTTAAGAGGAAGACTTTTCGCTGGAAACAGAAAACCAGCACCACTGCAGCATTCATTTCCTAGGGCCGCCATGACAAATGATCACAAACAGGGCAGCTTAAAACAGTAGATATTTACTCTCCCACAGTTCTGCAGGCCAGTCTAAAATCAAGTTGCCAGCAGGGCTGCTCCTCCTGGAGGCTTAGAGGGAGAAGCTGCCTCCTGCCTCTCTCCCAGCTCCGGTGGCTCCGGCACTTGGCGTTCCTCGCCCCATGAGTGAATCACTCCAGTCCCTGCCTCTCCCCACAGCACCTTCTTCCCCGTGTCTGTGTCAAATCCCCCTCTCCTTTCTCTTGAAAGGACAGCAGTCATTGGATTTAGGGCCCGCCCTGATCGACGGTGGTCTTAACTCAAGATCCTTCATTTCCTCTGCAAAAACCCTATTTCCAAATAACGTCACATTCACAGGGACCAGATTCAGGACATGGACACCTTTTTAGAAGGGCTCACCATTCAACCCATTACCCTTGCCAGAAATTAAAGATATAAAAACAAATGCAGCACAAGCAAATCCATATCATTAAATTTTTAGCCAGGTCCTAGCACCTGCCACAGGCTCTGGGCCCAGCCTTGCCTGTGCCATTAATAGGGGAGGCCTATTGGCGCCTAACCAAGATTTTCTCAGTGATAGGATCAGAAGAGCTAAAACGCCGGGCATGGTGGCTCATGCCTATAACCCCAGCACTTTGGGAGGCTAAGGTGGGCAGATCACTTGAAGTCAGGAGTTCGACACCAGCCTGGCCAACACGGTGAAACCCCGTCTCTACTAAAAATACAAAAATTAACCAGGCCTGTGGTCCCAGCTACTCAGGAGGCTGAAACAGGAAAATCGCTTGAACCCAGGAGGTGGAGGTTGCAGTGAGCTGAGATTGCACCATTGCACACCAGCTTGGGCAACAGAGTGAGACCCTGTCTCAAAAAAAAAAAAAAAAAAAATGCTGACAGAAGAAAAGAACCAGCTCACTCTGGGACTAGGGTATTTAAGTCTGAGTCCTTGTACCCCTAAATGTCATCCCAGATCAGAGATGCCACTATGACACACACATATCACAGTGTGTTGCGAACTGTGGAATTCTTTTTTTTTTTTTTTTGGAGACAGGGTCAAGCTCTGTCACCAAGGCTGGAGAGCAGTGGGGCGGTCATAGTTTACTGCAGCTTCAACCTCCTGGACTCAGACGATCCTCCTTCCTCAGCCTCCCAGAGAGCTGGGACCACAGGCACATGCTGCCGCTCCTGGTTAATTTATTAATTTTTTCATTGCGAGAAGGTCTCACTTGTGCAGGCTGATCTCAAACTTCTAGGCTCAAACAGTCCTCCTGCCTCAGCCTCCCAAAGCACTAAGACAAGAGGCGTGAGTCACAGCGCCCAGCCTTGCAATTCTTATTTCAGTTCTCCCTCTCCAATAGACTCACCCACAGGCAACGACTGTGTTTTATTTTCACCTGTTCTGTGGGAGCTGGGTGCAGGCTCTGGCCCATGAGCTCTCTGTGCATGTATGTTGGATGGATGGATGGACTGATGGATGGAGTCATTCTTGGATACAGTTCCAGATTCTTAAAGCCTGAATTCCATTCAGTTCTCCATGCCCATGGCCCTAACTTTCAGCCTCTCCCTATGTGTGCTCACTCTGGTGTCTTCCAGGCCTTACCAGGGCCAGCCAAAGATCTTCAGGAGAATTTGCCCGGGCCAGGTTGCCAAGGGTAGGAGTGTTTGAGGGCTTTCCTCTGCCACCATCAGAAATTCTGTGTCCCCCAACCCTCCACAGGTATCTGAGCTGAGACCGAGCTGCTGCTGGTATCTCAGTGATGAGCGAGACCTCAAGCAGGGTGGAGTAGGTGGCAGTGCAGGCTTTGGAGTTGCTGACGAGGTTCAAGTCCCTGCACCAATGCTCCCCATCCCTGTGGCCTTGAGTACATGGTGAAACCGCATGAGGCTCAATTTCCTCATCTGTAAAATGGGAACCTTTCTGGCAGTGTCCTTGCTTGTGTAGATGAAGTGGGGGCAGGTAAATCAAGCACCTGTACCCAGCCTGGCACATGCAATTTCAGCCAGGGGGTCTCACCAGCGGCCCAGCCAGAAAAACAGGCTTCAGCCCAGGCCCAGGCCCCCTCAGTTACATGTACCCCCTGAGGTACAAAGCCAGCACCTGTGGGGTACAGCTGAGCCCTGGAATTTTTTAAGGTCCCCAGCTGATCCTCAGAGGCAGCTGTGATGATTCAGTTTATGTGTCAGCCTGACTGGGCTAAGGGGTGCCCAGATAGCGGCATGACATGATTTCCAAGTGTGACTGGGAGGGTGTTTCTGCAAGAAAGTAGAATTTGCAGTAGGGTGAGGTGGCTCATGCCTGTAATCCCAGCACTTTGGGAGGCTGTGGTGGGTGGATCACTTGAGGTCGGGAGTTCGAGACCAACCTGACCAACACGGTGAAATCCTGTCTCTACCGAAAATACAAAAATTAGCTGGGCGTGGTGGTGGGCACCTGTAGTCCCAGCTACTCAGGAGGCTGAGACATGAGAATCGCTTGAACCCAGGAGGCAGAGGTCTGCAGTGAGCCGAGATTGGCCACTGCAGTGAGCCGAGATTGGCCACTGCACTCCAGCCTGGGTGACAGAGTGAGACCCTATCTCAAAAAAAAAAGTGGGGGCTGGGGGAGAGAGTAGCATTTGAAAGAGTAGACTGAGTGAAGAAGATCACCCTCACCACTGTGGGCGGCCACCATTCAATCCATTGAGGGCCCAAATAAAACAAGGAGGAAAAAGGTAAAATTTGCTTTCTGCTTGATCCCGTATGTCCATCTTCGCCTGCCCTTGGACATCAGAGGCCCTGGCTCTCGGGCCTTCCAGCTTGGACTGGAACGACACTGGCTTTCCTGGGCCTCCCAGCTTGCAGACGGCAGATTCTAGGACCCCTTGGCCTCCAGAATTGCATGAGCCAATTCCCATAATACAGACGGCCCCCAACTTATAAGGGTTCAACTGACAATTTTTCAACCTTATGACAGGTTTATCGAGGTACTAAAGTTGTTTTCAACTTAGGATGTGTTTATTGGGATGTAGCCTCATTGTAAATTGAGGGGCATCTGTAAATCTCATTTTTAATTTAATTTTATTTTAGAAACAGGGTCTCACTCTGTCACCGAGGCTGGAGTGCAGTGTTGCCATCAAAGCTCACTGCAGCCTCGAACTCCCAGGCTCAAGCGATCCTGCCGCCTCAGCCTCCGGAGCATCTGGGACTACGGGCGTGCGCCAGCACACTTGGTAATTTAGTTTTTTTTGTCTCACTATGTTGCCCAGGCTGATCTTGAACTCCTGGCCTAAAGTGATTATCCTGCCTCAGGCTCCCAAAGTGCTGGGATTACAGGCATGAACCGCAGTGCCCAGCCTATAAATCTATATATCTATACCTGCCTACCTATCTACCTACCTATCTGTATCTCCTGTTGGTTCTGTTTCTCTGAAGAATCCTGACTGATACAGCACCCAAAATAAGAAGCCAGCCTGGCCCACCTCTGCAGCCCACCCTGGCTACACCCCACCACTTGGAGCACACAAGCCCTCTGCCCTGTCCTGGAAGACCCCTCAACTGATTCCCCTCCCAGGACCTTGGCACCTGCCTTTCCTCCCTCCAGCCCCCTCCCCAACCTCTGCACCTGCACCCATCCTCTGTCGTTATCCTCCGTCCACAGAATCAGTGTTACTTCCAGGGACTATTCTGACGTCAGACCCCTGCTTTCCTCCATCAGCAGCTGCCACCCATTTCTTTCCTGGCGTTTGTCACACCTCAAAGGATTTTTGTTTCTTTGCCATGAGCAAAATCTCATGGCTTTCGTTTGGGGAACCCCTGACATCAGAGGCCTGAAAGGAGGACACAGTGCTGCTGGTTTATTTGGGTAGTGGCCCCAGGAAGCTGGAGTGGGAGCTGGGAGAGAAGGGCAGGAGGCCAGTAGACAGGGCACAGCTGGCCTGGTCACCGCCAGACACTGCTGGGGGCACTTGATACTCAGCCTCTCTGGAGCCCCTCTGCAGAGCTGCATAGATGAGCCTTGGGACTGGTCCTGGGAGGGGCAGGAGGTCAGGCATTTATCCCCCAACTCTCATGCCCTGTTGGCTGAGGACTGTCCCATGCCATGAAGGTCCTGCTTCCTCCCAGCTGCCTCGCCTGGAGCCGAGATGGCTCCTGAGTGAGCTCCTCATTTGGACAGAAAATTGGAGACTCAACAGGCACATGGGCTGGAAGACTGGTGGGGGCCTGGGGACCTGGAGTGGATGCAGGGAGGCGCTACCAGACCCCAAACACAGTAGCCACACCCCCCAAACCAGAGGTTACAAATGGGCAGCCCCTGGGTCCAGTGCAGCCCCTCTGTGTGTTCCGTTTGGCCATCAAAGGCTTTTAAAAGAACCATTGAGCCAAGATTTTAAACGTCGGGGATCTGGTACAAATACCTGGATTCCTGGCTTCTCTTTAAAAATCACATGTGAGGATCTTGGGCCCTTGTCCACCTGGATAGAAGTACGGACCAGTCTTTGGCAGGTGTGGGCTCCCCACCCTGTCAGCTCCCCCAACACCTGGGCCTAGGGGCAGACTGGTGATCGGTGGCTGGTACAGTATTTTCTCCTTACCCTGACCCCTTCACCTCCAGTAGCCCTTCCGAACCCCTGGGTCAGGTGCAGGGAGCTCAATATTTGATTAGCCCAGCCCCTGTGGGTAAACTGAGGCCACCCTCCTGAGCACTCTCCGCTGCTACCCGCATGTCCCCTCCCCAAGAAGGCAGCTAAAAATATTCAAGTTGCTGCCCTATGGGCCGAGACCCAGGGCCTCCTCACTCTCTCATTCCACCTCCGCCTGTGTGCCTGCTTGGGCTGCATCCTGGGGACACAGAGGTGACCTGAACACAGCCATTGCCCTCACAAAGGACAGGATCTAACAACAGACAGGCAGACCATGACTTCCCAGCTGTGGCATCTGCACACAGGGCACAGAAACTAACTTCTTAGGCCTCCATTTCCTCATCTGGAAAATGGGTCGCTCCCTGGGTTCCCTCTCCCCATTTGCATGCCCCAGCGGATGGTAGGAACCACTCCGCTTGTTCATTCAATCCCCGTGTTTGTTCTTTGGCTCCACTCTGCAGCACTAGCTCCCGGGCCAGGCTGGGCGTGGCGTAGATGGAAGATGGTAAAGAAGCCAGCTAGAAAGGCAGGAACGCAGCGTGACGGTGCCATACCCAGAGGGCCTGCCTGGGCAGCCCCCAGAGGCCTTCAAAGCTACACTGGAGAGCTTGGCCGAGGGACCAATGGCAATGGCACACACTGAAGTGTTTTACACAAAAAAAACCGCCTGGCTGGATGTGGCTGGCAAGAAGATGGCCGGAGCTGCAGGTGACGAGTGATCAAGAGGAGCCCATGGCAGTGGGGACAGGTCACAGCTGAAGTGGGTGACCTGCAACATGTTCAGCAGGTAAAATTGACAGGTTTGGTCGGACTGGCCACAAGGGAGAGGACGGGTAAAGGACAGCTCTTGGTCTCTGGCCAGGCCGGCGGCTCAACAAGTGTCCAAACAAACCATCCGTGTGCCCGGTGTCTACCTGAGCTGCCGTCACCTCTTCCTTTGCCGGGTTTCATTTTTCTCTTTTGCTGTGTTGCTGCAACTGGTTGCCAAAAGGACTGCACAGCTCTCCTGGCAATTTGGCAAAGTCTAGAACAACAGTATTTCCCATAATCTCACCATTAAAGGACAACCCTTGTGGACATCCTGGCAGATTTCTTTCTGGTCTTTTTTCTATGCATTTTAGAATTGAAATAACACAGTGGGTGTCATTTCATGTCATGCTTTTGACCCAGCGTGACATGATATGGTTCATCATTTCTCCACGATCCTGGAAACTCCATTTTTTTTTTTTTTTTTTGAGATGGAGTCTCATGCTGTTGCCTAGGCAGGAGTGCAGTGGTGCCATCTCAGCTCACCGCAACCTCTGCCTCCCGGGTTCAGGCAATTCTCCTGCCTCGGTGTCCTGAGTAGCTGGGATTACAGGCATGCACCAACATGCCCGGCTAATTTTTGTATTTTTAGTAGAGATGGGTTTTCCCCATGTTGCCCTGCCTCATCTCAAACTCCTGGGCTCAAGCAATTTGCCCACCTCAGCCTCCCAAAGTGCTGGGATTACAGGTGCGAGCCACTGAGTCTGGCCATGGAAACTCCATTTCTAAAGTGTGTAACAAGTTCTGCTGCAGGGAATGTATCCCTGTGGCTAGCTGTGCACCCTCATGGTCTATCCACATTTTATATTACCTCCCCAGAAGAGGTCCTGAGCATGGGAATTACTAGATCATAGAAAGGTAAACCATCTTAAGACTCTGGCTACAAATTGCCAGATTGCTTTCCAAAAATATTGGACCACTGACACTCTCACCAGCGATGTACACAAGTGCCCATCTCACCACAGCCTCCCCACCGCCAAATGTTGTACATTTTAAATCTTTCCCGATTTACAGCCCAGCTCAGAGTTCACCTCCTCTGAGAAGCCTCCTCAGATTTCCCCTCTCCATCCTCGACATTCCCACAGCCAGCGGCCCCCCTCCCTCCACTTGTCCCTAGTCCATCCCAGCTGGAGGTCTGACGTTCCAGGGCTGGAGTCTCCTCTGATCCAGGTGAGGCCCCCAGCAGCTTCCCAGCCTCAATCAGCCTGCATATTTTGAGTCTCTTGTAGATGGTGGGAAGCCTTCTAGTAGTATCATCTTCTTTTACAGAACAGCAACTGAGACCCAGACCAGGGAGGCTGAGTGACTGATCCTGAGTCACACAGCTATGAGGCAGTGTTGCTGCAGCTAAAATAGCAGCAAAAACTCCCACTTAATGGGCACTTCCTCCAGGCCAGGCTTAGCTAAGCAGTTTCTAAGCCTAATCGGAGTTCATACTCCCAATAACCTTGCTGCGCTGGGACTATTATTATCCCCATGTTACAGATGGCGGACCCTTGAACCAGGGCCACTTGGCTGAGAAGCGAAGTCCCCCCTGGGACTTGGACCTAAAATCTGAAGTCGGCAGTGCCTTGAGCAGGAGTCCACGAGCCTGGTCCAGTGCCCTGGGCCTGGCATCCTTTGCCTCTCACAGAGCAGATACAGGCAGCCAAAGACAGAAGGAGCCCCCACCCCACACCGTGACCAGGGCCAGAGCAGGCCTTGTGCCAGCTCCAGGTGCCACAGCAGGGCACCTGCCCCACCCCGCCCCCACCTTGGGTTGCCCTGCAGATTCACAGGAACAGCCTGGAGCCCACCCAATCTCAGTGGCTTCTCTCGAACATGCTTATCTCCCACCCCTTATTGACTTGGGGCTTTTCCTGCCAATCTGCCCAAGCGGGAACAGCCCTTTTCAGAGTAACTGCTGCCAAAATCCATTGGCGCAGCGCACCGTCTGCCTGGGCCTTGATGGCATCTGTCATGAGAGGTGGGAACTAGAAAGCCCCATCCTCGGGCCCCTCCCCAGGAGGCTTCAGCAGGTGGAGAGGGAAGGCTTGGCTTCTCCCAGGACTTGAACATTGATCCAGCAAAACTTAGCTGGGCACAGTGGCTCACATCTGTAATCCCAGCACTTTTGGGAGTCTGAGGTGGGAGAATCACTTGAGCCCAGGAGTTTGAGACCAGCCTGACCAACATGGCGAAACCCCATCTCTACTAAAAATACAAAAAATAGCTGGGTGTGGTGGCATGCGCCTGTAGTCCCAACTACTCAGGTGGCTGAGGCATGAGAATCGCCTGAACACAGGAGACGGAGGTTGCAGTGAGCTGAGATCATGTCACTGCACTCCAGCTTGGGTGATAGAGTGGCACTTTGTCTAAAAAAACAAAAAACAAACAAACAAAAAACGTTGACTGAGCACATACTGTGTACCAGACACTGTACAGGTCACTAGGGAGGCAGCAGTAAATGACTCAGACAAGGGAGGGAAGGACCTCCCAGCAGGGGACATAGGCAACAAAGAAAATTAAAAATAGGTAAATTCTATAAAAATACAGCCAAGGAAGGGGGATCAGCAGGCCAGTAAGGGGAAGAAAGGAGCTACCGTTTTAAACCAGGAGGTCAGGGAAGGTTGTTCTGAGAAAGGACTTTGAGCAGAGATTGAAGGAGGTGAGTGAGAGAACCTCATGGATGTCTGGGGTGACAGCACCCCAGGCAGAGGGAACAGCCAGTGCAAAGGCCCTGGAGCACCCTGGAGGAGCTGCGAGCACTGGCATGGCTGGAGAGGAGCTAGGGAGAGTAAGGGTAGAGGTGTCAGAGCAATGATGGGGAAGACCGGGGAGGCCACAGAGGATACCTTGGCCTCTCCTCTGAGAAGGATGGGGAGCCCTGGAGGACTGGGGGGAGAGGGCTGTGGCACAACCTAGGTTTTAACAGGGCCACTCAGACCTCTGCTTGGAGAACACCCTGGGGCAGGGTGAGGGTGGAGGCCAGGAGGTCAGCTAGAAGGTGACTGCCAAAAGTCCAGCTTACCAGTCTCACAGGGGAGGGCTCCCAGAGACATGCACACACACACACACACACACACACACACACACACACACAGGTGTGCAATGCATGTGTGTACCCGTATGTACACACATGTACAGAGAGACCCTGGGGCTAGACAAGCATGGTTTTAACTCCTGATTCTACAACCAACTTTCTGTGTGACCAAGAGCAAGTGACTGGACATCTCTGAACTTCAGTTTCCCCTCCTGCAAGATGGAAGTTCAGACACCTTCTTTCCAGAGTGCCTGTGTGCAAAGTCTGCACACCAGCTTCACCAAGAGGGGTCATGAGTGGCTGGCCCCCAGCAGGCACTCCTACAGTGACCCTTTTCTCCTTGACATGCCACAAGATTGGTGAATAAACCAGTTGCCCTTGTCTCTGGCTTCAGGGAGTGGCTACTGAGAGGTGCCTTGCAGTCCCATGACCCTCTGGGCAGGATTGTCCCAGGCTGGGCAGGGGGCTGAAGAAGCTACCACTGCCTTTAGGGAGCTGCAGTCTCTGGACAGGCAGCCCCATGAGCAGCCCCAGTGCAGGGTCCAGCCACCCACCTAGGACACTCCAGGCTCAGTGGCTACTCACAGAGCTTCCTCTCATGCTTTTCAGCTGTGAGAAGGTGATTGTGAGAAACACTTTCTAAAAGCCAAGCCTATCCTTTGTTATTCTACTTCCCTTTGTTATTCCACAAACAAAAATCACCATCATCATTTTGTCTTCCCTGGCATCATCTTCATCATCTTTTTTTTTTTTTTTTTTTTTAGACGGAGTCTGGCTCTGTCGGCTAGGCTGGAGTGTAGTGGCATGATTTCGGCTCACTGCCACCTCCACCTCCCAGGTTCAAGCGATTCTCCTGCCTCAGCCTCCTGAGTAGCTGGGATTACAGGCAAGTACCACCACCACCAGCTAGTTTTTTGTATTTTTAGTAGAGATAGGGGTTCATCATGTTGGTCAGGCTGGTCTTGAACTCTTGACTTCAGGTGATCCACCTGCCTCAGTCTCTCAAAGTGCTGGGATTACAGGTGTAAGCCATGGTGCCTGGCCCATCTGCATCATAACTTTTCTTCTTTCTCCTCTTCCTCTCTTCCCCTTCCTCTTCATCCTCTTCCTCTTCTTCTTTCTCTTCATCATCAGTCATTATCATGATGATCATCTTTTCCTCCTCCTCTAACTCCTCCTCTTCCTCCTCCTCATCTTTTCCTTCTTTGCCTCCCTCTTCCTCCTCATCCTGCTCTTCTTCTTCTTCCTCCTCTTCCTCCTCTTCCTCCTCTTCTCCTCCTCCTCCTTCCTTCTTCCTTCTTCTTCCTCCTCTTCTTTTTGGAGATGGGATCTCACTCTGTCACCAAGGCTGGAGTACAGTGGTGCAATCTCAGCTCACTGTAACTGCTGTCTCCCAGGCTCAAGGGATTCTTCCACCTCAGCCTCCCAAGTAGCTGGGAGGTGCACACCATCACATCTGGCTAACTTTTGTGTTTTTTTGTACAGACAGGGTCTCACCATGTTGCCCAGGTAGGTCTCAAACTCCTGGCCTGAAGCAGTCCTCCCACCTTGGCCTTTCAAAGTACTGGGATTATAGGTGTGAGTCACCACACTGGCCTTGTTTTATTTTCATTGCATTTATTTAGTTACCTGCTATTTGTGGCAAGCTGGGCTGGTGTTCTGCTTGTAGAGTATTGTGGGATGTACTTTTAAGTTGAAATTACCTTTTAAAATTGTTGCGTTTTAAATAAATTGTTAAATAATGGTGCTCAGCCATGGTTCAACCACAGAAGTGGTACTTTAAAGGCTTGAATTAGAAGAAGGATGGCCCACAAGTTAGACCTGAGCCCCTTAGCCTGGCAGTCTAATCGCTGGACTGTTGATTCACTTTTCAACTATCTTAGCCTCCGAGAGGCTCTTCATTACCTTGACATTTGCTATTTTGTGTTTCAGAGCCTTTGCAGGCGATTTCTTGGGCCTGGTGAACTCATGCATCCTTCAAAGCCCTGCTCAAGCCTCAGCTCCCTGGGGAAGCAGGTCCAGGCTTCTGTGAGTTGTTGGGAGCCCCTCAGCTCTGCCCCCTGTAGACCTTTGTTCATGGTTTTTGGGGTCAGTCACCCTGAGTGCCTGCCCAGCAGCCACATGCATGTCTCTGCCCATAGAGCCCCATTGTGTACACCAGGCACTGAGCCCAGCACCAAGGGAGAAATCATCGCCATCCTCTTTTCCTTCCAGTGATTGGTCCAGGGGGTAAGCATGTGACCTTCTTTTACCCAGTGAGATATAAGGAGTAGGGGAATTTTGGATGGAGAGGGGAGAGCTTCCTGAAAAGATTTTCCTCCCTGACAAATTAAAGATCCTGGAAGAGAAAGATATTTTCCCCCCTCAGGATCTATTCTCCTAAGGAGGTGATGTATGGGGCTGGGGCAGCCATGTTAGAACCATGAGGCACAGAAGCCACAGCAAGAACAGGGGCTGTCTCGTGCCAAAGCAAGCTCAAGGGGGCAGATGGAGGGCAGAGGTTCAGAGGGTTGGGAGCCTGGGGGTCAGGCTGGGATAGGGTGATGGATAGGCAGACCCCAGGCCAAGGGAGGGAGAGGAGCTGAAGCCTGAAACACAGAAGGCACAACCCACAGCCCCTCCTCCCCCTCACACCATTTCCTCCCTTCTGCCTCCTCTCCTTCCTCTTCTAGCTCATGTTTTTCACTCCCACATCCATTCATGCACTCATACTTCCTTTGTCTTTTTATTCTTTCCTTTTTTTTTTATCCTCCAGACAGAGTTTCGCTCTATCGCCCAGGCTGGGGTGCATGATCTCGGCTCACTGTAGCCTCCACTTCCCGAGTTTAAGTGATTCTCCTGCCTCAGAAGTCAGGGAGTGGTTTCTCCAGCTGGTTCTGGCTCAGCCTCTCCCATGAGGCTGCAGTTAGGATACGGGCAGGGGCTATTCTCCTGAATAGCTGGGATTACAAGTGTGCACCACCATGCCTAGCTAATTTCTGTATTTTTCAGTAGAGATAGGGTTTCACCATGTTTCCCAGGCTGATCTCGAACTCCTGACCTCAAGTGATCCACTCGCCTCAGCCTCCCAAAGTGTTCGGATTACAGGCGTGAGCCACCATGCCCAGTCCACTCATACTTTCAATAAGCATTCATTATGTACTTACTGTGCTCAGGCCCCTTGGAAGGAGCAAGAGGATTGGCAGTAATAACAGCAACCCATGTGGATTCAGCAGCTTGGTGGTTTTATTTCTATTTTTATTTGGAGACAGGATCCCACTCTGTCACCCAGACTGGAGTGCTGGGGCACGATCATGGCTCTCTGCAGCCTTGACTTCCTGGGCTCAAGTGATCCTCCCACCTTAGCCTCCCGGGTAGCTAAGACTACAGGCATGCACCAACACACCTGGCTAATATTTTCTATTTTAAGTAGAGAAGAGGTCTCGCTGTGTTGCCCAGGCTGGTCTCGAACTCCTGAGCTCAAGCAATCCTCCCACCTCCATCTCCCAAAGTGCTGGTCCTATAGGCATGAGCCACCGCACCTGGACAACTTGGTGGCTTTCAAATATGTCCGCAAATTCTTTGACACCCCTGCCTTCAAAAGATAGAGCTTAACTGTCCTTCCTCTACGTGTAGACTGCACCCACTTCTAATGAATAGATGTGGAAGCAATGATGTGTAACATCCAAGATTAGGATATAAAAGGCATTGCAGCCTCCTCTTTCCTCTCTCTCAGGTCACTTTCCCTGGGGGTAGTCAGCTGTCGTGTCACGAGGACATTCAAACAGCCCTGTGGGAAGACCCATGTGACAAGGAGCTGAGGCCTCCAGCAAACAGCCAGGTGAGTGAGCCATCTCAGAAGCAGAGCCTCCAGCCCCGGCCAAACCTTCAGATGATGCAGCCCCTGCCCATATCCTAACTGCAGCCTCATGGGAGAGGCTGAGCCAGAACCAGCTGGAGAAACCACTCCCTGACTTCTGACCCTCAGAAACAGTGCCAAATCATGAATGTTTATTATTTTAAGCTGTTAAACTTTGGGGATAATTTGTTATGTGGCAGTAGATAAGCAACACAAGTAAAAGGCATTGCTTTACTAAGTGCCTTATGTGTATTAATGTATTCAATTCTCCCAACAATGTTATGTCTTTCCAGATGAAGACCATGAGGCACAGAGAGGTTTGTTAACTTGCCCAAGGCCAAACAGCTGGTAAGTGGGACAATCCTGGAGGAACATTGAGTCCAGAAAGGAGATCAGACTTGCAGATTTTTTTTTTTTTTCGAGATGGAGTCTCTCTCTGCCACCCAGGCTGGAGTGCAGTGGCACAATCTTTGCTCACTGCAGCCTCCGCCTCCTGGGTCCAAGAGATTCTCCTACCTTAGCCTCTCGAGTAGCTAGGACTACAGTGCCCGCCACCATGCCCTGCTAATTTTTGTATTTTTAGTACAGAAGGGGTTTCACCATGTTGGCCAGGCCGGTCTCGAACTCCTGACCGCGGGTGATCCACCCATCTCAGCCTCCCAAATTGCTGATATTACAGGTGTGAGCCACCGCGCTTGGCCAAAGATCATTTTAATACCAGGTAGGGAGTGTGGGAAGTGCCCGTTCTGGGGAGGTGAAGAAAGGAAGACAGCAGCCCTGGCTGGACCCTGAGTGTGTGGGCTGTGAAAGCCCACAGAGGATGGGAGTGGGCAGGTGCAGTGGAAATCAGACGAGCCTGTGAGCTGCTTCTTGTTGGGACTGGGAGCGACCCGTGAACACACAGGCTAAGAGTGGGCCTGAGACTGTGCCCACCCAGTACCCACTGCCTATAAGAGGTGCGTAGAAAAGGCCGGAAGTCCCCCTGCACCCAGGTCCTGGGAATCCCAGAACCAGCGAGAGGCCTAGGTGTCTGTGTGTCTTGGTTAGGGCAGCCTAGGTTGTGCTGCAGAGTCAAGCCTCAACTCACAGTGGCTCAGCACAGCCGGGCTGTGGTTCTGGACCCACCACGTGTCCCGCATGGGGTGGCAGGGACCGAGCCCATTATAGTCACTCAGGTTCCCAGGCTGATGGAGGCCTCACGCTCTTACAATGCTGCCGCCTCAACATGAGGTTTCAGGGCTTCCCACAGTGGAAGGAGCCTGGAGAGAGCCACCAGCTCTGAAATGACAGCCCAGGAAGACACAGGTTGCTTCTGCTCACATTTCACTCCGTGAAGCAAGGCCCAGGACCCCACTGACCTGCAAGGGGGCACACGCCCAGGAGGAGAGAACTGAACACCTTGGGGGATCTAGCAATGTCTCCCACACTCCAGAAGGCCCCAAACCCGAGAACCATGCTGCCCAGAATGAATGCCACAGTGGGACCAGCCACAGCCAGACAGATTCCACTCCAGGACACCCAAGGCCAGGCACAGCCCCAGAGCCAACCAGAGGCTCAGAAGACCCCTCTCCCATTAGGACGCCACCCCTAGGGAAAGGGATGGGGTGGGAAGAAAACAAAAACAGGAGTCCTGAATCAAAAGAGTGAGCCCAGAAAGAGACTATGCGAGAGCATAGAGACCTTTAAGTGACAAGAGGAGGGTCCCGGCCATCAGCAGGAATGGGCGTCGGGAGAGAAGAGAAACAAGCTGCCCTGCACAGCCCCACGCCAGTGGGCCCTGCTCCATGCATTTCCCACCCATCAGCTCCTTCTGCCCTCCGACCCTAGGAGCAGGCTCTGTTGTTCCCCCATTTCACAAAGAACCCAAGACCCAGGCAGGTTAGCGTAAGAATATGCCAAGGCAGGCAGATCGCTTGAGTCCAGAAGTTTGAGACCAGCCTGGGCAAAACCCCCATCTCCACAAAAAGTACCAAAATTCGCCAGGCAGGGTGGCGTGTGCCTGTATTCTCAGCTACTGAACAGGCTGAGGTGGGAGGATTGCTTAAGCCCAGGAGTTAGAGGCTGCAGTGAGTTGTGATCGCACTGCTACACTCCAGCCTGGGCAACAGAGCACGACCCTGTCTTTTTTTAAAAAAGGAAAGAAGGAAGGAAGGAAAGAAGGAAGGGAGGAAGGGAGGAAGGGAGGAAGGGAAGGGAGGGAAGGAACGAAGGAGGGAGGGAAGGAAAAAGGAAAGGGGAGGGGAGGGAAGGGGAGGGGAAAAAGGAGAGGAGAGGGACCAAGTGCTTTTCCTACAGTTTCTGTCTCTCCCACTGTGCCCCATGAAGTGGGTGCTATCATTGGCTTAATTGTACAGATGGTGAAACCGAGGGTCAGAGAGAGAAAGCAAACTGCCCGAGATCCCAGAGATGCTTAGGACTCAGGTCCCCCTGACCTCACAGCTCAGGCTCTCAATCGCTGACCCTCCATCCTCACTGCCAAAACCTGGATGCCTGCACAGCCTGGGCATACAGAGGAGCTCCACGACAGGGTCCCCTGTGGGCTTAGGGAGTGCTGAGGCCAGGCATGGAGCCCTTTGTCTGGCCGGGGGACAGACTGTGACGAGCAGGACCCTGCCCACTTCTGTGAAGGGAACCTCTAGGGAGCTTATTCCTAGAAGGAAGGGCCACACCCAGTATTGACTTGCCATTCACAGGTGCCAGTGACCGGGTGTGTCTCACCACGTGTCTGCTTCTGGGGAAGGGAGGGAGTGGTTAGGCAGACTCAGGCAGTGGCTCCTGTGTGTCCCAACCCCCTCGGCTACAGCAGACAGCTTGGGGACTGGCACCCAGGGGGATGGACTGAGCAGGAGGCCTGGATTCTGAGTCTCCTTTCCCCCCGCGCCACCCTGCATCAGACAGGGCTCCTCTGCCCCTCCTCGACATCACCACCTTCTCCATGCCTCAGTTTCCTCATCCACACCTCGGACACAGTAATGCTTCCTTCCTGGCATTAAGCAAGTGAAATGATGAAGTCATGTGTGGGGCCTCTAGGGCTCCAAGGAGCCAGGTTTTGATCCTGAGGGCAGTGGGAAGCCATGGTGAGGTTTCCAGGGAGCTAGTTAATACAGGATCAATGAAACTGATTTTAAAATATCTATTGATAAGCCCCCACTGGGTCTGGTGCCTCATGCCTGTAATCCCAGCACTTTGGGAGACCAAGTTGGGAGGATGGCTCAATTCCAGGAGTTTAAGAAGAGCCTGGGCAACATAACGAGACCCCATCTCTATCCAAAAAAACAAAAAAATTAGCCAGGCATGGTGGCACGCACCTGTGGTCCCAGCTACTCAGGAGGCTGAAGCAGAAGGGTCACTTGAGCCCAGGAGGTTGAGGCTGCAGTGAGCTGTGATTGTGCCACTGTACTCCAGCCTGGACAACAGAGCAAGACCCTGTCTCTAAAAATTAAATAAATAATTGCAATTTATTTATTTATTTATTTATTTTATTTTATTTTATTTTTGAGATGGAGTCTCACTTTGTCACCAATCTTGCTTCACCACAATCTCCGCCTCCCAGGTTTAAGCATTTCTCTGCCTGAGCCTCCCGAGTAGCTGGGATTACAGGTACGTGCCACCACACCCGGCAAATGTGTGTATTTTTAATAGAGACAGGGTTTCACCATCTTGGCCAGGCTGGTCTTGAACTCCTGACCTCATGATCCACCTGCCTTGGCCTCCCAAAGTGCCGGGATTACAGGCGTGAGCCACCACTCCCGGCCACAAATGTTTTTAAAAAGCTCAAAAGAGACCAGGCACAGTGGCTCACGCCTGTAATCCCGGCACTTTGGGAGGCTGAGGCAGGCGGATCACCTGAGGTCAGGAGTTCAAAACCAGCCTGGCCATCATGGCAAAACCCCATCTCTACTAAAAATACAAAAAATTAGCCAGGCACAGTGGTGCACATCTGTAATCCCAGCTACTCGAGAGGCTGAAGTACAAGAATCCCTTTGAGCCTAGGAGGCGGAGATTGCAGTGAGCCGAGATCACGCCACTGCACTCCAACCTGGGTGACAGAGCGAGACTCTGTCTCAAAAATAAAAAAAGTGAAAAATAAAAAGCTCAAAGAAAAGCAAATTCAGGGGTCACTAATAAAAATGGAACTCAAGGTGGAAGGGTGGGGTGGGGAAGGGGAAAGGGACTCAGACTGGCCTTGATCCCTGGTCATGACTTTCGTGGGAGCAGGAACAGAAACCCCAGTATGAAGGCAGGACCCTGAAGGGCTTCCCCCATCCCATGGGAAGGTACATCACCCTCTGCCCAGCCTAGGAACAGCCCGAGATTGGATAGCGGGAAGTCTAAGAAATTGAAAGTCTGAGCCTGGGAGTGTGGGGGTGGGGCAGGGCAGGGGAGACTGAGGTCTGGGTTGATTCTACTCTGGGTTGCTGGAATCTCATGCCGGGAATTCAGTGTGAATGCAGGTCCCCAGCTGGTGAAATCCCTGGAGTATTACTCAAACTCAACGCATCCCTTTTGGGAAACGTCTCGTCCTGAGGGGTGTGGGAGCCCAAACGTGCACAGGCACACGCAGCAAATCTCCCCGCTGAAGATGAGCTCACAATAAAGCTTAGAAACCACCAGAAAAATCCACCACACGGGAGAATCCACAGACAGAGCATCAGGCACAGCAGGTCCATCTGGGTGGTCTGTGCTGGAGTGGCTTATAGATCTGATGTCAATATGAAATCGCAGCTCTGTGGCTGCAAAACCCCCTTCCCGTTTACACCCCCAAATCCTCAGTCACCACCGCTTCTCACAAATGCCTCATGGGAGCATGAGTTTTGTTTTGAGGGATACAGGGAAGAACTGACATTTCTGCTGGGGTCCACGGGATTGAGGAGCAGAGGGAGCCCATGTGCAGAGGTGGGACTATAGGAAATCCGGTCCAGTTCCGTACATTTGGGAGACTGGGGCTGGAGAGGCTGTGAGGATGTGAGTCCTTGGAAATTAGAGATCTGCAGGGGAAGGCTTGGCTTTCCACAGGGGATGGAACTCAGGTTTGGGGGCTCTTACTTAGCCTAAAGAGACACTCGACTCTCCCAGGGTCAAGGGGAGGAAGCCTGTGCTGGACCCAGGTGGTGAGCTGAGGTCCCTGCTCTCGTGGGGTGAGGCTGGCCTGGGTAACTTTTACCTGGCCACGTGGCTACAGGAACACAGAAGGGGAGGCACAGCTTTGGGGGACGGTGACTTTTTTTTCTAGAGACAGCAGCAGGTCTGGATTTGAATCCGGACTCCACAGGGCGTTACTGAGTTTTCCCATGCCTCAGTTTTCCTCTCCATGTAATGGGGGTAATAATAGCTCTTCCTCCAGGGCACTGAGAGGACTGAATGAGAAAACCCACTTGACAAGGCAGCTGGCCCAGAGGACAGGCTGGGCGAATGGTCATGGAGTTTATTACTAATGAATGAAGGGCCGGACCCACAGATGAGTCACACAAGTGAGCCACTGATCGATCTGATAACAATGAATGGACAAATGAAAGAAATGAATCAATGAATGAAATGCTCAGGGCCTGCCTCCCAGCACCACAGAGAGGGGACCTGGCCCTGGGGAGGGGAAGGAGGGCAGGAGAGGCCCACCCCCTGAGTCAGCTTCCAGCAGCTCCAGCTCAGAAAAAGTTCAGCGGCCAGGTGACGGACACATGGCGCACACCTGTGACGCCCCCCTTAATCACTCCCCCACATCGTGCCAAGGGGATCGAAGGATTCCCCTGAGTCATCTTCCTGCAGGCCAGCCTGCAGCTCCTGCAGCTCCCGGTTCCTCCCCCTGGCCCGGCAGAGGGTGATTAAGGGCTTTTTGGGGGAAATGACAGTTAAAAGACTCAGCAAGGAGTGTCCAGCCTGGCGAGTCAGGGGCTGTGGGCAGGACTCAGGAAGGGCCCCCTGGCCCCTTCCTGGCCTCAGAGGGAGCCTCGTCCGAGTGGCAGGGCTTGCTGATCCTTGAAGTGGGAGAGGGATAGCCCCATCCACCACAATAAGTAATAGGAATGACAATGAAAAGTTTGTTGGGCCAAATTCTGTGCCCAGGGCTGCTCGTTTGTTTCTTCATTTAGTCCTCAGCTCCCTACCGAAGGCAGCCGTCTGCTGAAACCATAAGAAATTGCTGATTGCCTGTCTGATCTTGACCCACAAAAATGGCAATCTCATGTGTCATTCGATCTAATAGTCCCATTATTCCTATTTTGCAGAAAATCACGGCTCAGAGAGGCTGAGCAGCCTGCAAAGGAGAGCCAGGGATGCTGCCACCCAAGCCTGGGAGAGCCTTGGGGTGCCCAGGCTTGGGGCTGAGGGAGGCTCCTGGTCTGGGAACAGAAGTGCCCAGGGGACACTAGAGCAGAGCTAGGCTGCACCTGCCCCCTGGGGGAAGGGAGGTGGGGCCAACACTGGGGACGCAGGGCTCCCTCCTGGCGATCCCCAGGCTGGGGGAATTTGGTGCTGGGGATTTTGAGCAGTTAGAGGCTGGGTAGGGGCTTTCTTGCCTTCTGGCTGGGGCCCCGTGGGAGTGGGGGAGTTGGGGCTGCATCCATCTGTCCATCCATCCAGGGAGTCTCTCCAGTGGTGGCCGTCACTGGGGCCGTCTGCAGAGCCTCTCTGGGGCATTAATTTAACATGCAAAGGGGAACCCAGGGAGAGGGCAGTGCTGAACCCAGAGGGAGGGGGTGGGTGATGGTGGCATTTTGGGCAGACTTCAGTATGGTTTTCTCCCCAGAGAGTGTCTTTCTAGAACGTCTTTCTAGACTCCTGGGACACTGGTGTAATTGGCCTGTGAGGCCAACCAGCCCCAGATGTTTCTGGGAATTTGGAGACCTGCCCCCTGCAAGGGACTCAGATGCTTTCCGTGGAAGGGGCCAGGGAGGGGAAGAGGCACCAAGGTCTCACTGAACCGTCGTGGTCACTCTGAACATTCATGCCACTTGGCATGAGCCCTTCACTCTCCAGACTGTAAAATCAATACCTGGCCCAAATAGCAACAACAAAGAGCAACAATACCCCTTACCCCATCCACGTGGCACCTCCTGTCTGTCTCCAGGGCGCTGCGCTTCATTAAGCACCACACACCCAAGAGCTCAAGGGAGTCTCATGACTAGGCATCTGCAGGGGCTCCTCTGTTTCTCATCTTTCAGGAAACCAAGGAAAAACAGAGAGGTTGAGTAACTTGTCCAGAGTCACACAGCTCTAAGAAGTAGAGTCACCTACTCCAGAGGCCAAGGCAGGAGGATCAGTTGAGCCCAGGAGTTCGAGGTCAGCCTGGGCAACATAGTGAGACCCCCATCTCTTTAAACACAAAAAAGTGGAGTCAGAAACCAAACCGAAGGACTCTGGACCCTTGTACTCTTGGCTGCACACATCTTACCCTCCTGAAGAAATGTTTGCTGAGATTACAGACTTGGTTAAATTCATGACAGTCCATCTATGCCATGGGGCCATTAAAATAGTGATTTGGAGGCCAGGCGAGGTGGCTCACACCTGTAATCCCAGCACTTTGGGAGGCTAAGGCAGGCAGATCATCTGAGGTCAGGATTTCAAGACCAGCATGGCCAACATGGTGAAACCCTGTCTCTGCTAAACACACAAAAATTAGGCGGGCATAGGCCGGGCGCGGTGGCTCACGCCTGTAATCCCAGAACTTTGGGATGCTGAGGTGGGCGGACCACAAGGTCAGGAGATTGAGACCATCCTGGCTAACACGGTGAAACCCCATCTCTACTAAAAATACAAAAAATTAGCCCAGCGTGGTGGCAGGCACCTGTGGTCCCAGCTACTGGGGAGGCTGAGGCAGGAGAATGGCGTGAACTCGGGAGGTAGAGCTTGCAGTGAGCTGAGACTGCACCACTGCACTCCAGCCTGGGCGACAGAGCAAGACCCCATCTCAAAAAAAAAAAAAAACAGGCGTGGTGGTACATGCCTGTAATCCCAGCTACTGAGGAGGCTGAGGCAGGAGGATCGCTTGAACCCGGGAGACAGAGGTTGCAGTGAGCCACCACTGCACTCCAGCCTGGGCGACAGAATGAGACTCCATCTCAAAATAAAATAAATAAAATAAAATGGTGATTTGGAGTATTGCTTCCCTGGGAAAATGCTCATGGTATGTGTATCCTTAGAGGAAAAAGCAAGTTGTAAGAGTTTGGAAACCATAACCCCATTTTGTTCATTCAAAAATTATTTGCATAGAAAAATGACCAGAAAACAGTTACAAATTACAATGTTGGCAACGATGATGCTGAGGAGGAAGAGCAGGGGCCCATGGAGAAGGACAGGGTCCATACCACCAGGTATGTGCCACCACTTTTTCCTGTGATGCCAGGAAAGGGGGCATCCCCATTGCTAGGGGTCTGAAGACCTGGAGTGAGAGAGAGAATGGCTGTGCCCATGACTGGAGGCTCAGGGCTCTGAGAGGTGGAGTCAGGGGTCTGTGGGGGAGGCAGTGGGTGATCCCTCAACCACGTGGCTTGTCCTTCCCACGCCTGCAGAGAAACATTGGTCACCCTGCCTTTGCCCCAGCTGGCTGCTTTCCTGGGATGTGACCTTTCACGTTGGTGGCCAAACCTGTCCATCCTTGACACTAGCTCAGACATCCCCTCCTCCAGGAAGCCTCCTCAGATGTCACTGGCCAGGCATTTGCCTTCCTTAGTCTTCTGGATCCCTAGTCTAGGACTGAGTGCTTCCTGCCTCCTCACTGCCTCTGACTTCTCTGGGGGGTTGATTTAACACGGCCACGGGGGCTTATTTCCATAACCCCAGCCTCTGCCACAGGAGCCGCTATAGGGTTGAGCTTTACATCCTCTCAGTGGGCTCGTGACCCCGTCATCCACACCTTCCCTTTTATCGGGTCCCTTTCATGTGGTGTCTCATCGACTCCTTACCATAGCCCTAACGGATGGACATCGCTATTCATTCCCATTCTACAGATGCAGAAACTGAGCTTCAGGGAAGCTGAGGAGCTCACCCTGGGTCATACGGCCAGCAAGTGGCACAGTCAAGATCCGAACCCAGGTCAGGCTGTGTCCACAGGGTATCTTGGACAGGGCTAAACTTCCACCACATTGTCTCTTCATATAATGTTGAAATCTGGCTTCTCTTTCAATAGCTGCCCCAACGCGGCCGGAGCACTGGGACTAAGGCAGACGTGAGCGCTAGTATCGCAGTCACCAGCACTGCTACAGCGCCTTCCCTTTTAGTGCCTCCTGTCAACGCTGAGAGGTAGTCACAAGTATCCCCATGGCAGATGTGGGAGGACTGAGGCCCATGAGGTCCAGGGCTCCAGGGGCACCTGGCTCTGATGAGGCTAAACTCAAGCTTGCCCCTTCTCTGCACCCCAAACTCCTGGTTTCTGGACCCAGCTCAGCACGTGGAGCCTTGGGTCACACCCAGCACCCAGTGAACGGCATCCGAGAAACACTCTTCCTGCTGAAAGCCTGGCTTTCTGGAAGGGAGCTGGGGGAAACTGGGAGAGGATGGAGGGGGGCCAGGTAGCAGATAGCCACACTCCTTGCGGCAGGAAGTTCTACACATCATTTCTGGGAACCAGGATAGCTTGGCAGTAACTCGGCGCACTTTGACCCCAATAGAGCACCCAGCTGTCACTGTTGACAGCCCCCCTTCCTTCCCAGGGGATGCTGCTGAGCTGCTTGGAGCCTTCATGTCGGACATCCAGGTGGGCCTGGGGACAGCCTTGGAGCTCCCGGGCCACCTGTCTGGCCACCACCGGATGGAGTGCCCAGATGGGGCTTCTGCCAGCTGTCCAGGAGGCAGCCCAGGCTGGGACATCCAAGCTGAGCCCTGAGCTGGCCTGGCCTGGCCCAGCCCGCACTGATGAGGCAATGTGAGTCCTGTTTCCTGTTACTGTGGCTATGCAAATGGGGGGAAATCAGGGCCTCTCCTGGGGTAGGCTTCCCGGAATGATGGCATTGATTGTCCCAAGAAACCTGGCCCCAGTGGGGCTGCTATGGGAGGGCAGTTGTCAACGGCTAAGATCCCTTTCCTGGTGCATCTCTCCTGCGTGCTGGGCTACATACTGCTGGGAAAAGCTTCTTCAGCCCAGACCTAGGTCATCACTGCATGTCCACTCCCGGACCCACTGCCCATGAGAGCTGGGCTGTGGCTTCCACTTCTTGTCACTGCATCCCCAGCTCCTGGTACATCGTGGGAGTGGGGCGGACAGGACCAGGAAGTGGGTGGCCTCAATGGCTCTCAGCCCCTGGCCTGGAGATCACCACACCCTTCTCTTTACACATAAGGAAACTGAGGACACCAGACTGGGCCAGGGACTTGCCCACGTCTCTCTGCCTCGCCCAGACATGCCGCAGCAGCAGTGGCAAACTTCTGCTTGCCCCCAGAAGCCAGCTGAGTCTTCCAGGTCAAGTCCCTCTCCTGCTCCCCACAGTCCTGTCACACCCCTGGCTGCTCCCCAGGTCAGCCTCTCCTAGGGGTCGTTCTCAGCTCACATCTGACCATGCCACTCCCCTGCCCTGGCACCTAGCCCTCACTCAAAGCCAGGCCTCATAAGCCAGCAGTGATTGGGTACCTTCCACCCTGAGTGGTCTCATCTCTTGACAACTCTGCCTCACACATTACCCCTGGTGATGCCAGAACTCCTTGGAATTCCCCCTTGCACCTCTGTGGCTTTGCAAAGCTGTTGCCTCAGCCTGAGAGGATGCCTCCAACACCTTTCTTTCTCTCTTTATTTTTTTTTTCTGAGACCGAGTCTCACTCTGTCACCCAGGCTGGAGTGCAGTGGCACGATCTCAGCTCACTGCAGCCTCTGCCTCCTGGGTTCAAGCAATTCTTGTGCCTCAGCGTCCCAAGTAGCTGGGATTACAGGCATGTACACCACGCTCAGCTAATTTTTGTATTTTTAGTAGAGATGGGGTCTCGCCATGTTGGCCAGGTTGGTCTCGAACTCCTGACCTTGTGATCCGCCCACCTTGGCCTCCCAGACTGCTAGGATTACAGTTGTGAGCCACTGCACAAGGCCTAACACCTTTGTTTCTATAATTCCTATTTTTTCTCCAACACTCAGCAGTGTCACCTCCAGGAAGCCTTCCCAGATGCCCGCAGCTGGACCAGGTGCCTCCTCTAGGCTCCCTGCATGTCCCCATCACAGCATGTATCACACTGGGCTGTCCTCATGATTTTAGTGCCTGTCTCCTCCACTGCATGGGAGACTCATCACGGAAGCTTGCACAGAGAAGGAGGCAGAGATGTGGAAATGCCCATGGGTGCAAGACACACGCAGGAAGTCGAACCTGTGGACTTGGGGTGCAGCAGAGGGCTGTGTCAAGGACTGAGTGACCAGATATTCGACTGTGCCTCTCCTGAGATGGGGAATGCTGAGGTTTGGGGAGGCACAGAGCCTTAGTCTATGAGCCCTAACTCTCTGAACTCCCACCCCAGAGTTAGGAAACTCCTCCCACATAGGACAATGGGCAAGTAGAGCCCGCCTTCCATGGGAGGAGCCCAAATAGTCCACACCCACTTTCCCTGCCTCCCTTGCAGCTAGGGCATGGCATGTGACTGGACTCTGCCAATCAGAGGCACCTGCTCTGGAGTTTGAATTGGAGGCTTGTCCTGTCCAGGACTCTTTCTGGGGGGAGCCTGGGCCACATGGAGTTCCTGGCAGCTGTGAAGAAGGAGGACTTCACCAGGCTGGCTCTGTGGTAGGAATAGGGGTGACGTCTTGCCTCCCCTTTTCCATGGGATCCTCCTGCCTTCCTGGGAGTTTTGCATACCCCAATATCTGTTTAATACCTTTTCTTCTGCTTGAATGAGCCACATTTGGATTCTGTCACTTGTCACTAAGAATCCTGGAGGCCCCTCTTGGGGGCAACCACTCGGACCAACCTTGAAGGAGGAGCCCATGTTGATGGGAAGGACAGCAAGTGCATTCGGGGTGTGGGAAACAGCTGACCAGGGTCAAGGTCAGGCTTCCGGGACACGACAGGGAGTGTTGGGGATGATGGCTCATCTGGGTCAGATTGTGGGGTTCGGTGGGGACCTGTTGGCAGGGGGTAGATCCAAGGCAGCTGATCCTGAATGCCAGGGCGAGAGCAAGCTTGGATGCCAGCCTGCGGGCAGTGGGACCCAGTGACATACTGTAAGTGGAGGTGGGACGTGGTCAGATTTGGGTTCCAGAAAGCTCAGTCTGCTGCTAGGAGGAAAAGCTAGACCAGATGGGGCAAGACTGGGAGAGTAGGGGACCAGGCAAAAGACTACGGCAATGGTCCCAGCAGACAGTCCTGGAGGCCAGAAAGAAGATCAAGGCAGTGGCAATGAGCAAGGGCAGACCTGGGATTCAGTGTGACTGGCCCTGGGGAGCCATTGAAGGCTTGGGTGACCTACCATGATCGTAAGAAAGTGGGGTTGAGCTGAGCATGGTGGCTGATGCCTGTAATCCTGGTACTTCGGGAGGCTGAGGTGGAAGGATCGCTTGAGCCCAGGAGTTTGAGACCAGCCTGGGCAACATAATGAGACCCTGTCTCTACAAAAGCTAAAATATTAGCTGGGTGTGGTGGTGTATACACCTGTAGTCCCAGCTACTCAGGAGGCTGAGGCAGGTGAATCCCGTGAGCCCAGGAGTTCGAGGCTGCAGTGAGCCAAGGCTGTGCTGCTGTGCTCTAGCCTGGGCAACAGAGTGAAAGCCTGTCTCTAAAAAAAAAAAAAAAAAAGAGGAAGTGAGGTTGGAATTTCATGACTGCCTGGACATGTCACTTGCCTCACACTTGGACAGCCCTGATTCGTTCTCAGGGTTTCCCCACCAGGGCCGACTTTGTGCCCTTGCCTCCCAGCTAAGCTGACCCAGACTTGCAGATGTGATTCAGAAATGGAAAACAGGGCTGGGCTGAGTGGCTCACGCCTGCAATCCCAACAATTTGGGAGGCCAAGGCAGGGAGATCTCCTGAGGTCAGGAGTTTGAGACCAGCCTGGCCAACATGGTGAAACCCCCATCTCTACTAAAAATACAATAATTAGCTTGGCATGGTGGCGGGTGCCTATAGTCCCAGCTACTCAGGCTGAGGCAAGAAGATTGCTTGAGCCCGGGAGGCATAGGTTGCAGTGAGCCAAGATCACTGCTGCATTCCAGCCTGGGCAACAGAGCAAGACTCATCTCAAAAAAAAAAAAAAGGAATAGAAAGCAGGTCTGTCAACTCCATACCACTGCCAAGCACGCCCCTCGGGCCATGGGTTCCAAAGGAGAGGCACAGCCAGGGCCACCTCTGTCTAGACAGAAAGAAGGACTCAGATGGGACAGCTGGGGTCTGGAGGAAAAGTCAACAGGACTGGGAAAATGGGGAAAGGAGACACAGGGCACCCGGCCACCTCCTGCCAGCCCGGGAGTTCCCTGGGCAAGGAGCTTGGCCACAGGAAGCAGTGGATGGATGCTGCTTCAGGGGCTCACCCCTGCACCCCAAACAGCACCAGCCTCATCCCCCAGAGTCCCCTGAACCTCATCCCTCGGGCGCAGAAGAATATCCTGAAACCGTCCTGTGGGGTCATTTTAGGGATGAAAACTTGGGACACAGAGTTGCACAAGGTACTTGATTTTCTTCTTCCTCCAAATCACACAATTTAAAAGCTGAGTGAGGGGCCCAGGGCTCCAGTGGGCTCTGTCTTTGTCTGCTTCCTCGCCTCACCGCGTTTCATTTCCTCCTCCGTAAATGGGGAACACAAGCTGGGTGCAGTGGCTCATGCCTGTAATCCCAGCACTTTGGGAGGCCGAGGTGGGTAGATCACTTAAGGTAAGGAGTTCAAGACCAGCCTGGCCAATATGGTGAAACCCCATCTCTACTAAAAATACAAAACTTAGCCAGGTGTAGTGGTGGGCACCTGTAATCCCAACTACTCAGGAGGCTGAGGCAGGAGTATCGCTTGAACCCAGGAGGCGGAGGTTGCAGTGAGCAGAGATCGCGCCACTGCACTCCAGCCTGGGTGACAGAGGGAGACTCCGTTTCAAAAAAAAAAAATGGGGAACACACACGGCCTTCAGCAGAGAGCCTGGAAGATGGTAAGCAGCTCTTTGGTACACCCCCTGTGTATTCCTTCCTCCCCTCGTGCCCACAACAGCTCCGCTGGGAAGCCGCCATCCTCTGAGAAGACATTTTAGCAACAGAGGAGGCCATTTTGCTTTGAGAATCAGAACCAAACCCTGCAAGGCCAGGACAGGGAAAGTCTCAGGCAAGTCACGACTGTGGCCAGGGCTTGCTGAACACAGGAGGGCAGGGGGCTGGTGGCGGGGGCAGGCGGCCTCTGCATGGCTTTAAGAGGAAGCAGAGATGGGGGCGTCATGGCTGTGCTGGGGATGACACCCTCTCCCTCTAGCTGGGTGGCCTTGGGCAGGGCCTTTCCCTCTCCAAGCTTTTGAGTCCTCAGCCTGCAATGGTGGACTCCAGCCCCCCTCACACCACCTTGCAGGTGAGTGAGGAAACCCAGCACCAGCACCTGGGTGTGCAGCGTGGGAGATGTTTTAGGGATTCCACCCCTTCTTGGAGCTTTTCTATTTAAAACAATTTTTTTTAACTTTTTGTAGAGATGGGGGTCTCACTGTGTTGCCCAGGCTGTTCTTGAACTCCTTGAAGTTCAAGTGATCCTCCCACCATAGCCTCTCAAAATGTTAGGATTACAGGCGGGAGCCACCGTGCCCAGCCCCTTCTAGGATCATGTAGTGCTTCCTGGGTCCTTTTCCTCTTTATTCTCCCTCCCCCTGCACCCCAGAACTGATGTGGGGCTGATCTGACCTTACTGACAGGGTGGGAGCCCGGGTGCCCTTCCTACCCTCCCCAAGGGGCTCTACGACCCTCCAGGACAGTCTTTGCCCAGGTGCCCTGAGGGCTCCTGGAAGCAGCAGTGAGATGCACTCTGGAGTAGATGGCTCCCTCTCTCGGCCTCCAGCCTTCGAGTCCACTGACATGCAGCCACAGCCATTCCCGGCTCCACACTTGGCCCTTCAGCAAGGCCTCCTCACCACATCCTGAGCCTGTTCATCCCCTCCTCCCTGAGGCCACCGCCCGGGTCCACACCTCCTCATCTCCCACCTGGACCATCCATGGCAGAAACCTCCCATCTGGTCTCCTGGCCCCTCCTCGATGATCCCAACTCTGCCCACACCACAGGTGATCTCCTGATCTCCTCTGGCGTGAATCACACTGCTCTGCCCCCCAGCCCACCTGGCTTGCTGTCAGTGCAGGGTCTAGGCCCCTCACCCCTCCTTTACCCCCATCTCCCAGCCCCTCCCCAGTGTTCCAGCCCCACTGGCCTTCCTTTGCATCTCCCATGGTTGTGCCCCGCTCCTGCCCCAGGACCTTCGCACATGCTGTCCCTCAGCCCTGCAAGAACCATCTGCTGGAGCCGAGCAGAGGCTGCCTCCTTTGAACGGGACCTGTACCCTCCACTCCCCTACCGCTGCACCACACCAATCCATCATCACACTTATGATGTCATCTTCTCAGAGGTGAGGTGCATTTCTCAACTGCTGTCTCCATCAAACAGGTATCTGGGGAGGGCTATGGGCTTGCAGTGGCCACCCTGGTTTCATTCATTCATGGCACCTCCCTGTGCCTGGGGGCGGCTGAGTCTGTGACCACTAAGGGCTGGGGGAGCCCACCGGAGGGCAGGTGGTTAGAGTGACTAGATTGGCATTTAGAAAATCGGCTTGATCTAGAAAATTGGCTCAGATAGGCATTAGAAAGTCCCTCTGCTCCTGGGTAGGTAGTAGTTAATGGAGCTGCAGGGAGTTTAGTTGGGAAGCTCCTGGGTGTCCTGGTGACAGATAAGGGCGGCTGTGGGAAGGGAGAGAAGCAAATGTTTTCCAGAAATAGAGGTCAAATGGAGAGCATTCAGCTGCTGTCGCAGGCGCTGCCCAAACTCCTCCCAGATTCCTCCCCTAGCCCCCATCCCTTTACCCCTCCCCCCAGGGAACTTTCTCTGCCAGCAGCAGCTACCTACATTTTCTAGTCAGGCGCCATCTTTTGCTGCTGGAACCAGCTTTGCCTGCAACCCCTGGAGAGGCAGAAGCTCCCAGGAATTCACGCACTGCCCAGAGGGCAGAAGGGGGGGATCCCTTAACCAATCACATGCGGTGGGCATAAAATTCCAGCTCCCTTGCCCCTGATCAGGACTCCTACGGGGTGACCCAGCACCATGTCATGGTCACCAAACCCCTGTCTAGGGTCAGCTTCTAGGGAACATGCACTAAGGACGGTGACTTCAGATTTGGGGGCTGAGAGAAGAAGAAGGAAAGGCGTTTGCACAAGGTTTTGACTTGTGCAAGGGTGGCCAGTCCCGAGACGGGACGCATCAGACAGGGATCCCTGACTCAGATCGAGGGATGGCTTCAGGGTGCAGTTTCCTTGAGGACAAGTGGTTATATCAGTTTCGTGTTGCCAAAAATCATCAGGGCAGCGACCAAGCTGAGCACAGATGCAGTCCACTGTCCAGAAGAAAGGCCCCCAACATCTCAGCGCCGTCCCCCTCCCTGCCGTGGGGCGGAGCCGGCCAGCATTTTCCTGGCCTGGGCCAGGCGCAGCTAAGGCTGAGACATCTGCACAGGGCAGAAAGGGCCAGATCAGGCCCTTCCTGGCAAGCGCCTCCCAGGGGACAATGTCAGTCCCAGAAAGCGTGAGTCATGAGCAGGGGACCCCCACATCCCTGGCCAGGACAGGAGGTGCCTCCGCAGGGACTTGCCCCAAAGGGGCACCATCTCCAGTCATCCTCAGAGTCAGGCAGGCTTGCCAACCTGTCCTTTCATCTCTGTCTTGCTCCCAGGCAACCCGTAAACCCCTCGGGGCCCAGAGGCCACGCCTCACTCGACAGCTCGGGAGAGCCGGGCACAGGGGCAGAAGCGACTTGCCGAGGTCATGCAGTGACATGGAGCCACAGCCTGGCTTCCTGACACCCCTTCTGCCTTACCAGGCTGATGCACAGGTTTGCCATGTGGGAATTCCCCAGGCCCACCCTGCTGCCATGCCCTGGTACCCTGTAATCTGGAGGCATGTGGGTGCCTGTCACCCAAGCACCCTTTCTGGCACAGCAGGAGGAGAGAGCCAAGCACCCAGGGCAGCCCCCAACCTCAGGGATCCCCAGCTCCTCCTGTACCCCTTGACCCTCCCACTCCTCCAGGGGCTGCCTCATGGTTGGTGGGTCCCTGTCCTGCCCTGTCCTAGTGTGGGTCCTTCAGGGATGGCTGGAACGCAGGGCTGTGTGGCACCCAGCACACACCCGGGGCCCTGGGAGAGGGTGCGCCTCTTCCTTCTGGAGTGTGAGCTGCCTCCTGCTCTGCACTTGCCCATCAGGCCAGGTGGTGGGGGAAGGGGCGCAGGCGTGGATTTCCCTGCAGTCAGGGCTGCCCTCCCACCATACTGCATGGGGAGAGATGAGGGGTAGGGGTGCTGGGTGCACAGGTGGAGTCTCCCTTTCTCTCTTTGGTGCCTTC